>NC_000019.10:35990874-36615874 GCF_000001405.40 Homo sapiens | reverse complement strand
ACTTGGCTTTACTAGTCAAATAAGTTACTATTATATTTACTATGTTTAAAACTATAAAAACTATAAATTCAACTTAAGAAAAAAATGCACAAATAAACATATAGTAGAAATGAATTGTCTGATATCTATTATTTCATATACATCAAACACAGCAGGAAAACAAAACAAACAAACCTATGTATTTAACTTTTCAGGTTTTCTTGATTTGCCTTTAATTGCCTTTTACTTGTATGTGCTATAAAAACAGTTAACAAGGAAATGACTTGAGAGGCTGGCTAGTTTTGTTTAATGTATTATAAAATTTTCATGAACAATCCAAACATAATAAATACTATCTGTGTAGGTCAATATAAGTGGAATAAGAGTTTTGGATAAGCTCTTTGGATCTGTTAAACACTAAAAAATTGTACTATGAGGAAATATGTATCTATAAAGTTGTAAGATGATGTATTCATAACATTTGCCAATCTGTTATAGAATGCTAGTATGTAGCAGATAATTCACAACTATCTACTTCTTAGTTTACTCTGTTAAAAGGTTACTAATGGTTAAAATTATAATTACTATATGTAATTAAAACTACTAAAAATAGTCGGGGGGCAGTGGCTCATGCCTGTAGTCCCAGCACTTTGGGAGGCTGTGGCGGATCACCTGAGGTCAGGAGTTCGAGACCAGCCTGGCCAATATGGTGAAACTCAGTCTCTACTAAAAAAATACAAAAATTAGCTGGGCATGGTGGTGCCCACCTGTCATCCCAGCTACTCCTCAGGAGTCTGAAGCACAAGAATCATTTGAACCCGGGAGTCGGAGGTTGCAGTGAGCCGAGATCATGCCACTGCACTCCAGCCTGGGCGACAGAGAGAGACACTGTCAAAAAAAAAAAAAAAAGAAAGAAGGAAAGGAAAGGAAAGGAAAGGAAGGGAAAGGGAAAGGGAAAGGGAAAGGGAAAGGGAAAGGGAAGGAAAGGAAAGGAAAGGAAAGGAAAGGAAAGGAAGAAAGAAAGAAAGAAAGAAATGGTTCATTGCAACCTCCGACTCCCGGGTTCAAGCAGTTCTCCTGCCTCAGCTCCTGAGTAGCTGGGATTACAGGTGTGTGCCACCTGTATTCTTTTAGTAGAGACAGGTTTTTGCCACGTTGGCCAGGCTGGTCTTGAATTCTGACCTCAGGTGATCCACCCACCTCAGCCTCCCAAAGTGCTGAGATTACAGGTGTGAGCCACCATGCCCAGCCACTCTTACTATGTACAATAGAATCAGAAATATTAAAAGCTTAGAGAGAAACTTAATGAGCAATATGTAAGATTTCTATACCAAAAATAGGAATTGCTTTCAGGAATTAGAGAAGCTAACTAAAATGGAAAGTTATAGCATTGTCATGAACCACAGGACTCAATATTGCTAAGACATTAGCTCTCACTAATAAAAAACCTAGCACGTTTATCTAAAGAAATCAAGAAGTTGATTCCAAAATGAATTTGAGAAGAAAATGACATAGAATAGCTAAAAGTTGTTTTCATTTGTTTGTTTGCTTTTTTTGAGATGGAGTCTCACTCTGTTGCCCAGGCTGGAGTGCAATGGCGCGGTCTTGGCTCACTGCAACCTGTGCCTTCCGGGTTCAAGCAATTCTCCTGCCTCAGCCTCCCGAGTAGCTGGGACTACAGGCATGTGCCACCATATCCGGCTAATTTTTGTATTTTTAGTAGAGACGGAGTTTCACCATGTTGGCCAGGCTGGTCTTGAACTCCTGACCTCAGGTGATCCGCCCGCCTCGGCCTCCCAAAGTGCTGGGGTTACAGGCATGAGCCACCATGCCTGGCCCTAAAAGTTTTTAAAAAGCATAAAGTTAGAGGACTTACGCTAACTGACTTCCAGACTTATTATAAAGTTACAATAATCAAAGACCAGGTGGTATTGTCAATGTGACTTAAATTATGTCCAAGGAAACAACAGATTGTCCAAAAATAGACTGATACAAATGTGATCAATTTTCTCTATGATCACCATAGTAATTCAGTCAATAAATACTGATGGAACAAATTGATAACCATATAGAAGAATAGACTCTCGAACCCTACTTCACATCATAAACAAAACATGAGGTGGACCACAGAACTAATCTTAAAAAGCAAAATATACAGCCGGGCACAGTGGCTCATGCCTGTAATCCCAGCACTTTGGGAGGCTGAGGCAGGTGGATCACCTGAGGTCAGGAGTTCAAGACCAGCCTGACCAACAAGGATAAACCCCATCTCTACTAAAAATACAGAATTAGCGGGGCGTGGTGGTGCACGCCTATAATCCCAGCTACTCGGGAGGCTGAGGCAGGAGAATCGCTTGAACCTGGGAGGTGGAGGTTGCAGGGAAGCGGAGGTTGCGGTGAGTTGAGATCACACCATTGCGCTCCAGCCTGGGCAACAAGAGCGGAACTCTGTCTCAAAAAAAAAAAAAAAAAAGCAAAATATACAAAGAAATTACAGAGCACTATCCTCACCATACCTAGAAAAGAGAATTATCCTCACTATACCTAGAAAAAGACAAATATTTGTTTGAGAGGTCACATAATTAATGATAAAAGAAACAATGATTAAGTGAAATTCACCAAAGTTAAAAACTTCTGTTCATCAAAAGACACCATTAAAATGAATATGCAAGTCATAGACTAGGGAAAATATTTGTAATACATACATTGAACAAAAGATTTCTATCCACAGTATGTAAAGAATTCCTACTACTCAAGGAAAAATACATACTACCTAAATAAAAGATGGATAAAACATTTGAACAGGGCCAGGTGCAGTGGCTCACGCCTGTAATCCCAGCACTTTGGGAGGCCAAGGTGGGCGGATGACAAGGTCAGGAGTTTGAGACCAGCCTGGCCAAAATGATGAAACCCCGTCTCTACTAAAAATACAAAAAATTAGCTGGGTGTGGTGGCGCACGCCTGTAATCCCAGCTACTCGGGAGGCTGAGGCAGGAGAATTGCTTGAACCCGGGAGGCATAGGTTGCAGTGAGCCAAGATTGTGCTACTGCACTCCAGCCTGGGCGACAGAGTGAGACTCTGTCTCAAAAATTATCAAACAAACAAACGAACAAAGAAACAAACAAAACACTTGAACAGATGCCTCTGATATAAAATGCACTTGAAAAAGTTTTCAACATTATTAGTTGTAAGATAAATCTAAATTAAAACTGCGAAGTTATACAACCAGAATGGTCAAAATGACCAGAATGGACAAAATGAACATAAAATGTAGAAAAGAACGTGGGGCAATCAACATTCTCATACAGTGCTGATGAAAGTCTAAAATGGTATAGTAGTTTTAGCTACTAAACTACCAAACCAAAATGGTAGTTTCTAAAGAAATGAAATACGCATCTGCCTTATGAATCAGCGATATCGCTGCTACGTGTTTACTGAAGAAAAATAAACATGTATGTCCACAAAAATATTTTTACAAGAATGATTATAGCAGCTTTGTTCATAATAGGTCTAAACTAGAAACATCCCAAATGTCTTTCAACAAGAGATGCATAAACTGGTATACTCGTACAATGGAAAACTGTTCCACAGTTAACAAACTACTTATGCATGCAGAAACATGTATAAATCTCTCAGACATGAAGCTGAGTGAAAGAAAGCAGACATGAAAAAGGTTTGCAATAGACAAAATGAATCTATGTTGGTAGACATCACAACTGTGATTATCTTAATGGGAGGGACTGAGTTGGAAGAGGCCTGGTGGAACTTAATGGGTTAATGAAACTGTCTTTTATCTTGATTGGAGTGTGAGATACGTGGGTTTATCCTTCTGTCAGAATTCAAAGAACTTTACACTTTACATCTCTATGTACATTATACCTATAAAACATGGAATAGATTCTTGGTAAGGTAATAGCAGCAATATTTCCACAAACCCAGGCAAACAACGAAAAGATTTACATGGGGAGTGATATTCATACCTAAAATTTACATTTTAGAGGCATGAAAGTCAGCCATGTATAGGCACTTTACAGATCTCAGGTCTTTAAAAATAGATCACTAATAGGATGGATACTACGAAAATACAGAAAATAACAAGTGCTGGTGAAGAAATTGGAACCCTTGTACACTGTTGGTGGGAATGTAAAATGATGCAGCTGCTATAGAAAACAGTATGGTGACTCCTTAAATATAAACACAGAATTACCACATTATTCAGCAATTCCACTTCTGAGATTATACCCAAAAGAACTGAAAGCAGGGACTAAAACTGATATTTGTACACCCATGTTCATAGCAGCAATATTCACAATAGCCAAAAGATGGAAGGAACCCAACGGACCACTGACGGATGAATGAATAAGCAAAATATAGTATATACATACAACAGAATATTAATCAGCATTAAAAATGAAGGAAATAGATGAACCTGGAGGACATTACATTAAGTAAAATAAGCCAGTCAGAAAAAGGATAAATACTATGTGATTGCACTTACAAGAGGTACCTAGAGTAGTCAAATTTACAGAGACAGCAAGTAGAATGGTGGTTGGCATGGCTAGGGAGTAGGGATAAAGGGAAGTTATTTTTATTTATTTTTTTTTTGAGATGGAGTCTCGCTCTGTCGCCTAGGCTGGAGTGCAGTGGTGTGATCTTGGCTCACTGCAACCTCCGCCTCCCAGGTTCAAGCAATTCTCCTGCTTCAGCCTCCTGAGTAGCTGGGATTCCAGGTGTCCACCACCATGCCTGGCTAATTTTTTTGTATTTTTAGTAGAGACAGGGTTTCACTGTGTTAGCCAGAAATGGTCTCCATCTCCTGACCTCATGATCCACCCACCTTGGCCTTGGCTGTAATCCCAAAGTGCTGGGATTACAGGCGTGAGCCACCTCACCTGGCCAGGGGAAGTTATTGTTTCATGGGTACAGAGCTTCAGTTTTGCAAGATGAATAGTTCTGGAGATGGATGGTGGTGATGGTTGCACAACAGTGCGAATGTACTTGATGCTACTGAACTATATGCTTAAAAAGTTTAAGATAGCATATTTAATGTTATGTGTATTTTACCACAATAACAAAAATAGATCCCTAAAAACATTCAAAGGCTTCAACTACTTGACATTTAATGTTCACTAGACTTCATTTATAGACTCACCTAGGTAGCTGTAACTTGGAAAAATTCTCTGTGTCCATAGCTCTTCTCCTTGTTCCAACTTGCGGATCATATCAGGCTTAGCCATGTGAAACCCTGATGATGGAAA
Source organism: Homo sapiens (assembly GCF_000001405.40). Classification (NCBI taxonomy): domain Eukaryota; kingdom Metazoa; phylum Chordata; class Mammalia; order Primates; family Hominidae; genus Homo; species Homo sapiens. The sequence continues at coordinate 36,610,636 of NC_000019.10, read as the reverse complement.
ATGAGACTTTTGGTCTAAGCTGTTTCGACTTTAAAACTATTGAAGTAAGATAAAGATACAACTTCAAGGTAGTAAATGAGGTATACATTAATGTCTTACCAAAGTTAATACCTTACACTACACAAGTGATGATATAATCATATTTTCTTTTCTTTCTTTCCTTTTCTTTTCTTTTTTTTTTTTGAGACAGTCTCACTCTTTCACTCAGGCTGGAGTGCAGTGGTGCAATCTCAACTCACTGCAACCTCGTCTCCCAGGTTCAAGTGGTTCTCGTGCTTCAGCCTCCAGAGTAGCTGGGATTACAGGCATGTGCCACCACACCCAGCTAATTTTTGTACTTTTTAGTAGAGACTGGGTTTCACCATGTTGGCCAGGCTGGTCTTGAACTCCTGGCCTCAAGTGATCCACCTGCCTCGGCCTCCCAAAGTGCTGGGATTACAGGCGTGAGCCACTGTGCCTGGCAATATAATATTTTCTGCCAAAAAAATAATCACCTCTAATCCCTGAAATTCAAAGTCCTATATGTTTCAGGAATTCTTAGAAGGAGATGCATGACAGTGAAAGATTCAGGAGTGTTTCTTACCCACAGATACGAAGTGGCAATAGTTTTCCAACATCACATCCCTGTAAAGCGCCTTCTGAGCAGGGTCTAGTTGCTGCCACTCCTCCTGGGTGAAGTCCACAGTCACATCCTTGAATGACACTGATCCCTGTAAGGGCATACTCTAGTTCATCCTGAAGTGATCGGAAATGTGTGAGAACTAGATATTGGAGACCTAGTACTGACAATGTTTACTGGTCAGACTAGTTTCCTTATTTATGTTTTATATTGCATAAAATTCTCTCTGAAAATACATCCATTTGTATTTACTTATAATCTCATGCTAAACATACTGAGATCACACTATTTGTCCTGAATGTGACTGGTTGCCTGGTAGACCAAAATGAATAAAACCCTGACCCTGCTCATGAGAAGTTATAGGCTAAGAGAGGGGCATACATGTAAATACATGCACTTAGTAGGTTTTACAGATGCAATGACAGAAATACGTACAAGGTAAAGTGTCACAAAACAAGGAAAAATTTCATTTTGTACTCCGAGGCTTCATTGAGGACATAAAAGTTTTGTACTCACAACGAATTTGTTTTGTAGGAATACAGGGCATCAGCTTTTAAAAATTCATGGGGAGAAAAAAACCAGTTAGTAAATCAGGAAATAGCAAAAGGCACAGTATGTTAGGAAACAGTCTTTGAGCTCTAAGAAGGAAAAGGTATATGGAGATAGGCAATGGGGATATTATGACATGATACTAGATTTTTTTTTCCTACAGAACAGTGGTCTTAAAGATATACTGAACACATTCCCAACATTGTAGCTATTTATAAACCATCAATAGGCATTTATGAAAATCTACATTGTTAATGAATACTGCTCTCGAATGTAAATTGTTAGTATTTTATTTCCTTCCAATAGACCGTCTTATACATTCTACTGTGAGGCATGCCCTACTTTGGGTCTGTTGCTTTAAGGAATGTAAAGAACATCAATAAACATAAGTTGACACACGTTATGTGATAAAAGTTTTGAGGTAATACTCCTGAAGACTGGAAAAGGCTTATCACATGTTAGGTGGAAATGACAATTAAGTAACCATGGTTAGAAATGTCTCCTAGATTAAGGAAGTGTCAGCGGGCTGACAGAGGACAACTGCTCCTACATGACCACCATTACAACAGAGATGGTCGTAAATTGGCTGTAGAGTGGAAAAGATACAGGCATTTTATCTGCATAGGCAAATGCATGGCTGCTGGGACTAGAAAGTGAAAATGGGAAACGGAAGAAAATGTAAGCTGGACCAAAGGAAGTAATGAGGTAAGCTTTGGAAATGTACTTTGTCTGTGGAACATACAGGTGGTGATAGCTACTGGAGGTTGAATATTCGGTTCTGACACTCTGGACAGAGGTCTAGAGTGGAGAGGGGTATTTGAGAGTCACTAGAATCACACTAAGTGTAGCCTTCAGAGTGAATCTGATTGTGCGTAGAGAAAAACGGACTGTGAAGAAGAAGAGAACCAATTAGCATCTGAGGAAAACCAGTATTTTAAAGGTTGGTGGATGAGCTAAAGAGGAATTTTCTGAAAGATATGAAAAGAGGACAAAGTACTGTTTGATCAACAATAGAATATTTCAAAAGTGGCCTGGCATATGGATTTCCTTCTCCTGCACCCGCAAATAAAAAATTAGAAGAAACTAAAAAGAAAATAACAAATCTCTAACAGCATTGGAATACTGGAAAGGTTTTCACTGGCAGCCCACAATTTGTAGGAATGGCTAGCAGACATGAATGAAAAAAGATCAGAGAGGAGGAACATAAAACGTGTTTCCTTTACAAGCCTGCAATCAAATTGCTATCCTAAACACCTCACAAAGCAGGACATCTTTCCAGAAACTAATGCTGGGATCTACCACTTCTATTTCCCAACGTACCATTGCAAAACCTAGGCTAGCGGAGATCATCAAGGTTTTTCCACGTCTGCTCCATGACTACTCACAGCTTAGGTCTCAAATCAGCATCAGGACAAGTTAAATTCATTCAAGCCATATATTCCCATTTAAATCAAGACAATACCTTTCTATTCCAGCAGTTTGTTTGTGAGAAGACTGAGAAAGGAGATGATGAATGATATACCCAATGAATATGTACAACCAGAAGGTACACTTGGGGAAGGCTTAAGTTGATTTGGTTGGAATGGAGAAATTGTGAACAGGGCTGGATACAGGGTGAGGCAGGTGAGGCACCTAGAATGCAAAATTTAGGAGGGCACAGCCCTGAGGGTACCCCTTAAATATTTCACCTCATGCCACTTGCCTGCCTCAGCCTAATCTGGCCCTGACTGAAGACTAATTTCATGGAAGCAAATCCCAATATCAGGGAAGGTTAAAGGACAGTGAAGCTCATGTTCATACACCATGAAAAAAAGTTATTTCAGAAAGAGAGGAAACATCATCTCACCTGAGACATGGCTTTGAGATTTCTAGATGAACTTTCTCTTTTGAGCTCCTCTTTTGGAAAAAGAAACAGTCCTGAGAAAGCAAAGATGGAGGATATACGTATGTGAGACCATACTTGACTCAGAACTCCCAGAATTAACTCAGTTAAATCTGCATGAATGTTCACTATTTCAGCACTTGTCCACCCTGTGTACCCTTCAGATGTCCAGGATGGTAGTTAGTGGGAAAACAGACAAATCAGGCTCCCTCACAAACACCAGAAACCCAGTCTCTTGGTAAAGTATACAGGATTCTGGGGAACCTGTTTTAGCTTGAAGAGAGGGAACACTGTGTTTTTCCCTCTGCAGCTCTGCCTTCCATCTACCTCTAACCACAGGTTTACTGTGTATTTCCAAACGGTTCTTCTTGGACTTTTTGCCAATTTACACTGATAGTAGTGGATGAGAATACCTTCCCAAGCCCTGATGAAGACAGTTGACAACTTTTAAATCTTTGCCTATCTGGTCTATGTTGTAGTTGAGAATAATCTTTTTTTTTTTTTTTTTTGAGACAGAGTTTCACTCTTGTTGCCCAGGCTGGAGTGCAATGGTACAATCTTGACTGACCGCAACCTCCACCTCCCGGGTTCAAGCGATTCTCCTGCCTCAGCCTCCTGAGTAGCTGGGATTACAGGCATGCACCACCATGCCCGGCTAATTTTGTATTTTTAGTAGAGATGGGGTTTCTCCATGTTGGTCAGGCTGGTCTCGAATTCTCGATCTCAGGTGATCTGCCCACCTTGGCCTCCCAAAATGCTGGGATTACAGGCATCAGTCACTGCACCAGGCCCGCAAAATAACTATTTTAATTACTACAGTGAGACTGGACTTATTAAAAATCTATCAAATACTTTTTATTATCTTAGCAAGCCTAAGGGAGTAGGAAACCTCACTCATATACAAGTGTTGAAAGTGGTAGTTATGCCAGGCACAGTGGCTCACACCTGTAATCCCAGTACTTTGGCAGGCCGAGGGGGCGGGGGGAGGGGATCACTTGAGGTCAGGAGTTCAAGACCAGCCTGGGCAACATGGTGAAACCCCATCTCTACTAAAAATACAAAAACTAGCCGAGCGTGGTGGCACAAGCCTGTAGTCCCAGCTACTCAGGAAGCTGGGGCAGGAGAATCACTTGAACTTCAGAGGTAGAGGTGGCAGTGAGCAGAGATCATGCCACTACACTCCAGCCTGGGCAAAAGAGCAAGACCTTGTCTTAAAACAAACAAAAAACAACAACAAAAGTGGTAGTTATGGTAAAAAAAAAAAAAAAAAAAAAATTTCCTGCATGTCCCCAATGGAATGCTATTCATTTCAACATACTGGTTTTAGTTAATATGGTGTTTCCAGGAAATGAATCTGGGAATTATGAAAATCATCTCTTCCCCTCTGATACTGTTATCTCTATTTTATTTGCTAAATTGCTACTTAGTTACAGTTTTGGAGGCAGGCTTAATGGCTACTATTCAGATAATCAAGTCTTACATAACCAACTAGCCATGGTCATAACAGAGTTCCTCAATCATTCAAATATTTAGGTCACTAAGGCCACAAAACCACCAGAAGTAACAGTAGGTTACAAACACATGCAGAGTCACAGTCAATCAAACATCCTTCAGAGAACCACCAACCTACAGGCCCCACTTGTCATTCACAACCTCAGACAGCAGCTAACACGACTCCAGGCAGTCACAACCACACCTACAAATCACTTGCAATTCTCCACACTCAAAGGCAGTCTCAAATGCGACTCACACCTAATCTAAAAATAGACACACGCAGAGGAAACCTCGCGCAGCAACACTACTCCGTTCACTTTTCACACACAATCGGCCACAACATCCCAAAGAGAGGCAAGCACCTAAAATGCAGCAGGTTGGGCGCAGGAGGCCACCCCTATTCAGCGCGCGCCCGCGCGCGCGAACACACAGCGCCCGCTCCGCGCGGGGACCCGCCGCCAGCGATGGCGCTTCCGCGGGATCAGAACGGGCAAAATCCCCCTTCGCGGAGCTCGCTCCGGGTCACCCTCAAGGTCACGCCCATGGACCACGCCCGAGGCCCGGCTCGTACAGATCGGAGCGTCTGGATACCGCGGTCCCGGTTTCCTCCTCAGAATTTCCAGGCCCGGCTCGGACTCTTGGTTACCTCCCTGGCCTCCCCACCCGGTTCCGCGTCCTTAGACAGCTCTCCCGGAACGGAGCTCCCAGTGCCCTCCTTGGCCTCCTCAGCACCCCTGGCACCCACCAAGCCTCACCCCCGGCCCAGGGTGAGTCGTCTGCGCCTGCGCACTCGCGCGTGGGCCTGAGCTCCCAGGAGTCTCCGGGGCGGCCCGTTAGTCGCCGCGCGGTGCTAGCTGCCGGCGCTCCCCTCCGTTTGCACCCACGGCCGCCCTATTGCGGCTGGCACTACGCTTCTGCCAGGACCCCGGCTCCCTTTTCCGTTGACCTGGTGTTCGTTTTCCATGTGGTGAGTTGAGGTGACCCGGGTCTGGATGCGAGAAGAGCTCACGGCAGGGGACCTGGGTTCATGGGACGCGGAGAGGGTTTGTGGAGGCAGAAGCCCCAGGCCTGTGTGCAAGTCACCTGCTGGGGAGGGAGACTGTGTGATTGTGTTTGTGTGTGCCGTTCTGTGGCTGCGTCCGTGTGTGGTGGTGTGAGTGGGCGCGCCTGTGATGGTCCCGGGGGGGCGGGGGGTGTGCACAGCAGGGGGTGTGTGTGCACAGCAGGTGCACAGCCCGGGACAGCCCTGACTGTCCCCGATTGGGCCCGCGGGACTGAGTGGGGGCGGGGCCGTTTGTGTGACGGCGCTGAGCGGTGACTATGAATGTGTCATGCTGTTATCAGTGATCCTGTGACAGCGCTGTTGTGACCCACTGGAGACTGTGATCAAAACTGGCCTGGTGCAGCTTTTGTAGAGTTTGATTTCTGCAGTTCTGGGGCTCAGGAATACGTGGACAAGGTCCCCGTATGGCTCGATCTGTGTCTGTGAAGACTCTGAGACCTTCTGTTCTAAAGCATGGCCCCTGTCGCTTTCATAATGCATAATACACAGTGGCATGCAGCCTCGCCAACCTCTGGGGCCAATTTTAAGTTACGTGGTTTCTTGGAGTTTGTTATACTGGGATTTCTTTCACTGCCTCAGTCATTTCACCTTATAACCACGTTGCACAGTGTGCAGTCAAATGGCTATCGAAAAGAAAGTTGGATATTTGAGATCCAGAATGAAGTTTCCAACTGAAAAAGCACAGCCTTGTGTTTCACATGGACAAGGCTGTGTTCTGATATGCACAGCCTCGTGTTTGATATGGAGATGTTAGAGCTGGAATTGCTCCCAAGGCAAGGTTCTGGGAAGATATGATATTGAGGCCCCAGGAGTAGGATTCGTTTCTCCAAAGATTTTGTGTGTGTGTGTGAGATGGAGTTTTGCTCTTGTTGCCCAGGCTGGAGTGCAGTGGCGCAATCTCGGCTCATTGCAACCTCCGCCTTCCGGGTTCAAGCAATTCTCCTGCCTCAGCCTCCCGAGTAGCTGGGATTACAGGCATGCACCACCATGCCCGGCTCATTTTTGTATTTTTAGTAGAGACGGGGTTTCACCATGTTGGTCAGACTGGTCTCGAACTCCTGACCTCAGGTGATCCACCCGCCTCGGCTTCCCAAAGTGCTGGGATTACAGGCGTGAGCCACCGTGCCTAGCCAAAAGATCCCTTTTGGAAGCTCTGTGGGGGCAAGTTGAATATTGCAGATCCACAGCATTTTCATAGCTGTCTAAAGGAAATTATTGTGAATACAGAAACATTTCAGTCCCAGGCTTTGGTGAACCTGACTTTTCTTTATGAAGGGAAGAGTCAACAATATTCCAGTCTTTCTCATACTTCCATCTGGTCATATTCAGCATGGGTTATGGAAGCTTGCCGGTGGTGAAGAATGTGTTCTTATTTAGCCTGTCTGGGCTCCAAGAAAGGCTGAGTATATTGTGATTCCCTTTCTTTCCACATTTTGCTGTATTCCAAGAGAAGAGCTCTGAGAGAAGAAAAGCATTGTAGTTGCACATTTTAAAGCAAAGCTGGAGGTCATTTTGATTTTTTTCTTTGTTTTATGAAATGCATTTTTGTTTTTCAGGATGTGGAATAACTTCATTTGAAATGCTCACCAAATAGTGACTTATCTATTTACCTGGTCTCTAGTCCTTCTCTTCCCAGTTACTGATGACATTATGAAGACAGATCTCCTTCTTTCCAGTACCTCATCAGATGCCCTTCCTAGAGTTAATTTTCATATAACACCTTGACAGTATGTTCACTTCTCCTGTGTGCTCTTTTTGTTTAAGCATTCTCATGACATAGAAATAGTCTGCCTTCACACGGTGATTTGTTACGGAGGAGACCAATTGCTTAGGTAGAATTACACATTAGATAGTTTAGATTTTCTTCAGAGACATGAGTGGAAAAACAGCAAGATAGGAGATCGTTTGAATGGTTATAGTAACTTTTTTTGTTTTAGAGGACCTTAGGAGTTAGAATATTATTGCAGAGTATGTGCAGAGAGAGCTGTTAAGAAGGGCAGGAAGTTTTTCCGAGGGGATACCTTAGGAGATTTATATGGTACCAGCTAGTTCTTGCATGAGGTTTGGCCGCATCACGTGTTTTTTTTTTTTTTTCTTTTGAGACGGAGTTTCACTTTTGTTGCCCAGGCTGGAGTGCAATGGTGCGATCTTGGCTCACTGAAACCTCCGCCTTCTGGGTTCAAGCGATTCTCCTCCCTCAGCCTCCCGAGTAGCTGGGATTACAGGCATGCGCCACCATGCCTGGCTAGTTTTGTATTTTTAGTAGAGACGGGGTTTCTCCATGTTGATCAGGCTGGTCCTGAACTCCCCCCACCTCAGGTGATCCACCTGCCTCAGTCTCACAAAGTGCTGGGATTACAGGCGTGAGCCACCGTGCCCGGCCAGGTGTTTTTTTCTTTTTTTCCCCCAAGTCACATAACTGTGTAGACTGTGTGAGTATGGTATAATGGTCTCTGGGTCTAGAACAGGGGTTTGCAAACTATGGCCCTGTGGGCCAAATCCAGCCTGTAGCCTGTATTTTTGTATGGCTTGTGAACTGATTGGTTTTAACTTTTTGTTAATAGTTGACCACGAAAAAAAAAAAAAGGAGAGTAATATTTCATGACATGTGAAAATTATATGCAATTTAAATTTGTGTCCATAAATAAAGTTTTGGATTTTGGCAATTAAAAATTTGTGGAGGTGGCCAGGCGCGGTGGCTCACACCTGTAATCCCAGCACTTTGGGAGGTCAAGGTGGGTGGATCACAAGGTCGGGAGTTCGACACCAGCCTGACCAACATGGCAAAACACCATCTCTACTAAAAATACAAAAATTAGCTGGGCATGGTGGCATATGCCTGTAATCCCAGCTACTCGGGAGCCTGAGGCAGGAGAATTGCTTGAACCTGGGAGGCGGAGGTTGCAGTGAGCCGAGATCGCGCCACTGCACTCTAGCCTGGGAGACAGTGAGAATCCATCTTAAAAAAAAAAAAAAATTGTAGCGTTCAGGTGCAGTGGCTCACGCCTGTAATCCCAGCACTTTGGGAGACTGAGGAGGGAGGACTGCTTGAAGCCAGGAGTTCCAGACCTTATCTCTAAAAAAAGGAAAAACAAAGGGGAAATTTTTCATCTCTCTTTTATATAAACTCCTATATAATATCCTTAATTTTGCCTTTTAGCTCACAAAGCCTAAAATATTTACTATCTAGTCCTTTACAGAAAAGTTTGCCAACCCCTATTCTATAGTATCTGAATTAAAATCTAAGGTTTTGCTAATTATTAATACTGTGTGTGAATTTGGGCAATATACTCAATATCTTTCTGTTCTATAGTTTATTATTTATATAATAATAGTACCAATTTCAAAGGATTTTTATGAGGATTAGCAAAGTTACTATTAACAGAGTAACAAAACGGTGGCTGATAATAATAAATTATTAAGCTTAAATTTAAAACCTTATTATGTGGATATTCTAAGTCATTCCACATTCACATATAAGGTGCAATGAAAATATGAGGTTAATTGTGATGGGCAGTGGTGCGATCATAGCTCACTACAGCCTGGAACTCCTGGGCTCAAGCAGTCCTCCCACCTCAGCCTTCCAAGTAGCTAGGAATACAGTTGTAATTAAGAATTACACTTGTGGCCGGGCGCAGTGACTCACACCTGTAATCCCAGCACTTTGGGAGGCCGAGGCAGGCGGATCACGAGGTCAGGAGATCGAGACCATCCTGGCTAACATGGTGAAACTCCATTTCTACTAAAAATAAAAAAAAATTAGCCAGGTGTGGTGGTGGGCGTCTATAGTCCCAGCTACTCAGGGAGGCTGAGGCAGAGCGAGACTCCGTCTCAAAAAAAAAAAAAAAAATTACACTTGTAATTAAGGAAATAGGATGAAGGTTCCAACAGAAAAAGCACAGCCTGTGTTTGATATGGAGATGTTAAGAGATGGAGATGTGGTACCCAGCTAGTTCTTGCATGAGGTTTGGCAGCATGAGGTGTCTTTTTTTTTTTCCAAGTTACATAATTGTGTAGCCTGTGTATGGTATAATGGTCTCTGGGTCTATAGCAGGGGTTTGCAAACTATGGCTCTGTAGGCCAAACCCTGCTTGTAGCCTATTTTTGTATGGCTTGTGAACTGATTGATTTTAACTTTTTCAATAGTTGACAACAAATCAAAAGGAGAATAATATTTCATGACATGTGAAAATTATATGCAATTCAAAAATTTGTGGAGTTCAAGTGCAGTGGCTCACAAATATGCTCTGTCTAGAACAGGGATACTTCACCTGGAATAATTTGCCTTGGAATTATATACCTAATTATTGTATGTTTATTTTATTCATGCGTATTTTTTCCTCGGCAAAAGTCTCTAATTTTATGAGAGTATTAAGGGTATATACAACCCAAAAATGTTTTGAACCACTGATCTATAACACCTGGAAATGAACTTTAGGAAGAGTTTGTCCAAAAACAATTTCCTGTATTATGTAAATATTAAGTCAGTCAGTTTACATCCAAGTGATGTAATACTACATAGATAATAAGAAATTGGAGATACTAATATAAAAAATATAAGATGGAATATCATATAACATTCATATTTGTGAGCAAAAGTACACAATGAATTGCTAAATTATAAATCAGTTGAACTATGATAGGCGTTTATTAGCAGCTTTTCAAGGATTATATTAACTGGTCATTCAGTAAAGAAAGGCAATGATAAAACCACATTTGTTAAGCCTCCACTGTGGCCCAAACAGTATTTATTCAGTGTGAAAGGGCCACTTACCTCAATTTTGCACATCTGAACAAAAATCTTAATATTGGAAATGTCTCAGTACATTGATGAAATATGGGAAGAGAATGTACAAGACTTGGTCAGGCACGGTGGCTCATGCCTGTAATCCCAGCACTTTGTGAGGCCAAGGTGGGTGGATCACCTGAGGTTAGGAGTTCGAGACTAGCCTGACCAACATGGTGAAACCCCGTCTCTACTAAAAATGGAATAATTAGCTGGGCACGGTGGCACATGCCTGTAATCCCAGCTACTCGGGAGGCTGAGGCAGGAGAATCACTTGAACTAGGGAGGCGGAGTTTGCAGTGAGCCAAGATCGTGCCACTACATTCCAGCCTGGGCAACAGAGTGAGACTCCTTCTCAAAAAAAGAAAAAAAAAAAAAGAATGTGCAAGACTTGGTAGGCTTGTTTATTTTGGTCAGTTTGGTTTTAGTGCTGCTCTGTGTCATTTTGCCAGCCTGTTTGCTCACAGTTTTCTTAATAAGTAAAAGATAGCTTTCCCTCCCAGCTCTTTAGAAAAATGCTTTAGGTTTTATCATTCCTGATGATGGAATTAATGCAGTCTAATTGAAAAAAATTCAGTAACCTAAGTTGACTTATAAAATAGAAAGTTGTAAGTACTCATAGTTTTATTATCTAGAAAATGTTCACTATTAATATTTTGGTGTACATTCTTCTCAATTTTTCCTTGTAGATATGTTAATATGTTCTTGTTTTTTTCAGAAAGATTCACATGAATTAGTCATTTGAATGAGAGAAGACCTCTCTACTCTTAGCTTGAAAAAGAAATTCAAATCAGTCATGCTTTTGTTAGACTTCCATGTGTGTAGGGATAAAAAGGAAGTGTCATTGATGCCCAACTGATTTGACAAACATTCTGAGTATTTACACCTTTTAGAATTATATACATATTAATTTATGCATAATTACCAGGAGAACAGGTAGGCAGCTAAGTAAGGTAGCTAGTCAGAATTATATATGTATGTATGTATTTGTACAGACTTAGGTAACTTTCACAAGACAGCATTAATCTTTCAAGACCAGAAGTCTTAGGAGACTTTGTTATATAAATCACACTGCTGAGGATGGGTTTATGATTTCTGATAACAGAATTGATGTTAATAGTTACAAATAGGCATAAAAGACTGGATTGGCCAAGGAACAAGACTGATCTTTTGTTAATATTTTCAATTTGTTAACTATTTGGGTCAGATTCTCTGAGCTATGTTTATAAGCCGAATGACTTCTCTCTAGCTGCTGTCCTTTTCTTTTTGAAAAAATCTGTGGGTAATGTTGTTAGTGAAGACTAATTACATTTGCAGGCTGTGCTTTGTAAGATATTAGCTTTATAAGAAAGAGCAGGCCTCAGAAAGCATGTTAAGGACAGAAGACACTTTTCTTTAATACTAATAGATTATATGACATGACATAGTCTTTTCATCATCAATACAAATAGATGATATTTATTAGGTGATTTTTAGGTACTTATTATGTGCCATGGGAGTGATTTGTTGTTAGTTTTTTTTCCACTTAATTCTGACAACTCTGTGAGGTACAAGGTGCTGTTGTTTTTCTAATTTTATTGATGAGGAAATCTAGGTAATGCCAATAAAATACTTGTCAAAGCACAGAATTAGTAACTTTCAGAGCTAAGATTAACATATTGAAAGTTTTAATCACATCTTTTGTTCTTATTTGCAACTGTACATAACCTCCCAACCATTTTTTTTTTTTTAAGAGACAGGGTCTTGCTCTGTCACCCAGGCTGGGTTGCAGTGGTGCAATCAAGGCACACTGTAGCCTCAAACTCCTGGGCTCAAGCTACCCTCCTACCTCAGCCTCCTGAGTAGCTGGGACTACAGGTGTGCATGTCACTCGGCCCGGCTAATATTTTTTACTATTGTAGACACAGAGTCTCACTATGTTGCCTAGGCTGGTCTTGAACTCCTGGTCTCAAGTGATCCTCCAGCCTCAGCCTCCCAAAGCGCTGGGATTACAGGCATGAGCCACTGCACCCAGCCAAGAAGTAGTCTTAAATGAAAAGAAAACCATAGAGAATACAGAGAAGCAATGCTAATATAAGGATGCATAACCAGTCAGCTATTACTAGAGTCAAAGCTGAATCCTACCCAGGCAATTCCTTGTACTGGCTGTGCAGCTCTCGTGACCTGACCAACTTTATACCCGCTTCCAAGACCCTCTAGGAACGTGTGTCTTTGTCATTTTAAGTATAGATATCTACAGGAATGTGGCATGGGCTTTTGGTGGGTGAACAGATTGCAGCCTGCTCAAATCTACCTGTTCAGGCAATAATGTAGGATCTGGATAATTTATCCAGTCTCCTGGGGTCCCACTGAATAAAAATATTTCCTTCATGTACCTCTCCTTTTAATATCTACCTATTTTAACTTCTCATAAGTAAAATAATCTTCTACTCAATATCTGTGTAAAATTCATCCATGTTGTTCCATATAGCAGGTACCTGTTCCTTCCTTTTGCTGTGTAGTATTCCATTGTAGGATGTGGCACAGATTATTTATCTGTTCTATTGTTGGAAATTTGAGTTGTTTCAAATTTTTCTATAGAAATACTGCTAGTATGACCATTATTGTCAAAATATGGACAAAGACATGCACATAAGTATTAATCCTCTCCCCCACCCCTGCACACAGACATTATGGAGATAAACAGGGGTAGAATTGCTGGATTGTATGATGTATGTATGTTCAGTTTTCGTAGATACTGCTAAACATTTCCACTGTGGTTGTACTTATGCTGTCAGAAGCACTGCATGAGAATTTTAGTTGTAACAAGTTAAGCACAGTATTATAATCTTTATGGTAACTAAAATAATAGTGCATGACAGTATGAACTAATATGGCAAACTAGAATAATAAAATTATTTGACCAATAAAATAAAAGGTAAGAATGGGGGAATAAAAGAACAACAAAAAAAGAGGGGGACACATAGAAGTAAATGTTGATGAACTTACCTCCAACATAGTAATTAAATTAGTAATTTACATTACATTAAAGAAATTTAATGAAACTGGACTAAACAATAAAAAGATTAACTATTGGCTGGGCACAGTTGCTCATGCCTATAATCCCAGCATTTGAGGGGTGAGATGGGAGCATTGCCTGAGCCCAGGAGTTTGAGACCAGCCTGGGCAACATAGTGAGACCCCATCTCTACAAAAAATTAAAATTAGCTGAGTGTGGTGATGCATGCCTATAATCCCAGCTACTCAGGAGGCTGAGGCGGAAGGATCACTTGAGCCTGTGAAGTCAAGACTGCAGTGAGCTGTGATTGAGCCACTGCACTCCAGCTTGGGTGACAGAGCGAGGGACGAAAAGAACAAAATCAACCATATGCTTTTAGTAGCTGACACACTTTTAAGTATAATGACATAGAAAAGTTGAAAGCAAGGCTGGGCGTGGGGTCTCACATCTGTAATCCCAGCACTTTGGGAGGCCAAGGCGGGCAGATCACTTGAGGTCAGGAGTTCGAGACCAGCATGGCCAACATGGTGAAAACCCCATCTTTACTAAAAATTTAAAAAAATTACCTGGGTGTGGTGACACACACCTATAATCCCAGCTACTCTGGAGGCTGAAGGATGATAATTGCTTGAACTGGGAGGCAGAGGCTGCGGTGAGCTGAGACCAAGTCACTGTACTCCAGCCTGGGTGACAGAGTGAGACTCCATCTCAAAAAAAAGAAGAAAAAAAAAGTTGAAAGCAAAAGTATGAAGGTGGTAATGCAAACACCAACAAAAGCTGATGTTTATTTATGTCAAAAAAATAGAGTTTAAGGCCAAAAATATTATGAGAGATAACATGGAGGCAGCTCATAATGATAAAAGTTTATACCCAAGGCTGGGTGCGGTGGCTCACGTCTGTAATCCCAGCACCTTAGGAGGCTGAGGCAGGTGGATCACGAGGTCAGGAGTTCGAGACCACCCTGGCCAACATAGTGAAACCCTGTCTCTACTAAAAATATAAAAATTAGCCAGGTGTGGTGGCACACGCCTGTAGTCCCAGCTACTCAGGAGGCTGAGGCGGGAGAACCTGGGAGGTTCTTGAACCCAGGAGGCAGAGGTTGCAGTGAGCCAAGACCATGCCATTCCACTCCAGCCTGGGTGACAGAGTAAGACTCTGTCTCAAAAAAAAAAAAAAAAAAAAAAAAAAGAGCTTCAGGATATAAAAAGGTCAATAAAAGAGAAAGGATGAATAGACAAATTCAGTCATCATTGGAGATTTTAGCACACCTTTCAGTAACTTAGAATAAGGAGACTAGAAATTATTAATGATGGAGGTGAGCAAACGACCTAATTGACATATATAGAATACTGTATCCAACTAGATATAGTACCATATATATTTATTTATACTTCTATATAGATATGTATAATGTAGATATATGCTATCTCCAACTAGACAATATTATATGTATATTGTAGGTATATGCTACATCCAACTAGAGAATATAAGTCTGACACTTACTGAAATTTAGGCAAATTACTTGCCCTCTTTGTTTTTTGTTTTTTGAGACAGAGTCTTGCTCTGTCGTCCAGGCTGGAGTGCAGTGGCACAATCATGAGGCTCACTGCAGTCTCAAACTCCTGGGCTCAGGTGTTCAAGTAGCTCAACCTCCAAGAAGCTAGGACTACAGATGCACACTACCACACCTGGCTAATTTTTTAATGTTTTGTTGTAGGGACAGGATCTTGCTATGTTGTCTAGGCTGATCGCGAACTCTTGGCCTCAGTCCTCCCACCTTGGCCTCCCAAAGTGCTGGGGTTACAGGCATGAGTCACTGCACCTGGCTTACTTGCTTTCTTTACCTTTTGTGTCTTGCTCTGTTGAATGGAAATAATATATTAAATTATAGAGCTGCATGAGGATTAAATGACAAGGTTTATAAAGCACTTCTCAAGAGAGTTCTTTGTAAATATTGTCAAGCTGCAGAGGTCATAAATTCACTCTTCTTCAACTTGGATACTGAGAAAAGAGGTAGTGACCAATGCTACTGAAGGAAGTTGTGTAGTGATTGTGATTGAGAAATAGGAGGCCGGGCATGGTGGCTCACGCCTGTAATCCCAGCACTTTGGCAGGCCAAGGCGCGTGGATCACAAAATCAGGAGTTCGAGACCATCCTGACCAACAGGGTGAAACCCCGTCTCTATTAAAAATACAAAAATCAGCCAGGCATGGTGGTGCATGCCTGTAATCCCAGCTACTCAGGAGGCTGAGGCGGGAGAATCACTTGAACCCAGGAGGCGGAGGTTGCAGTGAGCCGATATTGTGCCACTGCACTCCAGCCCGGGTGACAGAGCAAGACTCCATCTCAAAAAAAAAAAAGAAAAAAGAAAAAAGAAATAGGAAGTGCTGAGCTAGAAGCAGTTGGGTTGGCTGGGAGGCAGGATTCCATGTGGCCCAATGCCATTTTGAAATGGCATTGTTTTCTGCTTTTGTGTGTGTGGTGTGATCAGGCAGTTCCAGTTGCTGCATGACAAACCACCCCAAAACTTCATGGCTTAGAACAATAACATTCTTTTTAATTATGAATCTGCATATTAGAGCATTGGGGGACAGCTAGTCTCTGCTCTACTTGGCTTCAGCTGAGGTGGCTTGGAGGTTGGGAGTCGGAATCATCTGAAGGCTTGCTCGTTTTCACGTGTGGTGGTTGATGTTGGCTGTTGGCTGGAGCTTCAGCTGACTACAGCTGGAATATCTAGTTGTGGCCTTTCTATGTAGCTGCTTGGATTCCTCACAGCATGATGGCTGGATTCCATGGGGGGCATCTTGAGAGAGATTAGGATGAAGTTCTGTTGCCTTTTCTAACCTAGCCTTGTTAGATACACAGTGTCATTTCTGTTGTATTCTGTTTATCAAGGGAGTCCCAAAGGCCTACCCAATTTCAAGAGAAAGGGAAATAGACTGTACCTCTTGAAGGGGTTAGTGGCAAAGTTTGGAAGAGCATGCAGGACCAGAAATGGTGTTATTGGTCTCACTGGAATTTATGGTCTCTGATCATTCCTGATGCCATTCATGCAGTTCTGGTGTGGATGGTGTCATCCCTTTGCAACCCTAGAAAGTAAAATGGAGGGAGCATTTTCTCCCTCTGTTATCTCAAGATAGGGTTGAGTGGCTTAATTTTAGGTCCAGGTCAGCATTAGCAGAGTGTGGGATGGGCCAGAAACTTGCTGTCTGGACCCTACTTTTAGATTATGAGGATGTCTGCTTGGTGTCTACATCTGTCTGCTGGACTCCTTGTGGGTGCAGGGTTTCATTTTGTCCAGAATCCCTCTTACCTCCCCGATTTTGGAAGCTGAGAGGCACATCTCATCTCATGGGCAGTTTTCCTTCCCCAGCTCTTGCCTCTGTGGTCTCAGTGCTTCTGCAAAGAGAGGACCCCTGAGGAAGACTGACAAGTTCTTAACCATTTTTAGCCATGGTTTTGGTGAACTGTTTGTCTCTACTTCTTAAACACAGTCATATTTTAGATCATGTAAACATTATCTTATCTTGAAATGTCCTATGTAACAGAGATCTAAGAAGTTGTCCCCAGTTCCAGTGAGTGATGATGCCAAACAGCCCAAGATTCTCCTAATGGATCCCTCTATTTTCCCATTAATATTTAGCATCCACTATCGGTTCAGCCCTTTTTTTTCGGAACAGTAAAATGAAAGCTCTTGAAGAGGTATTGGACCATCCAAAAGATGGTGGACGGATGATTAAAAGAAGCTGATTTCATTCGATTATAGATTGGGACCTATCCAGGCACAGTGGCTCATGCCTGTAATCCCAGCACTTTGGGAGGCCAAGGCAGGCAGATCGCTTGAGCCCTGGAGTTCAAGAGTAGCCTGGGCAACATGGTGGAAACTCCATCTCTATAAAAAATTAGCCAGGTGAGGTGGCGCATGCCTGTAGTCCCCGATACTCTGGAGGCTGAGGTGGGAGAATCACCTGAGCTGGGGAGGTCGAGGGTGCAGTGAGCGGTGATCACGCCACTGAACTCCAGCCTGGGTGACAGACTGAGACCCTATCTATAAAAAGAAAAAAGAATCTACTCTTTAGGATTTTTAAGTAAATACTTGAGTCATCTACAGAGGAAGTTTTCTTCTTTGCCAGTATTTATAGGTTTCATTTATTTTGTTGCCTTATTGTAATCGCTAGGACTTGCATTAGTAGTCATAGATAGGCATTGTTGCCTTTTTTATCATAGGAGGATTGTATTTAATATTTCATCACTATATTATAGCTGGAAGTTTTCATAGACTATCAAATTGAACAAGTTCTCATCTACTTCTAGCTTGCTGAGAGTTTTCATCATGAAGGGATATTGTATTTTGTCCGATAATTTTTTATATACTAAAGTGATCATATTTTTTTCTCCTTTATTCAACTAATATGAATAAAATTGATTTTTAAAACTGTTAAGCAGAAAACAATGCCATTTCAAAATGTCATTGGCCTACATGGAATCCTGCCTCCCAGCCAACCCAACTGCTTCTAGCTCAGCATTTTCTATTTCTCTTTTTCTTTTTTGTTAAATCTTGTATTAGTGGTTCATTTTGTAACCTTTTTACATATTTCTAGATTAAATTTGCTACCATTTTCTTTTTTCTTTCTTTCTTTTTTTTTTTTTGGAGACAGAGTCTTGCTTTGTTGCCCAGGCTGGATTGCAGCGGCGTGATCTCGGCTCACTGCAACTTCCATCTCCCAGGTTCAAGCGATTCTCTTGCTTCAGCTTCCCGAGTATCTGTGACTACAGGCACGTGTCACCATGCCCAGCTAGTTTTTTGTATTTTAGTGGAGACGGAGTTTGACCATGTTGCCCAGGGTGGTCTTGAACTCCGGAGCTCAGGCAGTCCGCCCGCCTTGGCCTCTCAAAGTGCTAGGATTACAGGTGTGAGCCACTGTACCAGGCCTTTCTTTTTTTTTTTTTTTTTTTTTTTGAGACAAAGTCTTGCTCTGTTGCCCAGGCTGCAGTGCAGTGGCATGATCTCGGCTTACTGCAACCTCCGCCTCCCGGGTTCAAGTGATCCTCCCACCTCAGCCTCCCAAGTAACTGGGAGTACAAGCATGCACTGCCATGCCTGGCTAATTTTTTTTTTTTTCTGTATTTTTAGTAGAGACAGGGTTTCACCATGTTGGCCAGTCTGGTCTCCCAACTCCCGACCTCAAGTGATCCACCCGCTATGGCCTCCCAAAGTGCTGGGATTATAGGCACGAGCTGCTATGCCCAGCCAAATTTGCTACCATTTTCTTAAGAATTTTTGCATGAGGTTTTTGGTCTGTCATTTCTTTCCTTGTAATATCTTTATCAGGTTTTGGTATTAGGGTAGTACTGGCCTCAAAAAATGAACTGTCCTCTCCTTCCCTATTTTCTGGAAAAGTGTGTGTAAGATTGGTATTATTTGTTCCTTAAATTTCTGGTTGAATTATCTGGCAAAACCATCTAGGCCTGGAGATTTCTTTTTTTGATGTAATAAATTAAATTTCCTTTTTTTTTTTTGAGATGGAGTTTCGCTCTGTCGCCCAGGCTGGAGTGCAGTGGCACAATCTTGGGTCACTGCAAGCTCCGCCTCCCGGGTTCACACCATTATCCAGCCTCAGCCTCCTGAGTAGCTGGGACTACAGGCAGGCGCCCACCACCACGCCCGGCTGATTTTTTTGTATTTCTTAGTAGAGACGGGGTTTCACCATGTTAGCCAGGATGGTCTCGATCTCCTGACCTTGTGATCCGCCCGCCTCGGCCTCCCAAAGTGCTGGGATTACAGGTGTGAGCCACTGCGTCTGGCCTCAATTTCCTTAATGTATCTGTTTCATCTTGTGTGTTTCAGTAAGTTATATATTTTTTTTTAGAAATTTTGTCCATTTCATCTGAATTCTCAAATTTGTTGACTTGTCTATAATAATTATTTTCTTTTTTTTTTTTTTTTGAGACGGAGTCTCACTCTGTCACCAGGCTGGAGTACAGTGGTGCAATCTTGGCTCACTGCAACCTCTGCCTCCTGGGTTCCAGCGATTCTCCTGCCTCAGCCTCCCGAGTAGCTGGGACTACAGGCGCACACCACCATGCCCAACTAATTTTTGTATTTTTAGTAGAGATGGGGTTTCACCATGTTGGGAGGATGGTCTCGATCTCTTGACCTCATGACCTGCCCACCTTGGCCTCGCAATAATTCTGTTAGACTTCTAATATCTAAAATGCTCCTTAGTGATAAGTTCTTTCATGTAATTTGTCTTTGCAGTTTTTAAATTGATAATTCTAGCTAAGGTTTTTATCAACTCTTTTTTTTTTTTTTT
The DNA here is from genome assembly GCF_000001405.40 of Homo sapiens. Taxonomy (NCBI): domain Eukaryota; kingdom Metazoa; phylum Chordata; class Mammalia; order Primates; family Hominidae; genus Homo; species Homo sapiens. Next base: position 36,590,930 of record NC_000019.10, on the reverse strand, counting down.
TGAGACGGAGTCTTGCTCTGTTGCCAAGTCTAGAGTGCAGTGGCACTATCTCAGCTCACTGCAACCTCCACCTCCCAGGTTCAGGTGATTCTCCTCCCTCAGCCTCCAGAGTAGCTGGGACTACAGGCGCATGCCACCATGCCTGGCTAATTTTTGTATTTTTAGTAGAGATGGGGTTTCACCATGTTGGCCAGGCTGGTTCCAAACTCCTGACTTTAGGTGATCTGCCCGCCTCGGCCTCCCAAAGTACTGGGATTACAGGCATGAGCCGTCATGCCCACCCAAGGTTTTATCAATTTTGTTGATTTTTCAGAGAATTCACTTTTAGTTTGGCTAATTATATATTTCATTTATTTTTTTCTCTCATCTTATTTCCTTTCTTCTGGGTACCGAGGGTTTACTCTGCTTTTCCTTTTCTAGCCTTTTAAAGTAGAACCTGTAGTTATTGATTCTAGGCCTTCTCTTCTAATATAAGCATTTAAATACAGAATCCCTACTTTAACTCCATTCCACAAATTTTCTTTTTATTTATTTATGTATTTACTTATTTATTTTTGAGGTAAAGTCTCACTCTGCCACCTGGGCTGGAGTGTAGTGGTGTGATCATGGCTCACTGCAACCTCGACTTCCCGGGCTCAAGCGATCCTTCTGCCTCAGCCTCCCACATAGCTGGGACCACAGCCATGCAATTGCACACCACCACATCCTGTTAATTTTTGTATTTTGTAGATATGAGGTTTCACCCTGTTGCCTAGGCTGGTCTGAAACTCCTGAGCTCAAGCGATCCACCCGCCTTGGCCTCCGAAAGTGCTGGGATTATACATATGAGCCCCCATGCCTGGCCCCACAAATTTTTATATGGTGCATTTTCATTATCAGTTAGTTCAAACTATTTTCGTTTTCCCTTTGATTTCTTCTTTAACCTATGGATTATATAGAAGTGTGTTTAATTTCCAAACATTTGTGGGTTTTCTAGGTACTTCATTGTCAATGATTCCTAATTTCATTTGACCAAAGAATACATTGTGTACGATTTTGATCCTTTGAAATTCACGGATGCTTTTTTTATGGCCTAGTATGTGGTCTGTCTTGAATATAACATGTGCACTTGAAAAGGACATGTATTTTACAGTTGTTAGGTGCATTATTGTGCAAAATATTAATTTTATCAAGTTGGTTGATAATCCATATATCTTCACTGATATTTTTTGTCTTTTTTTTTTTGCCAGTTGCTGAGAGATGGATGTTAAAAATCAACACCAGGACTACAGTAAGGCTGAAATCATTGAAGTGCTTGGAGTGCAGAACTGAAAGAGGTACTTACTAACTTTTAGGGCTGTGTAAGTGTAGTGTTGTTTGAAGCTCTGTGTGTGTTTCTGTAAAGACTGGTCTGGAAAACTGACCAGAGGAAAACATTTCCTTGCTTTTCCTCTGCTCTCACATGAAAACAACAAACACAGTAAGAGTCAACACCAAAGACTTCAATGACCCCCAGATATGTGGGGATTTCCCCCTACCAGCAAGCAAGCAATCAGTTCTGCAGCAGACACTAACTGCGTATCCTCCAATTTAATTCTGACACTATCTGCCTGGAAATAGCATCAGATCCCTCAGGTTGAGGGCTCAGTCCCCAAGACTGCCATCCCTTCAGACACCAGTTGCAAGTCTGGGCCTCTAGAACTTCTGACCAGCTGGGCTTCAAGTTGGCATTCCCAGACATTTACAGTGGCTCATGGCTGGAGGATCACTTGAGGCCAAGAGTTCAAGACCAGCCTGGGCAACAGAGTGAGACCTGTCTCAAGAAAATAAAAAGTAAAATTAGCTGTGCCTGGAGGTACAAGCCTGTGTAGTCCTAGCTACTTGGGAGGCTGAGGTGAAAGGCTCACTTGAGCCCATGAATTCAAGGTTACAGTGAGCAGTGATCTGTGCCATTGCACTCCAGCCTGGGTGACAGAGCGTGATCCTGTCTTAAAAAAAAAAAAAAAAAAGATGGGGTTCTCACAACCCCCTCTTTGGGTTCAATTAATTTGCTGAAGTGCTCACAGAACTCAGGGAAACACTTATGTTTGCTGGTTTATTATAAAGGATATTACAAAGGATACAGTTGAAGAGATTCGTTGGGCAAGTTATGGGGAAGGGGCATATTGTTGGAGGCACAGAATAGGCAAGACTTCAGAGAAAGTTTCTCTTCTCTCCCCACTTCTTGCTGCCATTGTCTGTTAGGTTTGATCCACAATGGATGGATCTCATTCTACTTTTCCATTTCCCTAATATTTGTCATGGCCCCTTTGAATCTTGCCATTCACTGTTCTGATTTTCACAGTGCTGGGGGTCATCAGTATGTTCCTGAGGTAGAATAGCACTCATTTCAGAACAAGGATGACAGAGGTGTGGGGTGCAAACATACACTTAGGGAACAGGGCAGACCAAGTGAATGACAACTCTCTTTCCATCACACCTATCTATCCTCAAATCATGAGATACTTATCCACTTTTACCTCTGAATACAGGACTGTGGTTCTCCTATGCAAAGACAGCAGGGAGTGGACACTAGGAGGGTAAAACAACGCTCTGAATAAAGCTCAAGAGATCTCCCACGGAATTTCATTAAACCACTACTGGAGACCATATACTAAACTAGTAATCCCTTAAGGCATGAGACACATTAAAACCACTTTATTGAGCCATAATTCATATACAATTCACCCATTTAAAGTGTACAATTCAATGGATTTTTGTATATTCACAGAGTTATACATTCTTCACCACAATTTTATTTTATTTTGAGAGAGTCTTGCTCTTTCACCCAGGCTGGACTGCAGTGGCATGATCTCGGCTCACTGCAACTTCCTCCTCCCGGGTTCAAGCGAGTCTCCTGCCTCAGCCTCCCAAATAGCTGGGATTACAGGCACATGCCACCACACACAGCTAATTTTTGTATTTTTAGTAAAGAAAGGGTTTCACCATGTTGGCGAGTCTGGTCTCAAACTCCTGGGCTCAAGCATCACCACAATTTTAGATCGTATGTATCTCCGAAAGAAATCCAGCTCCCCTTAGCTGTCACTTTCAAACCCCCATGCCCTCCAGCCCTAGGCAACCGTTAATGTGCTTTTTCTTGAGAGATTTTCCTGTTCTGGACATTTCATATAAATGGAGTCATGCAGTATGTAAATCCTTCATGACTAGCTTAACTTACCATAATGTTTTGAAGGTTCGTCCCTGTAACGTGTATCATTATTACTTTCTTTTTATGACTGAATAATATTCTAAAGTGTGGTAAGGATATGACATCTTGCTTACCCATTCATCAGCTGACGGATGTTTAGGTTGTTTCCATTTTTTGGCTACTGTGAATAATGCTTCTGTGAAGATTTATGTGCCTGTTTTAGTGTGGAAATGTTTTCATTTCTGTCAGGTAGATCTGAGGAGCAGAACTGGAGATTATACGCTAACATTATGTTTAACCATTTCAGGAACTGCCAGATTGATTTTCACAGCAACTGGACCATTTTACATTCCCACTAGCAGGGTAAAAGAGTTTTTATTTCTCAACATCCTTCCCAACACTTTAAAATAAATTATAGCCATCGTAGTAGGTGTATTCATAGTATCTCATTATTGTTTTGTTGTGCATTTCCCTAATGGGATTTTTTTTTTTTTTTTCCTGAGACGGAGTCTTGCTCTGACACCCAGGCTCGAGTACAGTGGCATGATCTTGGCTCACTACAACCTCCGCCTCATGGGTTCAAGCGATTCTCCTGCCTCAGCCTACTGAGTAGCTGGGATTACAGGTGCTCGCCACCACGCCTGGCTAATTTTTGTATTTTTAGTAGAGATGGGGTTTCACCATGTTGGCCAGGCTGGTCTCCAACTCCTGACCTTAAGTGATCCACCTGCCTCAGCCTCCCAAAGTGTTGGGATTACCGGCGTGAGCCACCACGCCCAGCCACTCATGGGATTTTATTATACCTTTATGCTGATAGAAGTAAACAGAAACAGCATACTCGTCTTTTTTCTTAATATAGAAACCTTATACATATTTATGTCTTTTAGAAAAACAGAGATGAGTTTAAGCATTATCAGGGCAGCGAATTATGACATAAACAACAGGATTTAGGATTACTATTGAAATATGAGGTGTTAAAGACTTCTTTGCACAAATAATACAAATAAGCAAATTATAGACAGGAAAATAGCTGAGGATGATCAGAGTTATCTCTCTACTGAACAGGAGAGTAATGCTGATATTCACTGAGTGTTCTCAATTCAATACTTTATCATATCAGGTTCTTTTAAATAGCTTTTTTTTTTTCTTTTTTTGAGACGGAGTCTCGCTTTCGCTCTGTTGCCCAGGCTGGAGTGCAATGGCATGATCTCAGCTTACTGCAGCCTCCATCTCCTGGCTCCAAGCAATTCTCCCGCCTCAGCCTCCCGAGTAGCTGGGATTAGAGATGCACACCACCACGCCCGGCTAATTTTTGTGTTTTTAGTAGAGACGGGGTTTCATCATATTGGTCAGGCTGGTCTTGAACTCCTGACCTCATGATCCACCTGCCTCGGCCTCCCAAAGTGCTGGGATTACAAGGGTGAGCCACCGCGCCCGGCAACCATTTAAATAGATTTTATGACACAGAGTGGTGTCTTTTCCCCTGTAGCTCCATAGGGAGAAGACATCTCCATATTTTTTAAAGATTCCTTTTTAGTACTATTAGGTGGGTCTGCATCCTGAAGAATTTTACTTGTTTGCATGATGACAAAACAGGACTGAAAAGCTCAATACATATTGCAAGGAAATGGAAAATGGAGTCGATAATTTCTGAAGTTAAAATGTAATAAACAGCATATAATGTTTTATAGTCAGGATGGGATTTCGTGTTCCACACTGGACACTCCTGTCTTTGCCTGACCTTTCATTGTCACCTCTTCTGCCTCATGATCCACAGTTGAAACCCCTTAAAAAATCAATGTGGCATGTAAATCAAGGAACAGTACATACTTAGCTTAGCAGATGTAAGCGTAAATGTTAAGACATTGCTTAGAGATCCATAGTTACTGAGCCAGCTAGGGAATGAGCTGTGTGGTGATGTTAAGTATCGTTAACCATCACATCCAGTCCTGGAGCTGGCCAGAAACCAGAGTCCCCTCATTATCTTCCATCCCACCAAAATCCAGCCTCCCAATGTTGCCACTGCTGAGGAGTATGGAAAGGAGTCATGAGTTAATCACTTAGGAAAAATTCATAGTAATCTCTTTTGTATGCAGAGTGCCTTATGGTTTACAAAGCAATTTTCCAGCTTTTATTTCAGTTTTGTGAGAAACAGGTAGAAAGACACTAATTTATTAACTGCACTGCAGACACTGAATATACTTTGTCTCATTTCATAAAGACTTATTCCCTCCATTTACAGATGAAATGGGTTGAGCAGAAATGCCTGTCTTCATTTTACATCAGAAGAGAATGAGGTTCAGTAACATTAAGGGATATACACAACTAAAAACAGTGCAGGTGGGGATTGTAGCTAGATCTGTGAGCACAGGGCTCTGGAACACTGACTGCTCTGCAGCCCTGTTACTCCACATGAGGATGAACCTGGGGCTCTCTGCTGGTCAAGAGGCAGCTCATTTCTCTATCAAACGTCACAAAAACTTCCCACTCATCCATGAGCCCCTGTAAGCCTTTAAACTGGTAGTAACGGGAGGGCAGGGAGTGGAAACTGATAGGCCTGAGTCTTTAATTCTTTCCTCCATGTTTAGTGTTGGGTTTGTTGTTTCTCCCCACTACAAACTCAGAGAGGCAAGGACGATGCACTTTGGCCACAGCAACCTGATTGACTTATGTGCTATTCTGGTCAGACTTCATCTTCCAAGAGCTGTCACCAGGCCTCCCCTTAGCTCAATGACCCATCTCTTTCCCCACTTTCTGTTTAATCAGGCTTATACTTGCTGCTTCTTTTATGTTTTATTGACTTCTATGAGATCAATTAAGTGCTCCTTATTCTACTTTCCCCTGCACTGGATTAAAAATAAGATATTGTATTGCTTTACTATCGGAAGTTACTCTTAACCTTGCATCTTTGACTTAATGACTAATTGGTATCTCCTTCTTGAGCAATAAAAAAGACCTTAGAATGCTGTAGGTACATTCTTTCTTTTTTTTTTTTTTTGAGACAGAGTCTCCCTCTGTTACCCAGGGTGGAGTGCAGTGGGGCAATCTCGGTTCACTGCAACCACCACCTCCTGGGTTCAAGCGATTATCTTGCCTTAGCCTCCTGAGTAGTTGGGATCACAGGTGAGCGCCACCACACCCAGCTGATTTTTGTATTTTTAGTGAAAATGGGGTTTCAGCATGTTGGCCAGGCTGGTCTCCAACTCCTGACCTCAAGTGATCTGCCCATCTTGGCCTCCCAAAGTGCTGGGATTACAGGTGTGAACTACCGCATCCGGCCTCTTTCTATTTTTGTCTGGTGCTTTTGATCTAATTTGTTTTGAAATTCCGTAAAAAGTAATCATCATTACTTAGTAAACAGAATCCCCAACATATTTACCAATTTCCTTGCTCATCATTTAAAATTTTATCTCATTCTGTCTTTCTGGGTTTTTCTTTTTGCTGATTCACATCCTTTAGAAATTCTTCCAGTGAGTCTATGAAAAAAACCTTATCTTTGTCTGAAAATGTCTTTATTTTGCCCCACTCTTAATTGCTACTTTTCCTCTATCAGTTTGAAGGTATTATTCTCCTGTCTTCTGACATCTTGTGCCCAATCATCTTTCCTTTTAGGTAGCATGTCTTTTCTGTTTTTCTTTTCTTTCCTTCCCTCCCTTCCTTCTTTTCAAGATTTCTGTTTTGCATTATCACTGTGATGTGTCTAGGTGTTAGATCCACTTTCATTATCCTACTTGACACTCATTTTGATTCCTCATCTTAAAATTGAGTTTAATTTTGAAAAGTTGTAAACCACTTTTTCTTCTGATGCTTCTCCTCCTTTTTCTCCTTTTATGACATTTATTAGATGTGTCTTGGGCCCTTTTATTTTCTTCCATGTCTCAGTTTCTCATCTGTATTTCACTTTTTATCTCTGTGCTGCATTATAGGTAATCTCTTCAGATATATCTTTAAGTTCATTAATTTTGAGCTGTGCTTGTTATGTTCTCTATACTTAAGATCTTTTTTATTTCTAGAAATTTTCTCTGGTTATTTTTTAAATCTACTGATTCTTTTTAAGTATTATGCTTTCATTATGAGTTTTTTTCCATTTAAAACATTTCATATTCTTTCATATTGTCATATTATATGCAGTTCTTGTAGGTGCCAACTTTATTATTTATTTACTCTGCTGACCCTCCTGTGATGGTTATTTCCTCGTTGTTTGTAATGTTTGTTTTTGAGCTCATCTCGGTGGGGCAGAGGTATGCTTTGTTTTTGTTTTTGTTTTTAAGGGTTTTTCATGTGCCCTGGATTAAGACAGCATTCAAAACCATGTTACATTTACTTTTGGCTGAGTTGCAGGGGTTTCAGTGGAGCTGAACCTGGTTCTGTATGTATGGATTTTTATTTATTAAAACTTAAAATTTTAGGCCAGGTGTCATGGCACATGCCTGAAATCTCAGCACTTTGGGAGGCCAAGGTGGGAGGATTTCTTGAGCCCAGGAGTTCAAGACCAGCCTGCACAACAAAGTGAGACCCTGTCTCTAAATTTTTTTTTTAATTAGCTGGCCATAGTGGTGCCCACCTGTACTCCCAGCTACTTGGGAGGCTGAGACAGAAGAATCACTTGATACTGGTAGGTTGAGGCTGTAGTGAGTCATGATCATGCCACTAGCCTCCAGTCTGACAAAGCAAGACCCTGTCTCCAAACAAACAAACAAACAAACAATTAGATACAGACTTTCTGTTTTTCTATTTCATTTTGAGTCAAGAGTTTTGAGAAGCTGTGCTTTTAAAGGAATGGATGAATTTCATCTAAAATGTCAAATTTATTGGCATAAAATTGTTCATAATATTGCCTTATCATTTTACTGTCTATAGGATCCGTAGTGGCATCTTCATTTTTATTCCTGACATGGGCAATTTGTGTTTTCTATTTTATTAATTATGCTTACTAGGGATTTATCCATTTTTAAAATACCTTCACATAAACTTGTTGTTTTGTTCATTTTCTTAATGGTCTGCTTTCTATTTCTACTTAATTGATTTATGCTCATCTTTTTTTTTTTTTTTTTTTTAAGATGGAGTCTCGCTCTGTCACCCAGCCTGGAGTGCAGTGGCGCGATCTCGGCTCACTGCAAGCTCCTCCTCCCGGATTTAGGCCATTCTCCTGCCTCAGCCTCCCGAGTAGCTGGGACTACAGGCGGCGCCTGCCACAACTCCTGGCTAATTTTTTGCATTTTTAGTAGAGATGGGGTTTCACCATGTTAGTCAGGATGGTCTCGATCTCCTGACCTCGTGATCTGCCCGTCTCAGCCTCCCACAGTGCTGGGATTACAGGCGTGAGCCACCGCGCCCAGCCGATTTATGCCCATCTTTACTTCTTTTTTTTGACTTTTGGTTTAGCATATAGCATGTTTATTATTCTTGTTTAAGCCTTTCCTCATTTTTAAAAATGGTGGCAAAGTATACATGTAACATAAAATTTACCATCTTAACTATTTGAGTATACAGCTCAGCAGCATTAAGTATATTCCCATTTTTGTACAACCAACATCCACAACTTTTTCATCCTGTAAATGTGAAACTATATCCATGAAATAATAACTACCCTTTTCCCCCTGCCCCCAGCCCCTGGCAACCACGACAAGAAACCTACAAACTCTCACTACAAGCGTTAATAGCCTAAAAGTGGGAGACCAGTAATACTTTCTGATTTTATGAGGTGGACTACTCTAGATACTTCATATGAGTGGAATCATAAGTAGTTATCTTTTTGTGATTGGCTTATTAGAATATCCTCAAGGTTCAGCCACATTGTAGCATATGTCAAAATTTCCTTCCAAGGCTGAATAATATTACATTGTATGTATATGCCACATGTATTAGTCTGTTTTGTGTTGCTATAAAGGAATACCTGAGGCTGGGTAATTTATAAAGAAAAATGGTTTATTTAGCTTATGGTTCTATAGGCTGTACAAGAAGCATAGTGCCAGCATCTGCTTCTGGTGAGGCCTCAGGAAGCTTACAATTATGGCAGAAGGCAAAGGGAGAGCTAGCATATCACATGGCAAGAGGGAACAAAAGGGAGAGGGAGGAGGTGCCAGGCTCTTTTAAACAACTAGCTATAGGATGAACTCATATCCATGTGGAGGACACCAAGCCATTCATGAGATCCACCCCATAATCCAACACCTCCCACTAGGCGCCACCTCCAACACTGGGGGTCACATGTCCGTGTGAGATTTTGAGGGAACAAATATCCAAATCATATTACCACATTTTGTTTATCCATTCATCCACTGATGAACATCTGGGTTGTACGTATTTCTTGGTTATTGTGAATAATGCTGCTATGAATTTCTCCTTTTTTTATTTAAGTACTTAACATTCCTCTCAACTCTGCTTTAGCTGTATCCTTCCAATTTTGATATGCTGTTGTCACTTTTTCATATTTCAAAACATTTTCCCCTTATTTATTCAATGATCTGTAGATCTAGAAGTGTGTTATTTAATTTCCATGTATTGAAGGACTGTATAGGTTTCTTATTATTGGTTTCTAATGCACATTCCCTGTAATGTGGCAATCTTTTGAAGTTTATTGTGACTTATGGTCCAGCCAATAGTCTATCATGGGGACTGTTCAGGTACATGAAAAGAATGTAATTTTTCAATTGTGGGTATGGTGTTCTGTAAACAACAATTAGGTCATGTTGACTGGTGTGGTTCATATCTTCTATACAGTTGTCCCTTGCTATCCACAGGGGACTGGTTCCAGGACACCTTGTGGATACCAAAACCTACAGATGCCCAAGTTTGTTATATAAAATGGTGTAGTAGTTGCATATAACCTATGCACAACCTTCTGTATATTTTAAACCATCTCTAGATTTTTTATAATACTTAATACAATGTAAATGCTATGTAAATAATTTTATACTGTATTTTAAAATTTGTATTTTTTTACTGTCATTGTGTTTTTTCTGAATATTTGTGCATTGCTATTGGTTGAATCTGCATATATGAAGAGCTGATTACATATACTACTGAATTTCTTGCCTACAAGTGCTATCAATTACTGAGATATAATTGTGGATTTCCAATTATGCTTGTGGATCTATTTCTTTTGTTCTGTTAGTTTTTGCTTCATAAAATTTAACACTCTCATTATAGGTTCATACTAGCATACATATTCCTGATGAACACAGTCATGTGTCATGTAATAACATTTTACTCAATGATGGACACATATACAATGGTGGTCCCATAAGATTACAATGGAGCTGAAAAATTCCTATCACTTGTGGACGTTGTCATGCAACATATCACTCAGGTGTTTGTGGTGACGCTGCTGTAAATAAACCTACTGTGCTTCCAGTTGTATAAAAGTATAGCACATGCAATTATGTATAGTACGTAATAGGTGATAATAATAAGTGATTACATTACTAGTTTATGTAATTTATTGTACTATTTGTATTATTATTTTAGACTGTACTCCTTCTACTTATTAAAAAAAAAAAGTAACTGTAAAACAGCCTCAGGCAAGTCCTTCAGGAGGTATCCAGAAGAAGGCATTGTTTTCATAGGCGATGACAGCTCCATGCATATTTTTAATCCTGAAGACGACATTCCAGTTGGACAAGATATGGCGGTAAAAGACAGACATATTGATACTCTAGACCCTGTGTAGGCCCAGGCTAAAGTGTGTTTGTTTTTAACAAGAAAGTTTAAAAAGTAACAAACATTTTTAAAACAAAAAAATTTTTAAATAGAAAAAAGCCTATAGAATAAGGACAGAAATATTTTTGTGTTGCTATATAATGTGTTTGCGTTTTAAGTGAAGAGTCACTACAATTCAGAAAGATAAAAAATAGTAAGTTTATAATGTAAAAATATTACAGGAAGCTAAGGTTAATTTATTATTGAAGAAAACTTAAAAAAATAAATTTAGTGAAGCCTAAGTGTACTGCTTGTAAAGTCTACAGCAGTATACAGTAATGTCCTAGTCCTTAGCATTCTCTCACAACTCACTCACTGATGCACCCAGAAATTCAGTCCCACAAGCTCCATTCATGGCAAGTATCTTATACCGGTGTGCCATTTTTTAATATTTTATACAGTATTTTTACTGTACCTTTGCTATGTTTAGATACACAAACACCACTGTGTTATAAATGCCTACAGCATTCAATACAGGTATGCTATATGCTATATAATATGCTATACAGGTTTGTAGCCTAGGAGCAATAGGCTATACCATATAACTTAGGTATGTAGTAGGCTACCCCATTGCTGTTTGTGTTAGTGTGCTCTATGATGCTTGCATGATGCAATCACCTAATAACACATTTCTCAGAATGTATCCCTGTAGTGACAAATGTATATGCAAATTCCTAATGACCTGCTCTTTTATGACTGTTACCTATCTCCTGCCATATACACTGTTTTGAGGCCTATTATCTGATACTACTATAGCCATGCCAACTTTCTTATACTTAATGTGTATCTTTTTCTTGACCAATTTTAAGTAGCTTTCTCAGCTTAGAATTTCTAATTCACACGTGTAGTATTTTTTTTTTTTTTAGACGGAGTCTCACTCTGTCTCCCAGGCTGGAGTGCAACGGCGCAATCTTGGCTCACTACAACCTCCACCTACCGGGTTCAAGCAATTCTCTGCCTCAGCCTCCCGAGTAGCTGGGATTACAGGCACCCACGACCATGCCTGGCTAATTTTTAGTAGAGACAGGTTTTCACCATGTTGGCCAGGCTGGTCTCGAACTCCTGACCTCAGCAGGTGATCCACCCGCCTCGGCCTCCCCAAGTGCTGGGATTATAGGCATGAGCCACTGCCTCCAGGCGCAAATACACAATTTAATACTACATGTGGCCGGGTGCGGTGGCTCACGCCTGTAATCCCAGCACTTTGGGAGGCCAAGGCTGGCAGATCACTTGAAGTCAGGAGTTCGAGACCAGCCTGGTCAAATGGCGAAACCATCTGTACTAAAAACACAAAAATCAGCCAAGTGTGGTGGCATAATCCCAGCTACCAGGGAGGCTGAGGCAGCAGAAATGCTTGAACCCGGGAGACAGAAGTTGCAGTAAGCCAAGATCGCACCACTGTACTCCAGCGTGGGCAACAGAGCAACACTTCATCTCAAAAAAAAAAAAATTCTCCCCCAGTGGAGTGCAGTGGCTCATGCCTATAATCCTAGCACTTTTGGAGGCTGAGGCGGGGGGATCACAAGGTCAGGAGATCGAGACCATCCTGGCTAACACGGTGAAACCCCATCTCTACTAAAAATACAAAAAATTAGCCGGGCATCGTGGCGGGCACCTATAGTCCCAGCTACTCGGGAGGCTGAGGCAGGAGAATAGCGTGAACCCGGGAGGCGGAGCTTGCAGTGAGCTGAGATCACGCCACTGCACTCCAGCCTGGGCAACAGAGTGAGACTCCGTCTCAAAAAAAAAAAAAAAAAAAAAAAAAAAAAAAAGAGATCAAGACCATCCTGTCCAACATGTTGAAACCTCGTCTCTACTAAAAATACAAAAAATTAGCTGCGTGCGGTGGCGCAGGCCTGTAGTCCCAGCTACTTGGGAGGCTGAGGCAGGAGGATCGCTTGAACCTGGGAGGCGGAGGTTGCAGTGAGCCGAGATAGCACCACTGCACTCCAGCCTGGGTGACAGAGTTAAGACTCCGTCTCAAAAAAAAAAAAAAAAAAAAAATCTCCCCCACACTCTTTGTTCTTGCCCTTCACTTGAAGGATAGAAAAAAAAAATAAGGGATTGAGTTCTTCATTTTATAAAAAAAATATAAGGGAGGAATGGACAAGAGAAAAAGAGTGGGTAGTACTGAATTAATGTCCAAAGGAAGGCTTAGAATACCATTTATTTTTTCACCAAGACTGAAGGCCTGCTCTATTCCTAGGCTCCTGTCACTACGGACCTGTTTCTCTTGTCCTCTCTCTTCTCCAGTGCTTTCCTGAACATAAAGAGTAGAGTTCAGCTGAGTGTGGTGACTCATGCCTGTAATCCTAGTACTTTGTGAGGCCAAGGCAGGAGGATCACTTGAGCCCAGGAGTTTGAGACAAACTGAGCAACACAGTGAGACCCTGTCTCTACAGAAAATTTAAAAAAAAATAGCTGCATGTGGTTGCATGTGCCTCTAGTCCCAGCTACTCAGGAGGCTGAGTGGGAGGATCACTTGGGCCCAGGAGTTTGAGACTGCGGTGAGCCATGACAATGCCACTGCATTCCAGCCTGGGTGACTCTGTCTCAAAAAAAAAAAAAAGAGAGTACAATCTTCTGTCTTATCTTTCAATCAGATTACTCCCATTCCTCTGGTGACCACTAGAATAGAGCTGTATAAATGGGACAAGGCCCCCTGGGATATGACTAGAAGGGAAACAGTGGTGCAACATGACCCAGAAGGTGAAGGGAGAACAATGTAACATGGGAGGACCTCCCTCTTCCCATATACTGTTAATAATAATGTGATCTACCTATTCTACTTCGATAGAAAGTAGGGCCGGGCACGGTGGTTCACACCTGTAATCCTAGCACTTTGGGAGGTCAAGGAGGGCCGGTTGCTTGAGCTCAGGAGTTCCAGACCAGCCCAGTCAATGTGGCGAAACCTTGTCTCCACCTAAAATACAAAATACAAAAATTAGCCAGGTATAGTAGTGGGTGCCTGTGGTCCCAGCTACTCAGGAGACTGAAATGGGAGAGTCACTTGAGCCTAAGAGGTCGAGGCTGCAGTGAGCCAAGATTGTGCCACTGCCCCCCAGCCTGGGTGACAAAGACCCTGTCTCAAAAAAAAAAAAAAAAGAAAAAAGAAAAAGTAGAATCACTCACTAGTAAACTGAGATATGTGGACATGATGAGGCTTTCCCTTGTATGGGCTCTCCTGAGTACTCACTACATAGACATCAAATCACTATCTGTATAAAAAAGGTTTATGAAAGGAACATATGCTTATTTAATTCAAGGGAATATGTTTCTGTTTATAGGAGTGAAAAGGAGTGCTGAGTGATATAGCCAATTATTATTATTATTATTATTATTATTTTGAGACGGAGTCTTGCTTTGTAGCCCAGGATGGAGTACAATGGCACGATCTTGGCTCACTGCAAACGCCGCTTCCTGGGTTCAAGCAATTCTCCTGCCTCAGCCTCCCGAGTAGCTGGGACTACAGGTGCGGGCCACTACGCCTGGATAATTTTTGTATTTTTAGTAGAGACAGGGTTTCACTATGTTGGCCAGGCTGGTCTTGAACTCCTGACCTCGTGATCCACCTGCCTCAGCCTCCCAAAGTGTTGGGATTACAGGCGTGAGCCACCGCGCCCGGCCAAAATATCCAATTATTAAGTGAACAGTAGTTACAATTAGAAGGGAAACTTGGAGAAGGCAACATCGTTATCTGACTAGAATAAAAGAAAATGGAGAATCCTGTCTCATGGAAGTTTCATGGTAGGCAAATGCTCAGTTATCCTGGGGGAAAGATATTTCAGAAAGGAGAGAAGAAACATTCATTCTCAGCCATAGCTTTTATAATTTGCAGGAAAGGACCCTTGCTCTTTTGGATTCTTTTTTTCAAAAGGTGAACAACAGAGAGAAGGGAGGCAAAAGAAGTCACGTGAGGCCGGGTGCAGTGGCTCACGCCTGTAATCCCAGCACTTTGGGAGGCGGAGGTGGGTGGATCAAGAGGTCAGCAGTTGGAGACCAGCCTGGCCAACATGGTGAAACCCCATCTCTACTAAAAATACAAAAATTAGCCGGGTGTGGTGGCGGGTGCCTGTAATCCCAGCTACTTGGGAGGTTGAGGCAGGATAACTGCTTGAACCCGGGAGGCAGAGGTCGCAGGGAGCCAAGACGACGCCATTGCACTCCCACCTGGGTGACAGAGCGAGACTCCATCTCAAAACAAACAAACAAAACAAAACAAAAAAAAAACACATGTGAAACCTCTTAGAGTTTCTATAATAACGTGGTTAAACCTGCCTGGTTAACTAATAAGCATTTACTATTAAATCCTAATCATTATGCGAGATAGTACCTATTTAGTAATACCGGTTGGGGAAGTAGAGAAGAAAGTAATTACACTGTAGGCTCTAGACAGTTGAAAGAAATTTTTCTTTTAAATGAAGTTTGAAATTTGATTTTTACAGTAAATATTTTAATTAGAAAATGACTATTTTAATTACTACAAAGCTGACTTTGTGATTTTTAGTATTTCAAGTACTTTTACTTGGCTTAAAGTGATTTAGGAGGGCATTAAATCACCCTCAACTTCATCCAGGGGCAAGCAGGAGGCGGGGGGATGGGTGGGAGGGGACCTCAAATCTATATAACTATTCAAAGTGGTAGGGATGAAAGTATTTTACTTCTGTGCTACATATGGAGTCCTCATTTCAACATATTGGATTTAGTTTGTATGATGTTTCCAGGTAATGCAACCCTGTCATCTAGAAATTATAATTTTACCTCCTAGTTTCCAATGCTTGTGATATTTTAGTTATTAGAAACTGTCATAATTCTGCAAGCAAAATGAAATACACCAGACACACAGAGTTCTTCAGTCATTAACATCACTTACATAGTGATCCATTTTCAGTTATCATGGAATGTACACACAAAACCATGATAAATAACAATTAGCACAGACACATTCAGTTTCCTGTGATCTTACCTACTCCACAAAGCCACAATCCTATGGATCCTACATGACATTCACAACCCTGTTGAGCCCATCTTATAATTCCATACAAACATAGCAAAGCAAACTCAGAAACTACTTACTCCAGTTACACAATCTCACACACACAAATCACAACTAATCATTCTAAAAGGCTTATCAGCTTCTTGGAAAGTTAAATGTAAACTTACCAATTACCCAGCAACTTTTCTTCTAAATATTTGCCCAGGAGAAATGGAAACGTGCCAGCTTTATTCGTAATGTATAAAACCTGTAAATATGCCAAATGTTCAACAACAGAAAAATGACTACACAAATTGTGGTATATTTGCACAATGGAGTGCTGTTCAGAAAAAGAAAAATGAACTACACATGAAATCTCACACACATTAGGGTAAACTAAAGGAGAAATATGGAATTCCGGAACTGACAGTTACAGTGACACAAATCAGAACTATGGCTGTCTCTGCTTTGAAACTGACTGGAAAGGACACCAGCAAACTCCGGTGGTGCTGGTGTTGTAAACCAAAAATAAAATCCTAAGCACACCCAGACCATCTTGAATGGACCCCTCCTCTTGGCCAGGGCATTCCTAACCTGAAAAACTAGTAAAGCCATGATGGAAAGGCGGGGGTGGGCGGGTCGGACATGCTTCATTATACCCTCCTCCATTTTGGAATTACTGATAGAAAAGACCCCAAGTCTGAAAAGAAACATTTACAATCTATTCTCTGTGAAGCGTGCTACCTGGAGACATTCCTAAGTCTTACGTCAATAACTCTTTCAACCCATTGCCAATCAAATAATCTTTGAATCTACCTATGACCTGGAAGGCCAGCCACCTTCCAGCTGTCCCGCCTTTCCGGAGGGAATCAATGTACATTTTACATGTATTTGATTGGTGTCTCATGTTTCCCTAAAAGGTATAAAACCACATATATCCCGTCCACCCTGGGCACAGGTTCTCAAGATCTCCTGAGGGCTGGGCCACCGGCCATTGGTCACTCATATTTAGCTCAGAATAAGTCTCTTCAAATACTTTAGAGTCTGAGTCTTTTCGTCAACAGTGTAAAACACGCCCTAAGGCAGACACACACACACTGAACCGCCGCTACCTGCCAGATTCCATCTGGGGCCTTTCTCATGGTGCAAAACGGACAAAAACTCCAAGTCACCCTCAGGTTTACGACCACGGGTCACATCCTGAGGCCCCCACACTTAGAAGCCAGAGTGGAGCAAAACCTCGCCCGACTCAGGCTCCGAGTTCTCCCCTCGACCCTCCCCAGCCTAAAGGCTGTACCCGCTTCAGGCCTTCCCAGCCCGGCCCTCCAGTTCCTTCTTCGGCCTCCCTCAGCCTGGGGTCCGGGTTTCCTCCTCGGCTGAGCAGCCGGGTCCGCGACTCCCTTCACCCTCCCCGGCCCGGGCTTCCGGTTCTTTCCAGAGGTGAGGCAGGGGCCACCTAGAATTCCGCGGCCCCCCACCTCCCCCAAGACCACCCTCGCCCCAGCTTCCTGTTCCCCATTCTGTCCTCCCAACCTGGGTTCCCGATTACTGCCTCGACTTCACCTTGCCGTCAGGGACCACCAGCCGCCTCTTCCGCGCCTAGGGGACGCGCAGCGGCAGCCTCTGCTGATGGCAAGGGTCTGCGCACCCGGAAACTCCAGGGTCTGGGGCGTGGTGCGGCCCCTGCGGCCAGCGGGCTCCGCTTGAGCTTCAGGGCTCTTTCGTTGTTGGACTACGTTTCCCACAGGCCTCAGGGCCGCGGATGAACTTCGACCTTTGCTTCCTTTTCCGGTGTTGTGGTTATTGAGTTAAGCCTGGCGAGTCGAGGTGACCCGGGCCGGGCTGCGGGAGGAGCTCGCGGTGAGGTGGCCCCGCGCTGCCGGGCGAGGTCGGTCCACGTGGAGCCGGGAGCCTGAGGCCTCTGTACGCGGGAGCTGCGGACGATGGTGGTTAGTGCTATTGTTTACGACGTCATTGTGGTGTGTGTGTGTGAGAGACGGAGACCCTAGTGTGTGCCGTGGGTGCTGTTTGATCGGACTCAGGACGGTGAGTAGGGGCGGGGTCTATCGTGTGACCCTGGTCTACGGTGACGTGATCGTGTGACAGCACTGTTGTGACCAACTATAAGTGTGAACGGGGTAGAAGTGTTTTTTTGTTTTTTTTTGTTTGTTTGTTTGTTCGTTTTTTTCCGTGAGCCTGTAGGAGTTTGTTTTGGGTAAAGCGTCATTTTTCCGACTCTGTGATGTCTGTGATGGAATCTCTTCGTGAGGTCTTATACACACACACACACGCATATAGATAGATTACATAGATGATATATAGAAGATAGATAAATGATAGATAATAGATAGATAGATAGATAGATAGATAAGATAGATAAATGAAGTTTCCTGGGAAGACGTGAAGGGGAGGGCATAGGTGTAGTATTCATTCCTGGGATAACTCCCCTTGCATGAGTTTGGAGGCCATTTATACATTAAAGAACTACAGTATTTCCTGAGCTGTGTTCCCTAGAAACTGCTAGGCATTGGTCGTACCTTTTTCTCGGATGTGGGGAGGAGTCGACAGTATTCTAGTTTCCCTCTTCGATCTGGGTGTGTTTGTTGTGTGTGATGGGCTTTTCTGGTGGTGAACACTGTGTTCTTATTTAACCAGTCCAGGATGTCATGAGTCCTTTCTCCCTCTTGGTTATGTAGTTCTGCAAGTGAAGGCCCCCTGAAGTGGAAGACAGCATTGGTACTAATGGCCAACTCAAGGTTAGTTTTTTTTTTTGTTCATTTACCTGGTCCCTTGGTTTTCTCTTCCCAATTAACAACAGGACCGTAGAGATGGGTCCCCTTGTCCTCCATTGCCTTTCCAAATGCCCATTTCCCTTTCATTGAATATTCACATATGCATTAGGTAAATCATTCAATTCTCCCATGTGCTTCTTTTTTTCCAAAGGATTTTTATGGTATAGAAATACAACTCCTGGAGGAGAAGTTAAAACTTTTTTTTAGAATGTAATTTGTTAAGGAGGAGACGAGTGATTAAGTAGAATGGCACACTAGATACCTTTGATCTTATTTACAGACTTGATTTGCAAACAAAGCAAGATAGGAGATGGTAGGTATTAATCAGTAAGTGACAAAGTTGGCTTTGGAGACATTTAGGAGTGGGAATATGATAGGAGTTTTATGCAGAGAGGCTATGTCAACAAGGGCAGGGAGTTTTTCCAGAACATTCATGAGGGGATTTAAGTGGTGACAACCAAATCTTCTTTGAGATTTGGCAGTGTGACATTGGTGTAGATTGTGAGAGGCAGCCTGATACAGTGGTGTCTGAGTCTAAAGCAGCACAGTCTAATGCAAATATAATATAAAGCCACTTAGGTAATTTAAAAATTTCCATTAGACACTTTTTTTTTTTTTTTTGAGACAGAGTTTCACTGTTATTGCCCAGGCTGGAGCGCAATGGTGCGATCTCAGTTCACTGCAACCTCTGCCTCCCAGGTTCAAGTGAGTCTCCTGCCTCAGCCTCCCAAGTAGCTGGGATTACAGGCGCCCGCCACCATGCCCGGCTAATTTTTGAATTTTTAGTAGAGAAGGGGTTTCATCATGTTGGCTGGGCTGG
Source organism: Homo sapiens (assembly GCF_000001405.40). Classification (NCBI taxonomy): domain Eukaryota; kingdom Metazoa; phylum Chordata; class Mammalia; order Primates; family Hominidae; genus Homo; species Homo sapiens. The sequence continues at coordinate 36,571,476 of NC_000019.10, read as the reverse complement.
TATCGAACTCCTGACCTCAGGTGATCCACCCACCTCATCCTCCCAAAGTGCTGGGATTACAGGCGTGAGCCACTGCGCCCGGCTTTAAACACATTTTAAAAAGAAAAAGAAACAGCTGAAGTTAATTTTGGTAATGTATTTTATTTAAACCAATATATCCAAAATATTATTTCAACATGTAATGATATGAATACACTGAAATACTTTACACTCATATCTTTATACCAAGTTTTCAAAATCTGGTATATGTTTTATTGTTATTGCATGTCTCAATTTGGATGCTAAATTTTCAGTGTTTAGGGTGAATTATAGTCCTACCAAAACAATAAAGTTGTGTTTAATAGAAAAACATTTATATTGCTTTTGTATTTAAATGTAAGTTAATTAAAATTAAAGGTAATCCTGTGTTAATTAGCTTAGGAAAAGTGAAAAAAATTTAAAATTCAGTTATATGTTCACACTGCATTTCAAAGGGGTTAATAGTTACTCATTTTTCCGCTTTACAGTTTCTTGTTGTAGAATGTAAACAATAATTATATCAGTGCTTTAGGGTCTTTATGAGGCCTGGATACATTAATATGGACATAAACCTAGAGAATTTAATAAAGGCCTGGCACTTTAAGTCCTTATCTGCAAGGGAAGAAAAAAAGCTGGTTTGTGAAGATTCTTAGTATTCCCCATACATTTTCTGTAAATCAAGAGCAATGAAAATATAAAGTTAATTTTGATGGGCACTTGAAATGAATTTTTTAAAAGCCAGATTTGCAAATGTTCTATTAAGGCAATTTGACTGTCTTAGGTTCAATGATTTGCGAGAAGGACTCACAGAACTCAGAAAAGCTGTTATGCTCATAGTTATTCTTCATTACAATGAAAAGGTACACATTAAAATCAGCAAAGGGAAAAGTTGCATAGGGCAAATACCGGGAGAAACCAGGTGCAAGCTTCCAGTGCAGTTGCACAGGCAGCACCTAATTCTCCCAGCAACAATGTGCGAATACAAACATGAAGCGTGGCCAACCAGGGAAGCTCTCCTAAGCCATGGTTTCCAGGGTTTTTTGTTTTGCTTTGTTTTCTTTTTTCTTTTTTCTTTTCTTTTTTTTTTTTTTTTTTTTTGAGATAGGGTCTTGCTCTCTCACCCAGGCTGAAATGCAGTGGTGGGGTCACAGCTCAATGCAGCCTCTACTTCCCAGCCTCAAGGGATCCTCCCACCTCAGTCTCCCAAGTAGCTAGGACTACAGGCACACACCACAACACCCGGCTAATTTTTGTATTATTTGTATAGATGGGGTTTTGCCATGTTGCCCAAGCTGATCTTGAACTCCTGGGCTTAAGTGATCCACCTGCCTCTGCCTCCCAAAGTGTTGGAATTACAGGTGTGAGCTACTGCCCTGGCCCATGTCCGGGGTTTTTATTGACGATCAGTCATGTGGGCATGAAGGTTCTGTGCACTGACCTTACCTACTTAGTCAAGCCTACCCAGAAGTCAGATGGATACAGGTATTTACCATAAACCACATTGTTAACAAAAGCCATCTGGCATGGCTAAGACCTCAGATATACATAGACTCTGTTAATCAGGCAGGATACTCTAACTGCTCAGAGATTATCTCCCAGGAGCTGGTCAAGGACAATTTCTTCTTTGGAATGTGCAGGGTTTGAGCACTCTGAGCCAATTCTTCATTTTTTTCTTTTTCTTTTTGTTTTGCAACAAGAGTCTTGCCCTGTCACCCAGGCTGGAGTGCAGTTGTGTGATCTTGACTCACTGCAACCTCTGTGCCTCCCAGGCTCAAGCAATTCTCATGCCTCAGCCTCCTGAGTAGCTGGGACTACAGGTGTGCACCACTGCACTCAGCTAAATTTTTTTTTTTTTTAGTAGAGACAGGGTTTTACCATGTTGGCTAGACTAGTCTGGAAATCCTGGCCTCGTGTTGTTTGCCCGCCTCAGCCTCTCTAAGTGCTGGGATTACAGGCATGAGCCACCACACCCAGCCAGTTTTTTAAAAAGTAATTATTTCTCTTTGTTGATATCTCACTTATTTATATGTCATTTTCGTGATTTCCTTTTTAGTTCTTTCTCTGTTTTCCTTTAGCTCTATGAGCATATTTAAGACAGTTTTTACAAAGCCTTTTTCTAGTTACTCCAATGCTTTTGTTTCTTCAAGTGTAATTTATTTTGCTCCTTTGATTGGACCCTGTTTTCCTGTGTCTTTGTATGCCTTGCAGTCTTTTGTTGAAAACTGGGCATTTGAAGAAACAGCTACTTCTCCTAATTTTTGCAGACCGTTGGAGATCTTCACTAATTAGGGCCTTGGGATCATCTCAGGGTGAAAGTCTAAGGTCTTACGTTTTTCCTGGGTCTGTAGCATGCCTGTGCCTATACCTGTGTATATGCTTTTACCAGTTTCCCTAATATGCATAGCTGCTTTCAAATGCCTTAATTTCATAGGGTCTCACCCTTGCTTCTTAGGCCCTAGATGTTATATTTTTCCACCTGTAATCGTTTGCTCCAAGTATCCACAGGTGTCCAGGCAATTAAAATATCATTGAGTTTTGCATACTGATCTTATATCCTGCAGTGCTGCTGCACTTATTTCTAGTTTTAATAGTGTTTTAGCTTTGATGCACCACAGTGCCCACCACTGTCCTTTGTGGCCTTTACCTGCCTGAGATCTGAGCTGTGCAGCCTTTTACATGTTGAAACTCAAAAGTCAGAGTGGCTCACACCTGTAATCCCAGCACTTTGGGAGGCCAAGGCAGGCAGATCACTTGAGGTTAGGACTTCGAGACCAGCCTGGCCAACATAGTGAAACCCTGTCTCTATTAAAAGTACAAAAATTTGCCAGGCGTGGTGGTGTGCACCTGTAATCCCAGCTGCACAGGAGGCTGAGGCAGGAGAATTGCTTGAACCTGGGAGGCAGAGGTTGCAGTGAGCCGAGATCATGCCACTGCACTCCAGCCTAGATGACAAAGTGAGACTCTGTGTAAAAAAAAAAAAAAAAGAAAGAAAATCAGATAAAACAGAAACCAGTACCTCAGTACCTCAAGGAGCCCACAGACAGATTAGCATGTTCCAAATAAGCTCTGCTTTGTTCCTTCTGGCCTGAAGGAGGGAAATGGGAACTGGGCTGCTTCTTCCATGCTGCACTAGAGATGGAGTAAGAGCACAAGTAACATAATCAACAAATTCACTACCATTTTGAATGTGACTTTCTCCTGACTGGGCATTTGTTTGATAGTTACAGTCTTTGAGTGATTTCCAGACCCTTACAAAGATATTTTAGCTAGTCTCTAGTTGTTTTTTAAGTGTTTCAATAGAGAATAGGGAATTGAAGCTTCCTCAGCTGCCATCTTGCTGATGTTATTCTCATGGTTCTGTTATTATTTTCCTATTGTCTAATGATTTTCAGCATCTTTCCATGTACTTGTTGACCATTTGTTCATCTTTTATGAAGAAATGTCTACTGAAGTCTTTTGCCAGCTTTTAACTTGGGCTGTTTGTCTTTTTGTTGGGCTGAGTTGTAGGAGTTTTTATATATTCTGGATGTTAAATGCTCATGAGATATATGATTTGCAGATATTTTTTCACATCGTGCAGGCTGTCTTATCAGTTTCTTCTATAATGATTTTTTGATGCACAAAAGCTTTTAGTTTTGATACATCCTAATTCATCAAAATTTTCTTTTGCTGCTTATCCTTTTGGTGTCATCATTTAAGAATCCATTGCCAAATATAGGCCAGATGCAGTGGCTCAGACTGTAATCCCAGCACTTTGGGAGGCAGATATGGGTGGATCACTTGAGGTCAGGAGTTTGAAACCAGCCTGGCCAGCATGGTGAAACCCCGTCTCCTACTAAAAATACAAAAATTAGCCAGGCATGGTGGCAGGCACCTGTAATCCCAGCTACTCAGGAGGAGGCTGAGGCAGGAGAATCACTTGAACCTGGGAGGTGGAGGTTGCAGTGAGCCGAGATGGCGCCACTGCACCCCACTCTGGGTGACAGAGTGAGACTCCATCTCAAAAAAAAAAGAATCCATTGCCAAATATAAGTTCATGATGACTTACCCCTACATTTCCTTCTAAGAGTTTTATAGTTTTAGCTCTTATATTTGGGTCATTGATCTGTTTTCAGTTACTTTTTTTATGTGTTATTAAGGAGTGATGCAATTTCATTCTTTTGCATGTGGATATTCAATTTTTCTGGCACCATTTGTTGAAAAGACTGTTCTTTCCTCTATTTCATTAGATTGGCACCCTTGTCAAAAATCACTTGACCCTAGCTACACTGGTTTAAATTTTCACTCAGTTCTATTCCATTGATGAATATATCTATCCATATTCCGTGCCCCACAGTCTTGATTATTGTGGTTTTATAGTCAGTTCTGAATTGGGAAATATCAGTCTTCCAGCTTTGTTTTGGCTGAATCTGTTGCAATGTCATATGAATTTTTTTTTTTTTTTGGAGACAGTCTCGCTCTGTTGCCCAGGCTGGAATGCAGTGGCGCGATCTCGGCTCACTGCAACCTCTGCCTCCTTCCAGCGCTTCTCCTGCCTTAGCCTCCCAAGTAGCTGAGACTACAGGTGCCTGCCACCACACCAGGCTAATTTTTGTATTTTTAGTAGAGATGGGATTTTACCATATTGGCCGGGCTGGTCTGAAACTCCCGACCTCAGGTGATGTACCTGTCTTGGCCTCCCAAAGTGCTGGGATTACAGGCATAAGCCACCAGGCCTGGCCCTTTTTTTTATTATTTTTTTGAGACAAGGTATCATTCCATCACCCAGGCTGGAGTTCAGTGGTGCAATCGCAACTCACTGCAGCCTCAACTGCCTGGGCTCAAGTGATCCTCCTACCCCAGCCCCAGCCCTCACACACCCCCGCCCCCCACCTCCCCAACAGCTAGGACCACAGGTGAGCACCACCATGCCTGGCTAATTTTTTGTATTTTTGGTAGAGACAAGGTTTCACCATGTTGGCCAAGCTGGTCTTGAACTCCTGGGCTCAAGCGATCTGCCTGCCTCAGCTTCCCAAAAGTGTTGGGATAAGTGGTATGAGCCACTACACCTGGCTTTCTTTTGGTTTTAATTAACTTATTGTACTGTACCATTTTAATTCCCTTGTCATTTCTTTTATATAAGCTGATTGTTTTCTTAGCATGTGTTCTGAAGATTACAGTGAATATTTTACATTTACAAATAACTGGTTTGAATTTATAGACTTTGGTCATGGAACTCCAAGACCACTTTCAGGTTCACTGACTGCTAGATGGACTCACACAACTCAGAAAAGTGTTGTTGTTGTTGTTTTCCCACTAGTGAAAGGATCACATTAAAATTAATGAAAGCTGGCTATTCCGGGGCCAGAATTTATCTTCTAGGTGTTAGTCAAGGGCTACAACTTTCTTTGGAATAGGCAGGGTTTAAACATTCCAGACACTACTGCACTCCAGCCGGGGCAAAAGAGTGAGACCCTGTCTCAAACAAACAAAATTCCAGACCTGTTGAATCAAAACTGTGCTGCATACTCCTTAGCTTTAATACTATATCCAAAACTCTGTTCCTATACAGTTCTGCTCCTCTTCATGTTGTTTTGTCACAGATTACATTTTTATACATTGTGTGCTCTTTAACATTGGTTTATAATGACTGTTTTACACGTTAGTCTTTTAAATCATATTGGGGAAATAAAGAGGACCTGCAAGCCCAAGATGCAATAGACTTTTGTATTTGCCTATTTAGGTACCTTTATCGTTGTTTTCTTTTCTTTCTTTTTTTTGAGACAGAGTCTCACTCTGTCGCCCAGGCATGAGAGCGGTGGCACAATCTCTGCTCACTGCAACCTCCGCCTCTGGGGTCAAGCAATTCTCCTACATCAGCCTCCCAAGTAGCTGGGATTATAGGCATGTGCCACCATTCCCAGCTAATTTTTGTATTTTTAGTAGAGATGGGGTTTCACCATGTTGGCCAGGCTTGTCTCGAACTCCTGACCTCATGATCCGCCTGCCTTGGCCTCCCAAAATGCTGGGATTACAGGTGTGAGCCACCGCGCCCGGCCTGTTCTTCATTTTTGTATATGGCTTTGAGTTACTTTCTACTGTCTTTTTATTCCAACTTGCAGGGCTCCCTTAGCTTTTCTATTATGGCATGTCTTCGAATGAGGTCCCTCAGTTTTTGTTTACTTGGGTATGTTTTAGTTTCTCCTTCATTGTGTTTTTGGTTTCTTTTTTCAACTTTTATTTTCGATTCAGGGGGTACATTTGCAGGTTGGTTAACATGAGTATATTGCATGATGCTGAGATTTGGAGTACAATTGATCTTGTCTTCCAGATAGTGAACCTAGTACCCAATAGTTTTTCAACTCTTGTTTCTCTCCCTCCCTCCCGCCTCTAGTAGTCGCAGTGTGTATTGTTCCCATATTTATGTCTATTTGTACCCAGTGTTTAGCTCCCACTTAGCAGTGAGAACATGCAGTATTTGATTTTCTTTTTCTGCATTAATGCTTTTAGAATAATGGCCTCCAGCTGCATCCATGTTGCTTCAAAGGACATGATTTTGTTCTTTTTTATGTATGGTATTCCATGACATATGTATACCACATTTTCTTTATCCAAGCCACTGTTGAGGGGCACCTAGGTTGATTCTGTGTCTTTGCTATTGTGAATAGTGCTGTGATGAACATGAGTGCATGTGTCTTTTTTGTAAAATGATTTATTTTCTTTTGGGTATGTACCCAATAATGGGATTGCTGAGTCAAATGGTTGTTCTATTTTTAGTTATTTGAGAAATCTCCAAACTGCATCCCACAGTGGCTAAACTAATTTACACTCCCACCAACAGTGTGTAAGCATTCCCTTTTCTCCGCAGCCTCACCAACATCTGTTACTTTTGACTATTTAACAATAATTGTTCTGACTGATATGAGATGGCTAACTCATTGTGGTTTTGATTTGCATTTCTCTGATGATTAGTGGTGTGGGGCATTTAAAAAAGTATGTTTGTTGGCTGCTTGTATGTCTTTTGAGAAGGGTCTGTTCATATCCTTTACCCACTTTTAGTGGGACTGTTTTCTGCTTGTTGAATTGTTTAAATTCCTTGTAGATTCTGGATATTAGACCTTTGTTAAATGCATAGTTTGTGAATATTTTCTCCCATTCTGTAGGTTGTTGTTTACTCTGTTGATAATTTCTTTTGCTGAGCGGAAGCTCTTTAGTTAGGTCTCACTTGTCAATTTTTGTTTTGTTTCAGTTGCTTTTGAGGAATTAGTCACAAATTATTTGTCAAGGCTGATGTTTACAAGGGTATTTCCTAGGTTTTCTTCTAGGATTTTTAGTTTTAGTTCTTACATTTAAGCTTTCATCAAACTTGAGTTAATTTTTGTATATGTTGAAAAGTACGGGTGCAGTTTCATTCTTCTGCATATGCCAGTCATCCCAGCACCATTTATTGAATAGGGAGTCCTTTCCTCATTGCTTATTTTTGTTGACTTTGTCAAAGATCAGTTGGTTGTAGGTGTGTGACTTTCTAGGTCCTCTATTCTATTCCATTGGTCTGTGTGTCTGTTTCCAAACCATTGCGTTTTGGTTACTGTAGCCTTGTAGTATAGCTTGAAGTCAGGTAGTGTGATGTAACCAGCATTGTTCTTTTTGCTTAGGATTACCTTGGCTATTCAGACCCTTTTTTGGTTCCATGTGAATTTTAAAATAGCTTTTTCTAGTTCTGTGAAGAATGTCCTTGGTAGTTTGATAGGAATAGCATTGAATCTATAAATTGCCTTGGGCAGTATGGCCATTTTAATGATATTGATTCTTCCTACCATGTTTTTCCATTTGTGTCATCTGATTTCTTTGAGCAGTGTTTTGTGGTTCTCATTGTAGAGATCTTTCACCTCCCTGGTTAGCTGTATTCTTAGGTATGTTATTCTTTTAGTGGCAATTGTAAATGGGATTGTGTTCCTGATTTGGTTCTCGGCTTGACCGTTTTTTCCATCGTCTTACTCTCAATCTCCTTGCAGCTTTGCAGCTGAGTCACCCATAGACAACTTTTTTTTTTTTTTGAGACACAATCTCATTCTGTTGCCCAGGCTGGAGTGCTGTGGTGTGATCTCGGCTTACTGCAACCTCCGCCTCCTGGGTTCACGCGATTTTCCTGCCTCAGCCTCCCGAGTAGCTAGGATTAGAGGCGCACACCACCATGCCTGGCTAATTTTTGGTGTATTTTTAGTATAGACAGGGTTTCACTGTGTTGGCCAGACTGGTCTCGAACTCCTGACCTCATGATCCACCTGCCTCACCCTCCCAAAGTGCTGGGATTACAGGCGTGAGCCACCGCGCCTGGCACCCATAGGCAACTTTCTTAGTCTGTTTGTGCTGCTATAACAAAATACCTGATTTATAAAGAACAGAAATGTATCACAGTTCTGTAGTTTATGAAGTCCAAGATCAAGGCATCATCAGGTTCAAATGTCCTCTTCCAAGGGTGCCTTGATGCTGCATCCTCCAGAAAGGACGTGTGTCCTCACGTGCAAAAGGGAGGACAAGGAAGTCTGCATTGAGCCTCTTTTATGAAGGCTGTAATCCCATTCACAAAGGGAGGAGCCCCTCATCACCTCTTAAAGGCTCCACCTTCTTTTTTTTTTTTTTTTTCTGGAGACAGAGTGTTGCTCTGTCGCCCAGGCTGGAGGGCACAATCTCAGCTCACTGCAAGCTCCGCCTCCCAGGTTCCTGCCATTCTCCTGCCTCAGCCTCCTGAGTAGCTGGGACTACAGGCACCTGCCACCACGCCCGGCTATTTTTTTGTAGTTTTTTAGTAGAGACGGGGTTTCACCCTGTTAGCCAGGATGGTCTCGATTTCCTGACCTCGTGATCCGCCCACCTCGGCCTCCCAAAGTGCTAGGATTACAGGCATGAGCCACCGCGCCCGGCCAGGCTCCACCTTCTAATACTATCACATTGGCAACACCTGAATTTTGGAGAGGACATGTTACATTCTGCCCCTGGACCCCCCCTATATTCATGTCTTTCTCATGTACAAAATACATTCATTTCACTCCAATAGCCCCCAAAGTATTAAAACTCATTTCAGCATAAACTTTAAAGTCAACTTAAAGGGCAGAGTCTCATCTAGGTATTATCTAAATCATGTGATTCATCCTGAGGCAAATTGCTCTCTAGTCCTGTACCTGTGAAACCAAACTAGTTACGTGCTTCCAAGCTACAATGGAATAATAATGGAATAAGGCAGACATTTCTTTTTTTTTTTCCCCTGGGCTGCAGTGCAATGGTGCGATCTCGGCTCACCGCAACCTCCGCCTCCCAGGTTCAAGCGATTCTCCTACCTCAGCCTCCCGAGTAGCTGGGATTACAGGCATGCACCACCATTCCTGGCTAATTTTTTTGTATTTTTAGTAGAGATGGGGTTTCTCCATGTTGGTCAGGCTGGTCTTGAACTCCCCACCTCAGATGATCCACCTGCCTTGGCCTCCCAGAGTGCTGGGATTATAGGCATGAGCCACTGCACCCGGCCAGGACAGACATTTCTATTCCAAAACAGATAAATAAGAAAGTATGGGTCACTGGTCTCAAGTAGGTCCAAAACTGAACAGGGCAAACAACAATAAACCTTTAGCCTGGAGAATAATCATCTTTGACTCCTTGTCGCATGTTCCAGACACACTGGGATGGGGGTTGGACCCCAAAGGCCCGAAGGGTCCCTGCCACCATGGCTTTGGTGTGCACAGTTCATACTGCAGCTCTCATAGGTTGCAGTCAGGTGCCACTGGCTCTCTCCCAGGCCCATGTTGCATGCTGCTGGCTCTACAGGTCTAGGGTTTGGGGAGTGGCACAGCCTGTATGACTCCACTGGACAATGCCCTAGGGGGGACTGTCTGCAGTGGCTCTGCCTCTGTAGTAGGTCTCTGTCTAGGCCCTGAGGCTCTCCAAGGCATCACGTGCCTGTAATCCCAGCTATTTGGGAGGCTGAGACAAAAGAATTGCTTGAGCCGGGGAGGCGGAGGTTGCAGTGAGCCAAGATCGCACCACTGCACTCCAGCTTGGGCAATACAGTGAGAGTCTGTCTCAAAAAAAAAAAAAAAAAGAAATCTCTTTGAAGGATGCCATGCTTCCACATCTTGTGCACTCTGCACACTTGCAAAATCAGTACCATGTGGATGCTGAGGTTCACCACTTTGCCCTCCAGAGCAGGGACTAAACTGCACCTGGGCCCACTGGAGCCACAACTACGGCAGCCAAGGAGCACTGTGCCGGGATGTGGGGAGCAGAGACTTGAGGCAGCCCCGGGCAGCAAGCCCCAAAGTTCCATGAGTGTTCTACGCCCTTCCCTGGAAACCATCCTGCCTTCAAGGCCCTCGCACTGTGGGCCTGTGATGGGAGGAGCAGCCTTGAAGCTCTCTGAAGTGCCATTGGGTTCATTCTCCTATTGTCATGATGAAAACACCTGGCTTCTTTCTAGCCACACTCTGATCAGAAAGTCACTTGGTCACACCCTTGGTTTACTTTCCTAAATACCTTTTTATTTACATGCTTAGGCTGAGAATTTTCAAATCTCTATATTTTGCTTCCGTGTTATAAATCCCATCTTTGTATTGTTTCTTCTCACATTTTACTCTGAGTAGTTAAGAGAAGCCGAGCAGCACCCTGAACACTTTGCTGCTTAGAGATTTATTCTGCCAAATATCTTACTTCAGAAACAGCTTCTGATTTATATTGGCTTAATTCAAGTGAGATAGAGAAATTTACTCCTATATAACTCTTATTTCCTTTCATCTTCTCTTATAGTAATATTGGTCTTCACATTATATCTACAGATGTTTCAAACTCAACCAATCGTTGTTGTAATTTTTACCTTATATAAGTCTATGTTTTTAAAAAAAAATGAGAAGAAAGGAGAACCTTTATACATTTATAACTTTTATTTTATCAATCTGATTTCTCACTTTGGGTTCTCCTCATTTGGTCCAGATGGATTCGAGTTACCATCTGGATTCATTTCCTTAGCCCAGTACAACTTTGCTTTCCCCTGCCTTGTGTTATTATTAGCAAATATATTACATTTCTGTATGTTATGGGCCCAATAAATACATAAGTACACGTTTCATAAAATTTGTATATCAGTTAAGAGGAGAAGAGATATATATGTATACTGTCTTTTATAATTACATAAAACTGGCTTGCTTCTCTTTTTTTTTTTTTTTTTTTTTTTTGAGACGGAGTTTCGCTCTTGTTGCCCAGGCTGGAGTACAATGGCGTGATCTCGGCTCACCGCAACCTCTGCCTCCTGGGTTCATGTGATTGTTCTGCCTCAGCCTCCCGAGTAACTGGGATTACAGGCATGCATCACCACACCCGGCTAATTTTTTATTTCAGTAGAGACCAGGTTTTTCCACGTTGATCAGGCTGGTCTCGAACTCCCAACCTCAGGGGATCCTCCCGCCTCAGCCTCTCAAAGTGCTGGAATTACAGGTGTGAACCAACGCACCAGGCCACTTCTCTTTGTTTTTTCTTATGGATTTGTATTACTGCCTGGGATCACCTGTTTTCAGCCTAAAGAGCTTCCTTGAGTACTTTTTAAGGTCAGTCAGCTAGCAATAAATTCAGTTTTTATCTGGAAATGTCTTTTCATCTTAAGTTTTGAAATGTTCTTAAGTTTTGAAATATAGGTTTGCTGCATAAGGATAACCACCCCCCTCTGTTTTACTGATATATAATTGACACATACATATATGTATACACACACATACAAACACACTTTTATCTGTCCATCCATTGATGGACACTTAGGTTTCCATACCTTGGTTATTATGAATAATGCAGCCATGAAAAGGACTGCAAATATCTCTTCAAGTTACTGACTTGGCCATGTGTGGTGGCTCACGCCTGTAATTCCGGCACTTCGGGAGGCCAAGGTGGGTGGATCACGAGCTCAGGAGTTTGAGACCAGCCTGGCCAACATGGTGAAACCCCGTCTCTATTAAAAATACAGAACTTAGCTGGGCATGGTGCCACATGCCTGTAATCCCAGCTACTCAGGAGGCTGAGACAGGAGAATTGCTTGAACCCGGGAGGTGGAGGTTGCAGTGAACCGAGATTGTGGCACTGCACTCCACCGTGGGTGAAAGAGCAAGACTCCATCTTGGTGCAGGGGGAAAAGAGTTATTGACTTCATTTCTTTTGGCTGTATAGCCAGAAGCAGAATTGCTGGATTGTATGGTTGTCCTATTTTTAAGTTTTTGAGGAGCCTCTATATTCTTTTTCAGAAGGACTGTACCAATTTACATCCCTGACAGTGTACAAGGCTTCCCTTTTTTCCATATCCTTGTCAACATTTTTTTTCTTTCTTGTCTTTTTGATAACAGCAGTCCTATCAGGTGTGAGGTGATATTTCATTGTGGTTTTGATTTGCATTTCCCTGATGTTTAGTGATATTGAGCACCTTTTTATATACCTGTTGACCATTTGTATATCTTCTTTGCAAAAATGTCTATCAGGTTCTTTGCTTATTTTTTTAATTGGATTTTTTTTTTTGCTATTGAGTTGAATGAATTTCTTATATATTTAGATATTAACCCCTTGTCAGATATATAATTTGCACATATTTTCTCCCATGCTGTAGAATGTCATTTCACTTTTTAAATTGTTTCCTTTCTTTCGTAGAAGCTTTTTAATTTTATTTGGTCCCATTTCTTTGTTTTTGCTTTTGTTTCCGGTGCTTTTGGTGTTATATTTTAAAAAATCATTGCAAGACCAATGTCAAGAGCTTTACTATGTTTTCTTCTAGGATTTTTATAGTTTCAGGCCTTATATTTAAGACTTTAATCCATTTTGAGTTAATTTTTGTAAGTGGTGTGAGGTAGGGGGTCACTTCATTTTTTTATGTGTTGATGGATTTAGGATTCTGGGTTGAAGGATTTTGTGTGTGTGAGTACTTTGTATATATCATCCCACTGCCTTCTGGCCTTCATTTTTTTCTGATGAGAAATCAGCAGTTAATACTTTTGTATTAGTTTCACTTCTAGCCTGCAGTTTCCTTTTACTGCTTTCAAGATTTTCTCCATTTCTTTCTTTGGATTTCAGTGCTTTTATAATGATGCATCTATGTTTGGATCTCTATGCATTTATCCTGCTTGGTGTTTGTTGAGCTTCCTGGATGTGCAGTTTAATGTTTTTCAATAAATTTGGGAATTTCAAATCCATTATTTCTTTGTAAATTTTAAATCCTTTTTTTTCTCTCTCACCTCTCTTCTGGTACTCCTGTTTATATCAGTGTGGTTAATGGGGTCCCACATTTCTCTGAGATGTTAATTTGTCTTGTTTTCTCTCTGTTCATCAGATTATACCATTGCTATTAATCTGTCTTCAACTTTGTTAATACTTCTGCCAGTTCATGTCTACTATTGAGTCCTTCTAGTGAAAATTTCATTTCAGTTATTATACTTTGTAACTTAAGAATTTCCATATGTTTATTTTTAATAATTTTTATCTCTGTTGATATTCTCTTTTTGATGCAACATTATGATCATACCTACATTTACTTCTTTATGGTTTCCTTTGTCTACCTGAATATGTATTATAATGTATAATTTGAAGTCTTTGCCTGTTAAATCTGGTTGCTCTCACAAGCAGTTTCTGTTGTGGGCTTCTTTTCCAGTGTGTGAATCATACTTTCCTGTTTCTTTGCCTGTCTCTTGTTTGTGGAAAGTGGACATTATAGACAATTGTTGGAACTCCAGTACTTTTGTCCACACCCTCTGCCTCAGGGCTTGTTATTGGTACTTGCTTATTTACCTGCTTAGTGACTGTAATATGGTTTGGCTCTTGTATCTCCACCCAAAACTCACCTTGAATTGTAATAATCCCCACATGTCAAGGGCAGGACCAGGTGGAGATAATTGAATCATGGGGGTGGTTTCCCCCATACTGTTCTTGTAATAGTGGGTGAGTTCTCACAGGAGCTGATGGTTTTATAAGGGGCTTCCCCCTTAGCTCGGCTCTCATTCTGTCTCCTACCACCCTGTGAAGAGGTGCCGTCTGCCATGATTGTAAGTTTCCTGAGGCCTCCCCAGCCATGCAGAACTGTGAGTCAATTAAGCCTCTTTCCTTTGTAAATTACCTAGTCTTGGGTATATCCTTATAGCAGCATGAGAATGGACTCTCTGGATTATTTTAGTGAAGTCTATTCCCACCATGTTGTAAAATCTCTGATGTTGCTCATTGGGAGTACAGCCTTGCCTACTTTTACAGACAGCGTTAGATGATAGTGGTTTTGACAGGGCTGTCTTTGAGCATCTCCCTGACCACCCCCAGCTGTTAAGCACCACTAATTGCAACTTATGGCAGTATTGCTTTCATAAGTGCCCTGGAGTATACATTGCTTCACAGGCTAATGTAATCAAACTGGGGCTTTTTTGAGGTCAGTGTTCGAGATTTGTTCTGACAATAGAATGTCTTCCCAGGTGTCTCTCAGTTTCTGTCTGGCAAACAAGCCACCCTACAGTATAATATACATCTCTAATCAACCTCCTCTCAATTGCCCTTCACCAAAATTTTCAGTTTTTGACATTGCCCTTAGGTTTAAACTTCTCCACATTCTGTTGCAAGTCAATTCAGTTCCTTTGAGGAGCAATACAGAACTCTCTGTTCTATGGCCTGCTTCTCCCCCTGGACAAAATCTCAGAGCCACCATTCTAGTGCTGGAGGTAGGGACAATGGCGTGCATCTCTCTGAGTGATTCCCCTGCTTTAGGAGCTGAGTGCTTGGTAGATGGCAGATGGGGCAGCAGCCAGGTCTGCCTGGCTTGCCTGTTTGGGCATGGAACACTTGCCCCGGGAGCCAGGACACAACAGTTGGAAACCTCAGTATGCTCAGCAGTACCACATCCAAGTTAAAGCCTACATTTCATGTTTTGGGGCTAGGCAGAGGAAGGGAGTCCTCATTCTTCAGCTGCGCAACAGGTAACTGGGGCAGAGTGAAAAGTGATGATGTCTTACCCCACCTAGGAAGATAGCTATCTGACTGGGGCAAGGGTTGAGAAGTGGTGAAGAAGCCCCATGCCCTTGGCTATCCTGTCTGGAGTGGAGTCTTTCTCACCAAGATAGAATGGACAATGGAGGGCTCAGGTTTGGTTCACGGAGTCTAGACTCTAAGAGTTCTTAACATGTTTTTTGAGATTCTCTTAAACTAATGTTTCTTCATTTGCTGTACATTCCTAGCACCATTTCCAGAGACTTTTAATGGTGGTTCTTTCTTAAAAAATAATTTTTACAGTTTCATTGGGGATCATGTCCATGGAGCTCCTCATGCTGTCATGCCAGAAGTGGAATTCCCTGACCAATTCTTTACAGTTCTAACCATGGACCATGTAAGTTAACTACTTCTCTTTTCTTTGTGATATTTCCTTTTTCTGATTCTTCCTACCAAACACCTCTGTCAAAGAACCTGTACCACAACCCCATACTTCTTCGCTTTCTAGTAAGGGCTGGAGTCTAACAGCACAGTGTCCCTCCTGTGTGCCTCTATTCCCCAAAGAATGTTCAACACTCCTATGTGTTCAGTCCTTTGTCAAGAGCAGATATAAAGCAAAAGTTGAATCCCTAGACTTTTCCTTGTCATATTCTTGGATAGGGAAAAAGCAGATGGATCTGTTTGATAATTGGGCATACTCTGACCTTCTCCACAGACTTGAGTTTCCAGGTAGATTGATTTGATGTTGAATGGCCTCAAGTCATACAAAATGATGATGATTGTAGACGCAGCATTGGAGAAGACCTTCTCTAACCTAAACGTTGGAATATAATTAAGGCTATTATATTTTTAACAAGAAAACTACTCTGTAGCCACTAAAAAACACTTACTAAAAACTTTATCGCGGCCGGGCGCGGTGGCTCACGCCTGTAATCCCAGCACTTTGGGAGGCCGAGGCGGGTGGATCATGAGGTCAGGAGATCGAGACCATCCTGGCTAACAAGGTGAAACCCCGTCTCTACTAAAAAAAATACAAAAAATTAGCCGGGCGCGGTGGCGGGCGCCTGTAGTCCCAGCTACTGGGGAGGCTGAGGCAGGAGAATGGCGTGAACCCGGGAAGCGGAGCTTGCAGTGAGCCGAGATTGCGCCACTGCAGTCCGCAGTCCGGCCTGGGCGACAGAGCGAGACTCCGTCTCAAAAAAAAAAAAAAAACTTTATCGCTGGAAGTAATAATTGTTATTATATAATGTGAAATAATATGTCACATAGTAATGAACTTGGAGCTACAAGAAATCTTTAATTTTATTCATACCCCATTTTCAAAGTTAGATATTTTTCTCCTGTACAGGGGAATGACGGTATAGAAACTTACCTTTATTGATGATTCATGAGGCAGGCACATAGCATGAAATGTGCTTGTATATAGTACTTCTTTTAATTTGTAAACTGGTTATTAATTTCCAGACATGGTTGGCTAAATAAGAGATCCCATAAGTATGCAGAAAGATTTCAGTGGATCAAAGGGAGTCTTGAAAGATGATAGTCTGGTTTGGAAGCACTAATTTCCTTACTTCCCATGTCACAGTCTTCTTTTGGCCTCCTTGTTTACTGTCCAATCCCCTTGCTATAAGGCAATTCCTCTTGTCTTTTTCTCAAAAATATTTCCTTAAATTTTACCTGTAATGTACGGGTTTGTTGTTTCAGGAACTGGTGACACTCAGGGATGTGGTCATCAACTTCTCTCAGGAGGAATGGGAATATCTGGATTCTGCTCAGAGGAACTTGTACTGGGATGTGATGATGGAGAACTACAGCAACTTACTCTCACTGGGTAAATTTATCTGCCTTAAATAACTTAGAATATACTCTCTAGACTATCAACTGATATTCAGTGAACTCAAGGCTATGTTTTGTTTTGTTTATGAGATGGAGTCTCACTCTGTCACCCAGGTTGGAGTGCAGTGACATGATCTTGGCTCACTGCAACCTCTGCCTCCCGGGTTCAAGTGATTCTTCTGCCTCAGCCTCCAGAGTAGCTGGAATTACAGGAGCCCGCCACTATGCCCATCTAATTTTTTGTATTTTTAGTAGAGACAGGGTTTCACCATGTTGGCCAGGCTGGTCTTGAACTCCTGACCTTGTGATTCGCCCACCTTGGCCTCCCAAAGTGCTGGGATTACAGGTGTGAGCCACTGCGCCGTCCTCAAGGCTATGTTTTAAGAAACTAGGTGAACTGATTTCAAAGGCATGCTTTCAGTATTGTTGTGTTGCAAATGACATCTCCATTAGTCTTTAACATTCTTCATGATATTCTTACCTTCTTAGGCCCTTCATATAATTTCTACCTTCTTTGATACCAAGGAGCTGGATTTGACTTATGGGACACATATAGCATATCATTGAGACATTACAGGTTGAGTATCCCTTATCCAAAATACTTGGGATGAGAGTGTTTTGGATTTGGGATTTTTTTTCAGATTTTGGAATATCTGCTTATACATAATGAGACATCTTAGGGATGGAACCCAAATTGAAACACAAAATTCATTTATGTTTCATGTACACTTTATACACATAGACTGAAAGTAATTTTATACAATGTTTTTAATAGTTTTGTGCATGAAACAAAGTTTGTGTTAAGTAGTTATGTGTATTTCACTTGTAGCATCATGTCAGTGCTCAAAAAGTTTAGGATTTTGTAGCTGAATTTCAGATTGTAGATTCGGCATGTACAACCTGTACATTGTGTTTGAGGTCAGAATTGCTATAAATACTTTATATTCTTACCTGCCTTCTGGGAGAACTTTTAACATACTGTGTGTCCTGATTTGTTATAATCGTTAAAAGAATCTCTACAATTTATATATTGATGGATTGATAAAGAGTTCATATTCATTTCCTCCCACCTGCTTTATGGCTAAAGAACTTTACATTTAACATTAAATTAGTATTCCACCAAGGACCTTTTAATAGCTCAGAAAGTTACTAACTTTCCTCTCAGCTTCCATAGTTCTTGCCTTCTACTTGGCCCCATCCTAAGCACTTTACATAATTGACTCTTGGCTGGGCGTGGTGGCTCATGCCTGTAATCCCAGCACTTTGGGAGGCCGAGGTGGTGGGTGGATTGCCTGAGCTCAGGAGTTCGCGACCAACCTGGGCAACACGGTGAAACCCCATCTCTACTAAAATATAAAAAAATCAGCTGGGCATGGTGGCATGTGCCTGTAGTCCCAGCTACTCAGGAGGCTGAGGCAGGAGAATTGCTGGAACCCGCTTGAACTCGGGAGGTAGAGGTTGCAGTGAGCCAAGATTGCGCCACTGCACTCCAGCCTGGGCAACAGGGCAAGACTCCATCTCATAAAAAAAGGACTTGTTTAATTCTTACAATAACTCTGTGATATAAGTGCTATTTCTATTATTGTTGTACAGAAGAGGTTGCTTACAACAGAGAGTATTTAGGTACTTCTGCAAGGCTACACAGCCACTTAATTGCAGAGGTAGGCTTTCCACCCAGGCAATCTGGCACCAAAGACAGTATTTTTTAACTATTATACTGCTTCTCCAGACAAAGAATTAGTATGGGTTTAAATAACATAAGAGCTTTCTTTACCTGTCTAGTCTCTTTATACTTGATAATTCTGTGGTTACTCTAAGGTGAATGTTTTTCCAGTTCCCTCACATTTCTCTTTTCTGACATCTTTATCAATATAATTTTGATTTTATTTAGTAAAACTTTAGCCAATTCTCAAAGCTGTATTTTAAAAATTGGCTATAATAAAAAAAACATTGTTACATTTCTTTGTTGTAAGCAGTCTTCCATTTCTAATCCAATTGGGATCACCTTACTGGAGGAAGGGAAGTTGCTCTATAGAGTTTATGGGATGTGAAAGAAGACAGGGCCAGGTGAGTGATGGCCAATCAGTGATAGAAAGTCATTGCCAAAGCACAAAGCCTATCTGGTCCAGGAGGGAGATTAGCCCCTGTGATTCTGTTGGGAAAATCCCTTCAAAAGCCTGTGGGTTTTTACTTTGATGTTGTTGTTGTTGTTGTTGTTGATTTTATTTATTGATTTTTTTGAGACAGTCTCGCTCTGTCACCCAGGCTGGAGTGCAGTGGCACAATTTCAGCTTGCTGCAACCTCTGTCTCCTGGGTTCATGCCATTCTGTCTCAGCCTCCCGAGTAGCTGGGACTACAGGCGCATGCCACCACGCCCGGCTAATTTTTTGTATTTTTAGTAGAGATGGGGTATCACCGTGTTAGCCAGGATAGTCTCAATCTCCTGACCTCGTGATCTGCCCGCCTTGGCCTCCCAAAGTGGTGGGATTACAGGTGTAAGCCACTGCACCCAGCCCAGACTGTGTTTTGTTTGTTTGTTTTAAAAAAAGAAACAAAAGCCTGGCACTTGGAGGAAATTAAGATCTTCAGTGCCACCAACTGTTTTCCAGTTCATCTTGTATTTAGACTTATGTATGTATATATTGACCAAAAAAAATGCTCATTCATATTCTCAATATTTATTCAGGTCTACATTGAGACAGATATCGGTACAATGGTGACCAAGACCAATACAGACCCTGCTCTCATGGAATTGACATACTAGTTCTTGAGATGTATAATAAACAAGTAAACAGATAAGTAGAGAACATATATAGTGATATGTATAAGAATAAAGGGATGGTGTGTGATGGAGAAAGAGCTAATTCAGACAGTGTGGTCAGAAACCAATCTCTGTGGTCTTAATTTGGCATTTTATAGATACACAGTTCCTTTTCAGTGGTTCACCTAATGTTTTTGCAATTGGAAGTCCTCATTGGAATCAGTGTGTTTCAATTTGTCATTCCTTTTATATATTAGTTGCTGTCATGTTCTTTGGTAAACTTTTGTAATTCTAGTAGGAAAGGCAAAGAGGCTTTTTTTATTATATGTCTTTTATATTACTGTAAGTAAGTAGCCACCTCAAATGGTGCACTAGAAATTTTCATACCTTCTATTAAGTCTCATTATGTTTATTGATTTTATTGGTTCAGTATACATTAGCCCACCAGAGTCTGATTTTTGATGTCCAGCTGTATGAATATTGGATGAAATTTTGATATACTGATACCATGTTTCTTATGGTGATTTCTGTGTGCTTTGGCTTTATCCTTTAACCTTTGAATTTATTCTCACTTTTTGTCCAAAGCTTATCCAAGGCTCATTCCATACCCTCCCTATCCCAGACCCAGCATTGAATTGGATATGAGTGCATTTTTCTGGTTTTGTTTAGTTTAGCATGTTTCAGTACATAAACTTTTTTCCCCTCATTTGACTCTTGTATTGTCAAAATGGTGGCACTTTAGCTCCCGCAAACTATTTTTGTGTCCCTTTGATGTGACCCACTGTTGTAAAACTTTTTTCTTTCTGGCAAAACATTACAGGTTACATCTCATACCTCCCCTGGTCCAGATCATGATTCAGGTCTTTGTTCTAGGATTCCTGGCTTATTATCTGGTTTATTTCAATAACAAGGACAATAAGTCATGGTTATGATTTTTCTGTTTCATGGAGTGAGTGAACATTTTATCTCATTCCAGGAATTTGTTTTTTTCCAACTATTGTTGCTTTTTGGGTTGGTTTTAAATATTCCTTTACCAAGAAATTCATTCATTAGTCTACATTTTCAGCTTTATTAGCATAGGAGTCTTAATAACATTTTGTGTATGTTTTCATCACCTAGTGATTGTTTGCTAATTCCTCACCTTTTCTTTAGGTCACTGTTCTTTATACATTGGTTATTTTTACTTTTTTAAAAAAAAGCATTTAAGTTTTTACTTTTTATGAGACAAATGTATTTGCGTTCCATAGATGTCAGTTAGAAATGTTTTCAACATCATGGTTCTCTACAAACTTTGTGATTTCAGTTACATTTCCACATTGACTCAACAGTTATTTAATAGTGAGCTTCTTTTTTTTTTAAGACGTAGTCTCACTCTGTTGCCCAGCCTGGAGTGTGGTGGCGCAGTCTCAGCTCACTGCAACCTCCGTCTCCCAGGTTTGAGCGATTCTCCTGCCTCAGCCTCCCAAGTAGCTGGGATTACAGGCATGTGCCACCGTGCCTAGCTAAGTTTTTTTGTATTTTTAGTACAGACGGGGTTTCGCCATGTTGGCCAGGCTGTTCTCAAACTACTGACCTCAAGTGATCCGCACACCTTGGCCTCTCAAAATGCTGGGATTACAGATGTTACAGCCACTGCACCCAGCCTAGTAGAGAGCTTCTTTATTTCTAACTGAAACTTCTTTTGATTTACTGATACTGGCACTCAAATCTGGTTTTAATGTTGTCGTCAGATATTGATGCCTGCATTATTTCATCTTATACATAATTAAGTCACAGAAAATTATTCTTGCCCTTTATCATGCAGTGTTTATGTGTTGCTCTGAGTTTTCCTCAGGCATTCCCTTCTCTCACTGTTGGCCTCCAGATGATCTCCATAAAATCCTTTGCTACAAAGTGCCTTCCAATCTTGTCTACCTAGACCACCTTCTTCATATGATTCTGTTAGCATATTCTCCTTTTCACACATAAGCCCTTGCTCAGAACTGTGTAAGTCTAACAGTAGTTATAATTATATTCAGATATTATTTTAATATCTGAAATATATTTTTGGAAAGTACAGCATTAGTTGACTTTTGCTATAAGAAAATGGAAAGGAATATCTGTAAAAGAAGATAAAAGAAAAAATAGAGGAAGGTTTTAGGAGGACGGCGGAGTAAATGTAAATATGCTGTTGAAGAGAAGTAAATAACACATCCCGATTGTATTTCTTCATTCCACATGTCAATCATGGCTCTGCATAAGAGGGAATAAGCAATAGTGGTGGACAATATGTGTAGGTGGAGAAGCAGTTGGAAAATAAATACATATGAATGTTCGCCATATTTATGTATCTTACTGTATTATAAATATACATATGTAATCACTAATACAATGTGAGGGTTGGGAGGCATTGGTAACTGGCATTATTCTTATAGTTACATAATTATTTTGATAATTATTGTTTTCTAGTGACTTATCTTTGTATATATACTTTTATTTTTATTTAGATTCATTCATACAGTGATTTACTTTTCCTCTAATTAATTATCATATACTATGTCCTTAGGTCTTGTTATACATTGGCACATGAAAATTTATTACATTTGTCCTTGTGGAATTTAAGGAATAAGGAAGTAAATGGTGTAAGAGAAAAGTATTGAATACACAACTGAAAAAAATATATATGAGGGTAAGGCACTAGATATGGGATTAGAAACAGAAATGAAGTTATTTAGGGTCAACTAATATGCCCTTTCTGAGGGTATCTTGAGACTTTAACAAAGAAAAGAAGCTGGCATACAAAGAGACCATTGATGTGAAATGAAATGTCCTGTGGATAGCTCTAAATGATAGGAAATTTGTTTTGATCTAGGAGATGAAAAATGATTAGGAGAATGCGTTAAAATGAGGTGGTTTTTTTTGAGACGGACTCTCGCTCTGCTGCCCAGGCTAGAGTGCAGTGGTGCAATCTCAGCTCCCTGCAGCCTCCACCTCCTGGGTTCAAGCAATTCTTGTGCCTCAGCCTCCCAAGTAGCTGGGACTACAGGCGCATGCCATCACGCCCAGCTGTTTGTATTTTAGTAGAGGCAGGGTTTCACTGGTCACAAAGTTCTGAGCTCAGGTAACCCACCCACCTTGCCCTCCCAGAGTGCTAGGATTACAGGCATGAGCCAACACGCCCAGGCAAAATGAGGTCTTAACAAACTGCACCTTGTTATTATCCTCGGTAAAATTTATTTTTGGGGAGGAAAACCACAAAAGTGTTAGTATATATGGATTATCAAATTTTGATCTGCGTTAGCATTACCTCTACAAGATGCTAATGACTAGTTCTACATCTACAGATTTTGATTCTGTTTAACCAATGAGCTTACCAGGTGATGACCAACACACAAATTTCAGATCCACTGACTTAATCTGTTACCTTTATCACAATCCTCATAATCTTTATGTTCTGCTGTTACTCTGTGAGCTCTCTTTATCTTTCATGACAGTATTTTAACCAATTCATGTATATGGTGAATTATTCTTAAATTGTCTCTTCTTTCTATAACTGTTTTATTTTTGTAGTACATGAAAATTATTTTTTCCTTTCTTTCAGATTTGGAGTCCAGGAATGAGACTAAGCATTTATCTGTAGGAAAAGATATTATTCAAAACACTGGTTCTCAGTGGGAGGTAATGGAAAGTAGCAAGTTATGTGGCCTTGAAGGTTCCATTTTCAGAAATGACTGGCAAAGCAAAAGCAAGATTGACTTACAAGGACCTGAAGTGGGATATTTCAGTCAAATGAAAATCATCTCTGAAAATGTGCCCAGTTACAAAACTCATGAATCTCTTACTTTACCTCGGAGAACTCATGACAGTGAGAAGCCCTATGAATACAAGGAATATGAGAAGGTCTTCAGTTGTGACTTAGAGTTTGATGAATATCAGAAAATACATACTGGTGGAAAAAACTATGAATGTAATCAATGTTGGAAAACCTTTGGGATAGATAACTCCAGTATGTTACAACTGAATATTCATACTGGTGTGAAACCTTGTAAATATATGGAATATGGGAATACATGTAGTTTTTATAAAGACTTTAATGTATACCAGAAAATTCATAATGAGAAGTTCTATAAATGTAAGGAATACAGAAGGACCTTTGAAAGAGTTGGAAAAGTTACTCCACTTCAAAGAGTTCATGATGGTGAGAAACACTTTGAATGCTCATTCTGTGGGAAATCCTTTAGAGTGCATGCACAACTTACTCGACATCAGAAAATCCATACTGATGAGAAAACTTACAAATGTATGGAATGTGGCAAGGACTTCAGATTTCATTCACAGCTTACCGAACATCAGAGAATTCATACTGGTGAGAAACCCTACAAATGTATGCACTGTGAGAAGGTTTTTAGAATTAGTTCACAGCTCATTGAACATCAGAGAATTCACACTGGTGAGAAACCTTATGCATGTAAGGAATGTGGGAAGGCTTTTGGAGTATGTAGAGAACTTGCTCGTCATCAGAGAATTCATACTGGTAAGAAACCCTATGAATGCAAAGCATGTGGAAAGGTCTTTAGAAATAGTTCATCCCTGACTAGACATCAGAGGATTCATACTGGTGAAAAACCCTATAAATGTAAAGAATGTGAGAAAGCATTTGGAGTAGGTAGTGAACTTACTCGACATGAAAGAATTCACAGTGGTCAAAAACCTTATGAATGTAAGGAGTGTGGAAAGTTCTTTAGACTTACGTCAGCCCTTATTCAACATCAAAGAATTCATAGTGGTGAGAAACCTTATGAATGTAAGGTATGTGGGAAGGCCTTTAGACATAGTTCAGCCCTTACAGAACATCAGAGAATTCATACTGGAGAAAAACCC
Organism: Homo sapiens; assembly: GCF_000001405.40. Classification (NCBI taxonomy): domain Eukaryota; kingdom Metazoa; phylum Chordata; class Mammalia; order Primates; family Hominidae; genus Homo; species Homo sapiens. The sequence continues at coordinate 36,547,042 of NC_000019.10, read as the reverse complement.
TATGAATGCAAGGCATGTGGGAAGGCCTTTAGACATAGTTCATCCTTTACCAAACATCAGCGCATTCATACTGATGATAAACCCTATGAATGTAAGGAGTGTGGGAATTCCTTTAGTGTTGTTGGGCATCTTACTTGCCAACCGAAAATTTACACTGGTGAGAAATCATTTGACTGAAATAAATGTATAAAGTGGTTTTTTATTTCTGATTTTCACAGGAAAATACTGTGGATGGATTTAATAGGTAATCAAGGCAATTCAGTATCTCCCTCTCTTAAAGTCTGTTTTTAGACTTCATGGTCATTCTGTATGTAGACGTAGAATTGCTTAGTCATAGCTGATATATACTTATAGCTTTGTTAGATGTTGCCAAATATTTCTCCTTTTTATGTTAAAAAGTTTTTTTCATGAGTTTCTCATCCTGGCATGTTTTGTTTACAATAGCTTTTGATGTTTGTATTATTGCTCTTTTGACTATTCAGTTTTTTAATTGTAATATTACTTCAATATCTTTTCTGCATTGTAATTCTTTGCTTGTGATATCTATACTTACTTATTTTCCTCCACAGAGTTAGCACTCCTAGTCAGATACAATGTATTTTTACAGTCTTACAGCTCATCATTTTGTGTAATGTTGTTTTGTTTTGTTTTAAATGATAGAAGTGTGATCTCCTTTCCATTTTCATCCAATTGTTGACTTCTCTTTAAATTTCTACTTTATTTTGATACAACATATTCCCCCCAAAAAAACACATACATAGGAACTGGTTATATTCCACCATAACACACACACACACACACACACACTATATACATATAGTGTATATACACATATAGTGTATATAGTGTATGTGTGATGTATACTATACATATCACATATACTATATGTGTGTATATAGTGTGTGATGTATATGTGTGTGATGTATACTATATATGCCCACACATGCACTACATAACACACTATATATATATATATATATACACACACACACACACAATATATGTATATATAGTATATACACTATATACTGGGCACTATATATATATAGTGTGTATGTGTGTTATATTGGAATATAACCAGTTCCTTTAAGCAGTCTTTTTACCTGCAGGCTATACCAACCAGGATCCAAATGAAGAGAACTCTTTTAAATATTTGATAAAACTACTCACCCAGTAAGTCTCTTAAAATTTATCATTCTCTTAAAGTATCACTCTAAAATTTGTCAAACACCTTTAAAAGGGGAGAAAAAATGACCACTGAACTTACATTAAGAGAATTTACAACTATATATTAACATGGCTTCAATTGTTTTTTTAATCTATTATCATTATTTTTCTTTTTATTCCCTCTCAGAGTTGACTTACTAGGTTTGGGCATTTCAACAATCAGCAGACCTTCTTTGGTTTAACTAATCTCATTTAACTCCAAAATCATCTCTCTCTTAGGACTGCTGACTTGGTTATGCAGTCAATGAGATCACGAGCCACTGGTTATTGGATTTTTTTTCTTTTTTTTTAGACAGAGTTTTGCTCTTGTTGCCTAGGCTGGAGTGCAGTGGCGCAGTCTTGGCTCACCTCAACCTCTGCCTCCCAGGTTCAGGCTATTCTCCTGCTCAGCCTCCTGATTAGCTGGGATTACAGGCATGCGCCACCATGACCGGCTAATTTTATATTTTTAGTAGAGACGGGATATCTCCGTGTTGGTCAGTCTGGTCTCAAACTCCCGACCTCAGGTGATCCACCCGCCTCAGCCTCCCAAAGTGCTGGGATTACAGGCATGAGCCACCGCACCCAGCCTGGTTATTGGATTTATTTATTTATTTTGAGATAGAGCCTTGCTCTGTCACCAGGCCGGAGTGCAGTGGTGTCATCTCAGATCACTGCAACCTCCACCTCCCAGGTTCAAGCGATTCCCCTGCCTCAGCCTGCCAAGTAGCTGGGATTACAGGCATGCGCCACCATGCCCAGCTAATTGTATTTTAGTAGATATGGAGTTTCACCACGTTGGCCAAGACAGTCTCGATTTCCTGACCTTGTGATCCCCCTGCCTCGGCCTCCCAAAGTGCTGGGATTACAGGCATGAGCCACCACGCCTGTCCGGTTATTTGATTTTTATAAGAAAATTTTACTATTATTTTCAGATAAATTTATGTCACTGTCATTCATTACATTTTAATTTTTGAAACTGATGTCTTTCCCAGAATTTATGTACTCTATAACGGTGTGAATGATTACCAGTATTAAGCCATTTTCTCATCTGATATATTGAGCTATGTTTTATGTAAGTATTGCTTATTCAAGTAGTTTTAAAAGATATGTAATTGGTTGTTGTTTCATGTCCTACACAGTAAGAACAAGAGTATGTTAACCTTTTTGTCAGGATATTTGCTATTTCATATCTTTGAAATAGAGTAGTAGCTCTATTTCTAACTAAATTCTATTTATGTAACAACACAGCTAATTTACTCTTGGATCTCATTCTCCCTTTTTATCCTGAGTTACCATCAGTGCTAATGTTCCTCTTTTGGGTATAGTTCTCCAGGAGAACTTGTCCTATATTTCTTTGTGTGTGTTTTTTTCCTTCCAGCTTAAACAAATTAAAACTAAATATCTAAACCTTGTATACAGACATTAAAATTAGTGAGAGAAACAAAATATCCTTGTGTCTTGGCTTTTACTTTTTGAAGTCATTAACAAATAATAAATTAATGAATAAAATGTGTCCTTATTATGTTTTCCTTGTTTGTAGTTACAGCTATATTTTTATCATATTAACATTTTTCACTTAACTTCGTAATGAACTTATGGCATTTCACACTTACTCGAAACCATAATATAATTATTATTGGTGGTATTACTGTTTGGTTTTTACTATTTTTACTCAAAAACATAAAACTTCACCATTCTTTCCATTTTCATTTGCCCCTTTATTCTTTCTGACTTTTCTCTAAGCCTGCATAGGAGCTTTATTCTCATATTCAATAGGATAGGATATTGCAGTCTCATCCTGTTTTCTGCTGTCCTGCACCATTAAATTTTATATGTCCTTGAAGGAATTCAATTTAATGGCAACTAATATATGTATGTTAGGGACAGGTAAAGAGTCTGTGACTGAGATTTCTGGAGTTATATAACCCCTGCGCCACCCCCCACCCCAACTCCAACTTGCCAGAATTCACCCCTTAACCTGCAATGTGATTGTATTTGGACATAGGGCAATGAGGACATAAGAATGTGATTCTAATTTGATACAAATGGTGATCTTATGAGAAGAGGAAGGAGAGACGTCTCTTCCTATGCTCACACACAAAGGAAAGTCCACATGAGGACACAAGGAGAAGCCAAGAGAGCCCTTACCAGGAATTAAACCTGCTAATCCCTATTTTAATTAGAACAGTGAGAAAATAAATATCTGTATTTAAGCCTCACAGTCTATGGCATTTTCTTACAACACCCTAAGCAAACTAAGACAGTTGTTGGTACTGAGAAGTGGGGTGCTGCTATAACAAAAAACTAAAAATGTGCAAGTCCAAGCTTTGGAACTGGGTGGTGGGCAAATAGGCTAGAAGAATGCTGAGGGTAGATGCTAGAAATATGGATGTAAAAATGATTCTGGGGAGGACAAAAAAAAAAAATAGAACCACTGGAGAGAAAGCTTCCATTTTAAAGAATCCTGTCATGAACGGTATTCATGTTAAAGAAACAATCATGAACAAAATGTTGGTAGAAATATGGACATTTAAGGCCATAATGTTTTAGTCTCAGAAATGAGAAACAGGTTATTGTAGCAAGGAACTTGGCTGAATCATGTTCTAGTGTTTTGTGGAAGGTAGCGCTTCCAACCAATGAAAACTGAATAGTAGCGGAGATTTCTAATTATTGAACTTGTGGCTTGGGTTCCCTTTATTGCGCATATAAAACAGGAAAGGAGAGAGATGAATTGAAGGAGGAATTCTTAAGCAATAAGAAACTAAAATGTGAAGATTTGGGAAATTCTTAACCATACTGAGAAAAATGAGGAAATGTGTATTTTGCTGTTTTGGGGTAGAGTGTTGTGTACATGTTAGGTGTTGTTAGTTGATAATCTTCCAGTTTTCTATTTCCTTCTTGATCTTCTGTGTAGATGTTCCATCCATTATTGAATGTGAAGTTTTGAAGACTCCAACTGTTGTAGAACTTTTTTTTTTTGCCTGCAACTTTTTGTAGTGTTTGCTTCACTTCTTTTGGGGCTGTTTGGTGTGTTTGTGTTTATAACTATTATATCTTTTGATGCATTGACCGTTTTATCAATATATAATGTGTCTTTTTTGTCCCTTGTAAAAATTTTTGACTTAAAGTCTATTTTGTTTGATACTAGCATAGCCACCCTACCTCTCTTTTGCTTAACTATTTGCATGGAATCTTTGTCCACTCCTCTCACTTTCAAACTATTTACAGTTTGGGATTTATACTGAGTCTCTTATGGACAGCATATAGTTGGATCATTTTTTTTAATCCATCTGGCAATCTCTGCCTTTTAATTGGAGAGTTTAATCAATATACATTTAAATTAATTGCTTGTAAAGGACTGACTTCTGCCATATTTTAATTTGTTTTGTGTATGTCTCTTTTTGTTTCTTAATTCTCCCAATATTGCCACCTTTTGTGTTTAATGGAATTTTTTCTTTTTTCTTTTTTTTTTTTGAGATGGTGTTCGCTCTTGTTGCCCAGGCTGGAGTGCAATGGCACAACCTCAGCTCGCAGCAACCTCCACCTCCCAGGTTCAAGCAATTCTCCTGCCTCAGCCTCCTGAGTAGCTGGGATTACAGGCATGTGCCACCACGGCCGGCTAATGTTGTATTTTTAGTAGAGACAGGGTTTTTCTGTGTTGGTCAGGCTGGTCTCAAACTCCTGACCTCAAGTGATCCGCCCGCCTCAGCCTCCCAAGGGGCTTACAGGCGGAAGCCACCATGCCTGGCCCGAATTTATTTTACTGTATCATTTTGGTTCCTTTATTTTATTTTCTGTAAATTTTGTATTCATTTTCTCAGTGTTTGCCTTGGAGTTAACACATATTCTACTTTGAATTAATACTATCTTAGCTTCAATATTTACAAAAATTCTGGTCCTATACATCTCTGTCCTTCCCCATTTATATTATTATTGACAGGAATTACATCTTTAAACATTGTGTGCCCATTTACAGAGACTTATAATTACTGTTTTATGCAGTTACCTTTTTTTTTTTTTAGATGGGAGTCTCATCCGGGCTGGAGTGCAGTGGTGCGATCTCGGCTCATTGCAACCTCTGCCTCCTGGGTTCAAGCGACTCTCCTGCCTCAGCCTCCCGAGGAGCTGGGACGACAGGTGCCTGCTACCACACCCAGCTAATTTTTGTATTTTTTGTAGAGACAGGGTTTCAGTTTCTCCAGGTTGGTCTTGGAACTCCTGAGCTCAAGTGATCCATCCACCTTGGCCTACCAAAGTGCTGAGATTACAGGATGAGCCACCATTCCCAGCTACATTTTTCTTTTAAATCATATAGGAAGAAGACGGGAATACATGCCAAAAATACAATATTGCTGGCTTTTGTATTTACCTATGTAAATACATAGTTATGTAGTTATCTTTACCAGTGTTCTTTATTTCTTCCTGTAGCTTTGTGTTACTTTCTAGTATCTTTTCATTTCTGCATGAAACATTTACATTATTTATTTTTACTTCATTATTATTTTTAGAGACAGGGTCTCACCCTGTTGCCCAGGCTGGAATGCAGTGGCACAACCACAGCTCACTGCATCTTCAGCCTCCTGGGCTCAAGCAATCCCTCTTGACTTAGTCTCCTGAGTAGCTAGGACTCCAGGTACCATGCCTGGACTTTAAGCTGTAGCATCAGAGAGATACACCCTTATAGAGACTGCTTAACCAACCCCCATAATTGCACAAGCCAATCCCCTCTAATAAATCTCTTAATATATAGATACAGTATGTATATATCTCTTATTGACTCTGCTTGTCTTATTCAAGCCTGACTGATACAATACCTTTCATCAGGATGAGGAAACTCCTTTATTTTCCTAGTTCTATTCCTAGCATTTCAAATGTTTTAAATCAGGCATGTATGTGGGACTGTATCAAATAATTTTTTGTGTCTATTGAAATCATATATTTTCAACTTATTTGTATGTTGAGAGCTTATCAATGGGTTTGGGATTCTGTCAGATGCTTTTTTTCAGTGTTTTTTGTTGTTGTTAAGGACTTTTTTCTTTTTTGAGACAGGGTCTCACACTGTTGCCAAGACCAGAGTACAATGGCGCGATCGTGGCTCACTGCAGCCTCGACCTCCGTGGGTTCAGATGATGCTCTCACCTCAGCCTCTTGAGTAGCTGGTACTACAGTGACGCCACCATGCCTGGCTAGTTTTTTACTTTTTGTAGAGACAGGGTTTCACCATGGGTCCCAGGCTGGTCTCAAACTTGTGGGCTCAAGCAATTTGCCTGCCTTGGCCTCGCAAAGTGCTGGGATTACAAGTGTGAGCCACTGCGCCCGGCCTTGTTCAGGATTTTTGTGTCTGTGTTCATGAGAGTCTGTAGTTCATGGTCTGCAGTTTTTCTATTGATATTTATTTATTTTATTTTATTTTTACTTTTTTTTTTTTTTTAAGACGGAGTCTTGCTCTTGTTGCCCAGGCTGGAGTGCAGTGGTGTGATTTTGGCTCACTGCAACCTCCACCTCCTGGGTTCAAGGAATTCTCCTGCCTTAGCCTCCCATGTAGCTGGAATTACAGGCACCCGCCACCACACCCAGCTAATTTTTGTATTATTTTATTTTATTTATTTATTTTGAGATGGAGTCTCTGTCGCCCAGGCTGGAGTGCAGTGGCACCGTCTCAGCTCACTGCAACCTCCGCCTCCTGGGTTCAAGCGATTCTTCTGCCTCAGCCTCCTGAGTAGCTGAGACTACAGTTGCAAGCCACCACGCCCGGCTAATTTTTGTATTTTTAGTAGAGACAGGGTTTTCCCATGTTGGCCAGGCTGGTCACAAACTTCTGATATCGTGATCCACCCGCCTCGGTCTCCCAACGTGCTGGGATTACAGGCATGAGCCACTGTACCTGGCCTTTCTTTTGATATTTAAAATCTGCCTTTGGTATAGGCTTAATACTGGCCTCATAGTATGACCTCAGAATTGTTTCCTTTCCCTTGTCTGTTTCCTGAAAGAATTTGTGAAGTATTGGTATTATTTTTTCTTTAAATATTTCATAGATTTCTATTTATGGGCTATTCTTCATGGAAAATTTTAATAAAGTCCTTTTTTAGTTATAGGTCTATTCAAGTTTTGAAATTTCTTCCAGTTGGTTCTCATAGTTTATGACTTACCAGAAATGTTTCCCTTTTATCTAGTTTGCCTAATTTGTTAGCATAAAGTTTAAATTTTGTAGGTTTTTGATAGTGATTTCCCTTCTTTCATTTCTGATTTTGGTAATTTGTGTTCTTTTTTGCTTGTCAAGTTTGCTTGTCAAGTTATCTTTTCAAATAACTACCTTTTGGTTTCAGACATTTTCTAGTATGTGTCTTAATGTCTTCTGTTTCTTTGATTTCCATTGTGATCTTTATTGTTTTTCTTTTGCTTGCTTTGGATTTAGTTGCTCTTTTCTAGTTTCTTTAATTTTCTAACTTGGCAGTTTCTTAAAAAGTTAAAATCTTTTTTTTTTTTTTTTTTTTGAGACGGAGTCTTGCTCTGTTACAAGTGCCTGGAGTGCAGTGGTGCTATCTAGACTCACTGCAAGCTCCGCCTCCGCCTCACACCATTCTCCTGCCTCAGCCTCCCAAGTAGCTGGGACTACAGGTGCCCGCCACCATGCCTGGCTAATTTTTTGTATTTTTAGTAGAGACAGGGTTTCACCATGTTAGCCAGGATGGTCTCAATCTCCTGATCTCGTGATCCACCTGCCTCGGCCTCCCAAAGTACTGGGATTACAGGCGTTAGCCACCGCGAAAGTTAAAATCTTAAACTTTACCACTATACAATTCATCCACATAACCAAAAACCACATGTACCTCAAAAGCCATTTGTATTACTTCATTCTTCACGCTGCTATAAATAAATACCTGAGACTGGGTAATTTATAAAGAAAAGAGATTTAATTGGCTCATGGCTCGACAGGAAGCATGGCTCGGGAGGCCTCAGGAAACTTAAATCATGGCAGAAGGTGAAGGGAAAGCACGCACGTCTTTCGTGGCCAAACCAGGAAGAAGACAGAGTGGGGACGTGCCACACTTTTAAACAACCAAATCTCACAAGCATTCACTCAGTATCATGAAAGCAGCACCAAGGAGGAAATCTGACCCCATGATCCAATCACCTCCCACCAGGCCCCACCTCCAACACTGGGGATTACAATTTGACATGAGATGTGGGTGGGTACACAGACCTGAACCATATCACTATTGGGGAAAAAAGGTGGCTGGAATGCAGTGGCATGATCTCAGCTCACTGCAACCTCTCTTCCTGGGTTCATGTGATTCTCCTGCCTCAGCCTCCTGAGTAGCTGAGACTACAAGTACATGCCACCACTCCCGGCTAATTTTTGTATTTTTACTATAGACAGAGGTTCATCATGTTGGCCAGGTTGGTCTCGAACTCCTGACCTCAAATGATCTGCCCACTTGGCCTCCCAAAGTGCTGGGATTACAGGCATGAGTCACCACACCTGGCCTTACATCTGAAAAAATCTAGTTCACATTAAACTTTTACTAGGTAAAAATTGTAGGTTTAATTTATATTTTATTCCTATCAGCGAGGATAATTATCTTTTCACATTATTGTACCCTGAAATGTGTCTACCCGTATTTCATGTTAAAGCCCTAATGACTGATGGAACTGGATTTGGAGATAGGACCTTTAAGGAGATATTAAGCTTAAATGAAAGTTGTAAGTGTGGGAACCTAATCTGATAGTGTTCTTACAAGAAGAGGAAGAGACACCAGAGATTTCTTTCTCTCCTCCCACATGCGGAATAACAGCCATGTCAAGACACAAAAAGCAAGTGGCCATCTACAAGTCAGGAAGACAGCCCTTCACCAGAAATCAACTGTACTGGCACCCCTATCTTGAACTTCCAGCCTTCAAAACTATAAGAAAATAAATTTATGTTTTTTAAGCTACTCAGTTTGTGATATTTTGTTATGATAGTCCAAACAGATGAAAACATGCATACCAAAAGGCGATTTTTTGTTCCTTTTCTATGAACCATCTCTGTATCCCTTGCTTATTTTCTTTTTGATTATTTTTCCTCCTTATTAGATATGCAGTACTTTCATTTCATTAAAATTAACTTTTTCTGGGATATATGTTGCAGGTAAGTTTTCCCAGGCTATCAATTATCTTTTGGAATTTTAGCATTAATAGTTTTTGCCAAGTAAAAAAATTAATTTAGGCCGGGCGTGGTGGCTCACACCTGTAATCCCAGCACTTTGGGAGGCCGAGGTGGGTGGATCACGAGGTCAGGAGATCGAGACCATCCTGGCTAACATGGTGAAACCCCATCTCTACTAAAAATACAAAAAATTAGCCGGCGTGGTGACGGGCGCCTGTAGTGCCAGCTACTCCGGAGGCTGAGGTGGGAGAATGGCGTGCACCCGGGAGGCGGAGCTTGCAGTGAGCCGAGATCGCACCACTGCACTCCAGCCTGGGCAACAGAGCGACACTCTGTCTCAAAAAAAAAAAAATTTATTATTATTTTCAATTATGGGTTCTAGGATTTGTGTTAGACTTAGAATGATTTCCATGTCCTGAGGCTAACATTTTTTCCACATTATTTCGAGAATTTTTATGATTTCATATTTCACATTTGAATCTCTGATCCACTTGGAATAATAGATATGAAATGTTAACGACCTATTTTCTTCCCCTCTACAATGGTTACAATATACAGTTGTATATTATAAACGAAGTACTAAATCCATATGTGTGCCCCTAATTAGAAATGCTGTCTTTACCATATGAAGAATACTGCACTACCTACTGGGTCTGGAGTTTCTCTTCCACTCCACTGATCCGTCTGCTCATCTGTCAGAACCATGCTATTTTAAGACTTTTATTTTATTTTATTTTATTTTATTTTATTTTATTTTATTTTGAGACGGTCTCACTCTGTCACCCAGGGTGAAATTCAGTAGTACAATCACAGCTCACTGCAGTCTTGACCTCCCAGGCTCAAGCCATCCTCCCGCCTTAGCCTCCCAAAGCATTTGGGAGGATGGCTGAGACTATATGCATGTGTCAACATACCCAGCTAATTTCTGTATTTTTTGTAGAGATGGTGTTTCATTATGTTGCCCAGGCTGGTCTCAAACTCCTGGGCTCAAATGATCCATCTACCTCAGCCTCTCGAAGTGCTTTTAGTGATTACAGGTATAAACCACCACACCCAGCCAAGGCTATTATTTTATGTTTAAACATATGGTAGAGTAAATGTTCTGAATTACTCTTTTTCAGAATTTTCCTGGCTATTCTGCCATATTGACTTTTCCACATGAACTTCAGAATTAACTTGTCTTTAATAAAACAATTATTAATTTATTAATAAAATAATTATCAGATTGGGATCACATTAAATTATTACAAATTAAGTTTTAAACCCTTAGGAGTTTGAGGCATCCTATACTATGCTTTTTCACTTGTTTTCTGATTAGTCCCTCCATATTCAAGTTCTCTTCATAAGGTATACCAATTCTTGCTAATTTTATTCCTTAGTAACATATTTTTATGTCTATCATTGCTGGGGTCTTTTAAAACTTTCTCAATTGAATCTTCTATTTGTTGTTTTCATATATATATGTATATCATATACATTATGTGTACTATTTTGGCATATTTTATATCCAGTCACCTTCTTGAAATTTCTCATTGTTTAAAATTGCTTTCTAGGCCGGGTGCCGTCTAGGAAAAAACTATAAAAATTAGCCAGATGTGGTGACATGTGCTTGTAGTCCCAGCTACTCAGGAGGCTGAGGTGGGAGGACTACTTGAGTCCAGGAGGTTGAGGCTGCAGTGAGCCAAGGTTGCCTGGAGTACAGAGCAAGACCCTATCTTTTTTTTTCTTTTCTTTTCTTTTTTTTTTTTGAGACTTGTCATCCAGGCTGGAGTGCAATGGCACGATCTCAGCTCACTGCAACCGCTGCCTCCGGGGTTCAAGCAATTCTCCTGCCTCAGCCTCCTGAGTAGCTGGGATTACAGGCATGTGCCACCATGCCTGGTTAATTTTGTATTTTTAGTAGAGATGGGGTTTCTCCATGTTGGTCAGGCTGGTCTCGAACTCCTGACCTCAGGTGATTCGCACGCCTCACCCTCCCAAATTGCTGGGGTTACAGGCAGCCACTGCGCCCAGCTGACCATATTTTAAAAAATTAAAATTAAAAAAAAGAAACTGGCTATAAACAATTTTTGCTACAGTTCAACATACCTCAAGGACATGTGAGAGGCTGGGGAGGCTGAGGAAGAGGACTTTTTGTGAGGTGAGACTATTTTTGGGAAGAGCTGTGGGTGTGTTCTCAGCACCCTGAGGAAAGGAGGTGGGTGTTTCCTCCTCTAATCAAACCAAGCAAGTTGACCCGATCCATCCCAGTCCCTCTAAGATCCAAAGGGGAGTGTGTTAAGAGAGTTCTTAGGAGAACTTTACCTTTTTTCCTGCCATTTAGGAGAAACAGAGATAGGAACTTAATTCCCACGTGGTGACAGGATATGGACCATACGGAGTGAGCTGACCTCAGGAGATCTTGGATCCTGTTCTAGAGAACTTCTGGAGGGCCAATGTGACCCACCAGAAAAGGATGACCACAGTATGCCTAGGGTTAACGTAAGGATTTTAAGTGGCCTCTGTAAACAGGATGTTCTGGCAACATGCCCTCCCCTGCAGTTGAAGATCTGCAGCAAGGTATTTGCTTAGAAACCCGGAAAAACACCTAACAATAAGAAAAAGGGTCAGCTTTGACTATCCATGAAGGCAGGAGAGAACCAAACACTGATTATAACAATACCAGTTAAGTAAGACCTTTACTGTCTCTTACCTTTCTTCCCCTTCCTCTTCTCCTGCTTTAGGGAGGCTGAACAATCTACTGTTGGAGGAAGCTGAGAAGACCATGGAAGGGAAATGGAAGCTGCTCACATATTCCTTCCCTCATGCAGGTGTCCATCTTTACCTAAGATTCAGTTGTAGGAAGAAGTCTTAATTTTAAACAGTTCAGAGTACTAATTATTGTAATATACCAGGTATTTCATTTAGCAAATTAAGGCTGATCTTGTCTACTGGATTTTTTATTACTTAAGAATGACTATAATGACACTTGACAGACATTTCATCCAGAGGCAGGAAAAAATACCATCTCACAGAGAAGGGCTGAAAGAGACAATTATGGGAGAATAGTTTTTTTTTTGAAAATACAAAATTTTACTCTGGAATAGGTTAAAGACCTAACTGTGTAAGGTAGAACTACAAAGTCAAGAGACAAAAATGTAGAAGAATTTCTTTGTGACCTTAGAGAAGAAAAATGTTTCTTTTTTTTTTCTCTCTTTTTTGAGACAGAGTTTTGCTCTTGTTGCCCAGGCTGGAGTGCAGTGGCACGATCTTGGCTCACTGCAACCTCCGTCTCCTAGGTTCAAGAAATTCTCCTGACTCAACCTCCTGAGTAGCTGGGATTATAGGCACCCGCCACCACGCCCGATTAATTTTTGTATTTTTAGTAGAGATGGGGTTTCACCATGTTGGCCGGGCTGGTCTCGAACTCCTGACCTCAAGCAATCCGCTCACCTTGGCCTCCCAAAGTGCTGGGATTACAGGCGTGAGCCACCATGCCCAGCCAGAAAAATGTTTCTTAAATAATAATACCATAAGCCACATACATATACACAAACACATAACAATAATATTAAAATAAGTATTTCTGTTTAATAAAAAGTATAATAATACATAAGAGGGTATCAGCAGAGTCTAAAACTATCAGAGAGTTAATATCTAGAAAACATAAACATTTGCAAATTAACAAGAAAAAGACTAATCCCAATTACATTTTAACAAAAGGTACAAAAGGCAATTTACAAACAAGCTGAAAAAGCTAACAAGCATAAAAGCTATTCAAAATCACTGGCAATGAGAAATGCACATTAATACTACAAAGAAATACTACTTTATACCTTTTAGACTGATAACTATGAGACAGCTACACAGTGCTGTGTTCATACAGATGTGGGATATGGAAACTCTCATTCCATACTGGTGGGAGTCTGGACTCCTACAACCAATCCGGAGAGAATCTGGCACCACTTAGTCAAGTAAACTCATATCCTATGACCCAGAAATTCTGTGACCTAAGAAATTCTCAAACTGGCCCATAAAGGGATATGTATGAGATTATTAATTTCAGCATTTCCTGTGGTGGGAGGGTATGAAGGCAATCTGCATGTCCATTCCCTGGAAGAGTAGGTAGGTAACGTGACCAATGCCTTGAAATAAATGTTTACATAGTAACAGATAATTGTAAAAACACTATGATTACTGAAAAAGAACAGGAGACATTTATATATATATATATTTAATACACGTATGTAAAATATATGCTTTGTAAGAACATTTTCAAGCATAAAGATAAAATTAATCTTTTTTTTTTTTTTTTTTTGAGTTGGAGTCTCACTCAGTCATCCAGGCTGGATTGCAATGCCATGACCTCGATCACGGGAACCTCCATCTCCCAGGTTCAAGCAGTTCTCCTGCCTCAGCCTCCCGAGTAGCTGGGATTACAGGTGTGCACGACCACGCCTGGCTAATTTTGTATTTTTGGTAGAGATGGGGGTTTTGCCATGTTGGATGGGCTGGTCTCAAACTCCTGAACTCAGGTGATCCGCCTGCCTCATCCTCCCAAAGTGCTAGGATTACAGGCGTGAGCCACCGCGTCCAACAAATTAATCATTTTGAATGTGTCTACAGCAGAAGGAGAATGGAAGTAGAGTATGGTGTTGGAAACAGATCAATAGAGCCCTTTTAAAGATTAGTGATAAATGAGTCTGATTAACTCAAGTTCAGGTTCAGAGGGTGATTAAAAATATATACATAAACATTTATCTTCCAGACATACTTCCTATGGAATTATGCATTTAATGTCATTGTTATTTCCTCTTTTCAGAATTTTTTTGCCTCTGAATCTTTTTACTTGTTTAATTACTCTACCAAGCATCTCTTAAAAAAAAAAAAAAAAGTTAAGGGCCGGGTGCGGTGGCTCAAGCCTGTAACCCCAGCACTTTGGGAGGCCAAGGCAGGTGGACCACCTGAGGTCAGGAGTTGGAGACCAGCCTGATCAACATGGAGAAACCCTGTCTCTGATACACATACAAAATTAGCCAGGCATGGTGGCGCAAGCCTGTAATCCTAGCTACTCGGGAGGCTGAGGCAGGAGAATCCCTTGAACCTGGGAGGCAGAGGTTGTGGTGAGCCGAGATCGCATCTTTGCACTCCAGCCTGGGCAACAAGAGCAAAACTCAATCTCAAGAAAAAAAAAAAAAGTTAAATAGTAATGGTGATACATATATTCTTGTCTCTTTCCTTATGTAACGGAAATGCTTCTAGTATTTCCCTGTTAAGAACTCAATTGGCATTTAAGAATCCAAATCTGGCCAGGTGCGGTGACTCATGCCTGTAATCCCAGCACTTTGGGAGGCCAAGGCAGGCAGATCACTTGAGGTCAGGAGTTCGAGACCAGCCTGGCCAATATGGCGAAACCCCATCTCTACTAAAAATACAAATTTAGCCGGGAGTGGTGGTGGGCACCTGTAATCTCAGCTACTCGGGAGGCTGAGGCAGGAGAATCGCTTGAACCTGGGACACAGAGGTTGCAGTGAGCCGAGACAGTGCCACTGCACGCCAGCCTGGACGACAGAGTGAGACTCCGTCTCAAAAAAAAAAAAAAAAAAAAAGAATTGGCTGGGTGCGGTGGCTCATTCCTGTAATCCCAGCCCTTTGGGAGGCCAAGGTGGGCGGATTGCTTGAGGTCAGGAGTTCGAGACCAGCCTGGCCAACATGGTGAAACTCCGTCTCTACTAAAAATACAAAAAATTAGCCAGGCGTGGTGGTGTGCACCTGTAATCCCAGCTACTCAGGAGGCTAAGGCAGGAGACTCGCTTGCACCCAGGAGGTGGAAGTTGCAGTGAGCCGAGAGTGTGCCACTACACTCCAGCATGGGCAACAGAGCAAGACTCTGTCTCAAAAAAAAAAAAAAAAAAAAAAGAAATATATATTAATCAAAATTAATAATCAAGTTTAAATGTGAGAAAAATTGGTTATATTTTATGCTTTACAGAAACTTAATAAATAATCAAAGAAAACAATAAATAATCAAAGCAGTGAATATCTTTCGCCCAACATCAAAAGTCCTATGGATGATGAAGAACTTATACCCAGTCTGAAGAATGTTGGCTTATAACACCCCTTGGCATACCTCTTCACTACCCCAGAGGTAGAGTTAACACAGAGTAATCTCAGAGAGTAACAGAAACCTAAGGCAATCTGGGCATGTTTCCTCTGTGCAACCAAAAAGAAACTAAGTAGCACTGCTATCATTTATTAACTACTTACTATTCTTTCATTAATCAAATATTTACTGAGAGCCAACTATGTGCTAGCCATTGTAAATGGTGAAGATGGAACAACTAAACAAAAAGACAAGTCCCTTCTTTCACAAGCTTGAGTCTAGTTACAATGAAGAAAATTAAAGTGCAACTACACATTTCATGCATAGATAGGTAGAATATACATATCTTCTAATCAAATTGCTTTCACACAACATATATAACTTAAAATCCTCTATTTTCATTTAATATGACATTGTAAACTCTCATCTCCTTCCTTCCATTATAAATGCATGGTTATGGCCGGGCATGGTGGCTCACACCTGTAATCCCAGCACTTTGGGAGGCCGAGGCAGACGGATCACCTGAGGTCAGGAGTTTGAGACCAGCCTGGCCAACATGGTGAAACCCCATCTCTTCTAAAAATACAAAAATTAGCCAGGCATGGTGGTGCACGCCTGTAGTCCCAGCTACTCAGGAGGCTGAGGCAGGAGCATCACTTGAACTCAATAGGCAGAGGTTGCAGTGAGCTGAGATTGCGCCACCGCACTCCAGACTGGGCAACAGAGCAAGTTTCTGTCTCAAAAAAAAAAAAAAAAAAATGCATGGTTATGAGATAGCTGCTCTGCATGTAGCACAATATCCACATTCCAGACAGAAAGGGGAAAAAGAATGTATGCACACTGAGCCTGCCCCACCCCATCCCCATACCTTTAAAGAACTGCCTGAGTGGCCAGGTGCAGTAGCTCATGCCTGTAATCCCAGCACTTTGGGAGGCCTAGGCAGGCAGATCACCTGAGGTCAGGAGTTCGAGACCAGCCTGGCCAACATGGTGGAAACCTCATCTCTACTAAAAACACAAAAATTAGCCGGGCATGGTGGCAGTCGCCTGTAATCCCAGCTACTCAGGAGCCTGAGGCAGGAGAACCGCTTGAACCCGGGAGGTGAAGGTTGCAGTGAGCTGAGATCACGCTACTGCACTCCAACTTGGGTGACTGAGTGAAGACTCCATTTCAAAAAAAAAAAAACTGTCTGAGAAGCCCAATCTAAGAACTTTAACTTACATCAACAGGAGAAGCTAGAACACGTAGAGTTTGGGTTTTTTGTTTGTTTTCTGTTTGTTTTTCTTTAAGCAGAGCAAACAAGATCAGGACTTTTATAGCAATAAAGAAGGGAATGGATATTGGGTTAGCCACATATGTGGCAAAACAATTAACAGTATCTACAATTTAATATATTCTCAAATAGCTTTCAATTATGTAGGAAGTTAAAATATCACTTAAAACATGAGATACATTTCAATATGTGCATATACAAATATGTGTATGTATATTTATGTATATGCATATATATCTACATATGTATATAGGTAAAACCAAACTAAGCATACATGATAAACTGAACCATTTGCTATATTAATAAGACAAAATTAGGAAGATTTTTCCAAAGAGTAACAGAAGATTCCAGGTTACTTGATAAGTCCTTTTAGGCATTTGCTAAGAAAAAAAAAATCAGCCGGGCGCAGTGGCTCATGCCTGTAATCCCAGCACTTTGGGAGGCCGAGGTGGACGGTTCACAAGGTTAGGAGTTCAAGACAAGCCAGGCCAACATAGTGAAGCCCCGTCTCTACTAAAAATACAACAACAAAAAAATTACCCGGGCGTGGTGGCCGGCACCTGTAATCCTAGCTACTCGGTAGGCTGAGGAAGGAGAATCGCTTGAACCTGGGAGGCGGAGGTTGCAGTGAGCCGAGATCGCGCCACTGCACACCAGCCCGGGCGACAGTGCGAGACTCCATCTCAAAAAAAAAAAAAATCAGGTCCTGGAAAAATAAAGCATTTCAGGAACAAAGAGAAAACTTCAAGGCACCTTAAACATGGCTTTTAGATATCACAACCGTTATTTCCTCTCCTCTGGGGAACCTCTCTTGGAGGACAGAAATGAGAAGGGAGACAATACACCTCCCCTAGGGCCCAAATGACAAGGCCAGAGCTTACTCTGCGTTCCCCTCCCCCGCCATGGGAGGGCTATCAGAGGAAACTGGGGCTTCCAACTCAAAACTCAGTGTCATAGAAAAATCCCCTTTACTATCACGGGGCCGAGCTGTCTTCTGCTCTCACATATGACTATGTGTGACATTTGGTCAAAGACACACAAACACAGTCTCAACTCCACGCACACCCAATGCTTCACAGTCACACACCCACCACTGTACACAAAGTCACAAGCACCCACCCTCCATACTCCCACACAAGGACACAGAGTCACAACTACATAAGTACAAAGCTCCCTATATCTGCACACAAACGAACATATGGTCACAGAGTTACAATCACACACCCACCGCGGGCACACAGTCACAGCTAACCCACACCCTCACACAGCGTTACACAGTCACACAATAACAGTCCTAACACAGGGACTCACGGGACACCCGCAGAGTCCTCCCCACATCCGTACACAAGGTGTCACACACAATCACAATCACACACACACTGTGCTAGGACATACATTCACAAAAACACAATTTCACAACCGCCCTTCTCGGCGCGTTCCGCCTGAACAGACTTAATACTCAGTCTCAACCTCCGCACCGGATTCCAGACGCTTCACCTCCAACCTCCTCCTGATCCTGTAGTCTCCGAGCCGACCCGCTCAGAGGCCAGCACCTGGGTCGCGTGCAGCTCTCCCCCGAGCCGCGGGAGTCGCGAGGGGAGGGGCCGAGGGCGCGGCGCCTTCTGGGAAATGTAGTTCAGCGCCACGCCCGCGATGAGCAAGATGGCGCCCGGCTTGAGCCCAGCCAAAGGGATTACCCTCATTCCCGAACCGTGTCTGAGAGTCTCCTGGGGTTCCTGGCTTAGTATCGCACCGTGGCTGTTACATAAAGTCAGCACAGCGTGTTTAAGCTGATGTTACACCACTACCCAATCCCAGGGATAGAGTAAACTAAGACTAAGGCCTTACACCCCTGCCCCGGCCAGGGAGACAGTCCCACAAGCTCTGGCGGAGGAAAAGTTCGCGCGAAAAGCTGACTCAAACCGCTGAACCTTCTGGGAAATGTAGTCTACCCTCAAAAGAGTGGCACGGAGGACGGGCCAAGATCTCTCGATTCCGTCCGGTTCTGAGTCGGGGCCTGGCCCAGCCCAGGAGACCTCTGGGAGCGCTGCCCGCGGAAGGAGTGCGCAGGCGCGGAATCTCCGACTTGCCATGGTCGTCTTTGTCTGCCGGTGAGTTGGGTTTCGGCCCTGTGGGACTTGGGTTTCTGGACACTGAAACGGGCCAGGGACGCTGGAGGGGAGGATTTGCAGTGCCTGCGACGGGGCTGGGAGTATGGAGGGGAGGAATCGCCTTCTATGATGTGCGGTGATCCGAGCTTGTGTGGCTGGGGGCAGGGGTACAGTTCGGGTGGGTTCGCGGGTGGGTGACCGAGAGTGTGAGGGGGTGTTGAGGGTGCAGAGTTAGTGAGAAACTGGTTCCAAGTTTGTGAGGATGGACGGATGGCTTTGTGAGGTAGTAACCTCTAAGCCTCACTTTTCTCATTTCTAAAATAATAAAGATGCGTTTTCTGGAAAATAGGAAACGGAAAAGGCTAAGGAATTGAGCGGATAAGTAATTTTAAAGGTGATTTTTTATATAAAAGCAGACCTATTGTGGAGTAGAAAACAAAATCAGCATTACCTTTCCATTATTTTTTTAAAGAGGCAAGATTTCGGAAAAACTTGTTACTGGGTGCCTGTACACCCAGTAGGCATTGACTTTTCTTAATACTTTGGAGAAACTTTGGTGCAGTTGCTTGGAGAAACCCTGAACTAAGGAATATCTTTAAGAGGTAGTTTCCAATAGCGCAGACGGCACAGAATTTGGAAGCTACTTGTCCTGCCTTTAGCGCAGAGGTCAAGAAACTCCCTAGTTCGTCAGTGAGGGCAGCAATCTCACTCCTAATTTAATCAGGGTTTCCCCAGCCTTTTGTAAATATAGGGGAAATTCTTTT
The DNA here is from genome assembly GCF_000001405.40 of Homo sapiens. Taxonomy (NCBI): domain Eukaryota; kingdom Metazoa; phylum Chordata; class Mammalia; order Primates; family Hominidae; genus Homo; species Homo sapiens. The sequence goes on along the minus strand of NC_000019.10, from coordinate 36,527,454 downwards.
CTTGTGTATACAAAGATAGAAGTATCCTATCTTCAAGTATCTTGTCACACTTATTCTTAACATATCAACATATTCAAGTATCTTGTCACACTTATTCTTAACATATTTTTCAATAAAATAAAAAAGTAACAGGGTTAATAGTTTTGAAATATACAGAAAAAGTAAAAGATACAAAGAAGACAGGACTTAGTTTCTGCTTTTCCCCTAACTATTGGTGTTTCTAAGTTTCTGGCCTTGATCATCTAAGTACTCCTATCAGCAACAACATTACACTGCCATCCATGGCTTCATCTAATACAGATGACTAATAAATGTCTGTTTCTGCTGGAGGCTTGTCCTGAGCTCCTAATCCATATTATCTAATTGCCCAATGTGCAGTCCACCTGGAAGTTACAGGGAACTTCAAGCTCTTTATGTCTAAAGGGCTCCTTCTTCCTGCAGTCTGCCTCCATCTATTTCCCCTCTGTACCTGTTTCAGCAATTTATAGCACTGTCTAGCCAGGTTCTAAGGCACTTACATCTTAGAGAAGGCTTCTAAGTAAGTTTGATCCTTTGATTTGTTATATCCCATTACAAATTGTAAACCAAGGTTTCTCAGCACACATAATCATAAATGTATATGTTTGCTGAATCAGTGAATGAACAGTCAGCCCTCTGTGTCTGTAGGCTCTGCTTCCACGGATTCAACAAACATGAATCATAACTGTTGTTAAGCTTGCGATGGTTGTATCTGTACGTGTACAGATTTTTTTTTCTTGTCATGATTCCCTAAACAATACAGTATAACAACTATTTACCAGACATTTACGTTGTATTACGTATGATAAGTAATCTGGAGATAATTTTAAAGTATATGGGAGGATGTGCATAGGTTATATGTAAATATACTTCCATTCACTTTATTTTTATTTTTTTGAGATGGAGTCTCACTCTGTCACCCAGACTGGAGTGCAGTGGTGCAATCTCGGCTCACTGCCACCTCTGCCTCCTGGGTTCAAGCGATTCTCCTGCCTCAGCCTCCCAAGTAGCTGAGGTACAGGTGTGTGCCACCATGCCCAGCTAATTTTTTTATTTTTAGTAGAGACAGGGTTTCACCATCTTGGCCAGCCTGGTCTCGAACTCCTGACCTCAGGTGGTCAGCCTGCCTCAGCCTCCCAAAGTGCTGGGATTACAGGCGTGAGCCACCATGCCTGGCTTTATATTTGAAGTATAAGGGACTTGAGCATCTGCAGATTTTGGTATCCACAGTGATCCTGGAACCAATCTCCTGTGATATCAAGGGAAGATTATTATTATAGGACACTTACTATATTTAACTTCTCCTAGTTAATCTAAGTAAAATATTAGTCCTCTAAATTTTTTAGAGCTCTGACCTATAAATACCATCAGAATAATTTCCTGTATTTTTTTCCATATCACTCAAGGTTGGTTACTTCAGACTTATGAGAAAAGTGTTATGGGGAAAAATTATATGCAAAGATGTGACTTCACTCAGGAGCAAGGTCACAAGTGACACCTGCTCGAAGGAACCTATACAGGTTGTGATTGTGGATAACTCTGGCATCTTAGTCTCTCATAGTTTCTCTGTGTAACCTAAATTCTGAAAATAAGGTCCCTTCTGTTTCTCATTTTTGAAATGTTTAGAGCTTTTTTTTTTTTTTCCTTCCTTGAGATGGAGTCTCCACTGTCGCTTAGGCTGGTGTATAGTGGCGTGACCTTGGTTCAGTGCAACCTCTGCCTCCTGGCTTCAAGTGATTCTCTTGCCTCAGCCTCCTGAGTAGCTGGGACTACAGGCATATGCCACCACGCCTGGCTAATTTTTGTATTTTTAGTAGAGACAGGGTTTCACCATGTTGGCCAGGCGGGTCTCGAACTCCTAATCTCAAGTGATCTGCCTGCCTCGGCCTCCCAAGGTGCTGAGATTACAGACGTGAGCTTCCATGCCCGGCCATTGAAATGTGTAGAGCTTTTGAATGGCATAATGGGTCTGGCCTGAGGTGCTATGTACAAATACTGTTTTTCCATTTGCTCACATGTAGGTCAAAGCCAAAGAATCATCATTACTTTGTTCTTTTTCACAGGCCTGCTTCCTTGTATATCCACAGGAGCTGCAAAACCTCTTAGAGTTCTAAGGGCGCTCCCTGAATTTTGGGATGCTGCTTTGTTCCCCAACCATAACATCCAAGTCCAGTGTCATTTTTCTGCTCACAAGTTTAAAGTCAGCACTTAAAAGAACAGCAACAGATGATTGAGAAAGAAATGTAAAGAAGGTTCTCTTTGTGTGAGTAAGCAAGAACCTGGTAGGTATGAATGAGATAAAGACTTATTGCAGTTATTCAGTGAGAATTTGCAGCCTCTGAGTTGTTGTGGGGTTTTTTTGTTTGTTTGTTTGTTTGTTTTTTTGAGATTTTCGTACTAGCCTTTGTCTTTTAGAGTGACTGTTGCTGGGAATTCTTTAGATACCTAAATGACATTTCCAGACTGTCTTCCTGAATCTATGCATCCCTTTTATCAGATTCTAGAGGACTGATTGCTCTTCTAAAATCTATTCTGGATGCCAGTCATTCTACATCATTTGCAGCCTCAATTTTATGATTTTTTTACAGCCTCAATTTCACTTTTCTTCCTTTCACTAACATTCTCCATTTTTCACTTTTCCCTGTATGCCTAGATGCGTTTCCTTAAGCATTCAGTCCTTCATAGATCTGTTAGTTTTCAAAAACTAGCATGTCGTTAAGAGTCATCACCACTCCCTAATCTTAAGTACCCAGGGACACAAACACTGCGGAAGGCCGCAGGGTCCTCTGCCTAGGAAAACCAGAGACCTTTGTTCACTTGTTTATCTACTGACCTTCCCTCCACTATTGTCCTATGACCCTGCCAAATCCCCCTCTGCGAGAAACACCCAAGAATGATCAATAAAAAAAAAAAAAAAAACTAGCATGTAAGTTATTTTCTTTAAAATGTAATCATTCTGGCCAGGCGTGGTGGCTCACGCCTGTAATCCCAGCACTTTGGGAGGCCGAGGCTGGCGGATCACGAGGTCAGGAGATCACGACCATCCTGGCTAACACGGTGAAACCCCGTCTTTACTAAAAATACAAAAACAAAATTAGCCAGGTGTGGTGGCGGGCGCCTGTAGTTCCAGCTACTCAGGAGGCTGAGGTGGGAGAATGGCGTGAACCTGGGAGGTGGAACTTGCAGTGAGCTGAGATTGTGCCAGTGCACTCCAGCCTGGGCAACAGAGTGAGACTCTGTCTAAAAAATAATAATAATAAATAAAATAAATTAATCATTCTATGTATAACTATTATGTATCAATAAAAAAACTTTCAAAGACTAGCAAGTAGATTCTTTTCTTTACATTTTAACTTTCTATCATTCTTTCTCCTTCCATTGTTATATTCCTCAGAATTGAATTTTGCTTCCTTACTCTTGTTTTCTATTGTCTTCCTACCTCCAGCCATCATAGTTCAACACTATGTCACCTCCTGCTTTTTAACAATATTACAGGCTTAGGGATTAGTGCTGACTTCCTATTAGTTCATTACCCTGTTAATTTTAAAAAGAAATAATAATGGCTGGGTATGGTGGTGCACGCCTGTAATCCCAGCACTTTGGGAGGCTGCGGCAGGTGGATCATGAGGTCAGGAGTTTGAGACCAGCCTGACCAACATGGTGAAACCCAGTCTCTACTAAAAATACAAAAATTAGCCTGGCGAGGTGGCACACGCCTGTAATCCCAGCTACTCAGGAGCCTGAGGCAGAAGAATCACTTGAACCTGGGAGGCGGAGGTTGCAGTGAGCCGAGATCATGCCACTGCACTCCAGTCTGGGCGACAGAGTGAGACTCCCATCTCAAAAAAAAAAAAAAAAAGAAATAATACTATTATTATCAAAATTTAATATGTATACTTGATAGAAAATTAAAACAATCAGGTATGTCTCTTCATTCCTGGCCCTCAATCCCCTGTTTCCCAGAAGCAGCCACTGTTAACAGTGTCTGCTGTATGCTTCTAAATGTTTTTATGAGGATACAAAAAGGCTTTCAAGTAGAGCAGTGATGTGATTGGACTGTGACAAGATTACTGTGGCTGCTGTGTTGAGAACTGTAAAGAGTTGAAAGCTAAAGTAGCAAGACTGGTAAGGAGGCTGTTAAATAATCCTGGCAAGACATGTGGCTTAGACCTTGGTGGTCACAGTGAGGATTGTCCAAAATAGCCAGTAAGCTACGAGGTTGTAAAGAGTGTGCAATCTGACTGAAAGAGAAGTATTGTTTGAGCAGCAAGGAGAATGAGATTGCTATTTAAAGAGATGAGAAGAATTTGAGAGGAGTTGGTTTGGGAGCTGGAGCAAGAGTTTGAATAGGGGCAGGGTAAGTTAGATCACTATTAGACATCCAAGTGGAAATGTTGAGTAGTCAGCTGGATATTTGAATTGATTGTTGAGGAGAGAGGTCCAGGCTGGTGATTAGTATTTGTTAGGCATCTCAGATTCATGATATGTAAAGCAATAAGAAGTGTACTAATCACAGTAAAGCTAAGTGACTATAATAAACTTCAAAGTGCCAGTTTAAGGAATGTAGGAATTGATTTCTTGGTCACATAACACTCATGTGGTGAATAGTCCAGATTTGCATGCTAACTTTGGTGCTTATGGTCCCTGAAACATATGGATTCCTCCGAGGTTCTCTCTTTATTATCTGGTTGTGGTTGGAGCTGGATCAACAATGCAACCTGGTTTCAGCCAGATAGAAGATGGAGGAATTGCTACTCTAGGACAGGAGTTCAGCAAGCTTTTTCTGTAAAGGGCCAGATGGTTAATATTTAAGTCTTTGTAGGCTACAGGGTCTCCATTGCAGCTACTTATCTCAAGCATTATACTGTGAAAGTAGTCATGGACAAGAAAATAAATAAACATGGCCATGTTCCAGAAAAACTCTTTTAGTTTGCCAACCTTGTGGTGTTTTTTTTTATTTTATTTATTTATTTATTTTTTGAGATGGAGTTTCACTCTTGTTGCCTAGGCCAGAGTGCAATGGTGTGATCTCGGCTCACTACAACCTCCATCTCCCAGGTTCAAGCGATTCTCCTGCCTCCACCTCCTGTGTAGCTGGCATTACAGGAACATGTCACCACGCCCAGCTAATTTTTTGTATTTCTAGTAGAGACAGGGTTTCACTATGTTGGCCAGTCTCGTCTCGAACTCCTGACCTCAGGTGATCCACTCACCTCGGCCTCCCAAAGTGCTGGGATTACAGGCGTGAGCCACCGAGCCTGGCGTCAACCCTTGTTTTAACAGGTCACTATTTACACATAATACAATTAAGAGTTTGCTTGCCATTAGAGCATTTTGACTTATATTTTGAAAGCATTTTTCATTTTATTTTATTTTTTTTATTTGTTTGAGATGAAGTCTCACACTGTCACCTGGGCTGGAGTGCAGTGGCGCGATCTCGGCTCACTGCAAGCTCTGCCTCCCAGGTTCAAGCGATTCTGCTGCCTCATCCTCCCAAGTAGCTGGGATAACAGGCGCCCACCACCAAGCATAGCTAATTTTTTGTATTTTTAGTAGAGACGGGGTTTCACCATGTTGGCCAGACTGGTCTCAAACTCCCGACCTTGTGATCTGCCTGCCTCCACCTCCCAAAGTGCTGGGATTACAGGCGTGAGCCACCGCACCCGGCCTTATTTTATTTTTTTAGACAGAGTCTTGCTGTGTCACTCAGGCTGGAGTGCAGTGGCACAATCTTGGCTCACTACAATGTCTGCCTCCCGGGTTCAAGCGATTCTTTTGCCTCAGCCTCCTGAGTAGCTGGAATTTACAGATGCCCACCACCATGCCTGGCTAATTTTTGTATTTTTAGTAGAGACAGAGTTTCACCATGTTGGCCAGACTGGTCTCGAACTCCTGACCTCAGGTGATCTGCCTGCCTCATCCTCCCCAAGTGCTGGGATTACAGGCGTGTGCCACTGCACCTGGTCCTGAGAATATTTTTTAAACCATGGGATAAATGTTGAAAGAACCATTTTACTTGTTGTTCTGATTATGTTTTCTAGTTCAGTTCAGCATTGTCATTTACAGTGTTAAAAATTCAATTCTGATAAGTGTGTGAAGGATGTAGGGTTTTAATTACAAAGGAGATGTAATTTTTAATTTTCTTTTGGATTGTTTGGAATATAGTAGCATAAGTCCTGATCTGTTATGCATCATACCAATTTTCATGAATTTTTTAAAAGTAAGTGGAAAACAAAATAAATAATACCATTATCTAATCAAAGTTTAGTAAAATTCACATGCTAAGCCATCCATGCCTTGGGCTTTAAGGGGCAAGAGCTCTATTTTTTCCTTCTTTCTTTCTTTTTTTTTTTTTTGAGACAAGGTCTTACTCTGTCTCCCAGGCTGGAGTGCAGTGGCATGATCACAGCTCACTGCAGCCTTGAACTCCTGACTCAAGTAATCCTCCTACCTCAACCTTCTGAGCAGCTGGGACTACAGGCACCTGCCACTACGCCCACCTAATTTTTAAATTGTTTGTAGAGACAGGGTCTCACGGTGTTGGCCAGGCTGGTCCTTTTTTTTTTTTTTTTTTTTTGAGACGGAATCTCGCTCTGTCACCCAGGCTGGGGTGCAGTGGGGCGATCTCAGCTCACTGCAACCTCTGCCTCCCAGGTTCAAGTAATTCTTCTGCCTCAGCCTCCAGAGTAGCTGGGACTACAGGCGCCCGCCACCACGCCTAGCTAATTTTTTTTGTTTTTGTCTTTTTAGTACAGACGGGGTTTCACCATGTTAGCCAGAGTGGTCTCGATCTCCTGACCTTGTGATCTGCCTGCCTTGGCCTCCCAAAGTGCTGGTCTTGAACTGCTGGGCTCAAATGATCCACCTGCCTTAGCCTTCTAAAGTTCTGGGATTACAGGCGTGAGCCACCACACCCAGCCCTATTTTGTACTATGTTTATGTTTCTGTTTAGGTTTTCTGTCTTTTCTGGTTTCAGTTCGCATCGGTTATACTTGCTAAGTTTTCTATTTGCATGGGGTTTAACAAAATAGTCTGTACTATCCATATTTTCTATCTATAGTTATTTCCAAATATCTTTTTCTTTTTTACTCTTACTTCTTTTAAGTTTTTCCTTAAGAATCCACTCATGAATTTATTATTTCTCTTTTTCTGTTTGTAATACATTAATTTCTTTTTCCTATTTTTACTAATTTTCTGTTTTTCTTTCCTTTTTCTTTCTTTCTTTTTTTTTTTTTTTTGAGACAGAGTCTCACTCTGTTGCCCAGGCTGGAGTGCAGTGGCACAATATTGGTTCACTGCAACTTCCTCCTCCTGGGTTCAAGCATTTCTCCTGCCTCAGCCTCCCGAGTAGCTGGGATTACAGGCGCACACCACCACACCCGGCTAATTTTGTATTTTTAGTAGAGATGGGGTTTCTCCATGTTGGCCAGGCTGGTCTCGAACTCCTAACCTCAAGTGATCTGCCCACCTCGGCCTCCCAAAGTGCTGGGATTACAGGCGTGAGTCACCACACCCGGTCTGTTTTTCTTATATTTACTTTTTCTTATGTTAATTACTTTGAGTGCTTATTTTATTACTTTTTTTAAAATGATGTAAGCTTTTATGCTAAAACTTCATTCTCCAAGCATTAATTTTCCCTGGCCAAAGGGTTTGTTCAAACCAATAGATTTTGAAATTTACAAGTGAAAGGTTTTGTTTTTGTTCTGTCATTTCTATGTGTTGGGTTTTTTGTTTTTTTGGTCAGAGTATTTTGTCCATCCTTTACTACTTTGTGGAACAGGCTACTGTATGGGCTGATTTTCAGAATGTTCTTTGGGCATTTAAAAAGGTGGTTTATAATCTATTTTCAAGATATAGGATAAACTGATTAATAAAATATGTTATAAATGTGTATACATTTTTCTTTTTATTTATATTGTATTTTATGGATTTGAATTCAGAGGTTGAGAGTGGTTGTTTTCTCAGTTACTAACGGGGTTCTGAAATGTTACCCCCAGTATGTTATACCCATACTTCCCCTTCTGACTTCTGATACTAGTAAGATCACTGCTTTTTTATTAAAGCATTTGTAAGCATTTACGTAACTATAACACTGTAAGCATTGTTGACTGGTAAACCAAATGATTTTCTATGACTCTGTTTGATTTCTTGTATAACCTTTTGCTTTTCTTTTAATTAATATTTGCTTCTTTGTTTTGTTTGCTTAGTTTTCCATTTTTGTGTTTTGATTCTTCCCAAGCTTTCAGACAGAACTGTAAAACCTAGAAGTCTAAGTTGGAAGTAACTTATGGTTAGGATTATCCATTGTCTTGCAATCTGATGCCTTTTTGATGTGGTATGTCTTTTTCTTTTATTTCCTTTTATAGGATAAATGTTTTGGAACATTTAGGATTTTTTTTTTTTGTTAAGACAAGGTCTCACTCTTGCCCAAGCCGGAGTTCAGTAGGGTAATCATAGCTCACTCTCCTGGGCTCAAGCCATCGTACCATCTCAGCCTCCCCAAGTAGAAGGGAGTACATGTATATGCCACCACACCCAGATAATCTTTTTTATTTTTAGTAGAGACAAGATCACACTGTGTTGCACAGGCCGGTCTCAAACTAGGATCCTCTTTTTATCCCTAGGTGAAATTTTGTATTGATGTGCTTTCGCCGCTATCTTTTTAAATGGAATGTTCTTTGTACTCAATGGGCCTGCTAAGTATGTGGACTCATGATTTGTAATTCTGGGAAGTGTTCTTTATTAGCTCTTTGAAAATGTCCTGTATTCATTTTTCTTCATACTTTCTTTGGAACTTCTTTAGTAGATGCTGATCCTTCCAGATTCTTCCACTAACCCACTAAATGTTCCAACCATTACACTCTTTCTTTCTGCCTTCCTCCATTCTTCCTTTTTTTATTCTAGGAGATTTTCTAGACTTTCTTTCCCCAACATACTGAATTTTTAAGATCAATTTCATATTGTTTATTTCTAAAAACACCTCTTTATAGAACACTGTTAATATTTCATTGCAGTGATAATAGTAATCTCCTAACTTTCCATGATATTAATTGTAGTATTATATGGGTGAGTTTTTCTGCTCTTTGCCTTGTATTTTGTTTGATCTGCCTTTGATGTTAGGACTTTCATCAAATGTTTTCTGATCTTTAGCTCTATATTAATTTGTGTATGTAAGCGGGGCTTATGAAATGGTGGTTTTCACTGTGCATCAATCAGTAATATAGATGTGTTTCGTTAGATGATTCCAAATGTTAGCATCTGTAGGTGTTCTCATGGTCTTCTCATTTTTTCAGAAAATAATTCTTCCGGGCCGGGTGCGGTGGCTCATGGCTGTATTCCCAGCACTTTGGGAGGCCAAGGCGGGTGGATCATGAGGTCAGGAGTTCAAGACCAGCCTGGCCAACATGGTGAAGCCCCGTCTCTAACTAAAAATACAAAAATTAGCCGAGCGTGGTGGCGGGCACCTGTAATCCCAGCTACTCGGGAGGCTGATGCCGGAGAATCCCTTCACCCGGGAGGCAGAGGTTGCAGTGAGCCGAGATCGCACTGCACTCCAGCCTGGGCAACAGAGCGAGACTCCGTCCCAAAAAAAAAAAAAGAAAGAAAGAAAAAAGAAAATAATTCTTCCATCATCTGACAGCTAGTAACCACCAGCATTCTCGGACTCTAACAGTAGAAGAGCCTCTGTTATGTGTATAAACTTTTACTCATTCTTCTCTTACTAGGATGCTCTCATTACTTTGCTGGTCATCACTAAATTTGGAGCCTCTTGGTTTTGTCTGGATGATAAACTTCACATTTCTGTCCAGCTAGGAGAGTTCAGGGCATTAGCTGGTCCTTTCACAGTCATTTTGTAAGCCCTGCCTTCCACTCTTGCCCAGTTTCTCCACTGACAGAGCATATCTGTCAATATCTGTGTTACAGACCTGTGAAGGTGGCCCCCACATCTGCTGGCTTTTCTTTAAACCACTCAGTTCTGCTGTTAATTTACAGTTCTCTATTTGCTTTCTTTCCAAAATTTCCTAATACTTTTTTTTTTTTAGAGACAAGGTCATACTCTGTCACCTAGGCTGGATTGCAATGGCATGATCATAGCATACTGCAGCCTCGAACTCCTGGGCTCAAGCGATCCTCCTACTTCAACCTCCCAAGTAACTAAGACTACAGGTGTATGCTACTGCACCTACCTAATTTTTAAAATTTTTGTAGAGATAAAGCCTTGCTGTGCTGCTTAGGCTGATCTCAAACTCCTGGCCTCAAGCAGTCCTCCTGCCTTGGCCTCCCAAAGTGCTGAGATTACAGGAAGGAGCCACTATCCCTAGTCCTCCTAATACTTTTTGTCCACTGATATCTTCTTAACCGTTTAGTTCTTATGTGTCCTTCTTCACCCTTTTACTGTCATTTTAATGGTGTTTCGGGAAGACATAGAAATAAGCACCTTATTTAAACTTTTCTGTTCATTTTATTTTTGCCCTGTCTTCCTATGCACTCCCAGTCTTTTAAGTATTTGTCCTTTCATCCTGTTTCTCACCGATTCCTTATGTTTTAAAGACCAAGTCGGCCGGGCGCAGTGGCTCACGCCTGTAATCCCAGCACTTTGGGAGGCCAAGGCGGGCAGATCACGAGGTCAGGAGATCGAGACCACCCTGGCCAACGTGGTGAAACCCCGTTTCTACTAAAAATACAAAAAATTGGCAGGGCATGGTGGTGGGCGCCTGTAGTCCCAGCTGCTCAGTAAGCTGAGGCAGGAGAATGGCGTGAACCCAGGAGGCGGAGCTTGCAGTGAGCCGAGATCATGCCACTGCGCTCCAGCCTGGGCGACAGAGCAAGACTCCGACCCAAAAAAATAAAATAAAAGACCGAGTCTTGCACTGTCACCCAGACACTGGCACGATCATAGCTTATTGCAGCCCTGAAATCCTGGGCCTAAGCAATCTGCCCACCTCAATCTCCTCAGTAGCTAGGACTACAGGCACCATGCCTGGCTAGTTTTTAAATTTTTTATAGAGACGAGAGTCTCGCTGTGTTACCAAGGCTGCTCTCAAACTCCTGGCCTCAAGCAATTTTCCTGCCTCACCCTTCCAAAGTGCTGGGATTATAGGTGTGAACCACCATACCTAGCCTTATTTTCTCTCATTTTACTGATTTATGAAGTGTGCTGGGTTACATTGAAAAGCAATTAAAATTACACATACCTGGGAATGTTATTTGTATTTGAACTTTATTTTATAATGAGACTAGGCTTGGATAAAGAATCTATTTTACAGCCGTGCGCAGTGGCTTATGCCTGTAATCCCAGCACTTTGGGAGGCTGAGGTGGGCGGATCACCCAAAGTCGGGAGTTTGAGACCATCCTGGCCCACATGGAGAAACCTTGCCTCTACTAAAAATACAAAAATTAGCCAGGCATGGTGGCGGGCTCCTGTAGTCCCAGCTACTCGGGAGGCTGAGGCAGGAGAATTGCTTGAACCTGGAAGGCAGAGGTTGCGGTGAGCCAAAATCGCGCCATTGCCCTCCAGCCTGGGCAACAAGAGCGAAATTCCATCTCAAAAAAAAAAAAGAATCTATTTTACAGTAATACATTTCTGAAATTATATTAATAATGGGAAACTTCAAAGGTGTTAGTGATATTATGTTGATGATAATGATAACCTAATTTATTGGACGCTTATTACATGCCAGGCACTATATATTATATTAACTTTTTCAATTATGATTTTTTTGTACTTCCTTTTAGAAGAAGCCTGGGAAGTTTATAAACAGATAAAGACGCAACATGAAAGACTTGTAAGTTAAGTCTCATCTTTCTCTGTGAAAAGACAGACTGAGGGAAAATTTAGGAAACAAAGTATTTCCTCTGAACAGTCATTGATTCTTCAAGACTACCCTTCTGTGTATGGAACTCAGTTTAAAAGAATTTGAAACCTAATTTATATACAATCTATACCTAAATATGGGAGAAGCTATATAAGAACCATTAAGAATATAAAGAGAATGTTACATTTTATCCCTTTTTGTAATCATCTCATCTCAGGGTAATCAATGTGAGAAAAGTCTTCCATCATAAATTTAACTTCATTAGATACCTGAGAATTAATATTGAAAATACACCATATGAATTTAGTGAATGTGGGAAAGCTTTCATCCTTATTACATCTTATTTGATACTAGGGAAATCTCCTGATTAAATTCACATGCATGATAGGCATGTTGGAAAGTCTTCAGCATGAATCAGATCTCCTTCAGCATGATCAAATTCATACTGGAGAGAAACCTTATGAATGTAATGAATGTAGAAAAACTTTTAGCCTGAAGCAAAACCTTGTAGAGCATAAGAAAATGCATACTGGAGAGAAATCTCATGAATGCACTGAATGTGGTAAAGTGTGCTCTCGAGTCTCATCTCTTACTCTACACCTTAGAAGTCACACAGGAAAGAAGGCATATAAATGTAATAAATGTGGAAAAGCCTTCAGCCAGAAGGAAAACTTCCTTTCTCATCAGAAACATCACACTGGAGAGAAACCTTATGAATGTGAAAAAGTTTCTATTCAGATGCCAACCATCATCAGACACCAGAAAAATCATACAGGAACCAAACCCTATGCATGTAAGGAATGTGGCAAAGCCTTTAACGGCAAAGCATATCTCACTGAGCATGAGAAAATTCATACTGGAGAAAAACCATTTGAATGTAATCAGTGTGGAAGAGCCTTCAGCCAGAAGCAATACCTCATTAAACATCAGAACATCCATACTGGAAAGAAGCCCTTTAAATGTAGTGAGTGTGGAAAAGCTTTTAGCCAGAAGGAAAACCTCATTATACATCAGAGAATCCATACTGGAGAGAAACCTTATGAATGTAAAGGGTGTGGGAAAGCTTTCATTCAGAAGTCAAGCCTCATTAGACACCAGAGAAGTCACACAGGAGAGAAACCTTATACGTGTAAGGAATGTGGGAAAGCCTTCAGTGGCAAGTCAAATCTCACAGAGCATGAGAAAATTCATATTGGAGAGAAACCCTACAAATGTAATGAATGTGGAACAATCTTCAGGCAGAAGCAATACCTCATTAAACATCACAATATTCATACAGGAGAGAAACCCTATGAATGTAATAAATGTGGAAAAGCCTTCTCTCGAATCACATCACTTATTGTACATGTGAGAATTCATACAGGTGATAAGCCTTATGAGTGTAAGGTCTGTGGGAAAGCCTTCTGTCAAAGCTCATCTCTTACTGTGCATATGAGAAGCCATACAGGTGAGAAACCCTATGGTTGTAATGAATGTGGGAAAGCCTTTTCTCAGTTCTCAACCCTTGCTCTGCACATGAGAATCCATACTGGTGAAAAACCTTATCAGTGTAGTGAATGTGGGAAAGCTTTCAGCCAAAAGTCACATCACATTAGACACCAGAGAATTCATACTCATTAAAGTTCTCTATGAATGCCTTGGATTTAGCAAAACGTTCAGCAGATTTTACACTTAATAGTGTATTGGAAAATTCATTTTACATTAAAGTGACATGAATGTGGGAAGTCCTTCAGCAGCAATTCAAAACTTAAATACTATGATGTTTAATAAGTATTATAGTGTAAAGAAAACCCGTACCCCCAAAACTCCCACAACAAGCATTATCAATGCTGTACTTCTAGGAGTATACTCATTAAAGTTAGGATCTAGTCATGGACACTACTTAATGTGTTCCTGGAAGGCCTACAGATGCATTAAGAAATAGATATGAGATGTATGAGGATTTGAAATTAAGAGACAAAATTATCATTTTTGTGATGTTTTGCTACATATATGAATTGTAAAACTAGAATCATCAAAATTATTTGTTGTTGAAGCAGTCATAAAACTGAGACTGAGACAGAATATTGAATTCAGAAATGTGTGCATGAATATATGGGGAATTGGTAATTGATAGAGGCGGTATCCCAGATTGGTGGGGAAATCATGGATTACTTAAAAATTAATTGACTCTTCATATGGAAAAATAATATCTCCCATCATAATATAAAATATTTTTCTTATGAATTCTTAAAGTACTAAAGACTAAAATGCAAAAAGCAATACTTAATAATATAACAGTTTTATAAGAAGATGTTTTTAAAACCTTAGGGCAGGAAAGAACTTCTAAAACATTCCAGAATACCCGGTAGTTCCACTCTTGAGTATGGTAGTCCCCTATTTTCTGCAAGAGATGGACTCTAAGACCCCCAGTGGATACCTAAAACCCAGATAGGACCAAACTCTATGTCTATGTTTTTTTCTTATATATACATACCTATGATAAAATTTAGTTTACAGATTAGACACAGCAAGAGATTTAAAACAATAATAAACATAATATGGAACAATTATAACAATATACTGTAATCATAAAAGTTATGTGAATATGATCTTTCTCTCAGAATACCTTATTGTACTGTTCTCAACTATTTATGAACTGTGGTGACTACAGGTAACTGAAACCATGGAAAGCAAAGCTGTGGATAAGGGGGAACTACTATATATATGCATCTACCCAAGAAACATGAACACAGGGAGTCATGTACTGGTCTATAGCTGTATAGTTCATTGCACCATGAGTTATAGTAGCCAGAAGTTGGGAAACAAATGCTGTCTCTTGTGAAATAGATGAATAAAATGTGATAGTAACATAGTAGAGTACTCTCTAGCAGTTAAGTGACAAATTAAGTCTATATATTAACAGAAATATTTTTAAAAAATTAGAGTGAAGAAAAATGATGAACATATTGTAATGATGCTTCTGTGAATTTGAATAAAATCAACACTAACCAGCCCTAGTACTAAGAATTGGTTATGGATAAATTATGTAAAACTAAAGAATGGATTGAAAGGATATGTATATACTCAGTTCCCAAAAGTGGAGTGGTTACCTCTAGGAAGAAAGGAGGTGGAAGGGAAATGTTACCAAGCATGGTAGTTAAAGGATACTTCAATTTTGTATCTATTTCTTATTAAAAAGAAACATTCTAAGTAAACATAACGAAATATTAATTCTGGGTGGTGGTAATATTTGTGTTCATTCTATCATTCGTGCTATTTATTTCCTTAAACTTCTGAAAGTTAAAAAGTCCAGATAGGAGTGAGGAAGCTGTACATGAAACATAATGGACTTACATTCCTAGTCAGATACTAATATTCTGTAGAAGATATTTCTAAAATCTTATCTTTAAAATATGAAATAATTTTTAATTGGGGTGGCAACTTAAATTCAATTAAAATAACTCATGTGTCACAAGAGTAAATTTTACATAATCTGTACGTAGTTCTAATCTGTATATAGTCTTGGAGGTTATGATTTGCCACAGATTGGTTGGATCACATACATTTAAGGATCATATTATTAAATAATATATGCACAGACATGGAGAGAATTAGTTTTTACTAAAACATTTATCAGAAATTTTAATACTCTGCATAACCAGTATTAGCATTAGAAATTAGCCACTTTTAAAATGAGAAAACTGTGTCACTCTTCAATTTTTTTATAAGCCATTGAGGAAAACATTAACTCCTGGATTTCAGCTTCACTTTTAACCTGCAGACTAAATTTCTTTCTCAATTATGTCAGACACACCCAAGTCAATCCCAACCCCCTTGTTACCTTGGGAAGACCGTGCTGAAAAAGGAGATCTTCCACCTAAACAGTGTTCTCTTATTTGAAGCAAATCTTTTTGAGAATTTGTTTACTTGATTTCTTTCCACAATAAACTGACAGAGAACGCTACTAATGATTTTTTTTTTTTTTTGAGACGGAGTTTTGTTCTTGTTGCCCAGGCTGCAGTGCAATGGCACAATCTTGGCTCACTGCAACCTCTGCCTCACAGGTTCAAGTGGTTCTCCTGCCTCAGCCTCTTGAGTAGCTGGGATTACAGGCATGCGCCACCATGCCCGGCTAATTTTGTATTTTTAGTAGAGACGGAGTTGCACCATGTTGGCCAGGCTGGTCTTGAATTCCTGACCTCAGGTGATCCACCTGCTTCGGCCTCCCAAAGTGCTAGGATTACAGGTGTGAGCCACCACGCCTGGCTAATTTTGTATTTTTAGTAGAGATGGGGTTTCTCCAAAGGCTGGTCTTGAACTCCCGACCTCAGGTGATCCGCCCACCTTGGCCTCCCGAAGTGCTGGGATTACAGGCGTGAGCCACCGTGCCCGGCCTGATGTTTTTGAATGATTATGAAAATGGGTATACAGCATTAAAACCTTAGACTGATTTTAAATATATTAATTTCTTTTAAACTCAATATAATGTTAATATTACTGTAGCACTTACTAGCATTTCTGAAGGTTGGTCTTGAGATAAGATTGAAAATGACAGTTGTTGATTTTCTGAGGTAATATACCCAAATAAAATATATGTATGTGTACATGAATCTAAACTGTCTTCTTCTGTTCCTCATTTTGCTTTACTTAAATAATCTTTCATATTTTTTAAGTGTTTTGCCCATGTGCTTGGGTAGCCTTGAAGTCACCAGAATAACTAGGACTCAAATTCAGACCAAACCAGGACTAGCTTTTTGTGCCATGAGTTAGCCATGGTCCTGGACCCAGCAAAAAGAATGATTATGATGGTCAGAGTAAGATGAGCAATTGCAACATAATATTCTCTAATATTGTATACTGTAAATTTATTCAGCTGCCCTCGTTTACTCACAGTTTGCTTATTTGCCACCATAAGAAATGGTACAATAAAAATTCATGTAATCACCCCTTAGATTTCAGTTGTTTTTATTTCTGTGGGTCAGATTACAGGGAAGGGATTGGTAGATCAAAGGATTGATGTTATTTTAAAATTTTTAATAGATGTTGTCAGAGTCAGGTCCAAAAGAACAACATATCCTCTGGCTCTACAATAGATCCTATGATGCTACTTAATTGTATGCTTCTTTGATGAGTATAAACCTCACTTGCTCCCAGATTTGCCTCTTTGAGAGTTTTCATATTGTTAGCTCATTTTTCTATAGGATTATTTGTCTTTTTGCCTCCCTTTTTCTTTTCTTGAGTTAAGGTCTGGCTCTATTGCCCAGGCTGGAGTATTGTGGCACAATCTTGGCTCACTGCAACTGCCACCTCCCAGGCTCAAGCCATCCTCCCACCTCAGCTTCCCAAGTAGCTGGGACTATAGGCATGCGCCACCATGCCTGGCTATTGTTTTCTTTTCTTTCTTTCTTTCTTTTTTTTTTTTTTTGTTGTTGTTGTTGTTGTTGAGACAGTGTCGCACTGTTGCCCAGGCTGGAGTACAGTGGCGCGATCTCGGCTCACTGCAACCTCCACCTCCTGGGTTCAAGCGATTCTTCTGCCTCAGCCTCCCGAGTAGCTGGGACTGCAGGCGTGCACCACCACACCCAGCTAATTTTTGTATTTTTAGTAGAGACTGGGTTTCACAATGTTGGCAGGATTGTCTCGATCTCTTGACTTCATGATCCGCCCACCTTAGCCTCCCAAAGTGCTTGGGATTACAGGCGCGAGCCATTGCGCCTGGCCATTTTAGTGTATTTTAATATCAAAGCTAAATATTTAGACAAATAATTGTCTTCTAATTATAGCCAATTTGGTCACACACAAAATTTCTTGCGTAAATTAATCCTTCATGAATTTTATAGTTACATGTAGTTAGGCCTGAGCAAGGCAGGTGAGGGCTCTCTGCCCACCCACTAGAAATGTCAGGTAATAGTATGGCAGTTTTGACATTGCCTCTTTAAAAATGATAATTCTGCTGGGCTCGGTGGCTCACGCCTGTAATCTCAACACTTTGGGAGGCCAAGGCAGGTGGATCATTTGAGATCAGGAGTTCAAGACCATCCTGACCAACATGATGAAACTTTGTCATTACTAAAAATACAAAAATTAGCCAGGCATGGTGGCGTATGCCTATAGTCCCAGCTACTCGGGAGACTGAGACAGGAGAATCGCTTGAACCCGAGAGGCAGCGAGCTGAGATTGCACCATGGCACTCCAGCCTGGGTGACGGAGTGAGACTCCCATCTCAAAAAAAAAAAAAAAAAAAAGAAAATTCCAAGGAGGGACAATCTCCTGATGGTCCACACCTGTTAACATTAAAAGTGTTAATTTGAGTGCAGACCCAGGGAGAAGCAGATTCTTGGCCATGTGTGTTAATAGACAAAATGGCGACATGATGTTCCAGGGCCACATGCCACCAGATAAAGGAAAAAAGCCTCAGATGGGCATGTATATAACTCCCTAAACATGCTGTGTGTGCTCAATTCCCAAGGGTAAGGAAAGCACTGTGCATTTGGGGAGCCCACCCTAAGGGAAGAATCATGGGAAAGAGGTGAATGTATAAAGTCCTAGGATCAAGGTTAAAGTCTTTTTTTTTTTTTTTTGAGATGAAGTCTTGCTCTGTCACCCAGGCTGGAGTGCAGTGGCGTGATCTCGGCTCACTGCAACCTCCACCTCCCAGGTTCAAGCGATTCTTCTGCCTCAGCCTCCTGAGTAGCTGGGATTACAGGTGTGTGCCACCACGTCCAGCTAATTTTTGTATTTTTAGTAGAGACGGGGTTTTACCATGTTGGCCAGGATGGTCTCGATCTCCTGACCTTGTGACCCATCCTCCTCGGCCTCCCAAAGTGCTGGGATTACAGGTGTGAGCCACTGCACCCGGCCAAAGACTTTTTTTTTTTTTTTTGGTCTTTTCTTTCTTGGACCTTCAGGCATCTGCTTGGCTCTCTAACAAGTGAATTTTCCTTTCTTTACTGTTCTAAAGCTTTTTAAAATAAACTTCCACTCGTGCTCTGAAACTTGCCTTGGTCTCTTTTTCTGCTTCCCCTCAGTTGAATTCTTTCTTCTGAGAAGGCACAGGCTGAAGTTGCTGTGGTCTTGTATGAATACACCACTGTTAACGGGGTAATTCAGATCTCTGTCACCACTAACTTTATCACAACTTATTCAGACCTTTGACAACATACTTTGACTTTCCGCTTTGTCCTATGCTTTCTTTTAAAAAAAAAAATCACTTTAGGACCAATATTTATCACATAAAATTCTTTCTCATACAAAGTTATTCTCTTTTGCTTTTAACTTGCCTTACCAAAAATGTATCTTCATATTAATAACTTTGTTTACATCTCTCTGTCCTATTGGTTCTTTTCCTTTTTTTTTTTTTTTTTTTTTGAGACAGAGTCTCACTCTGTCCTGTCCACCAGGCTGGAATGCAGTGGCGCCATCTCAGCTCACTTCAACCTCCACCTCCCAGGTTCAAGCAATTCTCTGCCTCAGCCTCCCGAGTAGCTGGGATTACAGGTGCCCGCCACCACACCCAGCTAATTTTTGTATTTTTAGTAGAGACAGGGTTTCACCATGTTAGCAAGGCTGGTCTTGAACTCCTGACCTCGTGATCCACCCACCTTGGCCTCCCAAAGTGCTGGGATTACAAGCGTGAGCCACCACACCTGGCCTATTTAGAGTTTTTATAAGATTTAAAATGCCAAGAACAAACATTTGTGTTCAACAATTCATATTTTGGTTTTTTAATCTTATTTGGTACCAACCAAGACATTTAGTAAGTATCCAGTAATTAAGTAACACAATGGTACGATGTCAAATGACATGAAAAGTCTTTTTATGTCTATCCCATTTACATTTACCTAATTGATTTTTTTTTTTTTTTTGAGACGGAGTCTCGCTCTGTTGCCCAGGCTGGAGTACAGTGGCGCAATCTTGGCTCACTGCAAGTTCTGCCTCCCGGGTTCATGCCATTCTCCTGCCTCAGCCTCCCGAGTAGCTGGGACTACAGGTGCCCGCCACCATGCCCGGCTAACTTTTTTGTATTTTTAGTGGAGACGGGGTTTCACCGTGTTAGCCAGGATGGTCTCAATCTCCTGACCTCGTGATCCGCCCACCTCGGCCTCCCAAAGTGCTGGGATTACAGGCGTGAGCCACGACGCCTGGCCCTAATTGATTTATTTTTAACAATTATACTGAAATTCTGAAAACTGAGATATTAGACAAAGTCACTATTTGAAGTTATTCATGTATCTGATGTGTGATCAATATCCAGAATATATAGAAAATTCCTAATACTCAAAATGAAAGCAAACAACCAGATCAAAAGGGTAAATGACTTAAATAGCCATTTATCCGAAGAAGTTTTTTGTTTGTTTGTTTTTTGTTTTGAGACACAGTCTGGCTCTGTCGCCCAGGTTGGAGTGCAGCAGCACAATCTAGGCTCACTGCAACCTCCGCTTCCCGGGTTCAAGCAGTTCTCTGCCTCAGCCTCCCGAGTAGCTGGGATTACAGGTGCACACCATCGTGCCCGGCTAATTTTTGTATTTTTAGTAGAGATGAGGATTCCCCATGTTGGCCAGGCCAGTCTTGAACTCCTGACCTCAGGTGATCCGCCTGCCTCGGCCTCCCAAAGTGTTGGGATTACAGGCGTGAGCCACTGCACCCGGCCCAAGATTTTTTCATGCGCCAGTGCTTTGCAAATCAAAACTAAAATGTGATTACCAACTCACCCATTAGGATAGCTATTAAACAAAATACACAAAATAACAAGTGTTTACAAGGATCAAAAGAAATGGGAACCTGGCCTGGCGCCGTGGCTCATGCCTGTAATCCTAACACTTTGGAAGGCCAAGACAGGCAGACTGCCTGAGCTCAGGAGTTCGAGACCTGCCTGGACAACATGGTCTCTACAAAATACAAAAAAATTAGCCACTGCAGTCCAGTCTGGATGACAGAGCAAGACTCCACCTCCAAAAAAAAAAAAAAAAAAAAAAAAAGAAATGGGAACTCTTATGCCCTGTTGATGAGGGTGTAAAATGGTGCAGCCACTGTGGAAAAAAATAGAGTAGTTCCTCCAAAAATTAAACATATAGCACTTTGGGACGCTGAGAGGAGGGGATCTCTTTTTTATTTTATTTTTTTGAGATGGAGTCTTACTGTGTTGCCCAGGCTGGAGGGCAGTGGCGCGATCTCGGCTCACTGCAAGCTCCGCCTCCCGGGTTCACGCCATTCTCCTGCCTCAGCCTCCTGAGTAGCTGGGACTACAGGCGCCCGCCACCACGCCCAGCTAATTTTTTTGTATTTTTAGTGGAGACAGGGTTTCACCGTGTTAGCCAGGATGGTCTCAATCTCCTGACCTCGTGATCTGCCCACCTCGGCCTCCCAAAGTGCTGGGATTACAGGCGAGAGCCGCCGCGCCCAGCCACTTACAAGGGGATCTCTTGAGCCCAGGAGTTCCAGACCAGCCTGGGCAACCTCTACAAAAAATATAAAAATTCGCTGGCTGTGGTGGTGTGCACCTGTACTTTATGCCCCTAAGTCAAACTTTTTTTTTTTTTGAGACAGAGTTTTGCTCTTGTTGCCCAGGCTGGAGTGCAGTGGCATGATTCTACTGCCTCATCCTCCCGAGTAGCTGGGATTACAGGCATACACCACCACACTCGGATAGTTTTGTATTTTTAGTAGAGACAGTGCTTCTCCATGTTGGTCAGGCTGGTCTCGAACTCTCAACTTCAGGTGATCCACCTGCCTCGGCCTCCCAAAGTACTGGGATTACAGGCATGAGGCACCGCGCCTGGCCAGACTTTTTGAGTCTTGCACTGTTGCCCAGGCTAGAGTGCAGTGGTGAGATCTCAGCTCACTGCAACCTCCACCTCCCGGGTTCAAGTGATTCTCCTGCCTCAGCCTCCTAAGTAGCTGGGATTACAGGCACCTGCCACCACACCCAGCTAATTTTTGTATTTTTGGTAGAGACAGGGTTTCACCATGTTGGCCAGGCTGGTCTTGAACTCCTGACCTCAAGTGATCCACCCGCCTCAGCCTTCCAAAGTGCTGGGATTACAGGCGTCAGCCACCGCTCCCTGAATTCTTGATAATGTCATGATAATGTTAGCAGTGGCACAGATCCAAGTTATCCCAAGTTTCCAGCAGTGTATTCACATCAGTCCACAGCAACTTCAGCCCTTGCCACCTCAGAAGGCTGCTCAGGAGGTTGAGGTGGGAGGATTGCTTGAACCCTAGAGATTGAGGCTGCAGTGAGCTGTGGTCTCACCACTGCACTCCTGTCTGGGCAACAGAGAGAGACTCTGTCTCCAAAAGAAAAGAGAAAAACATTAAACCTACAACTACCATATGATTAAACAATTCCATTTCTGAGTATATACTTAAAAGAATTGAAAGAAAGTACTCAAACACTCATGTTTATAGCAGCGTTATTCATAATACCGAAAACATGGAGGCAACCCCAGTGCCTATAGATAGATGAATGGGTAAGCAAAATGTGGTATATACATACAGTGGAATAGTATTAGGCCTCGAAAATGAAGGACATTCTGTAATAGGCTACAATGTGGATGAACTTTGAGCACATAATGCTAAGTGAAATATTCCAGTCACAAAAAGACCATACTATATGATTCCACTTATCCAAGGTACTTAAAGTAGTCAAAATCATAGGGACAGTAGAATTATGGTTTTTAGCAGAGAAGAAGAATGGGGAGTTAATTGTTTAATGGGTATAGATTTTCATTATGACAGGATGAAAAGAATTATAAAGATGGGTGGTGGTGATGGTTGCACAACATTATGAATGTATTTAATACCACTGAACAGTACACTTTAAAATGTCTAAGATGGGGGCCGGGTGCGGTGGCTCACGCCTGTATTCCCAACAGTTTGGGAGGCTGAGGTGAGCTGATCACGAGGTCAGGAGTGCGAGACCAGCCTGGCCAACATATTGAAACCCTGTCTCTACTACAAATACAAAAAAAAAAAAAAAATTAGCCGGGTGCATTGGTGGGCACCTGTAATCCCAGCTACTTGGGAGGCTGAGGCAGAAGAATCGCTTGAACCCAGGAGTCGGAGGTTGCAATGAGCCAAAATTGCACCACTGCACTCCAGCCTGGGCGACAGTGGGAGACTCCGTCTCAAAAAAGAAAAAAAGGGCCAGGCGCGGTGGCTCACGCCTGTAATCCCAGCACTTTGGGAGGCCGAGGCGGGCACATCACAAGGTCAGGAGATCGAGACCATCCTGGCCAACATGGTGAAACCCCGTCTCTACTAAAAATACAAAAAATCAGCCGGGCGTGGTGGCAGACGCTTGTAGTCTCAGCTACTTGGGAGGCTGAGGCACGAGAATGTCGTGAACCCAGGAGGCGGAGCTTGCAGTGAGCCGAGATAGTGCCATTGCACTCCAACCTGGGCAACAGAGCAAGACTCCATCTCAAAAAAAAAAAAAAAGTCTTAAGATGGCAAATTTATTTTATTTGTCTTTTGCCACAGAAGGGGTTTCCCAGAACACTCCTCCAGTTGCTGCGTGACAGGCTTCTAACCAGCCTACATCTAACAGGGTATAGACCCTTGGGAGCCTAAATGGAAGTTTGGCACTTTCCAAGTCTCCCCGTGGCTTACTCCATGTCTACAGATTCTTCCAAAAAAAAAAAAAAAGCGATTTCCACACATAGAGTGCCCCAGTTTTCACAGCTCCCAACTAGGAGGCTCCATCCTAAACCATCTAAAATTGGGAACGAAAGGACTTGGCATTCACTAGTTTCTCTAGATCACAGAATAAAGAGGTGGCTTTTTTGTTTGTTTGTTTTTGTTTTTGTTTTTTGAGACGGAGTTTCGCTCTTGTTGCCCAGGCTGGAGTGCAGTGGTGCGATCTGGGCTCACGGCAACCTCCGCCTCCCAGGTTCAGCAATTCTCCTGCCTCAGGCTCCCGAGTAGCTGGGATTACAGGCATGCGCCACCACAGCCTGCTAATTTTGTATATTTAGTAGAGACAAGGTTTCTCCATGTTGGTCAGGCTGGTCTCGAACTCCCGACCTCAGGTGATCTGCCCGCCTCAGCCTCCCAAAGTGCTGGGATTACAGGCGTGAGCCACCGCGACTGGCCAAGAGGTGGTTTTATACTGATACACGAACACTGCCATTGTTTACATCTCAGGATCAGTGCAGAGAATGGTCTAAAGTGCACACCTCTCAGTTTCTCTCTGGAAGTGTCCATCTGCACACTTTTTCAACTCCGGTTTGAGAATCTATCCTGCACCTGGAAACCAGTGGGGTAGAAAAGCAATAGACATATGGGAACCTGAACAGGAGCTTAGGCATTTCCTGCGCTTTTCCCCCTCAGTTTGCTCGAGCAATAAAGCCAGGTATGTAGATGCTCCCTGAAGGAGTTTGTCCATGCATTGAGTGCCATAACTTCTACAGCTCCCTTCCATGGGGTTGCCTCTATAACCACCTAGCTCTGTAAGTTGATTGAGCTCAGCATTCCCGAGCCTCCCTAGACCACAGAAAATAAAGATGTGGACATTCAATGATCCCACGTCCAGCAGAGGATCAGAACACGCAATCTGAAGAAGAGTGCAGGCATTTGCTACAGATACACTCCCTGACTTAATGCAGAGAGACTTGGAGATAAACTCCTCTCAGCTTCACCCTGAGGATAAAATGAAGTGGAAGACATAGCTAATGCCCCAATCTTTCCAGCTGCATCTAGAGGGACTGGTTTCTATCTTACCTGACTCAGAGTACTGCTAGGTCTTGGCACATCCTAATCTCCTAGGGGTCACTAAAAACAGAGACTGCAGTTTGGACAAACACAAAAATGTGAGAGGAACCTTAGACTTATTGATTAGGCTGTTCTATGTGAGGCCAGTGTGAAAAAACTGAGACTGTTTTCTTATTAATACACAGAAACCAACACAGAGATACAAGGAAAATGAAGAAACAGGGAAATATGTTCCAAATAATAGAACAAAATTAATTTCCAGAAACCAACCCTACTGAAATGGAGATAATGTGATTTACCCAACAGGCAATTCAAAAGAATCATCACAAAGATGCTCACCAAGGTGAGGAGAGCAATGCATGAACAATCTTGAGAATTTCAATAAACAGAAAATATAAAAAAAGTACCAAACAGAAATCTTAGGGATGGCCAAGTAGGGAGGTTTATGCCTGTAATCCCAGCACTTTGGGAGGCCCAGGCAGGTGGATCACCTGAGGTAAGGAGTTTGAGACCAGCCTGGCCAACATGGTGAAACGCCATCTCTACTAAAAATACAAAAAATTAGCTGGGCGTGGTGACGTGCAACTGTAATCCCAGCTACTTGGGAGGCTGAGCAGGAGAATTGCTTGAACCCGGAGGCAGAGGTTGCACTGAGCCAAGATCGTGCCACTGCACTCCAGCCTAGGGGACAGAGAAGACTCTGTTTAAAAAAAAAAAAAAGAAAAGAAATATTAGCGCTGAAGAGTACAACAACTGAACTGAAAAATGCAATAAAGGGTTCAGTATCAGACTAGTTCAAGCAGAAGAAAGGATCAACAAACTCAGAAACAGGTCATTGGAAATCATCCAATCTGAGGAGCAAAAGAATATAAAATAGTGAAGACAGCATAAGGGACTTTTGGAACACCATCAAGCAGACCAATACACACATTGCCAAAGGGTCAGAAGGATAAAAGAGAAGGAGACAGAGAGCTTAGATAAAGAAATAACGGCAGAAAACTTCCCAAGCCTGTGAAAGGAAATATAAATCCAGATCGAAGCAGCCAAAAAGACACCAAATAGGAGAAATCAAAAGAAACCCACACAGATGTGCATTATAATCAAATTTTCAAAAGTTAAA
Organism: Homo sapiens; assembly: GCF_000001405.40. Classification (NCBI taxonomy): domain Eukaryota; kingdom Metazoa; phylum Chordata; class Mammalia; order Primates; family Hominidae; genus Homo; species Homo sapiens. The sequence goes on along the minus strand of NC_000019.10, from coordinate 36,501,806 downwards.
CACAAAGAGAGAATCTTTAAAGGAGCAAGGAAAAAGTGACTTCTTATGTTCACATATGTACAAAGTCACCTCAATAAGATCATCAGTGGATTTTTCAGCAGAAATCTTGCAGGCCAGAAGGGAGTGGGATGATACATTGTTAGAAAGAAAACAACTGCCATGTGAGAATACTATACTCAGATAACCTGTATTTCAAAAATGAAGGAGAAATTAAGACTTTCTCAGACAAACAAAAGTTGAAGGTGTTTAACACTCCTATATCTGCCCTACAAGAAATGCTAAAGAGAATTCTTCAAGCTGAAGGAAAAAGTCATTTATTAGTAACATGAAAACATGAAAGTATATAAAACTGGCCAGGCGAGCTGGCTCACGCCTGTAATCCCAACACTTTGGAAGGCCAAGGCAGGCAGATCACTTGAGGTCAGAAATCCAAGACCAGCCTGGCCAACATGGTGAAACCCTATCTCTACTAAAAATACAAAAATTAGCTGGGCATGGTGGCACATGCCTATAATCCAGCTACTCGGGAAGCTGAGGCAGAGATTCACTTGAACCTGCAAGGCAGAGGTTGCAGTGAGCAGAGATCGCACCACTGCACTCCAGCCTGGGTGACAGAATGAGACTCCATCTCAAAAAAAAAAAAAAAAAAAAAAAAAAAAAAAACGAAAACGAACTTATAGGTAAAAAATAAGTACATTGTGAAATTCACAACATTCTAATACCGTAATGGTGAGGTGTAAATCAATTCTCTCTCTAGTTTGAAGATTAAAAGACAAAACTGGTGGCCAGGCGCGGTGGCTCACGCCTATAATCCCAGCACTTGGGAGGCCCAGGCAGGGGGATCACGAGGTCAGGAGTTCAAGACCAGCCTGCCCAGCATGGTGAAACCCCATCTCTACTAAAACTACAAAAAATTAGCCGGGCATGATGGCACGCACCTGTAGTCCCAGCTACTTGGGAGGCTGAGGCAGGAGAATTGCTTGAACCTGGAAGGTGTAGGGTGCAGTGAGCCAAGATCACGCCACTGCACAACAGCCTGGGCAACAGAGCAAGACTCTGACTTAAAAAAAAAAAAAAGACAAAACTACTACAAAACACCCATAGCTACAATAATTTGTTAATTGATACAAATTATATGTAAACTGTGATATCAAAGTTAAAACTTTTCTTCCTCCAAGATGGCAGATTAGAGAATGCCTCAGTCACTTGGGGATAGCATGATAGTGCATAAAGATAAACTCCATGTACTTTATTTCAAGAAGAAAAATGGAAATCCACTGGAATCATGAACGATAACCCAGAACCTGGGGAAGGGAGTGGGAGCAATCAGCCCCTGCGGCAGTGTCCAGCTGATAAAAGTGAGTGAAACCCAAGCACATGAAAGAGAGCCTCCCTCTGTGACTCAACTTTCCACTGAGAACCAAAGCGACCCAGTTTAAGGGAGAGCACTTTGTTTCTCTCAAGGCCTGGGGTTAACTTGAGGAGAGGTTTGGAGGTGCTGAGAAGGAAACACACTTGGAAAAGCTGATTCAATCATTCCACAATGTACACGTGTCATTGTGTACACATCACGATGTATACAATGTACACATCAAATTGTACCCCATAAATACATGCAATTATTACTTCTTAATTAAAAATAAAATGAAAATATAAAAAATATATAGTAGATCCTGGAAATGTAATATGAAGAATAATTAATAATAAATGTTTGGGGCCGGGCGCGGTGGCTCACGCCTGTAATCCCAGCACTTTGGGAAGCTGAGGCGGGCAGATAACCAGGTCAGGAGTTCGAGACTAGCGTGACCAACATGGTGAAACCCCGTCTCTACTAAAAATACAAAAATTAACCAGGCATGGTGGCACATGCCTGTAATCCAGTTAGTCAGGAGGCTGAGGCAGGAGAATCGCTTGAACCCAGGAGGCAGAGGTTTGCAGTGAGCCGAGAGTCCGTCTCAAAAAAATAAAAAATAGCCGGGCACAGTGGCTCACGCCTGTAATCCCAGCACTTTAGGAGGCCGAGGCAGGCAGATCACAAGGTCAGGAGTTCGAGATCAGCCTGGCCAATATGGTGAAAGCCTGTCTCTACTAAAAGTACAAAAATTAGCTGGGCATGGTGGCGGGCACCTGTAGTCCCAGCTACTCTGGAGGCTGAGGCAGGAGAATTACTGGAACCCGGGAGGCAGAGGATGCAGTAAGCTGAGATCGTGCCAGTGCACTCCAGCCTGGGCAACAGAGTGAGACTCTGTCTCAAAAAAGAAAAAAAAAAAGAAAAAAGAAATTAAAAAAATAAATGTTTAGACCAGGGTTGGTGGCTCATACCTGTAATCTTAGCACTTTGGGAGGCCAAGGAGGGTGGATCACCTGAGGTCAGGAGTTCAAGACCAGCCTGGCCAACATGGTGAAACCCCGTCTCTACCAAAAATACAAAAATTAGCTGGGCGTGGTGGCAGGTGCCTGTAATCCCAGCTACTTGGGAGGCTGAGGCAGGACAATTGCTTGAACCCAGGAGGCGGAGGTTGCAGTGAGCCGAAATTGCGCCACTGCACTCCAGCCTGGGCGACAACTGCAAGACTCTGTCTGAAAAAAAAAAAGATAATAATAATAATCCAAATTCAGTGTGTCATTTTAAGGTGGCTTGGGAGCGGCCCGAGGAGCGAAGGACTGAACCAGGAGCCATGCTGCACTGAACTGAGGCAGCACAGCCTCCAGGTGGGGTGGGAGGGGCGGGAGCCTTTCCGCTGTGGATGCTGACTGCCCAGGACGAGGGTTTCATCACCTTAAATGTTTTTGAACTGACGAAGCTGCATTCCCTTAAAAAGATGGACAGCTAGTGGCTCACACCTGTAATCCCAGCGCTTTGGGAGGCCAAGGCAGGTGGATCACGAGTTCAGAAGATCGAGACCATCCTGTCCAACATGGTGAAACCCCGTCTCTACTAAAATACAAAAAATAGCCAGGTGTGGTGGTGTGCACCTGTAATCCCAGCTACTCAGGAGGCTGAGGCAGGACAATCGTTTGAACCCGGGAGGTGGAGATTGCAGTGAGCTGAGATCGCGCCACTGCACTCCAGCCTGGCGACAAAAAGAAAGAAAGAAAGAAAGAAAAGATGGACAGCCCATCCTGTGAACTATAGAGTTTGTGGACAGATATGTATTGGGTTCATAGTGGCGTCATGCACACACACTCCTGCGAGTTTCCGTAAGTTTTTAGAGGACTGCTTTGCCTTTTGTTTTGTTGTTGTTGTTTGTTTTGGTTTGGTTTTTGGAGACAGAGTCTCACTCTGCCACTCAGGCTGGAGTGCAGTGGCATGATCTCAGCTCACAGCAACCTCTGACTCCCGGGTTCAAGTGATTCTCCTGCCTCAGCCTCCCGAGTAGCTGGGATTACAGGAGCGCGCCACCATGCCCAGCTAATTTTTATATTTTTAGTAAAGATGGTGTTTCCCCATGTTGGCCAGGCTGGTCTCAAACTCCTGACCTCAAGTGATCTGCCTGCCTCAGCCTCCCAAGTGCTGGGATTACAGGCATGAGGCACCATGCCAGGCCTGCTTTGCCTTTTGATCTGAGAGTTGCAAAGTTCCATAAAGAATGGCCCTGGTGGATAAGCACAAAATCACGAGACAGCGATTGGACAGAACTTGTGAAGCTATCCACCCTCAGATCACGAACAGCCCCCTGCACCCCCTCCCGCTGCTGGCGCCGCTGGATGGCTGTGACCTGCACCGTGGAGATGCCCATCCTGAAGGACCTGGCCACTGTGGCCTTCTGTGACGCACAGTCCACGCAGGAGATCCACGAGAAGATTCTAAACAAGGGAGGACCTGGAGAAGTTCAAGGCCCTGAGAGTGATCGTGTGGATAGGCAAGTGGCTACGACAACGTGGACATCAAGGCTGCCAGTGAGCTCCGGATTACTATGTGCAACATCCCCTCCACAGCCGTGGAAGAGGCAGCCAACTCCACTATCTGCCACATCCTCAATCTCTGCCGGAGGAATATGTGGCTGTACCAGACACTGTGGGAAGGCGCGCGGGTTCAGAGCGTGGAGCAGATTCTCGAGGTGGCCATGGGAGTGGCCCTCATTCGTGGAAGACGCTAGGCCTCATGGGCTTCGGTTGCATGAGGCAGGCGGTTGCAGTTTGAGCCAAGGCCTTTGGATTCAGCGTCGTATTTTATGACCCCTACTTGTAGGACAAGATAGAGAGGTCCCAGGGCATGCAGAGGGGACCCTGATACACCCTGCAGGGTTTGCTGTATCAGAGTGACTGTGTCTCGTTGCACTGCAATCTCAATGAACATAACCACCACCTCGTCAATGACTTTACTATAAAGCAGATGAGACAGGGAGCATTCCTTGTGAACGCAGCCCATGGTGGCCTGGTGGATGAGAAAGCCTTAGCACAGGTCCTCAAGGAGGACAGGATAGGAGGGGCAGCCCTTGGCTTGCACGAATCGGAGCCCTTTAGCTTTGCTCAGACTCCGTTGAAAGATGCGCCAAATCTCATCTTCACTCCTCACACTGCCTAGGACAGCATGCAGGCGTCACTGGAGATGAAGGAGGCAGCTGCCACCGAGATCCGCCGAGTCATCACAGGTCGCGTCCCAGAAAGCTTAAGAAACTGTGTGAACAAGGAGTTATTTGTCACATCAGCGCCTTGGTCAGCAATAGACCAGCAAGCAATTCATCCCGAGCTCAACGGTGCAACATACAGATATCCGCCAGGCATCGTGGGCGTGGCTCCAGGAGGACTTCCTGCAGCCATGGAAGGAATCATCCCTGGAGGCGTCCCAATGACTTACAACCTCCTGAGAGTGACACATCCTTCCCAAGCTCCCCTTCCCAACCAGCCCACAAAACATGGGGACAATCGACAGCACCCTAATAAGCAATAGCAGAGAATGCCCAAAGGTAATCATTCAGATACACTTGGGACCATGAGCCAGTGAAAAATAGATGAACTAAGAGAAACAAATTATGGTCTTTTTAACTGATTCTGGACATAGGCATCATTGATGTTGCCGTGCTAAAACTACAAGAACTAGACAACTGAAGATGTCGTCTCTTATGGAAGTGCTGAAAGACTAGGATGTGATTTACTAACAACCGACTTCCGTTATTGTGTGTTAAGTTTTTCATCTGTGCATCAAATCCCAAATAATAAATGGAGCTTTTTTCTTTATCGGTCCCTTGGGCACAGGAGGTCCCGAACACCCTTCTCTAGGATGCTGCATTGAGAGTTCAAACATCGGGCCATGCGCAGTGGCTCATGCCTGTAATCCCAGCACTTGGGAGCCCGAGGCGGGTGGATCACCTGAGGTAAGGAGTTTGAGACCAGCCTGGCCAACATGGTGAAACCCCGTCTCTACTAAAAATACAAAAATTAGCTGGGTGTGGTGGCGAGCGCCTGTAATCCCAGCTACTCCGGAGGCTGAGGCAGGAGAATTGTTTGAACACAGGAGGTGGCAGTAAGCCAAGATCGTGCCACTGCACTCTAGCCTGGGCGAAAGAGCAAGACTGTCTCAAGGAAAAAAGAAAAAGAGTTCAAACATCAAATTAAAAAATATTAAGAGGAAAGCTTCATTCTGTGACTCTAGTCCCGTGACTGTAGTCCCTTCATTCTACAGGGGCTGTTTACCTCTTTTTGCTAGTAGCAAGATCATATAACTACAAAATGTGGAGAAACTGTTTGCCTGTGGTAGATACCTGCACACATAGGATTGAAGACAGTACAGGCTCCTGTGAGACACCTCTGTCCTCTCACATCTGTTTTTTTTGTTTTGTTTTGTTTTGAGATGGAGTCTTGCTCTGTCACCCAGGCTGGAGTGCAATGGCGAGATCTGGACTCACTGCAATCTCTGCCTCCCAGGTTCAAGCGATTCTCCTGCCTCAGCCTCCGGAGTACCTAGGATTACAAGTGTACACCACCACGCCCAGCTAATTTTTGTATTTTTGGTAGAGACTAGGTTCCACCATGTTGGTCAGACTGGTCTCGAACTCCTGACCTCAGGTGACTCGCCCGCCTCTGCCTTCCAAAGTGCTGTGATTACAGGAGTGAGCCACTGCGCCCGGCCCCTCACTCACATCTGAATTGCATACTGAGTGGGCAAGTTGGTTATAAGTTCAGTAAAACCCTCTGATGATGCAAAAAAAAGTATTATGTTTCACAAGCTGTTTGTACTCAAATACATTTTCTCAGTTTCAGATCCTTTCCTATTTTATTGAGTGGAAAGTCTTGAACTAAAAGTGTTCAGGAAGAATAATGTTGCATTTCCTTATGTCTCCTGAAACACTTTTTTTTTTTTTTTTTTTTTGAGATGGAGTCTTGCTCTGTCGCCCGGGCTGGAGTGCAGTGGCACGATCTCGGCTCACTGCAGGCCCTGCCTCCCAGGTTCACGCCATTCTCCTGCCTCAGCCTCCCGAGTAGCTGGGACTACAGGCACCCGCCACCATGCCCGGCTAATTTTTTGTATTTTTAGTAGAGATGGGGTTTCACTGTGTTAGCCAGGATGGTCTCGATCTCCTGACCTCGTGATCCACCCGCCTCGGCCTCCCAAAGTGCTGGGATTACAGGCGTAAGCCACTGCACCCGGCCGTCCCGAAACACTTTTAATGGTAAGTTGTCATATTGTCTATGAAGAAACCCATTTTTTTAAGACATTAATAAATTCTTCTTTTCTTCATGTGATACTTTATACAAGAACACTTCAGATGTATTAGATTTGACTGATTTTAAACAAATCCTATTAGATTTGTATCAACTAGTTACATGTTCTATTCATAGACTTTTGTGAATCATTGCCTTTTTGTTTAAAAAGATGGCCTATTTTCCAGGCACAGTGGCTCATGCCTGTAATCCCAGCACTTTGACAGACCGAGGCAGGCAGATCACCTGAGATCGGGAGTTCGAGACCAGCCTGACCAACATGGAGAAATCCCGTCTCTACTAGAAACCCAAAATTAGCCACGCGTGGTAGTGCATGCCTGTAATCCCAGCTACTTGGGAGGCTGAGGCAGGAGAATTGCTTGAACCCAGGAGATGGAGGTTGTGGTGAGCCGAGATCATGCCATTGCACTCCAGCCTGCCTGGGCAACAAGAGCGAAACTCCAACTCAAAAAAAAAAAAAAAAAAGATGGCCTATTTCAAGCCTTTGCATAGTACATTCCTGTTTTTGTGACAAAAGAAAAACTTTAAAATTGCCCCAAACAGAAAAATAATGGCTATATGTTTTATTCTATTTTAACTTTTTTTTTGAGATGGAGTCTTTGCTCTGTCACCCAAGCTTGAATGCAGTGGCATGATCTTGGCTGGCTGCAACCTCTGCCTCCCAAGTTCAAGCAGTTCTCCTGCCTTGGCCTCCCGAGTAGCTGGTATCACAGGTGTGTGCCACCATGCCTAGCTAATTTTTGTATTTTTAGTAGAGACGGGGTTTCACCATGTTGCCCAGGCTAGTCTCAAACTCCTGACCTCAGGTGATCAGCCCACCTCAGCCTCACAAAGTGCTGGGATTATAGGCGTGAGCCACCAGCCTGGCCCAGTTGATAGTTTCAACTATGTAAATCATTACACTGATTCCTACTGATCATTCTCATTGCCAGCATTCCTGAACTTAAATTGGCTCTGGAAATTCTCCAACCATAGTGAATCCTATTTTCTATGACCCCATAAATATTGGGCATTGTTGCGGTATGTTAGAATACGAGCCCGTGGTTGGGAAAGGCAGTATCATATATGCAGTCTTTCTACCTCTATGTGGCCACATAAGAATGACATCTGACCTGCAACATTTCCTTACCAAGAGATACGGATCCCACATGGGCTGTGCAATGTATTTGTGTTTTAAGCTAAGCGATATTACAGAAAAGTCAAAAAGCTTTTAAAAATTTGAACATTTATAAAGTAGAAAAGTTACAGCAAGCAAGGGTTAATTTATTATGGAAGAAAAACTTTAAATACATGTAGTGTTGCTTAAGTGTACAATGTTTATAAAGTCTAGAGTGTTGTACTGTAATGTCCTAGCCTTCACATTCACTCACCTCTCATCGACTCTCCAGAGCAACTTCCAGTCCTGCAGCCTCCATTCTTGGTAAGTACCCTATACAAGTGTACCATTTTTTACTTTTCATGCTGTTTTTTTTACTGTACCTTTTGTGTGTTTAGATATGTTTAGATACATAAATACTTACCATTGTGTTCTGTGGGCAGCAAGCCACCCAGGTGCCGAGGCAAGAGACCGAGGGCATGGGCTGTTTCAGTATAATAAAATATATAAAATAACAAGAATTACACTAGATACAGATCACAGATATGATTATACACAAGTATCACTAATCATTAGTTTGTAGTAATTACTCTTTATTCAAATATTATAATAATCTTCACTCTACAATCATAACCTAGGAAAAACCAGGCCATACAGAGGTATGAGCTGAAGGGACATGGTGAGAAGTGACCAGAAGACAAGTGTGTGAGCCTCTGTTATGCCCGGACAGGGCCACCAGAGGGCTCCTTGGTCTAGCGGAACGTTAGCGTCTGGGAAGACGCCTGTTACCAAGCGGATTGTGGTCTAGCAGTAGCGTCAGTGCCAAGGAAAAGCACCCACTACTTAGCAGACCAGCAAAGGGAGTCTCCCTTTCCCCGGGGGAGTTTAGAGAAGACTCTACTCCACCATGTCTTGTGGAGGGCCTGACATGAGTCAGGCCCGCCCGCAGTTATCTGGAGGTCTAACCGTCTTCCTGTGATGCTGTGCTTCAGTGGTCACACTACTGGTCCGCTTTCATGTTCCATCCTGTACACCTGGCCCTGCCTTCTAGATAGCAGTAACAAAATTAGTGAAAGTACTAAAAGTCTCTGATATGCAGAAATAATGCGTAAGCTGTCTTCTCTCTCTCTCCGCTTCAGCTGCCAAACAGGGAAGGGCCCCCTGTCCAGTGGACACGTGACCCACGTGACCTTACCTATCATTGGAGATGGCTCACACTCCTTACCCTGCCCCCCTTGTCTTGTATCCAATAAATAACAGTGCAGCCTGGCATTCGGGGCCACTATCAGTCTCTGTGTCTTGGTGGTAGTGGCTCACCCGGGCCCAGGTGTCTTTTATCTCTTTGTCTTGTGTCTTTATTTCTACCACCTCTAGTCTCTGCACACAGGGAGAAAAACCCACAGACCTTGTAGGGCTGGTCCCTACAGTGTTCCAACTGTATTCAGTACAGTAACATACTGTATAGCTTTGTAGTTTAGGAGCAACAGGTTATACCATGTAGCCTAAGTGTTCAGTCAGCTATACCATCTAGGTTTGTGTCAGTACACTCCATAATGATGAAATTGCCCAACAATGCATTTCTCAGAATGTATCCTTTTTTTTTTTGAGACCGAGTCTCACTCTGTCGCCCAGGCTGGAGTGCAGTGGTGCAATCTTGGCTCACTGCAACCTCTGCCTCCTGGGTTCAAGCGATTCTCCTGCCTCAGCCTCCCGAGTAGCTGGGACTACAGGCGCGCACCACCATGCCCGGCTAATTTTTGCATTTTTAGTATAGACGGGGTTTACACCATGTTGCCCAGGCTGGTCTCAAACCCCTCAGCCTCCCAAAGTGCTGGGATTTCAGGCGTGAACCACCGCACCCGGCCAGAATATATCCTTATTATTTATTTATTTATTTTTTTTTAATTGATCATTCTTGGGTGTTTCTTGCAGAGGGGGATTTGGCAGGGTCATAGGACGATAGTGGAGGGAATGTCAGCAGATAAACAAGTGAACAAAGGTCTCTGGTTTTCCTAGGCAGAGGACCCTGCGGCCTTCGGCAGTGTTTGTGTCCCTGGGTACTTAAGATTAGGGAGTGGTGATGACTCTTAACGAGCATGCTGCCTTCAAGCATCTGTTTAACAAAGCACATCTTGCACCGCCCTTAATCCATTTAACCCTGAGTGGACACAGCACATGTTTCAGAGAGCACAGGGTTGGGGGTAAGGTCACAGATCAACAGGATCCCAAGGCAGAAGAATTTTTCTTAGTACAGAACAAAATGAAAAGACTCCCATATCTACGTCTTTCTACACAGACACGGCAACCATCCGATTTCTCAATCTTTTCCCCACCTTTCCCGCCTTTCTATTCCACAACACCGCCATTGTCATCATGGCCCGTTCTCAATGAGCTGTTGGGTACACCTCCCAGATGGGGTCGTGGCCAGGCAGAGGGGCTCCTCACTTCCCAGTAGGGGCGGCCGGGCAGAGGCGCCCCTCACCTCCCGGACGGAGAGGCTGGCCGGGCGGGGGGCTGACCCCCCCCCACCTCCCTCCCGGACGGGGCGGCTGGCCGGGCAGAGGGGCTCCTCAATTCCCAGTAGGGGTGGCCAGGCAGAGGCGCCCCTCGCCTCCCGGACGGGGCGGCTGGCCGGGCGGGGGACTGACCCCCCCACCTCCCTCCCGAACGGGGCGGCTGGCCGGGCGGGGGGCTGACCCCCCCACCTCCCTCCCGGACGGGGCGGCTGGCCTGGCGGGGGTGACCCCCACCTCCCTCCCGGATGGGGTGGCTGCCGGGCGGAGACGCTCCTCACTTCCCAGACGGGGTGGCTGCCGGACGGAGGGGCTCCTCACTTCTCAGACGGGGCGGCTGCCGGGCGGAGGGGCTCCTCACTTCTCAGACGGGGCGGTTGCCAGGCAGAGGGTCTCACTTCTCAGACGGGGCGGCCGGGCAGAGACGCTCCTCACCTCCCAGACGGGGTCGCGGCCAGGCAGAGGCGTTCCTCACATCCCAGACGGGGCGGCGGGGCAGAGGCGCTCCCCACATCCCAGACGATGGGCGGCCTGGCAGAGACGCTCCTCACTTTCCAGACTGGGCAGCCAGGCAGAGGGGCTCCTCACATCCCAGACGATGGGCGGCCAGGCAGAGAAGCTCCTCACTTCCCAGATGGGGTGGCGGCGGGGCAGAGGCTGCAATCTCGGCTCTTTGGGGGGCCAAAGCAGGCGGCTGGGAGGAGGTTGTAGCGAGCCGAGATCACGCCACTGCACTCCAGCCTGGGCACCATTGAGCACTGAGTGAACAAGACTCCGTCTGCAATCCCGGCACCTCGGGAGGCCGAGGCTGGCGGACCACTCGCGGTTAGGAGCTGGAGACCAGCCCGGCCAACACAGCGAAACCCTGTGTTTGGTGGAGACCAAAAAAATACGAAAACCAGTCAGGCGTGGCGGCGCGCGCCTGCAATCGCAGGCACTCGGCAGGCTGAGGCAGGAGAATCAGGCAGGGAGGTTGCAGTGAGCCGAGAGGGCAGCAGTACAGTCCAGCTTTGGCTCGGCATCAGAGGGAGACCGTGGAAAGAGAGGGAGAGGGAGACCGTGGGGAGAGCATATATCCTTATTATTAAACTATGCATGACTGTGTATACAATACCTTTATAGGTCAAAAGCAGTCAAATACTGGCCATGAGATACACTTAGTCCAAGTACACAAATAATTGCAGAAGGAGAAAGTGAAACTCCTCTTACTTCCTGCCCCACTCATTTATCACAAAGCACACAGAAGTCAGAATAACACCTGCCCTTTGCAATTTCAGACTCCTCTCTTTCTGCCTCTCCAAACCTGTCCCACGTTTGGCGATTCCTTTCCCTTCGACCTCCCCCCATCAGGTCGCAGGTTCCTGGTCTACACCCCTTCTGCGTCCCCAACCACTTCTGAGTCTCACAACCTCTGGTCCCATAACCCCTCTGCACTAAGGAGCAATAAACAAAATTCACGCCCGAACAAAGAGGCCAAAACAGCAACCCAGGATGTTTGCGCCTGCGCACTCTGGGCGCACAGTACTCAGGCCGGCAGCCCAGCACCGGCTTATCTGTGAGAGCAATTAAGATGACTTTCGGAGGGTCCAACCGCCTTCCCAGCTCCGAACTACATCTCCCAGAAGGCTCAGTTGTGCGATTATCTTTCCATGCAGACTTGTCCTCTTTCTGAGGCTGTCCAGCGCCTGGGGGCAGTAGGACGGGTCCGGGAACTAAGCCCATCTCAAACACGTCGGAGTGGCTTTCTTTGGGGGCCAAGGCCCGAGCCTGAGGCGGGACTCCATGAGGCCTCTGGGGCGCGAGCGGTTTGACTAGGGGGGGCGATCCTTTCGGCGGGGCTGACGCAAGGCGCGGACAGGAATTCTGACGATCGGGAACCATCTTGTCCGGCCTTGATACGTCTCTGACTACGCTTCCCAGAGGTCTCCTCGGCAAGACTGTACTTCTCGCGGTAATTCAGCTTCCAACTCACGCGCTGGCGGGACCCTCAGGGCTTTACCAGCAACTACCCCAGTGCCGGGGAGGGTTCTGCTGCTTCGAAAGCTGGTAAGGCCTGAGGTGAGAAACCCGGGAGAGGGCGGGGCCGGGGGCCAAGCCTCGGCTTTGTGCGGCGGTGGAGGTGAGATTGAAAGCGTGCGCTTGCGTCTGTGTGGAGGTGTGTGGTGAATGATCGCGCGATTGTGACAGGCTGCCCTTGTGATGAGTGTGTTTCCAACGCTCACACCGTGTGCAGCACGGCCTCGGAGACTGTGGCTGCTGGTGTGTGTGTGAGAGGGAGCAGGACCACGTGCGGCATTGTGTGTGCGGCTGTGGGGAGCTTGTGCCTGGTTGAGTGTTACTGCGTTTGTCCCCGTAGTGGTGTGCGACTATATGCTGTGTGACTGTGTGCGGCAGAGTTCAGGTGGGGATACCTGCGAGTAACTGCATGTTTCTATCTGTGTGTGTGGCTGTGGTTAATGTGTGATCGTGACTGTGACCCGGTACAGGTGTGCGCCGACTGTGACAATGTGGTTGTGACTGTGACTGCCTCCTCGGTAAGCGTGCACTTGTGCTTATGTGACCGATAGAGGCCCTGCGTGTGCGACCCTGTTGCTTTGGGCGTGGATTGTCTGTAGCTGAATGTCCCCATGGTGGGAGTGTGATCAGGTTTGTGTGGCAGGGTAAGTCACACAGTGTGAGGTTTTATCACTTACGTATACTTCTCTAGGCATTATACTCCAGTTTTTCCCCGTTTTAAAACTTTATATGAATGTTGTCATACTGTCTTTGGTTTATTTTTACAATTCTGTGAATCATCCCTATTAGATAAAATCGCGGTTAATTCAATTTCTTTGCTATATTCTCCCTTCTGAAGTATACCACAATTATTCATCCTTTCTAGTAATGATGCCCTATTAGTTATTTATAGCTTTTCATTTTATAAACAACACAGCCACATTCTTTCACATGGGGTACACATGCTTGAGTTTATTTACCAGCAGAATTGCCGGTTCATATATCTTCCACTTTACTAAACAGTGTCAAAATATATACCCGAGTGGCTGCACAAATTTGTACTTGAACAGCAATGTTTGAAATATCTTATTGCTCCATATCCCTACCAAAGCATAGTTCCAAGAGTTAAAAAAATTTTTGTAGGCCAAGTGTGGAGGCTCATGCGTGTAATCCCAGCACTTTGCCAGGCCAAGGTGAGAGGATCACTTGAGGCCAGGAGCTGGAGACCAGCCTGGGCAACATAGTGAGACCCTAACTCTACCATAAATACATACATACATAAAAAATTAGCCGGGCATGGTGGCTGGCACCTATAAGTCCTAGCTACTCAGGAGGTTGAGATGAGAGGATCGCTTGAGCCCAGTGCTTTGCAGCTGCAGGAAGCCATGATCATACCACTGCCCTTCAGCCTGGGCAACAGAGCAGGAGGCTGTCAATAGATACATAGAGCCTATATAAAGTGTGCAAATCTTAAGTGTACAGCTGTGTAACACTCTTAGATCTATACAAAGAACTTTGCCAGGACCTGAGATGCTTCCCTCATACCACTTCTCAGTAATTTCTCCCCCACACAATCTATTCAGAATTCTATCATTAACTAGTTTTACCCATTCTTTTTTTTTTTTTTTTTTTTTTTTTTGAGACAGAGTCTTGCTCTTGTCACCCAGGCTGGAGTGCAGTGATGCAATCTTGGCTCACTGCAACCTCCGCCTCCTGGGTTCAAACGATTCTCCTGCCTCAGCCTCCTGAGTAGCTGGGATTACAGGCACCCATCACACCCGGCTAATTTTTGTATTTTTAGTAGAGACAGGGTTTCCCCATGTTGGCAAAGCTAGTCCTGACCTCAGGTGATCCGCCCACCTTGGCCTCCCAAAGTGCTGGGATTACAGGCATGAGCCAGTGCATCTGGCTGTCTTACACATTCTTGAACTTCATGTATATATGCAATTATGCAGCATGTACTGTTTTATGCCAGGCTTCTTTTGTTATATATTATGTTTGTGAAATTCATTCATGTTGTTCAGTGTAATTGTACTTAGCTCTCACTATACTGGGGATATATTGTAGTATATTAGTCGATTACATTGTTGATGGATATTTGGGTAGCTTCCAATTTGGGGCTGTTACAAATGATGCTGCAGCTGTGAACACTCTGCTGTGTTTTTGGTGAACACATGAAGGCTTTTCTCCCGGGTTAATACTTAGGAGTGGCATTGCTAGATCATAGGGTAGGCTAATGTTTAATAGATACTACGAAGCTCTCATGTGGTTGTTCCAGTTTACACTCCATCCAGCAATGTATGAGAGTTCCAGTTGCTTCATATCCTCTCCGTAATTTGGTATGGTTAGTCTTTTAACTATTTTATTGGTTGTGTGGTGCAGTTTCATCATAGGTTTTTGTTTTGGTTTGTTTTGTCTTGTTTTGGTTTGTTTTTTTTTTTTTTTTTGAGACGGAGTCTCGCTCTGTGGCCCAGGCGGGAGTGCAGTGGCGCAATCTCGGCTCACTGCAAGCTCCGCCTCCCGGGTTCACGCCATTCTCCTGCCTCAGCCTCCCGAGTAGCTGGGATTACAGGTGCGTGCCACCACACCCAGCTAATTTTTGTATTTTTAGTGGAGACAGAGTTTCACCATGTGAAACTCCCGCCCGCCTCAGCCTCCCAAAATCCTGGGATTATAAGTGTGAGCCACTGCACCCAGCCTCATCATAGTTTTAATTTGTATTTCCTTGATGTGAAATGATGTTCAGCACCTTTTTGTATGTTTACTGGCCATTTGTATATCTTCTTTTTTGTGTCCATTTTCCCCTTCGTAAATTTTTTAAAAATGTTCTTTTCTTTCTTTCTTTCATTTTTTTTTTTTTTTTTTGAGACAGAGTTTCGCTCTTGCTGCCCAGGCTGGAGTGCAATGGCATGATCTCAGCTCACTGCAACCTCCACCTCCCAGGTTCAAGCAATCCTCCTGCCTCAGCCTCCCATGTAGCCAGGATTACAGGCTTGCGCCACCACGGCCAGCTAATTTTGTATTTTTAGTAGACACAGGGTTTCACAATATTGGTCAGGCTGGTCTCAAACTCCTGATCTCAGGTGATCCAACTGCCTTGTCCTCCCAAAGTGCTGGGATTACAGGTGTGAGCCACTATGCCTGGCCTAAAATTTTATTTTCATGTTGTGAACATAGTATAAGGAATTTGCAGATACTCTGCAGGTGCCCACAGTGCAATGATGAAAACCAGGAAATTTATGCTGATAGAAGACTTTTAATTAAGTTAGAGCCCTTTTTCAAATTTTGCTAAATTTTCTTACTGTTTCAGGATCCAATCCAAGGTCCTGCATTGAATTGTATTGTTTCATTAGTCTCCTTCCATCTTTGAGTGTTCTTTAATCCTTTTTATCTTTTAGGACTTTGACACTTTTGAAGAGTACTGGCCAGTTATTTTGTAAAATATCTTTTTCTTTTCTTTTCTCTTTCTCTCTCTGTCTTATTCTTTGAGACGGAGTCTCTGTCACCCAGGCTGGAGTGTAATGGCACAATCTTGGCTCACCACAACCTCCACCTCCTGGGTTCCAGCGATATTCTTGCCTCAGCCTCCCGAGCAGCTGGGACTATAGGAGCGCACCACCACGCCCAGCTAATTTTTGTATTTTTAGCAGAGACAGGGTTTCACCATATTGGCCAGGCTGGTCTCGAAATCCTGACCTCGTGATCTACCTGCCTCAGCCTCCCAAAGTGCTGGGATTACAGGCGTGAGCCACCGCGCCTGACCGCTTTTTTTTTGAGACGAAGTCTTGCTCTTGTCCCCCAGGCTGGAGTGCAATGGTGCGATCTCAGCTTACTGCAGCCTCTGCCTCCTGGGTTCAAGCGATTCTCCTGCCTCAGCCTCCCGAGTAGCTGGGATTACACGCACCTGCCACCACCCCCGGCTGATTTTTGTATTTTTAGTAGAGATGGGGTTTCACCATGTTGGCCAGGCTGGTCTCGAACTCCTGACCTCAGGTGATCTGGCCGACTTGACCTCCCAAAGTAGTGGGATTACAGGCATGAGCTACCGCGCCCAGCACCGGCCACTTTTTTTTTTTTTTTTTTTTTTTAATAGACAAGGTCTTGCTCCGTCATCCAGGCTGGAGTGCAAATGCAGTGGCATGACCATGGCTCATTGCAGCCTCAACCTCCAGGGCTCAAGCAATTCTTCCACCTCAGCCCCTGAGTAGCTGGGACTACAGGTGCACACCACCACTCCTGGCTATTTTCTTTTTTTTTTTTTTTTTGTAGAGATAGCATCTTGCTATATTGCCCAGGCTGGTCTTGAACTCCTGCTTTCAAGCCATCCTCCTGTTTTGGCCTCCCAAAATGCTGGGATTGCCACACCCAGCCTGCAGAATATCTTTCAATTTGCGTTTGCCTGATGTTTCCTTATGGTTAGATTTAGACTGGGCAGTTTTGGCAAGAAGATCACAGAAATGATGTTGAACTCTTCTCAATGTGTCATATCAGGAGATATATATATTAGTATATCTCATTATTAGCAATGTTAACTTTGAGAACTTGGTAACAGTGTTGTTTGCCAGATTTCTCCTCTGTAAAATCACTGTTTTTCCCATTTTATTGAATAAGTATCTTGTGGGGAAATAATTTGAAACTATGTAAAAATGGCTGGGCGCGGTGGCTCATGCCTGTAATCCCAACACTTTGGGAGGCCGAGGTGGGCGGATCACAAGGTCAGGAGATCAAGACCATCCTGGCTAACACGGTGAAACCCCATCTCTACTAAAAATACAAAAAATTAGCTGGGCATGGTGGTGGGCACCTGTAGTCCCAGCTATTCGGGAGGCTCTGGCAGGAGAATGGCGTTAACCCGGGAGGTGGAGTTTGCAGTGAGCTGAGATCGCGCCACTGCACCCCAGCCTGGGTGACAGAGCGAGACTCCATCTCAAAAAAAAAAAAAAAAAAAAGAAACTATGCCAAAATCCTATTTCTCATCATGTTTTCTCACGCATTAGTTTTAACATTCATTGATAATTTTTACCTGTAACAATTATTACTGTGATGTTTGCCTAGCGGTGATTTTCTCCTTCTATCATTTCTTACACTTTGATAATTTAAATTCTACTATAAGGAAGAGCTGTCTCTTCTTGCTCCTGTTAAAAGTGAACTAAATGTGGCCTGAGAAGGACTTTGTACTTCTATATTTGAGTCCTTATGGACGAACTGTAACCTAACAGGTAGACAGAATTGGAAACCTAACTTGTGTGCCTGTAACAGTGTATGTGCCTGTAACAAGCTGAGTCTTGGCTAATCCCAGCAGCAATACTTCAACCACTCATACACTGCTGAGTGTTCAAACTGTGTTAAGTAAGGCAAACACTGTCTGGGCACAGAGGCTGGCGCCTGTAATCTCAGCACATTGGGAAGCCGAGGCAGGCGGATCACCTGAGGTCAGGAGTTGGAGACCAGCCTGACCAACATGGTGAAACCCCATTTCTACTAAAAATACAAAAAATTAGCCAGGTGTGGTGGAGTGCACCTGTAATCCCAGCTACTCAGGAGGCTGACACAGGAGAATTGCAGTGAGCTGAGATCGTGCCATTGCACTCTAGCTTAGGCAACAAGAGCAAAACTCCGTCTCAAAAAAAAAAGGCAAACAAGAACTTGTAACCAGTTGAGCTGTTTCTCCACCTCACTTCTGATTTTTGTATGTCACTTCCCTTTTTTTTGTCTATAAATTTGTTCTGACCACGAGGCATCCCTGGAGTGTCTCTGAATCTGCCGTGATTCTGGGGGCTGCCTGATTTGCGAATCGTTCATTGTTCAATGAAACTCCTTTACATTTAATTCAGCTGAAGTTTTTCTTTTGTCCCCATTTGTTTATTCAATTATTTACCTATGGACTCATGGATATTTATTTTATTCTATTCTCTATTATTATTATTTATTTATTTTGCTGTTCAAATTTTCCCATATTTGGCCATCAGAAGCTCCTTAAGTTGGCTCTTGTGTCTTTTCAACGTGTGATCATTTTTTAAAGCTTCCCCCCAACCCCGCTTTCTGGGACATAAGATGTTCCAGGTTCATCTTGTATTTTCCCTCTTCCATCTCTGGGCTCAGCAATTTCTCCAAGCAGCATTAATTTCTTTTATTGGAGAATGAATTTATAAACCAAGATCTGGGCACTTGGTGTGCTTATTGCTACTGGTGTGTCTTTGCTCTGGTTCTGGTCAGTGGAGAGAGTGAGAAAATACACAAATGTCTACATGCACATTTATGTCTATTTATTTGTTTATATGTTAAAAACACACCAGTTTACACTCATATGTTTAATTCTATTCCAGTACCACAGGGTATTTTCTTTTCCCAAGAACTATGAACTATCTGAGATTTTACCCTAGTTGTAAGCTAGTAAGTTGGCTTGTCAGTTTCACAGATACGTTCAGAAAACATGAGACTTCTGAGTCTGAGACAAAGGATGCTTTGTTGCTCATGGCAATCTTCAGAATATCTACATTCTCATGGTACTGATTCAGTCATACACCCAGGATTATGCAAAATACACAGGTATCTGTGTGTTCCCTTGACCTTAGGAAACCTGAATTTTTTATAATGGATAGTTAGAATGCCTACCCTTTGCTGTAGAAGGAGACCGACTCTGTCTTCCAAGGCTGTTCACTGTATAAACAACTTGGTAAAATAGTGCAGAACAAAAACACTTAGTACCTCTTCTTGCAAGATACGCAGAAACATGCAAGACCCATGGAGAATTGTCTCCCATCAAATTTGGCCATTTCCTTGTTACTTCATTTTCCAACAGAGAGAAACCTGCTTCTCAGAATCAATAATTAGCTCTATCCTAGAATACATGCAAATTAGTTCAGAGTTGCCAACCTGGACCTGTGTAAAAAGTATTTAGTAACTACAGTAGAGAATCTCTGTGTAGCTCTTTTTCTTTAAGCTTATAGTATATAGTAAACAAACATCTTCCAAAGTTACTCAATTTAGTTCTTTTCTTTGCCACTCTTTTCAGTATGTTTTTTTTTTTTCTTACATTTTTCTTACATTTAAGGATCATTTGTTGCATTTTGGGTTCCCCCACATCCTGGTTGATTGTAGCAGGCTACACTATTTTGAATGTGAAAACATTCGCAGGGGACAGTGGCTCACTCCTGTAATCCCAACACTTTGGGAGGCCGAGGCCGGCGAATCACGAGGTCAGGAGATCAAGACCATCCTGGCTAACACGGTGAAACCCCGTCTCTACTAAAAATACAAAAAATTAGCCGGGCGTGGTGGCGGGCGCCTGTAGTCCCAGCTACTGGAGAGGCTGAGGCAGGAGAATGGCGTGAACCTGGGAGGCGGAGCTTGCAGTGAGCCGAGATCGCGCCACTGCACTCCAGCCTGGGCGACAGAGCGAGACTCCGTCTCAAAATAAATAAATAAATAAATAAAAATTAACTTAGTTCCCACAGACTCCTTGTATATATTCAACTTCATTCGTTTCTGCTTTATCCTTGCTGTGTTTCTTTTGCACAAATGAAGAGTTACCTATATTCTTTTTACATTAAAGATAGCATTCTCTAGGCACTCTTTTGTACATTGTTTCTTTCTCTTAATGATACATTCTGGATAACACTCAGGCAGTTAAAGAGATATTCATAATTCTTTTCTAATTGTTACATAATACTGCAGCCTGTGGATTTATCATAGTTTATTGAACCGCTTTCCTACGTATGGATATTTAGGTCATTTACAATATTTTGTTACTAGAAACAGTGCTGCAATAACCTTGTATATATGTATTTTTCTATTGCTGGAGGAGTATCTTTAGGGTAGATTCCTAGAAGCGGTATTGCTGGGTCAAAAGGTAAGTGCTTTGTAGTTTTGTTAAGTATTGCAAAATTCCTCTCTAGAACTGTTGTACCAGTTTTTATTCCTACTTGCTGTGTATGAGCATGTCTGTTTCCCTTCACAGCCCACCTAACAGAATATGTTGTCATGTTTTTTAGTTTTCACCAGTCTAATAGATGAGAAATAGTACCTCAGTGTTCTTTTCTTTTTTTTTTTTTTTTTTTTTTCCCGAGACAGTGTCTTGCTCTGTTGCCGGGGCTGGAGTGCAGTGGCGCGATCTCGGCTCACTGCAACCTCCGCCTCCTGGGTTCAAGTGATTCTCCTGCCTCAGCCTCCTGAGTAGCTGGGACTACAGGCGCGTGCCGCCACGCCCAGCTAATTTTTGTATTTTTGGTAGAGATGGGGTTCCACCATGTTGGCCAGGCTGGTCCCAAATTCCTGACCTCAGGTGATCCACCAGACTCGGCCTCCCAAAGTGCTGAGATTACAGGTATGAGCCCCTGTGCCCAGCCCTCATTGTTGTTTTCTTATTTCTCTCATTATGAGTGTGTTTGAACATTTCAGAGTCTTTTAAAAGATTGCCTGTTTATGTCTTTCCCCATTTTTGTAGCAGATATTTATTTAGTACTTTGTCTTTTATGACTAGTGCTTTTTTTTGAAACGAAGTCTCACTCTTGTTGCCCAGGCCGGAGTTCAGTGGTGTGATCTCAGCTTACTGCAACCTCTGTCTCCTGGGTTCAAGCGATTTTCCTGCCTCAGCCTCCTGAGTAGCTGGGATTACAGGCGTCTGCCACCATGCCCGGCTAATTTTTTTTGTATTTTTAGTAGAGACAGCATTTCAACATGTTGGCCAGGCTGGTCTCGAACTCCTGACCTCAGGTGTTCCGCCTGCCTTGGTGGGCCTTGGCCTCCCAAAGTGCTGGGATTACAGGCATAAGCCACCACGCCTGGCCCCGAAGCTTTTAAACATTCACATTCACACTTAAGTCTGTGATCCCTCTTAAATTAATTCTTATGTATGGGGTAAAGGTTAATTTTTTTTTTTCCAGTTGGGTGCCTAGTTGTTTCAGCACTGTTTATTGAAAAGATTGTCCTTGCCCATCTAAACTGCATGGAGGCTGGGCAAGGTGGCTCACGCCTGTAATCCCAGCACTTTGGGAGGCCGAGGCAGGCAGATCACCTGAGGTCAGGAATTTGAGACCAGCCTGGCCAACATGGTGAAACCCTGTCTCCACTAAAAATACAAAAATTAGCCGGGTGTGGTGGCAGCCACCTGTAATCCCAGCTACTCCAGAGGCTGAGGCAGGAGAATTGCTTGAACCTGGGAGGCAGAGGTTACAGTAAACCAAGATCTTGCCACTGCACTCCAGCCTGCGTGACAGAGTGAGACTCTGTCTCAAAAAAAAAAAAAAGAAAAAAAAATTGCATGGAGTCTTTGTCATAAATCAGGTGACAGTATATACATGTGGTTATGTGGCTCTCTTTCTGGACTCTATATTCTATTTGGTTTTATTGTTTTGTCTGTACTGCTGTCTTGAAATCTGTAGTTTTAGTCCTCCTACTTTTTTTCTTTTCCAAGCTATCTCGGCTATTATAAGCTCTTCTAATTTCCAAATAAATGTTAGAATCAACTTGCTAATTTTTACCTTATTCCCCCCAAAGCCTTGCTGGGGTTTTCTTTACAAATATATGTGTTCATTTTGGGGCCTGATGCAGTGGCTCACACCTGTAATCCCAGCACTTTGGGAGTCCAAGGCTGGAGGATTGCTTGAGCCCAAGAGTTTAAGACAAGCCTGGGCAACACAGTGAGACCCTGTCTCTACCAAAACAAAAACAAAAACAAAAAAACAACTAAAACCAAGCAAACACGCAAACAAACAAAGAAACAAAACCCCAAACATTTAGCTGGACTTGATGGCGTGCTTCTACTCCTCGCTTCTCAGGAGGCTGGGGTGGGAGAATCCCTTGAGCCCCACAGGTTGAGGCTACAGCGAGCTTTGATCGTGCCACGGCACTCCGACCTGGGTAACAAAGCAAGACCCTGATTCAAAAACAAAAACAAAAACTGTGTTCATTTTGGGAGAATTGACATCAATATTCAATCTATAGTACATATGGTATATGTCGACATTTGTTAAGATCCTTAATTTCTCTTACCAATTTGTCATTTTTAGTAACATTTTTGATAGCTTTATACCTGAGT
The DNA here is from genome assembly GCF_000001405.40 of Homo sapiens. Classification (NCBI taxonomy): domain Eukaryota; kingdom Metazoa; phylum Chordata; class Mammalia; order Primates; family Hominidae; genus Homo; species Homo sapiens. The sequence goes on along the minus strand of NC_000019.10, from coordinate 36,479,497 downwards.
ATTTGATGTTTATTATGGAAACTGTGAATAGTATTTACATTTTAAACAATTTTCCAATTACTTGTTACTAGAAATGCAATTGATTTTTATATATTGTCTCTATATGAGACCATGTTGTTTAATTCACTTGCTAATTTTAAGAATTTATTATTTAGGATTTTCTATGTCTGCAACTTATCATCTGTGAATAATGATAGTTTTCTTTCTTTCCTACCAATCTTTATACCTTTTATTTCTTCATCGTGCCCTATTATACTGGCCAAGCCCTTTATTACATTGTTAAAAAGAAATGATGATAATGCACATTATTCTTTTTTTCCTGGATTCAGGGGGACATTTTTCAGTGTTTCAACATTAGTTATAACATTAGCTCTAGGATTTGATATTTTCCTACATACAAGCTCATACATTAGCCTGTTAGTTTCATGAATGCTGGCAGAAAACATGAGACCCCTGGATCAGAGACAAAGACTTTATTACTCATGGCACAGCAAGCAGCGTAGGCATCAGTGTTCATCAGTTCCTATTTCTCTCAGCTCCCATGGGGACAGCATGTGGGTCTACATGGATGCTATTCATGCAGTGCATGGGCATAGCCACTGAGGAACACTGAGCCTGGATAATCCATTGCTTTTATAGTCAGCAGTAAGCAACCCTACTGTTCGTGCTCTTATCTCAACTCTCAAGGTTATCAGCTGCATAAATAACCCTGGGAAATGAGTAGTTAGAATCTTGCATTCTAGGCATACCCAGCAAGACGCCTAAGAATGTGGAGACCCATGGTAACTGTCTCTCCCAACAGTAGGTATTTCTTAGATGCTACTCATCAAGTTGAGAAAGTTTTCTTTCTTATTTCGTGAGACTTTTTTTTTTTTTTTTTTACATTAATGAGGGCTGAATTTAAAAGAGAGGAGCAGATCCCCTGATGTAAGAATTCAGCATGGGAGGCTGCCCTCTGGGGCAAAGATGAGGAGTGTTGAGAATGCAACAAGCATGGTATGGAGCTGTTGAAGTGGGAATGTTTCATGCCATCCTGCTTGGAAGGTACAGCATTTGAAGACATCCCTTTAACCAGAGGAAGGCCAGGAGGAGAGACCAGAAAGGAGGGCTTAAAATGAGGAATATAGAAGAAGGAACTCTGTTTCCAGATCTTTCTGGATTATTTTTGACTCTTTAGTATCTAGCACAATGCCTGGCTATTATATATCATAGGCTATTTGGTTGATAAAAGAATACTAAGAGCTTAATATGTAGTAGTAATAATAATAATATCAGCGTGCATTTAGGTTTTAAAGAAGAGACACTTGTATTCCTTTGGTATTCATCTGGGGAAATGCAGTGAGTGAGTGCCTATGGGTAGAGGAAGCCATTAGATAATTGATAACATGGTGCTACTTTCTGGGTGGTCAGTTTTATATGAAATAATTGATGAATTGTTTAATGATCAAGAAGCTTGGTGCATAGAGAATAATAGTGCTCTTTATAGTTTGTATAATTTTAAGTTTATTAAGTTCTTGTAGCTAATAAGCAAAACACCAAAATTTTCTTAAACATTTAAACATTGATCACTAATTCAGTTCTTCCCCTTAAACAATGTAGTCTTCCTTTAGTATTTTAGTATAACTTATTCTTTTGGGCACTTTAAACATCTTAAAGTGAAGATGTTTATAAAGAATACACACAAGGCTGGGTGTGGTGTCTCACGCTTATAATCCCAGCACTTTGGAAGGTCAGGATTTTGAGACCAGCCTGGCCAACATGGTGAAACCCGTCTCTACTAAAAATACAAAAATTAGGCGGGCGTGGTGGCGGGAGCCTGTAGTCCCAGCTACTTAGGAGGCTGAGGCAGGAGAATGGCGTGAACCTGGGAGGCGGAGCTTGCAGTGAGCCAAGATCGCGCCATTGCACTCCAGCCTGGGCGACAGAGCAAGACTCCGTCTCAAAAAAACAAACAAACAAACAAAAAAAAAACAGAAACAGAAAACTGGTTTGACCCAGGTATATCCAAACTTAAAATGTGTATAATCTCTGAGCAATTATACTTTTAGGAATTAATTGTGAAGAACTCATATACAGGTAAAATGACATATGCACAAGGATATTTATTACAGCATTGTTTGTTACAGTGAAAAACTAGAAAAAGCCTAAATGATGATTGGCCACAGATTGGTTAAATAAATAAAGTTATGGCCAGGCGCGGTGGCTCATACCTGTAATCTTAGCACATTGGGAGGTGGAGTCGGGCGGATCATGAGGTCAGGAGATCGAGACCATCCTGGCTAACAGAGTGAAACCCCATCACTACTAAAAATACAAAAAATTAGCCGGGCGTGGTGGCACATGCCTGTAGTCCCAGCTACTTGGGAGGCTGAGGCAGAAGAATCGCTTGAACCCAGGACGCGGAGGTTGCAGTGAGCCAAGATTGCACCACTGCACTCCAGCCTGGGGGACAGAGTGAGACTCTGTCTCAAAAAGAAAAGAAAAAAAAAATTAAGTTATATCCATTTAATGGACTGCAATGTAGCTATTAAACCAGTTATGTAACACAATATGTGCTAATTGGGACTTCATTCCAAGATATGTAAAGTAAAAATAGCAACGTGTATAAGTAGTGTGTATAATATGAGTTAAAAAAATCTATATGTATGTATGTGTGTGTATATAAACATATATTCTCCAAGCCATATTGAGTTGCCCTAATCCATCCTGCTCCAGTTACAGCCTGGTATCTTTGAAGCTAGGGATGATAGAGACATTTGCCCATTCTCCTCACTGATACCCCACAAGCATTTCTGAAGCATGAACAGAAGGAAAATGATCATTCTGGGCCAGGAGCTGTGAGGAAAGTGGGGTCTTATCTATCTTCTTTTGCCTCTCCCAGCTCTACCCTTCTCCAAAAGAAGAGCCAAGAGAAGGTCCTTTTCTACAAATATCAGAGCCATGGCTCAGGTGAGATACTGTTTCCTTTTGCTCAGATAGAGTGATTTTTACTTCTAGTAACTGTAAACATTTGCTTTCCTCATGATGATGCTTTTTGATGTTAGAAAAACAACACCTTTCAAAAAGTTTGGTTATGAGCAATGTCAGAATTTTGCTGTAAAGGAAAGGATCTCTAACAGGCCAATTCATAGAAAAAAAAAGAATTGATTACATAATCATTGTTAGAAAATTTACCCTTTTTTTTTTTTTTTCGAGATGGAGTCTCGCTCTGTCTTCTAGGCTGGAGTACAGTGGCACAATCTTGGCTTACTGCAACCTCTGCCTCCAGGGTTCAAGTGATTCTCCTACTTCAGCCTCCTGAGTAGCTGGGATTACAGGCGCCCACAACCACACCCAGCTAATTTTTGTATTTTTAGTAGAGATGAGTTTTTGCCATGTTGTCCAGGCTGGCCTCGAATTCCTGACCTCAAGTTATCCACCCGCCTCAGCCTCCCAAAGAGCTGGGATTATAAGCATGAGCCACTGTGCCCAGAAAAAAATTTATATTAATTCACTGTTAACTGTTAGTCAGCCAAGTGGTTGAATAACAAATTTCTCTGAAGAAGTTTTAATTTAGATTAATGTCCATCAGAAAATCCCCTATCAGTTTCATCAAGAATACTTATTTCTTTCTTTCCATAAAGAGATTTAAGAATTATGTAATGTAAAAATTATGTAATGTAAAAACCTGACCCAGATCAGGTTTGGAATAATTTTTTTTACACTGGTTTCCAGGGTCCCCTGTCAGGAAAAGGACATGCATTTCCTCCTAAACAACCCCAGTCTCCTCTTCAGTTCCCCGCCGCCCCCCGCTTTTAAACAATGTTTACATGCTGGTTTACAAGTCCTTCAGCATCTCCTATCTCAGATTTCTACCAAAAATCCTGATAGGGCAGAAATGTGTTCCCCACATTGAATTAATATGAATTTAATTTGCTTGGACAGTGATTTGATGGGATGAAAATAAGTAATTAGGGGCACCTTATAGGGAAAAGCCCTCATTAGCTCTGTAGACCTGGGTTTTCCAATAAGAAAATACATGCTGTGGTTTTGTTTGATTTCAGTCCTAGTACATGGCAAGGTCTCCTGGTTAACGAGCCTTTTATGTTTGAGAGTGTGACTAGTGGTTGTTACAAAGCTCTCACACCTCACTAAGCATCCATGAAAAATTGATGTCAGTGGCCAAACGTGGTGACTCACACCTGTAATTCCAGCATTTTGGGAGGTTGAGGCTGGTGGTTTGCTTGAACCCAGGTGACTAGCCTGGGCAACATGGCAAACCCCATCTCTACAAAAAATACAAAAATTAGCCAGGCATGTTGGTGCACGCCTGTAGTCCCAGCTACTCGGGAGGCTGAGGTGGGAGGATCACTTGAGCCCAGGAAGTCATGGCTGCAGTGAGATGTGATCATGCCACTGCACTTTGGCCTGGGTGATAGAGGAAGATCCTGTTTAAAAAACAAAAGCAATGATGTCAGTAATACCAACGGTGAAACTGGATCATCCTTCACCAGTTTTCTGTAGCTTAGTTATAAGGGGAATTTACAGCTGGGCAGTAGGTGGTTATAAATAAGATTGGGCCAATGTTGGCGAGGTCTTTAGAGATCACCTCTAGCCTGAATTTCTAAAGGCAAAAGGATAGATGTCATTTATAGCCTTATAATAGAATAGTATTCAGTGAGAAACATATGAATAGCATTTGTTGTAACAAGGAATATTTCTTATTATATAATAGTCTGGCATAGGAATGGATCAGAGTCTTAAATTATATGCAAATTTAATTTTCTAAGATACAAAGTTTTTAAAAGTAATTTTACACATGTCTACAAGGGAAATAGTTCAATTCTGGTTTTGTCCCGTTACCAGACCCACTCCAAGAGGCCACTGCCCTCAACTCTTGAAAATTGGTTTACTACCATTTTTCGATAAACCCACTTTAGTCATTATCTCTTGACTGATTGCAAAGTTAAAGGGAACATTGTATTCCCATACTGCACTTTCGTTTTTCCTGACTGTTACCATATCACCATTTTTGGTTAAATCAATAGTATACACCTTATTACGGCTGCAAATATTATTCTCTGCCAAGCGAGCTCATGGCTTTGTTCTATACAACCCTTCATTTTCCTGGGGTTAATTGCTTCCCCCCTCATTTGCCTAGTCATTTGTGTGTTTATATCCAGAATCTCCAGCATCATTGCCACAGGCCAATCAATACGTTTTCCCTCTGGTCAGACACATCAGTTCCTTTTGATATAGAGACTTGATTCCCCATTTCCTGTTTCCTTGTTCCCATCTGGTCTGGTTTACTCTCTCAGTCACAGCTTTCCTGAAACTTTACCTACTTCCTGAATCCTATGTTGTCTTCTTTTTTTGTTTACTCCCTCGTTTTTGTGGACCACATCCTCTAGAAGTTTCTGAAGAAACTCTTCTTGAGTCCTTGGATGTCTACAAATGTCTTTTCTCAACACTCAAAACAGAATGATAGTTTGTTTATGAAAGTCTAGGTCAGAGTTTATTTTCTCCATCAGAATATTGAAGAATCGTTCTTATTGTTTCTTGCTTTTAGAGGTGTTCTTGAGAATTCCATTGCCCCTCTAATTTTTGATGCCTTTTATATGACCTGCTCTTCTCTCTGGTGGCTTTTAATGTCTTTATCCCTTATTCTGAAATTTGACTCTCAGCTATTTGGGAAAAGAGAGGGAGAAAGATCACATGTATCGTTGATTTATTATATGACAGGTATAGTGTGAGGCATTGCATATACAATTTCATTTAATTGGAAAAGCCCTCTTAGCTGAATTTTTGTACCTTCCCAACCTTGTTTGGATAATGGAGGTATCCTAGCATACTCAGGCAGTTTCATTTGGAGGAAACAGAATGACCTGGAAACCCAGTGATTCAGTTGTGCTTATTTGTTTACAGTCCTCCACTGCTTCCCAGACATTCATATGCTCACTATATTTTACTTCCTCTACCTTAATCTTTTTCTTCTCTCTTTCCTTCACAAAAGTACTTTTTAAAAAATTAATGAAGTCATATACGTGGTTATTGTTCCAGGAGTCAGTGATGTTCAGTGATGTGTCCGTAGACTTCTCTCAGGAGGAGTGGGAATGCCTGAATGATGATCAGAGAGATTTATACAGAGATGTGATGTTGGAGAATTACAGCAACCTGGTTTCAATGGGTAAGGACATCTGTCCATAGTAATTTAGATTCTGCCCTTGGAAGGCCTACTTCCTCCAATGTGAAATGCTCACCTGGCTTTCAAAAACCAGTCGAATTTTGATATCCTGTTCCACAGGAATGTTCTGAATATGGTAGAGTTAGAAAAAGGAAGCTGCATTGAGTTTTTGGGGATGTTTTACATCTTCCGTTATGTTTCATAAGTCCGTTGTACCTCTCTTTGACTCTTCTCATAATGCCATGTCTTTCTTTATAATGAAGGGACTGGATTTGAATTCTAGGATATGCTCATGATAAATTTGTTTTGTTACTTCTTTTGTAAGCAGGGCATTCTATTTCTAAACCAAATGTGATCTCCTACTTGGAGCAAGGGAAGGAGCCCTGGTTGGCTGACAGAGAGCTAACAAGAGGCCAGTGGCCAGGTAAGTGAGGCACAGCAGGTAATGCGTGATTTGGCTGGTAGAGAGACTGCATCTTTTAGATGCTATCTGGGAAACTCTCCTCACAGGCTTTTGGCCTGTTGTGCAAATGTAAGACCTTTTCTACATGAGCTTTCAAATGATCCTACCTTTCCCCTTTACCTAACACACTTTGCCTGCTTTTCTCCTCTTATCCTTCTCTCTCAGTTCTAACCAGCTGGTGCCCTCCTCCACCCTTTCTAGTGATATTCTTTTCTATCCATATTTTGGATCCATTTCCTTCCTAGCTTCTCATCCTCCTTTGTATTTAGTCTAATAAAAGCATCACTGTCTCCAGAAATAGATTTTTTCCTACACTGCCAAAGACTTATTTGCTTTTACTAAGTTTTTTGGGATAGGGGTTTATGCCCTCATTGATTCATTCATATTTTTTACCAACATTTACTGATTTTCTAACATGTATAAGGCACTCAGCTAGGTGCTGCAGAGTTTAAAAAAGGAATAAGCAATTTCAGAACTTACTGCCTAGTAGAAGTACTAGAACATGTCTACAAATAACACCACCATAAGCGAAGTTAAAATAGGGAGCTTAGCAGAAAGTGAGGGCTAACGAGGTAGAAGAGGGGTTGATCCACATAGAAGTCATAGGGGGAGATTTTTGGTGTAAGCATCATTGACTTTATATAGAGGGTTGGAAATAAAGGGCCTGTGTCTCCATGGAGAAGGTAAGAGCTGGCAAAGAGAGATTTGGTATGAAGGAGGAGGAACAGAACAGCACATTCATTCATTTAGTTTATGTCTCTGTAGTGACTATGGTATGCCCAGCACTATTCTCAACACTGAGGTTACAGTAATGAATAGAACATGCGTGATTGGGTGCAGTGGCTCACCCCTGTAATCCCAGCACTTTGGGAGGCTGAAGCAGGAGGATTGCCTGAGATCAGGAGTTCAAGACCAGCCTGGCCAACATGATGAAACCCCATCTCTACTAAAAAATACAAAAATCAGCTGGGTGTGGTAGCATGCGCCTGTAATCCCAGCTACTCAGGAGGCTGAGGCAGGAGAATCACTTGTACCCAGGAGGTGGAGGTTGCAGTGAGCCAAGATTACGCCACTGCACTCCAGCCTGAGTGACAGAGAGAGACTCTCTCAAAAAAAGAAAAAAAAGAACATGCATAATCTCTGTTCCCAGAACCTACCCCACAGTGTAGGGAGAGACATGAAAATAGATGAATATATAACATACCAGGTAATAGTAAATACTAAAAGAAATAAGAAGTAGAGGAAGGGGATAAAGGATGATATTTTATGTGAAGGGGCAAGAGAAATTTACCATATCTTACTAAATGATATGGTAACGTTTGGGCAGAGACCTGAAGAAGCACCATAGTAAGTTACTGTACTGGGCGGAGGACCACTCCAGATGGAGGAATGCAGACCTTCAAGGGCCTGAGGCAGCTGTGCGTTGGCTGTGTTTGAGGAGCAGCCCCAGAGGCCAGTGACTGGAGGAGTGAGAGCAGAGGGGTACGTGGGTGGGAGATGAGATCAAAGAGGCAGGAGTGGGAAAGAGTGGGTCAGTTTATGTACTGTCTGCCATACAGGCCATGGGAAATCTTTTCATTCTAAGACAAGAAGTCATCAGAAGGCTGTGCACCTAGAAATGGCTTGATGCAACTCATTATTTTTTTTTTTTTTTTTTTGAGACAGAGTCTCGCTCTGTCGCCCAAGCTGGAGTGCAGTGGCATGATCTCGGCTCACTGCAACCTCCGCTTCCCAGGTTCAAGCGATTCTCCTGCCTCAGCCTCCCGAGTAGTTGGGATTACAGGTGCGTGCCACCATGCCCGGCTAATTTTTTTGTATTTTTTTTTCAGTAGAGACAGGGTTTCACCATGTTAGCCAGGATGATCTCAATCTCCTGACCTTGTGATCCACCTGCCTTGGCCTCCCAAAGTGCTGGGATTACAGGCGTGAGCCACCACACCGGCCATGTTTTTGTTTTTGTTTGAGATGGAGTCTTGCTCTGTCACCCAGGCTGGAGTGCAGTGGCATGATCTTGGCTCACTGCAAGCTCCACCTCCTGGGTTCAAGCGATTCTCGTGCCTCATCCTCCCGAGTAGCTGGGATTACAGGCACCCGCCACCATGCCCAGCTAATTTTTGTATTTTAGTAGAGACAGTGTTTCACCATGTTGGCCAGGCTGGTCTCGAAATCCTGACCTCAGGTGATCCTCCCACCTCGGCCTCCCAACGTGCTGGGATAACAGGTGTGAGCCACTGCGCCTGTCCTTGATGCAACATATATTTTAAAAAGATTTCCCTGGCTGCTTTGTAGGTGGCAAGATTGGAAGCAGAGTGGCTGTTTAGCAGGTTTTTGTAGTAGTCTGGTTGAGATACAGTGATGGCTCAGAGACCATTGAAATGTTATCAGTGGCAGTGGAAGGAAGCGGTGGGTTTGAAATCTTTTCAAGGAAGAGTTAGCAGGATTCAGTCTTGGAGTGTAAGCGGAAAAAAAAGGATTCATGCTTTTTAGGGAGAGCCTGTGGAAGAATGGGCTTTGTAATTACTGAAATGGGGAAAGTAGATTTGGGGCTTGCAAAATCAAGGGTGGGTTTGCTTATGTTAAGCTTCAGGGCTTACTGGACGCAGCATAGATGCCATGCAGGCAGCTCAGTATAGAAGTCTGGAACTGGGAGGTCAGATCAGCATTGGAGGAAAATTTGGAGAGCCTTCAATGTAGAGATATAGAGTCTTGTGACTGGATGAAATCCCCTAGGGAATAAATATAGCAAGGACAGAAACCTGAAGCACCCTGATACCTAGAGGTTTACAGCAGGAGAAGGTATGGCAAGGAAATGTAGGTTGAACAACAGCAGGATAGAAGGTGAACTCAGGAACTCAGGAAGAAAAGTACCAAAAAGATCTGGCCATGAAGATTAGATAGGTATGTAATAGTTTCTACATGCATTTTCTCATATAATTCTGTTTTTTTTTTCTTTTAGTGCAGTTCGAGTACTTATACTTACATAGTTAAGCTGCTTTCTAATCAATGCTTGTTTGTAAAAGTACCATTCTTTATGCATATATGCATTCTTTATGTAAAAGCACACTTTACGCATATAGATTTTTCTGTATTTGCTTAGGATAGATTCTCAGAGACAAGATATTTCTGAAGCTTTCAGACACTCACAGTGTTTGGTAGTATTCATTTCATTGTACTCTTTAAGAATGGTTAATTTTTATTTTAAATAAATGTTTTCGCTCATTTATTTTACAAGTCGTAGAATGTTGCTTTTCATTGTGAAAATTTTCAAAAATACATGCCACTAATCTACCCCTATTGTCGCACAAATATTTTCTTTTTTTTCTTTGTTTTCGAGATGGAGTTTCGCTCTTGTTACCCAGGCTGGAGTGTAAAGGCGTGATCTCGGCTCACTGCAACCTCCACCTCCCGGGTTCAAGCAATTCTCCTGCCTCAGCCTCCCGAGTAGGTGGGATTACAGGCACCCGCCACCATGCCTGGCAAATTTTTTTGTATTTTTCATAGAGATGGGGTTTCACCAGGTTGGCCAGGCTGGTCTCGAACTCCTGACCTCAGGTGATCCACTTGCCTTGGCCTCCCAAATTCTGGGATTGCAGGCGTAAGCCACCGCGTCCCACCACAAATAATTTCAAGTAAATCCAGGACTTCATGTCATTTCACCCTTGCATAATCTCATGTAATTCTAAAAAATACTGATACTTTCTCCCTTATATAACCTTAATGCAAAGTTATATAAATTTTACAGTGATTTCTTTGTATACTGGACTGCTTTATTGTCATTATATTGAATACTTGTAAGAGTGTACATTTTCACCATAGCATGATAATTACCTTGTTCATTTCTATATTTCATACTTTTAATCTATTACTGTGTTGATTTTTTCAGTTTTTATGGACTTTGCAAAATAATAACATTTACCTGTCTATTGGTTCCCAGAGGGTGCTTTTACTTTTTTTTTTGAAACAGGGTCCCACTCTTGCCCAGGCTGGAGGGCAGTGGCACTATCACGGCTCACTGCAGTCTTGACCACTTCCTGGGCTCACGTGATCCCCCCACCTCAGCCTCCTGAGTAGATGGGACTACAGATGCATGCCACCACACCTGGTTAATTTTTTGTATTTTTTGTAGAGACGGGGTTTTGCCACGTTGCCCAGGCTGGTCTGGAACTCCTGGGCTCAAGTGATCCCACCACTCAGGCTCCAGAAGGGCTGAGATTACAGGCATGAGCTACTGCTCCCAAACTAGCTGCCTAATTTTTTAGTTTTTTTGAGACAGAGTCTAGTCCTGTCGCCCAGGCTGGAGTGAAATGGCGTGATCTGGGTTCACTGCAACTTCTGCCTCCAAGATTCAAGTGATTCTCATGCCTTAGCCTCCCGAATTGTGAGAATTACAGGCATGCAGCACCACACCCAGCTAATTTTTGTATTTTTAGTAGAGACAGGGTTTTGCCATGTTGACCAGGCTGATCTCTAACTCCTGGCCTCAAGTGATCCTCCCACCTCAACCTCCCAAAGTGTTGGGATTACAGGAGCAAGCCACTTCACCCAGCCGAGCTACCTAATTTTAACTTTTCTTCAACACTTGTATTTGTTTACAATTTCACCAGCAGTATATGAATGTTCCCATTGTTGCACATGCTTCCTAATGTACGGTATTGTCAAACTTTAATTTTTTTTTTTTTTTTTTTTGAGGCAGAGTTTCACTCTTGTTGCCCAGGCTGGAGTGCAATGACACGATCTCGGCTCACCGCAACCTCTGCCTCCCGGGTTCAAGTGATTCTTCTGCCTCAGCCTCCGAAGTAGCTGGGATTACAGGCATGCGCCACCACGCCCGGCTAATTTTGTATTTTTAGTAGAGATGGGGTTTCTCCCTGTTGGTCAGGCTGCTCTCGAACTCCTGACCTCAGGTGATCGGCCTGCCTCGGCCTCCCAAAGTGCTGGGATTACAGGCGTGAGCCACCATGCCCAGCCCAAACTTTGATTTTTATCAATTAGTGAGTGTATAATAATAATTCAGTGTGGTTTTAATTTGCATTTCCTTCTTTTTTTCTTTTTTTTTTTTTTTTTTTTTTTTTTTTTTTTTTGAGATGGAGTCTCGCTCTGTCACCCAGGCTGGAGTGCAGTGGCATGATCTCAGCTCACTGCAACCTCTGCCTTCCAGGTTCAAGCAATTCTCCCACCTCAGCCTCCCAAGTACCTGGAATTACAAGCACGTGCCACCAAGCCCAGCTAATTTTTATATTTTTTGTAGAGATGGGGTTTCACCATGTTGGCCAGGCTGGTCTTCAACTGCTGACCTCAAATGACCCACCCGCCTCCCAAAGTGCTGGGATTATAGTCTTGAGCCACCGTGCCCGGCCACATTTTTCTTTCCTGATGAGTTTTAGCACACATTTTCAAGTCATTGGTTTTTTGAAATTCTTTTTTTTTTTTTTTTTTTGAGACAGAGCCTCACATTGTTGCCCAGGCTGGAGTGCAGCGGTGCGATCTTCGCTCACTTCAACCTCTGCCTCTCAGGTTCAAGTGGTTCTTCTGCCTCAGCCTCCTGTGTAGCTGGGATTATGGGCACCCACCACTATGCCCATCTAATTTTTTATATTTTTAGTAGAGATGGGGTTTCACTGTGTTAGCCAGGATGGTCTCAAATTCCTGACCTCGTGATCCGCCTGTCTCGGCCTCCCAAAGTGCTGGGATTACAGGCGTGAGCCACCATGCCCAGCTGAAATTCTTTAGTGAATTGCCTGCTCAAATCTTTTGCCTGTTTTTCTGTTGAATTGTCTGTATTTTTCTTTCTTTTTTTTTTTTTTTGACGGAGTCTCGCTCTGTCACCCAGGGTGGAGTGCAGCGGCGCCATCTCGGCTCACTGCAAGCTCCACCTCCCGGGTTCACACCATTCTCCTACCTCAGCCTCCCAAATAGCTGGGACTACAGGCACCTGCCACCTCGCCCGGCTAATTTTTTTGTATTTTTAGTAGAGATGGGGTTTCACCGTGTTAGCCAGGATGGTCTCGATCTCCTGACCTTGTGATCCACCTGCCTCGGCAAAGTGCTGGGATTATAGGCATGAGCCACTGCGCCTGGCCGAATTGTCTGTATTTTTCTTAATGTGTAAGAGTTCTTTATATGTTCTGCTTATGGGACTTTGCATGTTCTACAAACTACAAGTATCTTTTTCTACTCTGAATTGAATTTAGCTCTGTTTACGGTTTTCTTTTCTGTGAGCAGAAGTTCTTAATGATTACTGTAGTCAAATGTATCCATCTTTTCTTTTATGCTTCACACTCGTAGGGACTCAGTTAAGAAATTCTTCCTTAGCCTATATTTGAATCTTACATGAATGGAATCATCACATATGTATAGTCAGCCCTTCGTATTTGTGGATTCTGCATCCACAGACTCAACCAATCATGGATGTAAAATACGTATAGTTGGCCCTCTGTATTAGTAGGTTGAGACTCACAGTTGGTTGAAACCAACTTACTGTGCCATTTTATATAAGGGACTTGAGCATCCGCAGATTGTGTCTGCCATGGTCCTGAAACCAAACCTCAACTGTCCTCACCCCTCCCACCTGGTACAGAGGGACAGCTGTACATTGTTGTCTTTTTTAATATATCTTTGCCTGCCACAAGGCCATGAAGATATTCTTAACTGTTTTCTTTTTGATAGATGATTCTTGTTCCTTTCCATTAGAGAAAAATGTTTTCCTCTAATAGGCTAAATTTTTACTGTGATAAATTCAGATATGGTTACCTTTATTCCCCTTATGCCTTGCTCCTGGTAGTATTTTTCAATCTGAGGACTTACATCTTTTTTTTTTCAGTGATAGGAAATTCTTAGTAGTCATCTCTTCAAATATTGCCTTGTTACCTTTTCCTTTTTTCCTTCTATTAAACTGACATAAAACGTCTGTGTGTTTCTTACTCTTTATCTGTTTTTCCATTTATACTGCCTTTATATATATTTATACTGCCTTTATATATATTTAATATATATATTTCTTTGGCCTTGATTTATATTGATTTGCTAATATATTCTGTAACAATGACCTTTATGCTTTTCAACCTATCCATTAAATTTTTCCCTTAAAATAGTATTTATAAGCTGGGCATGGTGGCTAACACCTGTAATCCCAGCACTTTGGGAGGCCGAGGTGGGTGGATCACGCGGTCAGGAGATCGAGACCATCCTGGCTAACATGATGAAACCCCGTCTCTACTAAAAATACAAAAAAAATTGGCCGGGCATGGTGGCGGGCACCTGTAGTCCCAGGTACTCGGGAGGCTGAGGCAGGAGAATGACATGAACCTGGGAGGCGGAGCTTACAGTGAGTTGAGATCGTGCCACCGCACTCCTGGGCTACAGAGCAAGACTCCGTCTCAAAAAAAAAAGTATTTATAAACATAGTAGAATATATAGAATGTATATATGTAAACATGTAATTATGACAATAATATTTACATCTGCAGACTTAGACATGTGCAAGAGATTTGTTAGGAAATACACTTAGGAATACCATTGCAGGATCTTGGTGTACGTACTTACTCAGCTTTGCAAGGTGATGCCAAACTGTTTTCCAAGTGTTGTATTAGTTTACGTTGGAAGTACTTTTGTTCCACCATCTTTCCTTATGATATTATTTTTTCATCTTTTAATAATCTGATTGGTGAGTATGAACTCTTATTTTATAATTTTAAATTAAATTTCCCTGGTCATTTTTGAAGATGATTACCTTTCCATATGTTTATTGGTCATTAGTGTCTCTTCTGTATAATGTCATTTTGATCCATTTTGTATTAGGCTAATTTGTCTTTTTCCTAAGATTTGTAGGAATTCCTTGTATAAATTCTAGATACTCATTTTTGATCAATCGCATGTTTTATAGATATGTTTTCCAGTTTGTGTCTTTTTTATTCACTTTCGTTATGATATCTTTTGAAGAACAGTAATTCTTTGTGTTAATATTGTCAAATTGTATGTTTAGTGGTTAAATTATATATTGCTTATAAACATTTTTATCTTTTTCCTGTATGCTTTATACTTTTTGGATCTTCAGAAACCCCTTCCTAGCCCAATTTTCTACTTTGATTCCCAAAATTTTTTTTTTAAGACAGAAAAAGTCACCCAGGCTAGAGTGCACTGGAACAATCACGGCTCACTGCAGCTTCTACCTCCTAGGCTCAGGTGATCCTCCCACCTCAGCCTCCCAGGACTGCAGGCGCATGCCATCACTCCCGGCTAACTTTTCATATTTTTTGTAGAGACAGGGTTTTGCCATGTTGCCCATGCTGATCTCGAACTCCCAAGAATTTTTATGTTTCCGCTTTCTTATTAAAGACCTATTAATGCAACTTTAATTGATTTTTATGAATAGTATGAGATGGAGATCAGTTATTTTTCCTATATAGAAAACGAATTGGCTGGGTGTGGTAGCTCATGCCTATAATCCCAGCACTTTGGGAAGTTAAGGCAGGAGGGTTGCTTGAGCCCAGGAATTCAAAACCAGCCTGGGCAACAGAGGGAAACACCGTCTCTTAAAAAAAAAATTATGTTTCCCTCTCAAATGAAAACTCCGTCTATTCTTCATTGATCAACAATGCTCCTCTGTCATATATTCAGATTTCATATATGCATTGGGTCTTTCTTGTTACATTGAGCCTTTTTATCCCTGCCTTAATTACTCTTGTTTATATAACAAGTCTTGATTTCTGATAGGACACATCTCTCCACCTTTTCTTTAGGCATATTTTGGTTATACTTATCTCTTTGATCTTTCATATAGTATTAAAAATTACTTTATGTTTTATTTAAAATGTTGAGTTTTTAATATGTATAATTACATCGAATTTGGCCGGGTGTGGTGGCTCATACCTGTAATCCCAACACTTTGGGAGGCCGAGGTGGGCAGATCACTTGAGGCCAGGAGTTCGAGACCAGCCTGGACAACGTGGTGAAACCCAGGCTCTACTAAAAATACAAAAACTAGCCAGGTGTGATAGCACACAACTGTAATCCCAGCTACTCGGGAGGCTGAGGCACAAGAATTGCTTGAACCCGGGAGGTGGAGGTTGCAGTGAACCGAGATCGTGCCACTGCACTCCAGCCTGGGTGATGGAGTGAGACTCTGTCTCAAAAAAAAAAACCCAAAAAAAGCAAACACAAAAATTAGCCAGGTGTGGTGGCGCACACCTGTTGTCCCAGCTACTTGGGAGTCCGAGGCATGAGCATCACTTGAACCCAGGAGGCAGAGGTTGCAGTGAGCCAAGATGGTACTACTGTACTATAGCCTGGGCAACAGAGCGAGACTCTGCCTCAAAAAAAAAAAAAAAAAAAAAAAGAAATTACATTGAATTTGTAGATCACTTTAGTAGTAACTGATATCTTTATTACGTTAAATCATGTTTGCCATGACCACAGTACTTTTCTCCATTTATTTAGGCCTTCTTGATGGTATTTCAGTGTATTTTTATAAACTTATCTCAAAAAAGGGCTTATAGTTCATTTGATATTTTATTTCTAGGTATTTTCTATATATTTTTGGGGGTCTACAAATGCAGTTGAGTTGTTTATTGCGTAGGATGTAGACAGAGATAATTCCAGCTGGAGTGTAGTGGTGAACCCACAGCTCACTGCAGTCTGGACCTCCTGGGCTCAAGCAATCCTCCTACCTCAGCCCCCGAGTAGCTGAAACCGCAGACATGTGCCACCGTGCCCAGCTAATTTTTAAAATTTTGGTAGAAACCAGGTCTCCCTGTGTTATCTAGGCTGATTTTGAACTCCTGGGCTCAAGCAGTCCTCCCATCTTGGCCTCCCAAAGTGCTGGGATTACTGCGTCTGGCCCAAGATAAGCCTTCCAGTTTTGGCAGAAGGCACAGGAAATGGGATTTTTTTTTTTTTTTTTTTTTTTTTTTTTTTTTTGAGACAGAGTCTCGCTGTGTCACCCAGGCTGGAGTGCAGTGGCACAGTCTCGGCTCACTGCAACCTCCGCCTCCTGGGTTCAAGCGATGCTCCTACCTCAGCCTCTCGAGTAGCTTGGATTACAGGCACCCCCCACCACGCCTGGCTAATTTTTTGTATTTTTAGTAGAGGCGGGGTTTCACCGCGTTAGCCAGGATGGGAGGAAATGGGATTCTTAACACCAAGAGAGATTGGGGCAATCTCTTGCTTGTGTGTATATGCACATACATATGTACATATATACATATATGTATATATACACAAATATATGTCTATATTTTCCCCCCTGTTTTTGCATGTCCCAGCCTCCAGACAATCTCACAGCAGCAGCAGCAATAGTGGAAGCAGTGGGGGCCTGCAGGTATCTAAAACTACAAGGAATAGGAACCTTCTTTTCCTGTTAGAGTTGCCGTGGAGTGAACCCCTATTACTTTTTTTCTCTGTTTCCTCCTGCCATACCCAGGCATAGTTGCAGAAAATACATAGCAGAGGGAGGTAACTAAAGCCCCAGCGTTAGGACTAGAGAACTGAATAGGGGAGCTCCAGGGAACTAGAAAGTATTAAGAAGATCCCAGAAAGGAACAAGTTCAAAAAAGCAACCTATGTTCAAGTTCAAAAAACCCAAAGTTGGCCCCGGCATGGTGGCTCATGTCTGTAATCCCAGCACTTTGGGAGGCCGAGGTGGGTGGATCACCTGAAGTCGGGAGTTCAAGACCAGCCTGACCAACATGGAGAAACCCCATCTCTACTAAAAATACAAAATTAGCCAAGCGTGGTGGTGCATGCCTCTAATCCCAGCTACTCGGGAGGCTGAGGCAGGAGAATTGCTTGAACCCGGGAGGCAGAGGTTGGGGTGAGCCGAGATCATGCCATTGCACTCCAACCTGGGCAACAAGAGTAAACTCCATCTCCAAAAAAAAAAAAAAACCCAAAGTTCAAAAAACTCAGTTTTTATGAACTCTTAGGCTCATTTTTGCCCGAATATATGTGGATCTGTCCCTAAATAACATATCAAAGACTTTAAGAACTAAAGTGTAAGTTCAGATTGGATTGGGTGGTGTACACACAGGACAAATCCAAATAACACTGCAAAGGCCTTGAAAACTGACACTGGAATCACAGTCCACACAAGCCTTGTTGGAACTTGCAGCCTGTACCCAACATGGTCAATACCTGTTAAAACAAAATATGAACCATCTCCATAGGATTTATTTTATTTTTTTATTTTATTTTATTTTATTTTTTCTGAGACAGAGTCTCGCTCTGTCGCCCAGGCTGGAGTGCAGTGGCGTGATCTTGGCTCACTGCAACCTCTGCCTCCTGGGTTCAGGGGATTCTCCTGCCTCAGCCTCCCTGAGTAGCTGGGACTACAGGTGCACGCCACTAAGCCTAACTAATTTTTTTTGTATTTTTAGTAGAGATGAGGTTTTACCGTGTTGGCCAGGTCTCAAACTCTTGACCTCAGGTGATCCACCTGCCTCGGACTCCCAAAGTGCTGGGATCACAGGCGTAAGCCACTGCGTCCAGCCAAGAGTTTTAATTAGATGTATCTTGGTATAATTTCTGAAGTTCAAAGAAACAGAAAACTCCATTGAAGTAACAACCTAGTAACTCAGGGTGTATCCTACACATGTTTGTGTTTGGTGCTGCCCCTACAGTTCTCTAATGTTCTGAATTAGTTACCAGCCTCAAGCTATCAGGGGATTTAATATAGAAATCTGGATTTCTAGTTTTCCTTGGAGAGCTGGAAAGCAGCACTGGACCTTCATTCTCACATGACAGCTGTCTCCTGGATTTAACAAGCACTTAACCCCTTTGAGAAGGGGTACAAGCTCTTTTACTAACCACTGTCCCCACTATTGCCTACTCTCACACAGACTCTGAGGGCACAGCCTGAGCTGCAATGTACATTTGCAGTATTACTTTTCTTAATCTCACCTTCATTACTGAAGGATATTTTTGGTAGATACAAAATTCTGGATTCACAACTCTTTTTTTCAGCACAATAAATTATTGTTCCAATTTTTTTCTGGCCTCCAGAGTTTATGAAGAGCAATCCAGTCATTCAAATCATTGTTCACCCAGAAGTAATATATATTTTTTTACAGTTCTTTCACTATTTATTTTGTCTTTGATTTTCAGCAGTTTGATTATGATGTGTCTGAGTATGGATTTCTTTGGGTTTATCCTATTTGGGGTGGCTGAGCTTCTCAAAATGGCTTTGCTTGTTTTATCTTTCACAAAATTTGTAAGTTTTCAGCCATTATTTCTTCAAATCTTTTTTGAGTCCTATACTATCTCTTCTCCTTCTGAAACCCTGATGACACAAATGTTAAATCTTTTCTTGTTCTACATTCCCAGAGGCTATGTTCTTTTTGCATTTTCCATCTTTTTTTCGCTGCTATTCATATTAGCTAATTTCTTTTGAACTATCTTCAAGTTTATTGACTTTATTACCTCCATTCTGCTGTTGAGCCTAGCCAGTGGTTTTTATTTCGGCTACTGCACTTTTCAGTTCTAAAACTTGTTTATTCTTCTTTATATATTCTATTCTTTTGCTGAAACTTTCTATTTTTATATTGGTTTGCAGAGTGTGCATGATTCCTTATTCAAGCATTTTTAAAATAGCTGCTTTAAAGTCATTATCTGATAATTCCAACATGAGTCACCTTTATTTTGGTGTCTGTTGTCTTTTGCCATGTAAGTTAAAATTTTCTTCATTCTTCATATGTTGAGTGATTTTGGATGGTATCCTAAGGCATTCTGAATATTATTCTATGAGACCCTAGGTCTTTCTTTAAATCCTATGAAAGCCAGGCACAGTGGCTTATGCCTGTAATCCCAGCACTTTGGGAGGTCAAGGTGGGCAGATCACTTGAGGTCAGGAGTTCGAGATCAGCCTGGCCAACGTGTTGAAACCTCGTCTTTACTAAAAATACAAAAAAAATAGCTGCGTATGATCTCAGCTACTTGGGAGGCTGAGAGGCAGGAGGATCTCTTGAACCCAGGAGGTGGAAGTTGCAGTGAGCTGAGATCACGCCACTGTACTCTCACCTGGGCAACAGAGCAAGGTTCTGTCTCAAAAAAAAAAAAAAAAAGTAATAGGTGGCCAGGCGCGGTGGCTCACGACTGTAATCCCAGCACTTTGGGAGGCCGAGGCGGGTGGATCACCTGAGGTTGGGGTTCGAGACCAGCCTGGCCAACATGGTGAAACCCCGTCTTTACTAAAAATACAAAAAATTAGCCGGGCGTGGTGGCGCATGCCTGTAATCCCAGCTACTCAGGAGGCTGAGGCAGGAGAATCGCTTGAACCTGGAAGGCAGAGGTTGTGGTGAGCCGAGATCAAGCCATTGCACTCCAGTCTGGGCAACAAGAGCAAAACTGTCTCAAAAAAAAAAAGTAATAGGCTGGGAGCGGTGGCTCACGCCTGTAATCCCAGCACTTTGGGAGGCCCAGGTGGGTGGATCACACGGTCAGGAGTTCAAGACCAGCCTGGCCAAGGTGATGAAACCCCATCTCTACTAAAAATACAAAAATTAGCCAGGCATGGTGTCTCATGCCTGTAATCCCAGTTACTTGGGAGGCTGAGGCAAACACAAAACAAAACAAAAACCTCTTTCCTCATATATATTGCTCAGCAAAAAGGGAACCATCTGAATACTAAGAGTTTTCATCAACCCTGGAAATTTGTTTTATTAGGGTTCTATATCATTGCCATATTTTCCTTCCAGAATTCATATTTGACATTCATTTTATTTCTTACATCAATTTTTCTTCCCTATGACTTATTATTTTCTGTCATCACTTTCATCCTTCTCTGAAAGTTTTTTAAACAATTCATTCCAGCTTTTTCCCTAGCTTTATTGAGGTATATTTGGCAAATAAAAATTATATATATTGGCCAGGCGTGGTGGTGCATGCCTGTAATCCCAGCTACCTGGGAGGCTGAGGCAAGAGAAGCACTTAAACCTAAGAGGCAGAGGTTGCAGTGAGCCAAGATCGCGCCATTGCACTCCAGCCTGGGCGACAAGAGTGAAAACTTTGTCTCAAAAAGAAAAATTATATGTATTTACAGTATACAGTTAGGTATTTTGATATATGTGTATACATTGTGAAATGATTACCATAATCAAGCCAATTAATGTATCTATCACATCACATAGTTACCAATTTGTATATGTGTGTATGTGGTAAGAACATTAAGATCTACTCCCATAATAAATTCCAAGTATACAATACAGTATTATAAACTATAGTTACTATGGTATACGTTCTGTACTGGTATTACCATTAATGGTATGTACTTACATGGCAGTACATACTATTAATATATAATGCTGTATATTAGATCTCCAGAAATTTTTTATTCTGAGTAACTAGAACTTTGTACCCTTTGACCAATATCTTCTTTCCTCCGTCCCCCAACCCCTGGTGACCTCCATTCTACTCTCTTCTTCTATGAGTTCAACGTTTTAGAGTTCATATATAAGTGAGATCACTGCAGTATCTGTCTTTCTGTGCCTGGCTTATTTCACATATGTCCTCCAGCTTCATCTATGTTGTTGAAAATAACAGGATTTTCTTCATTTTTAAGTCTTAATATTCCAGTGTTTGTGTATTTGTATATATACACACACATTCCATTATGTGTGTGTATATGTGTATGTGTGTGTGTATACATATATATGCCCACACATCACATTTTCTTTATCAATTTATCCATTGATTCCATATCTTGGCTATCATGAATGATGCTGCAATGAACATAAGAATGCAGATTTTTTTTCCCCCATACTGATTTGATTTCATTTGGATATATACCCAGAAGTAAGCTTGCTGAGTTATAGGGTAGTTTTGAGAAACCTCCATGCTGTTTTCCATAATGGCTGTTTCAATTTATGCCACCAACAGTGTCCAAGGATTCCCTTTTTGCCACATCCTTTCCAACACTTGTTATTTTTTGTCCTTTTGATAATAGCAGTTCTGACAGGTGTGAGGGGATTTTTGTTTGTTTGTTTATTTTTTTGAGACGGAGTCTCACTCTTGTTGCCCAGGCTGGAGTGCAGTGGTGCAATCTCAGCTCACTGCAACCTCCGCCTCCGGGGTTCAAGCGATTCTCCCACTTCAGCCTCCCAAGTAGCTGAGATTACAAGTGCCCTCCACTAAGCCCACATAATTTTTGTATTTTAGTAGAGATGGGATTTCATCATGTTGGTCAGGCTGGTGTCGAACTCCTGACCTCAAGTGATCCACCCACCTCGGCCTCCCAAAGTGCTGGGATTACAGGCCTGAGCCACAGTAACCAGCAATGAGGTGATATTTCATTGTGGTTTCAATTTCCATTTTCCTGATGATTAGTAATGTTGAGTGTTTTTTCATATACCTATTGGCTGTTTCTATGTCTTCTTTTGAGAAATGCCCATTTTTTAATTGGGTTATTTGTTTTCTTGTTACTGAGTTGAGTTCCTTATACATTTTGGATATTAGCATCTTACCAGATACAAGGTTTGAAAATATTTTATCCCACTCTGTGGATAGTCTCTTCACTCTGTTGTTTCCTTTGCTGTGCAGAAGCTTTTGAGTTTGATGTAATCATATTTTTCTATTTTTTGCTTTTCTTTTCTGTGTTTTTAGTTTTGTGTCTCATGTTTAAGTCTTTAATCCATTTTGAGTTGACTTTCGTATATGTATGCAATAGGAATTCAATTTCATTCTTTTGCATGTGGCTATCCAGTTTCTCATCACCATTTATTGAACTGTCTTTTCCCCATTGTGTGTTCTTGGCATCTTTATTGAAAATCCAATGACCATAAATGCATGGGTTCTGTATGGGTTCTTGGTTCTGTATTCTGTTCCATTGGTTGATGTGTCTATTTTTATGCCAGTGCCGTGCTGTTTTGATTACTGCAGCTTTGTAATCTATTTTGAAATCTATCGGATGTAGTGATGCCTCCAGCTTTGTTCTTCTTGTTCAAGATTACCTTGACTCTTCAGGGTCTTTTATGGTTCCATATGAATTTTAGGATTGTTTTTGCTATTTGTGTGAAAATACCTTTGGAATTTTGTTAGGGATTCCACTGAATGTGTAGATTGCTTTGGGTAGTATGGACATTTTAACAATATTAATTCTTCCCATTTATGAATGCAGAATATCTTTTCATTTATTTTTGTCTTCATTTATTTTTTATTATACTTTAAGTTCTGGGATACATGTGCAGATTGTGCAGGCTTGTTACATAGGTATACACATGCCATGGTGGTTTGCTGCACCCATCACCCCATCATCTACATTAGGTATTTCTTCTAATCCTATCCCTCCCCTAGCTCCCCACCCCCCTTTTTTATTTAATGCAATTTTTTTTTTTTAGATGGAGTCTCACTCTGTTGCTCATGCTGGAGTGCAGTGGTGTGATCTCAGCTCACTGCAATCTACGCCTCCCGGGTTCAAGCAATTCTTCTGCCTCAGCCTCCCGAGTATCTGGGACTACAGGTGCATGCTGCCACGCCCGGCTAATTTTTTTTTTTTTTTTTTTTTTTGTATTTTAGTAGAGATGGGGCTTCACTGTGTTACCCAGGCTGGTCTTGAACTCCTGAGCTCAGGCAATCCACCTGCCTCGGCCTTCCAAAGTGCTATGATTACAGGCGTGAGCCACCATGCCTGGCGTGTCTTCATTTTTTTCATCAGTGTTTTATAGTTTTCCATATACAGATTTCCTTTGTTAAATTTTTTCCTAAGTATTTTATTCTTTTTGATGTTATTATACATGGGATTGTCTTCTTGATTTCTTTTTCTGATAATCTGTTGCTAGTGTATAGAAACAACCGATTTTTGTATCTTACTGAATACACATACATTTATTACTTTTTTTTTTCTTTTTTGAGATGGAGTCTCGCTCTGTCACCCAGTCTGGAGTGCAGTGGTGCAATCTCGGCTCACTGCAAGCTCGGCCTCCCGGGTTCACGCCATTCTCCTGCCTCAGTCTCCCTAGTAGTTGGGACTATAGGCGCCCACCACCATGCCTGGCTAATTTTTTGTATTTTTAGTAGAGAGAGGTTTCACCGTGTTAGCCAGGATGGTCTCGATCTCCTGACATCATGATCCGCCCACCTTGGCCTCCCAAAGTGCTGGGATTACAGGCATAAGCCACTGCATGAGGCCTTATTACTTCTTTTTTTTTGAGACAGAGTCTCGCTCTGTCACCCAGGCTGGAGTGCAGTGGCATGATCTTGGCTCGCTGCAACCTCCATCTCCTGGGTTCAAGCGATTCTCGTGCCTCAGCCTCCTGAGTAACTGGGATTACAGGTGCCCACCATTGCCCGGCTAATTTTTGTATTTTTAGTAGAGACGGGATGTTGCCATGTTGGCCCGGCTGGTCTCAAACTCCTGACCTCAAGTAATCTGCCCGCCTCGGCCTCCCAAAGTGCGGGAATTACAGGTGGGAGCACACTGAGTTGCAAATAAATAACATTTATTACTTCTAACAGTTTTATGGTAGATCCCCTAGGGTTTTTTTGAATTTGGATGCCTTTTATTCCTTTTTATTGCCTAAAAGGAATGAAAAGGACTTTTGGTACTATGTTGAGCAGAGTGTCAAGAGTGGACATCCTTGTCTTGTTTCTGATCTTAGGGGAAAAACCTTTATCTTTCCAATGTTGAGGATAATGTTAGCTATAGGTTTGTCATATATGGCCTTTATTATTTTGAAGTAAATTCCTTGTACACCTAATTTGTTGAGAGAGTTTTGATTATGAAAGTATGTTGAATTTTGTAAGATGACTTTCCTATATCTACTGAAATGATCATATGGTTTTAGGATGTGGTGTATCACATTGATTGCTTTGCTTATATTGAAACATCCCTGCATCCTAGGAATAAATCTCACTTGATCATGTTGCATGATCCTTTTAATGTGCTGTTGAATTCCATTTGCTAGTATTTTGTTGAGGATTTTTGTATCTGTGTTCATCAGGGATATTGGCCTGTAATTTTCTTGTAGATTTTTTGTCTGGTTTTGGTATCAGGGTAATACTATCCTCATAAAATGAGTTTGGAAGTGTTCCGTCTTCAACATTTTGGAAGAGTTTGAGGAGAACTGGAGTTAATTCTTCTTTAAGTGTTTGATAGAATTTACTAGTGAAGCCATCAAGTCTTTGTCTTTTATTTGTTGGGAGGTTTTTGATTACTGATGGAACTATCCTACTCATAATTGGTCTGTTCAGATTTTCTCTTTCTTCATGATTCAGGTTTGGTAGTTTTGTTTCTAGGAATTTATCCATTTTTTTCCTAGTTTATCCAATTTGTTGGCATATAATTATTCATAGTAGTCTCTTATGATTCTTCTTTTGTGTTGTTGTTGTTGTTTTAAAGATGAGGTCTCCCTCTATTGCCCAGGCTAGAGTATAGTGGCATGACCATAACTCACTGCAGTTTTGAACTCCTGGGCTCAGGCAATCTTCCTGCCTCAGCCTCTCAAGTTACTGGGGCTATAGTCATGCACCCCTCTGCCGAGCTAATCCTGACTGTTTTATAGTGTCTTTGTTCCTATCTCACTCTTTCTTTTTGATTTGATTTTTTTATGGTGGTATGATTTGATGTCTTTCTCTTTGTCTTCAGTGTATCTACTAGAGAGTTTTTCTCTGTGGTTACCATAAGGCTTACATATTTAAAACATCTCATAGTTATAACAGTCTATTGTAAGTTAATAATAACTTAACTTTAGGCTGGGTATGGTGGCTCACACCTGTATTCCCAGCACTTTGGGAGGCTGAGGTGGGAGGATAGCTTGAGCCCAGGAGTTTGAGACCAGCCTGAGCAACATAGTGAGACCCTGTCTCTACCGAAATGTTTAAGGATCACTTGAGGTCAGGAGTTGGAAACCAGTCTGGCCAACATGATGAAACTTTGTCTCTACTAAAAATACAAAAAATTAGCCAGGTGTGGTGGCAGGTGCCTGTAATCCCAGCTACTTGGGAGGCTGAGGCAGGAGAATCACTTGAACCTGGGAGGCAGAGGTTGCAGCAAACCGAGATTGTGCCACCGCACTCCAGCCTGGGAGACAGAGCAAGAATCTGTCTCAAAAAAAGATTAACCAGGTGTGGTGGCACATGTCTAGTTTCAGCTACTCAGGAGGTTGAGGTAGGAGGATCCCTTGAGCCCAGGAGGTTGAGGCTACAGTGAGGACTGTGGCCTGGGCTACAGAGCAAGACCCTGTTTCTCAAAAATATAATAATAATAGTAATAATAATAATAATAGCTTAACTTTGACCACATACAAAAAGTCTACACTTTAACTTCTCCACCCACATTACATTATTGATGTTACAATGTACATCTTTTATATATTGTGTATCTATTAGCAAATGATTGTAGGTTTATTTATTTTTATTTTTATTTTATTTTAATTAATTAATTTATTTATTTATTTATTTATTTATTTATTTATTTGAGATAGAGTCTCACACTGTCACCCAGGCTGGAGTGCAGTGGCGCGATCTCGGCTCACTGCAACCTCTGCCTCCTGGGTTCAAGTGATTCTCCTGCCTCAGCCTCCTGAGTAGCCGGGAGTACAGGCGTACACCACCACAGCCAGCTAACTTTTGTATTTTTAGTAGAGACAGGGTTTCACAATGTTGGCCAGGATGGTCTCAATCTCTTGACCTCGTGATCTGCACACCTCGGCCTCCCAAAGTCCTGAGATTACACATGTGAGCCACCAGCGCCCCGCCAGTTTATTTATTTTTAGTACCTTTGTCTTTTAACTTTTTTTTTGTTTGTTTTTTTGTTTTTTTGTTTTTTTTTTGAGACAGAGTCTTGCTCTGTTGCCCAGGCTGGAGTACAGTGGCAAGATTTCAGCTCACTGCAACCTCCACCTCCCGGGTTCAAGCAGTTCTCCTGCCTCACCCTGCTGAGTAGCTGGGATTACAGGCACACGCCACCATACCCAGCTAATTTTTATATTTTTAGTAGAGACAGGGTTTCACCATATTGGGCAGGCTGGTCTCGAACTCCTGACCTAGTGATCTGCCCGCTTTGGCCTCCCAAAGTGCTAGGATTACAGGTGTGAGCCACCGTGCCCAGCCTTGTCTTCTAACTTTTATACTAGAGTTAAAAGTGATTTATACACTATTATTACATTATCAGAGTGTTCTCAATATAACTATATTCCTGCCTTTACAGTGAGTTTTATATTTTTATATTGTTAGTGTCCTTTTCTTTCTACTTGAAGAACTCTTTTTGATGTTTCTTACAAGTTAAATCTAGTGTTGATTTCCTCTCACGTCTTTTGTTTGTTTAGGATTCAGTGATCAGATTAAATGCCTTATAGCTATCAGAGAAAGATTGCATGATGTACGTTTTTACCATATGATCTAGTATGATTTCAAACTATCTTCCCTACTTAATTCATAACACTATTCCACTAAAATATTGAGTACCTACTAGTGTCATACACTTGACAGATTTACAGATGATAAAAACAATATTCATTGAGGTTTCATAATTTGGTTATGCCTCTCAGCTAGTTAAAAAGTCTGGAATTCAGACCTCTTTTACAACCCTAAAGCCTTCAGTTTTCTCAACCACCTTGCTATACTCATTTTTTCTTTTCATCATATCTCATTCCGTAGTCATTTCTTTCTCTATGGGTAACTGATAAGAATACTAGATGAGATCCTGTCCCTCTGTAACCAGACCAAATTATTTCTTGTAAAAATTTATTTGTATTACATGTATATTATAATAGTTTACAAAGCTGTACCTTCCTTACCCCTCCATTTCCTTGTCTAAGAGTCAGTGACTTTCAAGTCTTCTAACTATTCTCCCTTTTTTTTTTTTAACGAGTCAAGGGGTCGGGCCTAATGTCCCCATTTTTGTATGGAAATTCTTTTTTTTGTTGTTTGTTTGTTTTTTTTGA
This sequence comes from Homo sapiens, assembly GCF_000001405.40. Taxonomy (NCBI): domain Eukaryota; kingdom Metazoa; phylum Chordata; class Mammalia; order Primates; family Hominidae; genus Homo; species Homo sapiens. The sequence goes on along the minus strand of NC_000019.10, from coordinate 36,452,004 downwards.
GATGGAGTCTCGCTCTGTTCCCTAGGCTGGAGTGCAGTGGTGTGATCTTGGCTCACTGCAATCTCCACCTCCTGGGTTCAAGCAATTCTTCTGCCTCAGCCTCCTGAGTAGCTGGGATTACAGTGCATGTGCTACCACACCCGGCTAATTTTTGTATTTTTAGTAGAGATAGGGTTTCACCATGTTGGTCAGGCTGGTCTCAAACTCCTGACCTCGTGATCGGCCCGCCTCGGCCCCGCAGAGTGCTGGGATTACAGGCGTGAGCCACTGTGCCTGGCAGAAATTCTTCCATAGTATTTACAAACATTAATCCCAATCCTCACAACAGTTGTAAGGGCTATCATTCCTATTGTATTAGACAGAGAACTGCAGGTTTGGAAGGTTGAACTAATTTGCCCAAGAAAACAAAGCTTATAATTATTCAAGTTTGAGTATAAAACGCATGTAACTGAATCTAGTATCTCTGATCTGTCAGTACCATACACTGCCTTCCATTTTACTCTCTCCCCTTCTCTTGAACCTACAAATGTCTTTTCTGCCAGTCAGTCATTACTACTATAGTGATCATGTACTTGTTAAGTCCCCTCTTCTCTTTAACAAAGGTCAGCATCTCAGAATTACACGACAAACACTATTTTCATCAAACCCCAAACATATACCATATCTGTCCACAAATGAGTCCTATCTACCACTCATACTATGTTCATTCCACACTTGACTTTTCTTAAGCTAGGCTTTTTTCTGGATTGTCACCCTCTAGTTCCTTATCATTTTTTAAAGTGCTCTGGCCCTCCTGTTACAGAATCCAGACCAGGGCTATCCAAGAGAACATTCAGTGGTGATGGAAATGTTTTATATTTGTGATATTTCGTACAGACTTCCAGTACAAAAGCTACCAGCCACATTTGGCTGTTGAACATTGGAAATGTGAATAATGTGACTGAGAAACTGAATTTTCAAATTCAGCTGTTTATTTCAAAATGAAATGCACATTTTACTTAAATTATTTGAAATTTTAAAAGCCACATGTAGCTAGCGGCTACTGTATTAGACGATGCATATCTAACCAGGGGCTGGCAAACTTTTTCTTGAAAGGCAAATAGTAAGTATTTTAGGTTTGCAGTTCACACATTCTCTATCATAACTACTCACTTCTGCCCTTTTAGCGCAAAAGCATCCATAGACAATACGTAACAAGTATGGCTAATAAAACTTCATTTATAAAAATGGGTGCAGGGCCATAGGCCATAGTTTACTGATCTCTGGGAATTTTCCATTAGGCATATTCATTTCATCCGACAATAGCCCTGTTAACAGTGTGATCATTCCTTTATTTATTTATTTATTTATTTATCTATCTATTGAGACAGTGACTCACTCTGTTGCCCAGGCTGGAGTGCAGTGGCAATCTCGGCTCACTGCAACCTCTGCCTCCCGGGTTCAAGCAATTCTCGTGCCTCGGCCTCCCCAGTAGCTGGGATTACAGGCACACACCACCATGCCCCACTAGATTTTTATATTTTTAGTAGAGACAGGTTTCACCATGTTAGCCAGGCTGATCTCAAACTCCTGACCAAGTGATCTGCCTGCCTCACCCGCCCAAGGTGCTGGGATTACAGATGTGAGCCACCATGCCTGGCCATTTCCCTTATTTTATAATTCATACTATGAGATGCTATTATATGTCTGTGTGTATATATGCAATGAGATATTTTGTGTGTGTATGATTAGAGTCATCCTTTAACAAGGGAGATAGGACTAAAGCATGTGTATATTTAGCAGGCTTCCCAAAGTAATTCTGATCTATAGCAATGTTTGGGAACCAGTGACTTACTTTGTTTTCCTAATCACTACCCTCATCTTATTATGTAACCTGTCTTCTAACTCTCTTTTTTCCTCATCCATTTGTAAAAAAAATTCGGTTAAATTCTCCCATATTGATTGAAGTTTTGTTTCTCCCAAACAAGAAAAATGTGAGTGATTACTTTCATATTTTCTTTCAGTCCTGGAATCAAGATGTGAGACCAAGAAATTATTTCTGAAGAAAGAAATTTATGAAATAGAATCAACCCAGTGGGAAATAATGGAAAAACTCACAAGACGTGATTTTCAGTGCTCCAGTTTCAGAGATGATTGGGAATGTAATCGGCAGTTTAAGAAAGAACTCGGCTCTCAGGGGGGACATTTCAATCAATTGGTATTCACTCATGAAGATCTGCCCACTTTGAGTCACCATCCATCCTTCACATTACAGCAAATCATTAACAGTAAAAAGAAATTCTGTGCATCTAAAGAATATAGGAAAACCTTTAGACATGGCTCACAGTTTGCTACACATGAGATAATTCATACCATTGAGAAGCCTTATGAATGTAAGGAATGTGGAAAGTCCTTTAGACATCCCTCAAGACTCACTCATCATCAGAAAATTCATACTGGCAAGAAACCCTTTGAATGTAAGGAATGTGGAAAAACCTTTATTTGTGGCTCAGACCTTACTCGACATCACAGAATTCACACTGGTGAGAAACCCTATGAATGTAAGGAATGTGGGAAAGCCTTTAGTAGTGGTTCAAACTTCACTCGACATCAGAGAATTCACACAGGTGAGAAGCCTTATGAATGCAAAGAATGCGGGAAGGCCTTTAGTAGTGGCTCAAACTTTACTCAACATCAGAGAATTCATACTGGGGAAAAACCCTATGAATGTAAGGAATGTGGCAATGCCTTTAGTCAGAGCTCACAACTTATTAAACATCAAAGAATCCATACAGGTGAGAAACCTTACGAATGTAAGGAATGTGAAAAGGCTTTTCGTTCTGGCTCAGACCTTACTAGACATCAGAGAATTCATACTGGGGAGAAACCCTATGAATGTAAGATATGTGGGAAGGCTTATTCTCAGAGTTCACAGCTTATTAGTCATCATAGAATTCATACTAGTGAGAAACCCTATGAATATAGGGAATGTGGAAAGAACTTTAATTATGACCCACAACTTATTCAGCATCAAAATTTGTACTGGTGATGAAACAGAATATATGAAATGTGTAGGGAGGCTTTTAATTATGGCTCAAAACAGAATTTATCTTGTTAATAATTCCTCTAGATAGAATAATGTAGAAACATTTTATTTGTGGACTACAGCTTATTCAGCCTGGGAAAAATAATGTTGGAGAAATACTCTATGAATAGAATATACTTTGGAAGCCCTTAACTAAACGCTTACTTCTCTTGACATCAGATAATTCAGTCTAGCAATATGATAGATAATTCAGTCTGTCATACTGAAAATGACAGCACTTTTAACACCTTTCTAACCTTCTTAACGTCAGAGAATTTTTGTAGAAATGTAGTCCTGTGATTGTCATTTTTTCCCCTAATTTCTCTAATTGTTACATTCTTAGTATTTTAATCCATATTAAATTTATATGGCTATAAATTTCATCTGTTTACATCCTGATTTGTATACTATTTTAAAAATACCTTTAGTACCTGGGAGAAGTGACCTCTTTATTTTTGAAGATGGCTTATTCTTTTTGTTCTTTATAACATTAAGGCTTTCTTATTGTAAAAATGTTCATGAACGACATTTTACTCAATAGAGATTCTTCATTATCTTCATGGTGTTTTGTTGTGTTACTGTAATATCACTTATGAAATCCTATTGGTGGATATCGTAGTCTCCTCTAGATATTTTGCCATAATACATGCCAAAATACAAGTCCCTGCTGGACATTCTCCCTAAGCACATCTTTGTATCATATCTTTTAATTGCAGAAGTAATGTGTGAATATATTTTCCTTATAAAAGATGCAAACATTACAAAAAGGCAAATGTACCCTTTGACCATATCCCAAAGGATAGTCTTTATCAGTTCATTATTTATTGCTGATCATTTTTCTGTTCATATATACATGCGTGTCTCAGTAAAAATTATAAAATGGGGGATAATTATAATACCTACCTCATAATGCTTTGTGAGGATTAAATGAATTAAGATCGATAAAGTGCTTAGAATTGTGCCTGACATGATAAATACATACTCACTGAATGTTAGTCATCGTTATTATATTCATCATCATCAGTATTATTATTTGTAGAAAGGCTTTTTAACTTCTGCAGAACTTAGTCACCATTAGGCAGGGTGTTTGACTGAAGAAAGACCCTTTGAAGGTAACAAGTTAAGAAAATTTCCCATCATCATGTACTTACTATTGAACATGAAATAATCCTAGGTGTTGGGGGGGAAAGTACTGTGAATAATGTGTGTGAAGGACTTTATTCCGACTAATACTCTTTTTGTCGCATTATATACCCAGTAAAAAAGAAAAGAGAACATAAGCAAAATATTGGTGCACTAATGAGGAAAAAAAGTATGAAAAGAGAAACAGCATCATATTTAAAAAATGGACAGAGATAGAAACATAGTTACAGATTTAAAAGGTTCTGTTGAATATTATGCTTTTTTCTAATATGTTTGAAAATTTAAACAAAATGGTTTTTAAGGAAAATATACATCAATATTGACTCCAAGAAAATTAGGACTCTTCAAAGACTCTCATAAACACAGAGAACAGGGAAAAATTAGCATGTGATCAGTTAACTATTACTAATGAAGCACCAAATCCAGTTTCTTTCTAAGGAAAACTTTATCAAATGTTCAAGGAACTATTTCAGTTATATAGAAGTACACATCTTGGCTCACGCCTGTAATCCCAGCACTTTGGGAGGCTGAGATGGAAGGATCATTTGAGGCCAGGAGCTTGAGACCAGCCTGGCCAACATGTTGAAACCCCATTTTTACTCAAAAATACAAAACTTAGCCAGGCATGGTGGCACATGCCTGTAATCCCAGCTACTGGGGAGGCTGAGGCAGGAGAATCACTTGAATGCAGGAGGTGGAGGTTGCAGTGAGCCAAGATCACGCCATGGCACTTCAGCCTGAGCGACAGAATGAGACTATTAAAAAAAAAAAAAAAAAGTCCACAGTGTAGCTTTGTTTGGGGTTAAGTTAGTGTTTTGAAATGGGCCTTCCCTGTGCTCAAAACATGCTCAGCAAGCAGCTCCCCACGCTGGACAGATCGCATATGTGGAAGGATGAAGTTTATGTCTGTAGAACTGTTATTTTATGCCCCACTTCCTTTTTTCTTAGATCCTGTGTAGACGGGTCTCTCTGAACATTGTGTTACTTTACTTTACTGGCATAAGGAAGTAAAATATTTCATAATAAATTTGAGAAAAGTAGAGTGAGCAAAAATACCTGCAAATGAGAGAATTACTAAAAATGGACTGTTGTAATGTTTTGCGTTATCAAAATGAAAACTGCCAAATGAGATTTTGTTTACTTTCTTTTCTTGTGTGCTTATGTCTTTTATAAAGTTCTTCATCTAAAATTATAGAGATAGTGCATTTGCACCCAAATTAATGAAACAATACCATTAAAGAGAAAGAAAAGGGGCTGGGCACAGTGGCTTACGCCTGTAATCCCAGTGCTTTGGGAGGCCAAGGCAGGGGGCAGCCTGGCCAATATAGTGAAACCCCATCTCTACTAAAAATACAAAAATTAGCTGGGCGTGGTGGCATGTGCCTGTAGTCCCAGCTGCTCGGAAGGCTGAGGCAGGAGAATCGCTTGAACCCGGGAGGCGGAGGTTGCAGTGAGCTGAGATCCTGACTGCACTCCAGCCTGCATGACAGAGTCTCAAAAAATCTGTCTCAAAAAAAAAAAAAAAAAAGAAAGAAAAAATGATTATCTTTGCCCTTCTCCGTTCCTCATTCCCTCCCCTCTGTCAATTTTCTTCTGAATAATATTTAAAGGTTGTGTATATTACCCATATATTTCTTCATGCTAAAACATTAACACACAATTATTTTATTATGTTTTTACAGAAAAATGGATAACTATACATTTCCCTGAAATTTGCTTTTTTACATTCAACTGTACATTTTGGATTTTCCTTCAATAGATGATGATCTAACAGTCTTTCTGATGGTTACAGTATGTTCCACAGTGTTATTTACCAATGCCTTTTCAACCACTTTCCCAATTGTGATATTATGGATTGTTTGCGCTTTTTTGCCATCTAAAAGTAATGCTGCAACAAACACTTTGTATTCTTGTCTGTTTTATTTCTATAAAATAAGCTTCCCAAGTCATTTCCAGTGTTTTTGCTTTGTTTTGTTTTGAGACAGAGTTTCACTCTTGTTTCCCAGGCTGGAGTGCAATGGCGCAATCTTGGCTTACTGCAATCTCCGCCTCCCGGGTTCAAGAGATTCTCCTGCCTCAGCCTCCCAAGTAGCTGGGGTTACAGGTATATGCCACTACGCCTGGAAAATTTTGTATTTTTAGTAGAGACGGCATTTTTCCATGTTGGTCAGGCTGGTCTCGAACTCCTGACCTCAGGTGATCCACCCTCCTCGGCCTCCCAAAGTGCTGGCATTATAGGCATGAGCCACCGCACCCGGCGTCATTTCCAGTGTTTTCTATGTTTCCTAGGAAGGTTTTGCTTCTGGAAGATTTCAGAGGGCAAGAGAATAAAGGAGTGGAGTGCAGTTTTTCATATATGTGATTCTGTGAGTGTGTATACACAGAGATTTAATATTTTAATACATCAGGAATTGATTATACGATCTAATGCAGGATGTCAGACTTGTTTCTATCCAGGAATAAAACCAGTTATGCCAGAAGTAACTATTATTCACCTTTCTCCTACTGAATTAAAATACTATCAGTTGTATATTAAATGCTCACATCTATTTCTGTTCTCCATATTCTAGCAATCCTTGACACTTTTCAATAGCTTTTATTACTTGGAAATAAAGATGTATGTATATATTATTAATATATAGTTTATTATTTGGAAATAAAGATGTTTCTTCATGAGAATTTTTGACTCATTTATTTTCCAATGAAAACCCCATTAGGATTATATTTTGAATTTCATTCAGTTTAAATGCAGAGTATCCTACATGAATAAACAATTGACACTGAATGGAATTCATTAACACATCTTGAGGTTTCTTTTATAACTCTTCATCCTCTTGACTCTCTAATATCTAATAATAACACCATCTACTGTGATGTCTCACAATACTTAAAATATGCTAGTAATACCTGAAAATTTATTAGAGTTCTGCTTATAAGGTGATAGATTCTTTTGGGCTCTATAGTTATATAATCTGCAGATAAAGGTGACATACCTATCTCACAATATTTTTTATATCTATTTTATTTTATTTTATTTGAGACGGAGTCTCCCTCTGTCGCCAGGCCGGAGTGCCGTGGCGCGATCTTGGCTCACTGCAACCTCTGCCTCCTGGGTTCAAGTGATTCTCCTGCCTCAGCCTCCTGAGTAGCTGGGACTACAGGTGCACACCACCACGCCCAGCTAATTTTTGTATTTTTAGTAGAGACAGGGTTTCACCATGTTGGCCAGGATGGTCTCGATCTCTTGAACTTGTGATCCGCCCGCCTTGGCCTCCCAAAGTGCTGGGATTATAGGCATGAGCCACTGCGCCTGGGCCATCTTATTTTCTTATTGCATATGCAGACCACAGACCTGGTGAGAGTGGGTATTGGGCAGCACTTTTTTTTTTTAACCATATTTTACTCATTTTTTACAGAACAGCCAGTTTTTGAGATTTTGTTTTCTTCTTCCTATTTTTAGCCCTACTCTTGTTTGTGTGTTATAAGAGAAATGACTTATTGCCTTGGTGAAATGTGTTAAAACTGTGTATATTACCTCCCTTCATTGGACCCTTAATTTCTCCATGGTCTCTAGTACAGGCTATGATTTTCTATTCCTACTTTATAGAAAATAGATTTTCTATTCCTATTTCCATCCCATTTTCATTCAACTGAAAATGTGATGGGCAATATCTATACTTTATATCTGTGAGGATTCTGTGTAGACATTCTGTCATCTTACTTTTAAGTGTAAACTACAGAAATAAACCACAGGTTCAATGCAATCCCTATAAAAATACCAATGACATTATTCACAGAAATAGAAAAAATAGCCCTAAAATAGCCACAAAAGACCCAGAATATCCAAAGCCATCCTAAGCAAAAAGAACAAAACTGGAGAAATCACATTACCTGACTTCAAATTATACTGCTGAGCTATAGTAACCAAAACTGCATGGTACTGGCATAAAAACAGACACATCAACCGATGGAACAGAATAGAGAACCTGGAAATACATCCGTACATCTACAGTGAACTCATTTTCAACAAAGGTGCCAAGAACATACATTGGGGAAACGATAGTCTCTTCAGTAGATGGTGCTGGGAGAACAATATCCACATGCAGACTGAAACTAAACCCCTACATCTCACCATATACAAAAATCAAATCAAAATGAGGCCAGGCATTGTGGCTCATGCCTATAATCCCAGCACTTTGGGAGGCAGAGGCAGGTGGATCAGCTGAAGTCTGGAGTTTGAGACCAGCCTGGCCAACATGGAGAAACCCCGTCTCTACTAAAATACAAAAATTAGCTGGGTGTGGTGGCATGTGCCTGTAATCCCAGAAACTCTGGAAGCTGAGGCGGGAGGATCGCTTGAACTTGGAAGACAGAGGCTGCAGTGAGCCAAGATCATGCCACTGCACTCCAGCTTGGGCAACAGAGCAAGACTGTCTCAAAAAAAAAACAAAACAAAACGGCGGGGCACGGTGGCTCACGCCTGTAATCCCAGCACTTTGGGAGGTCGAGGCGGGTGGATCACGAGTTCAAGAGATCGAGACCATCCTGGCCAACATGGTGAAACCCCATCTCTACTAAAAATACAAAAATTAGCTGGGCATGGTGGCACGCGCCTGTAGTCCCAGCTACTTTGGAGGCTAAGGCAGGAGAATCACTTGAACCCAGGAGGTGGAGGTTGCAGTAAGCCGAGATCACACCACTGCACTCCAGCCTGGCGACAGAGCAAGACTCCGTCTCAAAAAATAAAATATGAAAAACATTAGCCAGGCATGGCGGTGCGAGCCTGTAATCCCAGCAACTTGGAGGCTGAGGCAGGAGAATCACTTGAACCTGGGAGGCGGAAGTTGCAGTGAGCCAAGATCGCGCCATTGCATTCCAGCCAGGGAAGAAAAAAAAAAAAGATTAAAGACCAGGATATTGGTCTGGACAAAGATTTCTTGAGTAATAAATACCCCAACATCCCAGGTAATGAAAGCAGAAATGGATAAATGGGATCACATCAAGTTAAAAAGCTTCTGGAGCACAGCAAAGGAAACAATCAACAAAGTGAAGGGACAACCCACAGCATGGGAAAAAAATTTGCAAACTATCCATCTGACAAGGGATTAATAATATACAAGGAGCTCAAACAACAGGAAGAAAATCTAATCTGATTTTTTAAATGGGCAAAAGATCTGAATAGACATTTCTCAAAAGAAGACATACAAATGGCCAACAGATATGTGAAAAGGTGCTCAACATCACTGATCCTCAGAGAAATGCAAATCAAAACTACAATGAGATATCATCTCACCCCAGTTAAAAAGGGGTTTTAGGAAGCTGGGCCCAGTGGCTTATGCCTGTAATCCCAGCACTTTGGGAGGCCGAGGCAGGTGGATCACCTGAGGTCAGGAGTTCGAGACCAGCCTGACCAACATGGAGAAACCCCAATCTCTACTAAAAATACAAAATTAGCCGGGTGTGGTGGCGGGTGCCTGTAATCCCAGCTACTCGGGAGGCTGAGGCAGTAGAATTGCTTGAACCCAGGAGGTGGAGGTTGCAGTGAGCCGAAATCGCACCATTGCACTCCAGCCCAGGCAACAAGAGTGAAACTCTGTCCCAAAAATAATAATAATAATAAAATAAAAATAAAATGGCTTTTATCCAAAGGACATGCAATAACAAGTGCTGGTGAGGATGTGGAGAAAAGAGAACCCTCATATGCTGTTGGTGGGAATGTAAAGTAGTACAGCTACTATGGAGAAAAGTATGGAGTTTCCTCAAGAAAATAAAAACAGAGCTACCACTTTGGGAGGCTGAGGCGGGTGGATCACGAGGTCAGGAGATCGAGACCATCCTGGCTAACATGGTGAAACCCTGTCTCTACTAAAAATACAAAAAAAAAATTAGCCGGGCATGGTGACAGGTGCCTATAGACCCAGCTACTCAGGAGGCTAGGCAGGAGAATGGCGTGAACCCGGGAGGCGGAGCTTGAGTGAGGGGAGATCGCACAACTGCACTCCAGCCTGGATGACTGAGCAAGACTCCGTCTCAAAAAAAAAAAAAAAAAAAAAAAAAATAGAGCTACCATATGATCCAGCAATCCTGCCACTAGATATATACCCAAAAGAAAGGAAATTCATATATTGAAGAGATATCTGCACTCCCATGTTTATTGCAGCACTGTTGATAATAGCCAAGATTTGGAAGCAACCTAAATGTCCATCAATCAATGAATGGATAAAGACAATGTGGTATACATACACAATGGAGTACTATTCAGCCATAAAAAGAATGAGATACTGCTATTTGCAACAACATGCATGGAACTAGAGGGCATTATGTTAAGTGAAATAAGCCAGGCACAGAATGACAAACTTCACGTGTTCTCACTCATTTGTGGGAGCTAAAAATTAAAAATTGAACTCATGGAGATAGAGAGTAGAATGATGGTCACCAGAGGCTGGGAAAGATAGTGGGCAGGGGAAGGGGATAGTAGGGATAGTTAGTGGGGACAAAAATATAGTTAGATAGTATGAATAAGATATAGTATTTGACAGCACACCAGGGTAACTACAGTCAACAATAATTTATTGTATATTTAAAAATAACAGAGTAGAACTGAAATGTTTGTAACACAAATAAGTGATAAATACTTGAGGTGATGGATATCCCATTTCCCCTGACGTGATTATTCCACATTGTATGCCTTTATCAAAACATCTCATGTACCCCATACATATAAGCATGTGAAAAGCTACATAAAGGAAAAAGGGGAGTAAAAAAGAAGTAATCAGTAATAATATATAACTGTATGTTAATCAGATAGATGCTCCAGTCTTTTTTTCTATAAATCATAGTTGTGACTCATTCCCTTTTACTTAGCAAATTGGGAGGGTTTGTTGTTGTTGTTTTGAGACGGAGTCTTGCTCTGTTGCCCAGGCTGGAATGTGATGGCTCAATCTCGGCTCGATGCAACCTCTGCCTCCCGGGTTCAAGCAATTCTCCTGCCTCAGCCTCCCTAGTAGCTGGGATTACAGGGACCCGCCACCACGCCTGGCTAATTGTATTTTTAGTAGAGATGGGGTTTCACCATGTAGGCCAGGCTGGTCTCAAACTGCTGACCTCTTGATCTGCCTGCCTCAGCCTTTCAAAGCGCTGGGATTACAGGCATGAGCCACCTTGCCTGGCCCGCCTTTCTTTTCTTCCCTCCCTCTGTCCCTCCCCCCCTTTTCTTTCTTTCTTTCTCTCTCTTTCTTTCTTTCTTTCTTTCTTTCTTTCTTTCTTTCTTTCTTTCTTTCTTTCTCTCTCTCTCTCTTTCTTTCTTTCTTTCTTTCTTTCATTCTTTCTCTCTCTCTCTCTCTCTCTTTCTTTCTTTCTTTCTTCTCTCTCTCTTTCTTTCGTTTTTCAGACAGGGTTGTAGCTCTGTTGCCCAGGCTGGAGTGCAGGGGCACGATCATGGGTCACTGCAGTCTTGATGTCCTGGGCTCAAGCCATCTTCCTACCTCAGTCTCTGCCAAGTGACTGGGACTACAGGCATGTGCTGCAATGTCCAGTTAATTTTTTTTAGCACCAGTGTGTCACTATGTTTCCCAGGCTCGTCTTGAACTCCTGGGCTTGTGATCTTCTTGCCTTGGCCTCCCAAAAGCTGGGACCACAGGCATGAGCCAGCCACCACACCCAGCTGTGATTGGAAGTTTTTAAAGTGACTCGAATCTTCTTTCATAGGATCCGAATTATTATTAGTTACTATAGTTTTCTATTAACTTTTTCTATTGTAAAAGACAGAGGTAGGAGTTGACCCAGGGGAATCTTTGCATTCTATCCATGTTACATTTAGAAGGTTCAAACCTATTTCCCCCTTGAGAGCCAGGATCAATCAGCCCAGCAAACACCAACCTACTCTCCCTTACCTCTCCCACCCCAACCTTTCATCTGTTGCCCATGGTCACAAGGAGCACCAAATAGCTGCATTATGTTCTCACTTTCCATTTTTTTGTAACCACTGTTGTGTCTCTGGTGAAGGTGCTCTTTCATCTATTCTCCATATTATTTTTAGATAAAGTTTCAAAATCTGGCAATATTTTTGATATGTGGGTTTGATTTTATAATTGGTCATTGAGAGAATGCTGAGGTTTTTATTACATTTTATGGTCTGGATATTACAAGGGGAGCAAGAAAAACAGTAACACCCTTGCAAGGTAACTACCTCAGACAAGATCATTATAGGATTTTGAAGCAAGATATGTCTCACAATGCATTTTGTCTTAAAGTTTCTGTTATTGGGCCGGGCGCGGTGGCTCACACCTATAATCCCAGCACTTTAGGAGGCCAAGGCGGGCAGATCAGCCTGACCAACATGAAGAAACCCCGTCTCTACTAAAAATACAAAATTACCCGGTCGTGGTGGTGCATGCCTGTAATCCCAGCTACTTGGGAGGCTGAGGCAGGAGAATCGCTTGAACCCGGGAGGCGGAGGTTGTGGTGAGCCGAGATTGCGCCATTGCACTCCAGCCTGGGCGACAAGAGTTAAACTCCGTCTCAAACAACAAAAAAAAGTTTCTGTTATTTTAAGTAGTATAGTTACATGAACTTGCTTGTTTATTGTTAGTTTTTCCATCTTTAATTTCTTTTTCTTTTTCTTTCTTTTTTTGAGACAATGTCTCACTTTGTCACCCAGGCTAGAGCGCAGTGGTGCAATCTCAGCTCACTGCAGCCTCCGCCTCCCACGTTCAGGCAATTCTCGTGCCTCAGCCTCCTGAGTAGCTGAGGTTACAGGCGCACACCACCATGCCCGTCTAATGTTTGTATTTTTTTTTTTTTTTTTTAGTAGAGACGGGGTTTCACCATGTTGGCCAGGCTGGTCTCAAACTCCTGACCTCAAGTGATCCGCCTGCCTCGGCCTCCCAAAGTGCTGGGATTACAGGCATGAGCCGCTGTGCCTGGCCTCCATCTTTAATTTCAATGTTTCTGCATTCTTAAGGTAAAGATGGCTTTTGAGAATACAATATGCCTGAATTTTTTTTTTTTTTTTTTTTTTTTTGAGACGGAGTCTTGCTCTGTGGCCCAGGCTGGAGTGCAGTGGCGCGATCTCGGCTCACTGCAAACTCTGCCTCCCGGGTTCGGTTCATGCCATTCTCCTGCCTCAGCCTCCCGAGTAGCTGGGATTACAGGCGCCCGCCACCATGCCCGGCTAATTTTTTTGTATTTTTAGTAGAGATGGGGTTTCACCGTGTTAGCCAGGATGGTCTCGATCTCCTAACCTCATGATCCGCCTGCCTCGGCCTCCCAAAGTGCTGGGATAACAGGCGTGAGCCACCGCGCCCGGACTATACTTGAACTTTTAAAATTCCAGTCTGACAACCTTTGTCTTTTTTTTTTTTTTTTTTTTGAGACGGAGTCTCGCTCTGTTGCCAGGTTGGAGTGCAGTGGCGCAGTCTCGGCTCACTGCAACATCTGCTTCCTGGGTTCAAGCGATTCTCCTGCCTCAGCCTCCCAAGTAGCTGGGATTACAGGCACGCGCCGCCATGCCCAGCTAATTTTTGTATTTTTAGTAGAGATGGGGTTTCGCCATGTTGGCGAGGCTGGTCTTGAATTCCTGACCTTGTGATCCACCCGCCTTGGCCTCCCAAAGTGCTTGCATTACAGGCGTGAGCCACCGCGCCCGGCCCCACCTTTGTCTTTTAAGTAAAGTATTATATTCACTTTTATTCGATGTGATTACTAATATATTTGGTTTTAAATCTATCTTTGTTCTTTTGTTTATCTTGTCAATTATATATACATATATATATATATTTTTCCTCCTTGTTTTCTTCAGGAGCTTTAATAATCATGTCGTTGTTTATGGTTACTAGCTTGGAAATTCTATATATTATTTCTATGCTTTAAGAATTACCTTAGAAAATACCATGCATAACAAAATCCATCAAAGTCTAAAACAGTTATGTCAAAAGCACAACACAGTGATTACAGTCGACAATAATTTATTGTGCATTTAAAAATAAAAGGGTATAATTGGGATGTTTATAACATAAACAGCAAATGCTTGATGTGACAGATACTCCATTTACCCTGGTGATTATTATGCGTTGCATACCTGTATCAGAATATCTCATGCACCCCATAAATGTGTACACCTACTAGGTACCCATAAAAATTAAAACTTAAAATAAAAAAGTTGTGTCAACGTAAAAAGACATAGAGACGAATCGCTAAGTAAAAGGTTTTATTTGGGAATAATATACAAGAAGTAGAACTGCAATTCAGGACATACATAGACGCGTGGTGTCTGGTATGTCTAGAGAACAAATGAAAAGTTTAGAGTTTATTGGGTAAAGAGGAGGTTATGTGAGTTGTTTTTAAATCAAATTTACTTGGCTGGGCACAGTGCCTCATGCCTATAATCTCCTAGCACTTTGGAAGGTTGAGGCGGGTGGATGCTTTGAGCCCAGGAGTTTGAGACCAGCCTGGGCAACTTGGTGGAATCCTGTCTCTTCTAAAAATACAAAAATTGGGCCGGGCTTGGCGACTCACGCCTGTAATCCCAGCACTTTAGGAGGCTGAGGCAGGTGGATCGCAAGGTCAGGAGTTTGAGACCAGCCTGGTCAATATGGTGAAAGCCCCTCTCTACTAAAAATACAAACATTAGCCAGGCATGGTGGCGAGTGCCTGTAGTCCCAGCTACTTGAGAGGCTGAGGCAGGAGAATCGCTTGAACCCGGAAGGCGGAGGTTGCAGTGTGTTGCACTCCAGCCTGGGTGACAGAGCAAGACTCCATCTCAAAAAATAATAATAATAATAATAAAAACCCAAAAAACAAAAAAATAGCTGGGCATGGTGGTGCACGCCTGTAGTCTTAGCTACTTGGGAGGCTGAGGTGGGAGGATTGCTTGAGCCTGGGAGGCAGAGGTCTCGCCACTGTACTGCAGCCTGGGTGACAGAGCCAGACTCTGTCTCTAAATAAATAAACAAACAAACAAATAAATAAAATGTATTGGTGCTGGCAGCGTTTTACAAGAGCTGGAGAGTTCTGATTGGTGTGTGTCATTAGTTGCCAGGTAGGATTTGTAATCTCAGAGTAATGGTTAGGTCCTTGCAGTTTTGGATTGGGTCTGTGAGCCAATTTTGAAATAGGCAAGTGTTTTTGTATAAGCAGGTAGCTGGGCTTGTGTGACTCATGAAGTAAGCTGCAGTCTGGAAAAATTTCTTGTGAAATATTTGCCTGTTATCAGTCAGATTGTGTGTGAGAGCTCTCTCTTTATGGCCTTCCCCTGGCTTAATTTGCCAGGGTTTGACACAAGTGACCCTATTTTGAATGTTACAGCTTTCGCAGTTCACACCTTTATTCATTCCCACGACAATAGAAAGTACTTAGGCTACTCTAGCTACATGTATTCACCTACTTTCAATGTGGATTATTGTTCTCTTGTATTTTTATTATCTCTTTCTCAGGCATGCGCCACTATGACCAGCTAATTTTTGTACATTTTGTAGAGATGGGGTTTCGCCATGTTGTCCAGGCTGGTCTTGAACTCCTGGGCTCAAGCAATCCTCCTGCTTCAGCCTCTGAAAGTGCTACTACAGGTGTGAGCCACCGTGCCCAGTCAACATATATTGCTTTTTATAATCAATATTCATTCACATTTGCCCCCATAATTCCTATATTGCTTTCCATTCCTCCTTGCATAACAATATTTCCATTTGACATCATTTTCCCTATGTCCATTGATGAAATTCTACATTGGGCTTTTTTTTTTCCAGTACATTGAAGCTATCGTTTCATTCTTGACTTTCATTACTGCTATGAGAAGTCAGCTGTCAGTCTAATGACTACTTTGAAGGTAATTTATCCTTTTTACTTTTGCTGCTCTAAGATTTTCTCATTATCTTTGGTTTTTCTGCAGTTTGTCCATGATGGGTCTAGGTTAAGGGATTTGAGTCAATGGTTTAGGGACTTTCATGATCTTTGGAAATTGTTCGGCTATTGTTTCTTCTTCTTTTTGTTTTTGAGCTGGAGTCTCGCTCTGTCGCCCAGGCTGGAGTGCAGTGGCACAATCTCGGCTCACTGCATCCTCTGCCTCTGAGGTTCAAGCAATTCTCCTGCCACAGCCTCCCGACTAGCTGGGATTACAGGCACGCACCACTGTGCCCAATTAATTTTTGTATTTTTAGTAGAGCCAGGGTTTCACCATGTTGGCCAGGCTGGTCTTGAACTCTTGACCTTGTGATCCACCTGCCTCGGCCTCCCAAAGTGCTGGGATTACAGGAGTGAGTCACCACACCCAGCCAGCTATTGTTTCTTCTAATATTGATGTTTAATTGGAACTCCAACTAAAAATATGTTTGACCTTCTCACTCTGTCCTACATATCTTTTTTTTTTTTTTTTTTTGAGAAGAGGTCTCACTCTGTCACCCAGGCCAGAGTGTAGTGGTGTGATCATAGCTCACTGCAGCCTCTACCTTCCGCCCCAGCCTCCTGAGTAGCAGGCATGCACCACCATGCCCAGCTAATTTTATTTTATTGTATTTTAGTTTCATTTATTATATTTTATTTAGAGATAGGGTCTTGCCATGTTGCCTAGGCTGGTCTCAAACTCCAGGGATCAAGCAATCCTCCCACCCAAAGTACTGGGATTACAGTTGTGAGCCACTGCATTTGGCCAATATTTAATTTTCATTATTGTACTTTTCACATATGAAAGTTTTATTCGATTCTTTTGAAAATCTATGTCATTTTTGCAGGTCCCTATACATATTTTCTTCTTCTTCTTTTTTTTTTTTTTGAGATGGAGTCTCACTCTGTCACCCAGGCTGGAGTGCAGTGGCGCGATCTCGGCTCACTGCAAGCTCCGCCTCCCTGGTACAAGTGATTCTCCTGCCTCAGCCTCCCGAGTAGCTGGGACTACAGGCACCCGCCACCACACCTGGCTAATTTTGGTAGTTTTAGTAGAGACAGGGTTTCACCATATTGGTCAGGCTGGTCTCAAACTCCTGACCTCATGTGATCCATCTGCCTCGGCCTCCCAAAGTACTGGGATTACAGGCGTGAGCCACCACACCCGGCCTCCCCATACGTATTTTAAGGAGATAATTTCAGCACTGACCTTTATGCCTCTTCCTTTCCATGTTTCCATGTTTTGAGGGAGGGGAAAGGTGACAATTCCTAAGACTTGGGTTTTTAAACTTTTTAAATTGTAAGAATAAAACATAGATATAGAAAAACAAAACTATAACATAAAAATATAGCCAAATGAATTGTTACAAGACAAACACCTGTGTAACCAGAACTCAGGTCAAGAAATAGAACTTTGCTAGATAATCTAGAAGTTCCTCTGTGTTCCCTGTCCTTAAAAGTAACCAGTTCCACTCTCCTAACTTTTTTTTATTTTTTATTTTTTTGAGACAGAGTCTCACTCTGTCGCCCACGCTGGAGTGCAGTGGCACAATCATGGCTCACTGCAACTTCTGCCTCCCGGGTTCAAGCAATTCTCCTGCCTCAACCTCCTGAGTAGCTGGGATTACAGGCGTTTGCCACCACACCTGGCTAATTTTTATATTTCTATTAGAGACGGGATTTTGCCATGTTGGCCAGGCTGGTCTCGAACTCCCAACCTCAGGTGATCCACTTGCCGTGGCCTCCCAAAGTGCTGGGATTATAGGCGTGAGCCACTGAGCCCATCCCTCTCCTAACTTTTATAGTGATCACTTCCTTGTGTTCCTTTATAATATTATTATCCATTTGCACATCCCTAAATGCTTTTGCCTTCCCTTTTTTATTACTTGACATATCTTTTAAGTCTTTTAACCAGCAAGAGTCCCTGACACTCATATGTTGATAAAAGTATTTGATTTTGCTATGCTGGATATAAAATATTTGCCATATCTTTTCTTGCACTGAGTATGTAAAATATGTTACTCCATTTTCTTTTCTTTCTTTTTCTTTCTTTCTTTTTTCTTTAAAGACAGAGTCTTGCTCTGTTTCCCAGGCTAGAGTGCTGTGGCATGATCTCGGCTCACTGTAACCTCTGTCTCCTGGGTTCAAGCGATTCTCCTGCCTCAGCCTCCCAAGTAGCTGGGATTACAGGTGCTCGCCATCAAGCCAGGCTAATTTTTTTGAATTTTTTTTTTTAGAGATGGGGTTTCACCATGTTGGCCAGGCTGGTCTTGAACTCCTGACCTCAAGTGATCCGCCCACCTCAGCCTCCAAAGTGAGCCACCGCACCCGGCCTGTTACTCTATTTTCTACTTACTATTTACAACTGTCAGAAGGTAAATGACAACCTGATTTTTGTTGCTTTTTAAGTCACTTATACCTCTCACTAGTGATACACATCTTTTTTATTTCAGAAAATGTTTTATTATAATTATAACATTTTAGTATTTGTTCTTTTCTTTTGCTTTGGCTTGGTTCTTTAGAACCTTCTATTTATGTATTTGATCTTCTTGAACTGTCTTCTATGTTTGTCTCTTTCTCTCAGGTCTTTTTTTTTTGTTTTGTCACTTTCTTCATTTCCATCCAATTTTAGAAATTATCCTCATTTTGGCCGGGCGCAGTGGCTCACACCTGTAATCCCAGCACTTTGGGAGGCCGAGGCAGGTGGATCACGAGGTCAGGAGTTCAAGACCAGCCTGGCCAACATGGTGAAACCCCGTCTCTACTAAAAATACAAAAATAAGCTGGGCGTGGTGGTGGGCGCCTGTAATCCCAGTACTCAGGAGGCTGAAGCAGAAGAATCGCTTGAAACCAGAAAGCAGAGGTTGCAGTGAGCCGAGATCTGCCACTGCACTCCAGCCTGGGCGAAAGAGCAAAACTCCATCTCAAAAAAAAAAAAAAGAAATTATCCTCATTTTTCAGTTAACGAGTTTGCTCCAAACAAAAGAAATTTTCCTCATTTTTACCTTCAGTTTCTCATAAACATTTGTTGTGTTTATTCTTTGTGGTGGTCCTTTTAGTTTAGTTTTCATTTCTGAAATGATTTTTATTTGAATTATTTTCTGAATTATTACCTCATTTCCCGCATTTTCTGATTCTAACTGATTTTGTTCTTTCATATCTTGTATCATTTTGTTAATGAAATTTTAGCTCAGTCTGAAATAGCAAGTTCCAATTCTGATCTCCTGTGGGCATGGCTTTCTGATACGCTTTTATTGTCGGGAGGAATGTTATTGTGTTCCTTATTCTCTCTCTCTTTTAAATTGCAACTCTTAGGGACTTCATGCTTGATACTTTTCTGTTGTTTTTTTAAAAATTTTATTTATTTATTTATTTATTTATTTATTTATTTATTGAGATGGAGTCTTGCTTTGTCGCCCAGGCTGGAGTTCAATGGCACGATCTCGGCTCACTGCAACCTCCGCCTCCCAGGTTCAAGCCATTCTTCTGCCTGAGCTTCCCAAGTAGCTGGGACTAAAGGCATATACCACCATGCCTTTTTGTATTTTTAGTAGAGACGGGGTTTCACCATGTTGGCCAGGGTGGTCTCAAACTCCAGACCTCGTGATCGGCCCACCTCTGTCTCCTAAAGTGCTGGAATTACATTTAATTTTATTTTTTAAGACAGAGTCTCACTCTGTCACCCAGGCTAGAGTGCAGTGGTGGGATCTCAGCTCATTGCAACCTCCACCTCCAAGGCTCAAATGATCCTCCTGCCTCAGCCTTCCATGTAGCTGGGATTTAGTGCGCCAACATGCCCATCTAATTTTTTGTGTGTTTGTAGTAGAAACAGGGTGTCACCATGTTGGCCAGGCTGGTCTTGAACTCCTGACCTCAAGTGATCCACCCGCCTCAGCCTCCCAAAATGTTGGGATTACGGGCATGAGCCACCATGCCTGGCTGGTGTTGCTTATTATTTATCTATTTATTTAGAGATGGAAAGGAATTTTGGCTGTCAGTTTTAAGAGCTGTCACAGCGAAGAGTTCACTGGCCCCTTCAGGTCTTCCCTTGTGGACCACTTGCACTCCCCTCCTGTTGGTGTAGGAAAAGCCTCAACCCCTCTCTGCTGCTGCTGTCAGCATGGCCCTCTGTGTTTTTTTGTTTGTTTTGTTTTGTTTTTCGAGATGGAATCTTGCTCTGTCACCCAGGTTGGAGTGCAGAGGCACAATCTTGGCTCACTGCAACCTCCGCCTCTCGGGTTCAAGCGATTCTCCTGCCTCAGCCTCCTGAGTAGCTGGGATTACAGGTGCCTGCCACCATGCCCAGCTAATTTTGTATTTTTAGTAGCAACGGGGTTTCGCCACGTTGGCCAGGCTGGTCTTGAACTCCTGACCTCGTGATCCGCCTGCCTTGGCCTCCCAAAGTGCTGGGATTACAGGCATGAGCTACCGCACCCAACCCCCTCTGTGTGTTAATACTCGTTTTGAGGCTCTTCTGTTTTCAGATGATTTCAGATGCCCCATCACTTCCCCTGGCTGCCTCCTTCACAGATGCTCAGGTCCACCATGCAGGTATTGTGATGTTTATGATTGTTCTCATCTGCTTATATTTGGGGGCTCATGGGGACATTTCCTGTATTAGTTTGCTGGTACTGCTGTAACAGATTACCACAGCTGGGTAGTTTAAACATAACTTTATTTTCTCACAGCTCTAGAGGCTTTTCGTCACAGATCAAGGCGTTGGCAGGTCTGGTTTATCCTAAGGACTCTCTCCTTGGCTTGCAGACAACTGCCTTCTTGCTGGATTTTCACACGGCATTCACGCTGCGTGTGCACATCCTTAGGGTGCCTCAGCATATCCAAATTTCCTTTGTTAAAATAAGGACACCAGGCTGGGCATGGTGGCTCACACCTGTAATCCCAGCAGTTTGGGAGGCTGAGGTGGGTGGATCACCTGAAGTCAGGAGTTGGAGACCAGCCTGGGCAACATGGCGAAACCCCGTCTCTACTAAAAATACAAAAATTAGCCAGGCATGATAGCACGTGCCTGCAGTCCCCACTACTTGGGAGGCTGAGGCACGAGAATCGTTGAACCCAGGAGGTGGAGGTTACAGTAGCCAAGATCAAGCCACTGCACTCCAGCCTGTGTGACAGAGTGAGACTCTTGTCTCAAAAAAAAAAAAAAGATAAAATAAGGACAACAGTCATATAGGATTAGGACCCACCCTAACTACCTCATTTTAACTTAATCATCTCTTTGAAGGCTGCACCTCCAAATACACTCACATTGTGAGGTACTGGGGGTTACAGCTTAAACATACGAATTTTGGAAGCATGCAATTCAGCCCATCACATTATCTCACGTAGTTTTGTTTGAATGCTGTCAACAAGATTTTGGTTTTGCTGTCTGATTGCTCTATTTTTATTTGGGGATTTTGGAAGATTCAAAAACTACTGCTGGAGGCACAATTTTTCTAGAATCTTGGTGCTTCTGTTTTTGTTTTGTTTAATCAGCTTTATTGAGGGAAAATTTGCATGCAACAAAATTTATCAATTTTAAGTGTACAATTTGATGAGTTTTGACATACATGTAATCATGTAATTATTACCAGTGAACCTCAAAAATTTGAGAGAGGTCTTAGTTAATTTAGAAAGTTTATTTTGCCGCCGGGTGCGGTGGCTCACGCCTGCAATCCCAGCACTTTGGGAAGCCGAGGTGGGCGGATCACGAGGTCAGGAGTTTGAGACCAGCCTGGCCAACATGGTGAAACCCCGGCTCTACTAAAAATAAAAAATAAAAATAAATAAATTAGCCAGTCATGGTGGTGGGTGCCTGTAGTCCCAGCTACTCGGAAGGCTGAGGCAGGAGAATCACTTGAACCTGAGAGACAGAGGTTGCAGTGAGCCGAGATCTTGCCACTGCACTCCAGCCTGGGCGACAGAGTGAGACTCCATCTCAAAAAAAAAAGAAAGTTTATTTTGCCAAGGTTGAGGACATGCGTCCGTGACACAGCCTTAGGAGGTCCTGATGACACATGCCCAAGGTGGTCAGAGCACAGCTTGGTTTTAAACATTTTGGGAAGATATGAGACATCAATCAATATATGTAAAATAAACATTGGTTCGGTCCACAAAGGTAGGACAGGTCATAGGTAGGTGAGAGACAAACGGTTGCATTGTTTTTATTTATGGCTTTTTTTTTTTTTTTTTGAGACGCAGTTTCACTCTTGTCTCCCAGGCTGGAGTGCAGTGGCATGATCTTGGCTCACTGCAACGTCTGCCTCCCAGGTTCAAGCGATTCTCTCGCCTCAGCCTCCTGAGCTGGGATTATAGGTGCCCACCACCACGCCCAGCTAATTTTTTTGTATTTTTAGTAGAGACACGGTTTGGCCATGTCTCGAACTCCTGACCTCAGGTGATCTGCCCGGCTTGGCCTCCCAAAGTGCTGGGATTATAGGCATGAGCCGCCGTGCCTGGCCATGGTTGCATTCTTTTGAGTTTCTGATGAACCTCTCCAAACAGGCAATCAGATACGCATTTATCTCAGTGAGCAGAGGAATGACTTTGAATAGAATGGGAGGCAGGTTTGTCCCAAGCAGTTCCCAGCTTGACTTTTCTCTTTACTTTAGTGATTTTGGGGGCCCAAGATGTGTTCCTTTCACAACCACAACACAATCATGATATACAGAACTTCCATCAACTCAGAAAGCTCCCTCATGCCTTTTTTTTTTTTTTTTTTTTGAGACAAGAGTCTCGCTGTGTTGCTCAGGCTGGAGTGCAATGGCATGATCTCATCTCACTGCACCTTCTCTCCCCACCTCCAGAGTAGCTGAGACTACAGTGCCACTGCACCTGGCTAATTTTTGTATTTTTAGTAGAGACAGGGTTTCACCATGTTGGCCAGGCTCCTCTTGAACGCCTGACCATAAGTGATCTGCCCACCTCGGGTTCCCAAAGTGCTGGGATTACAAGCATGAGCCACTGCACCCACCCCCTCATGTTGCCCAGGCTGGAGTGCAGTGGCACAATCTCGGCTCAATGCAACCTCCACCTCCCGGGTTCAAGCGATTCTCCTGCCTCAGCCTGCCAAGTAGCTGGGATTACAGGTGTGCACAACCATGCCCAGCTAATTTTGTATTTTTAGTAGAGATGGGGTTTCTCCATGTTGGCCAGGCTGGTCTCCAACTCCTCACCTCAGGTGATCCGCCCGCCTCAGCCTCCCAAAGTGCTGGGATTACAGGCATGAGCCAGGGCGCCCGGCCACTCTTGCACTTTTGCAGTCCGGCCCCTCCCCATCCCCTGCCCCAGCCCCTGAGGGCCACTGTTCTGCTTCCTGTCCACAATAGTTGTACTTTTTCTAGAATTTCATATAAATAGAATCATACAGTATGTAGTCTTTTATGTAAAGCTTCTTGTATTTAACAGTGCTTTTGAGATTCATTCATGTTGTTGCATATATCAGTAAATTATTCTTTGTTTTCTG
The DNA here is from genome assembly GCF_000001405.40 of Homo sapiens. NCBI lineage: Eukaryota > Metazoa > Chordata > Mammalia > Primates > Hominidae > Homo > Homo sapiens. The sequence goes on along the minus strand of NC_000019.10, from coordinate 36,428,461 downwards.
AGTAATATTGCATTTTTTGGACATCTTCCAATTTGTTTATCTGTTTACCAGTTGATAGAGAATGGGTAGTGTCCAGTTTTTGGCAGTGTGAATAAAACTACTATGAACATTCAAGGACAAATCTTTTTTTTTTTTTTTGAGACAGAGCCTTGCTCTGTCGCCCAGGCTGGAGTGCAATGGCCAGATGTTGGCTCACTGCAACCTCCGCCTCCTGGGTTCAAGCATTTCTCCTGCCCCAGCCTGCTGAGCAGCTGGGATTACAGGCGTGCAGCACCACGTCCACCTGATTTTTGTATTTTTAGTAGAGACGGGGTTTCACCATGTTGGTCACACTGGTCTCAAACTCCTGACCTCATGATCTGCCCACCTCAGCCTCCCAAAGTGTTGGGATTACAGGCGTGAGCCACTGTGTCTGGCCAATAATTTTTTTTTTAAAGGAAAATAAGTGCTAGTGAGAATGTAGCGAAATTGGAACTATCATACATTGTTTATGGAAATGTAAATGGTGTAGCTGCTGTGGAAAAAAGTTTGGTGGTTACTCAATAAATTAAACATAAAATTACTGTATGACTCAGGAATTCCATATATATATATATATATATATATATGTATGCTTTGTGTGTATGTGTGTATATATATATAAATATGCTATATATTATTTTTTAAAGACTTTTTTTTCTTTAAGACAGAATCTTGCACTGTTGCCCAGGCTGGAGTGCAATCTTGGCTTACTGCAACCTCCCCTTCTTGAATTTAAGTGATTTTCATGCCTCAGCCTCCCAAGTAGCTGGGATTACAGGTGCACGCCACCACACCCAGCTAATTTTTGTACTTTTAGTAGAGCAGAGTTTCACCATGTTGGCCAGGCTGGTCTCGAAATCCTGGCCTCAAGTGATCTGCCCACATTGGCCTTCCAAAGGGCTGAGATTACAGGTGTGAGCCACCATGCCTGGCCCACTTGTATATATTGAGTATATACCTAAAAGAATTGAAAATGAGTGTTTAAACAAAAACTTGTCCACAAAGTTTATGGCAGCAATATTCACAATAGCGAAAAGGTAGAAACAACGCACTTCTATCTACTGATGGATCAACAAAATGTGGTACATTCATACAATGGAATAGTATTCAGCTAGAAAAAGAAATAAAGTATTGATGTATGCTACAGCATGGATGAATATTCAAAACATTATGCTAAGTGAAAGGAGTCAGACATAAAAGGGCTCATCTCGTATGAAAGTATCTAGAACAGGTAAATCCATAGAGACAGAAAGCAGATTAGTAGCTGCCATGGCTGGAGGAAGTAAGGAATGGAAAGCAACTTAGAAGATATGTAGGTATATTAGTTCGTTTTCACACTGCTATAAAGAACTGCCCGAGACTGTGTAATTTATAAAGGAAGGATGTTTAATTGACTCAGTTCCGCATGGCTAGGGAGGCCTCAGGAAACTTACAATCATGACGGAAGGGGAAGCAAGCACATCTTACATGACAGCAGGCGAGAGAGAGAGTGTGAAGGAGGAACTGTCAAACACTTATAAAACCATCAGATCTGGTGAGAACTCACTCACTATCACAAAAACAGCATGGGGGAAACTGCCCCTATGATCCAATCACCTCCCATCAAGTCCCTCCTTCAACACATGGGGATTATGGGGATTACAATTTGAGATGCGATTTAGGTAGGGACACAGAGCCAAACCTTATCAGTGGCTTTTATTTTTATTTCTTTTTTTAGGGGAGTGGTGATTAAATATTCTGGAACTAGATAGTGGTGATGAAAGAACACTGTGAATTCAGCCGGGCGCGGTGGCTCACGCCTGTAATCCCAGCACTTTGGGAGGCTGAGGCAGGCGAATCACGAGGTCGGGAGTTCGAGACCAGCCTGGCCAACATGGTGAAACCCCATCTCTACTAAAATACAAAAATTAGCTGGGTGTGGTGGTGGGCACCTGCAATCCCAGCTACTCAGGAGGCTGAGGCATGAGAATGGCTTGAATCCAGGAGGTGGAGGTGGAGGTTGCAGCGAGCCAAGATCGTGCCACTGCACTCCAGACCCCAGCCCGGGCGACAATGCGAGACTCTGTCTCAAAAAACAAAAACAAAAACAAAAACAAAAAAACACTGTGAATTCACTAAGTGCCTCTAAATGTTATGCTTTAAAAATGGTTAAAATGGTGACTTTTTATATTATGTATATTTTGCCACAATAAAAACATTTTTATTGCTTTCCTGGTGTTATGACATGGAACGTTTAACTCCAGCTCACCCATCCTTTATCCAGTTCTACCTGAGCACCAGAGCCCTCTTACATCTTATGTCCCTGCTGACTTGGCTCTGTCTTATTAGCCCCATGGCTAAAGCTCTCGTCCTGCTGGTCACCAACTCTCCTTCATTACCTTCCCACAATAGACATTTCTCATATCTTCAGGCTATCCACAATTGCGACCCCACTTGTAATCAAATCCACAAAGGTACAAAACATACAAAAGGGAATCTGGCACACAAGAACTATAGGTAAGACCAGCTGGAATTGAGAAAGAGATTACTGTTCCCTGAACTCACTGCTGTTCCCTGAAGGGTGGAAGGTGGCCTCTTCCTTGGCTTCAGGGAGATATTTATTATGTGTTACACTGAGTAAACTATGAACCAAGATACCTAGTGTGTGGCTTTTTTGGCATAGAAGTTTTTGGAATGACTATCAGCAAACAGCAACCCAGAAAGAGAATTTCAGTTCCAAATGATTTAATTGAAAAGTTCTACCAACCCATTCAAGTTAAGAAGAATTCCAACCTTACATAGTAAACTTTCCCAGAGAATAAAAAGGCAGAAACAGTGACTTCTTTAATGAAAATATGATCACCTGTAATCCCAGCACTTTAGGAGGTGGAGATGGGTGGATCACGAGGTCAGGAGTTCAAGACCAGCCTGGCCAACATAGTGAAACCCCGTCTGTACTAAAAACACAAAAATTAGCTGGGCATGGTGGCATGTGCCTGTAGTCCCAGCTACTCGGGAGGCTGAGGCAGGAGAATCTCTTGAACCCAGGAGTTGGAGGTTGCAGTAGGCTGAGATCATGCCACTGCACTCCAGCTTGAGCAACAGAGAGAGACTTTTTCTCAAAAAAAAAAATCAAAGAAAGAAAATATCACCTTGATTTCAAAATCTCTCAAAGACAGTATGAGAAAAGAAAATTATGGGGTAGTTGTATTCATGAAGGTAGATGCAAAGTTCTTATCTAAATCATTAAGGAAACAACTTTATTAATTTTTAGCCAACTAGATTATGACCAACTTGAGATATTTATTCCAGAAATGCAAGTTTGACTTATTATTTAAAAATCAGTTAATATGATTCCCCACATTAACGTATTAATTTAGAAAGAACCCCAGGATCATCTCAAAAGATACAGAAAAGATGATAGAATTTCAAATCCAATTATCATCAAGCCTCTTGGAAAAATAGAGATACAAGGAAACTTCTAAGAAAGGATATCCAGGGAGAAATTTAAGCGCATTTTTTGATGGGCATGGTGCCTCACACCTGTAATCCCAGCACTTCGGGAGGCTGAGGCAGGAGGATTACTTGAGCCCAGGAGTTTGAGACCAGCCTGGGCAATATAGTGAGACCTCATCTCTACAAAAAATTTTAAAAATTAGCTGGGTGTGGTGGTACTTGTCCCAGCTACTCAGGAGGCTGAGTCAGGAGAACTACTTGAGCCTAGGAGGTAGAGGCTGCAGTGAGCCCTGATGGCACCATTGCACTCCAACCTAGGCGACAGAGGGAGACCCTGTTTCAAAAAACCAACAACACATTTTTTACTTAGTGATGAAATACCGAAATCTTTCCCTTTAAGATCAGGACCAAGGCAAGAAGGCCTGCTACCATCACTGCTAGTCAACAGTGTACTGGCTGCGTCACTTGGTGACCAAAAAAGGCTCTATCATCTGCAATGCTTCTCGTTCTGTGCTAATGATAAAATGTTACTCCAGCTTCACACTAATAAAGTCATTCCAGTGTGAAGACACTGGTTGAGTCTGACATATTAATGTCACATGTCTCTTTTCTGGAGGGTCATGTATTGTGAACTCTTTAGTGATAAATGGAGGTGAGACAGGAGAATAGGTCTGGAGGCAGGGAACCTAAGGCCATTCCCGCTGACTTCTTAGAACTGAATCAAAAGGAAAACCCCGTCTCTCCACACCCAAATAACAAAAGGATCAGAGGTTACTACCTTTGCACTGTGTGGCAGATGAAAAATGGAAAGTACCTCTGATTGGTCCCCTCCCGCAATCAATCAGATATTTGCATAGGGCGTAACTTGGTAACTACTATTTAGTCTCTGATTGGTCCTGTCTTCTGCAACCAATCAGACTGGTTGTGGGCCACTCCTTCATTTACATAGGGTGTAACCAAGTAACCAATGGGAAGCCTCTAGAGGGTATTTAAACCCCAGGAAATTCTGTAACCAGCACTCTTTGAGGCTTGGTCCTGCTCCCACTCTGTAGAGTGTACTTTCATTTCAATACATCTGTGCTTCCGTTGCTTCATTGTTTTGTTGCTTTGTGCATTTTGTCCAATTCTTTGTTCAAAACATCAAGAACCTGGATGACTACCATGAGACAAGAACTTAGCTTAAATCCCTACTACACTAATAACAGTTACCAGATTTCTCTACCTCTGTAAAGATTTCAATTGCTATAAAAACATTTACATTTCTAATATACATCTTTTCTCTTATGGAAATGCTTCGGTGAGTGTAAAGATTTGACTTTCAATGGAAATATTTACCACACAATAATATGTGTATGGCTTCATTTTTTCCATACTCTGCATTTATTTGGTTCCTTCCCTGTGAAGACTTTTCGAGTATCAGGAAGCATTGATTGAAAGCCAAACACCTCAATACATTTATCACATTTACTTAGTTTTTCTCCCATTTTGAATGGATGAGAATTTAAGCTGTTTAAATTTATTATATATAAAACATGTATTAGGTTTCAGACTGATGTCTATCAAGGCTTGACATTGATAACTACATTTCTAAAATGTCATTTAATTTCCAATTGCAAACATCCCCAGTGTTATATCTCTTAGATATCTCCTCTGTGGCCTCTCCGGGCGGCTACCTTGTGTTTTGAGGAGATTGCTGTGCTAGATAGAGGCTGTAACTCAACAACTTCTCTTTACCTATATCTATGGGAAAATTAAATTACATGTATGATACTTTGTTCAGAGATTTCTAGTTTACTAATTTTTTTTTTCTTGAGACAGAATCTTGCTCTTATCTTCCAGGATGGAGTGCAATGACATGATCTTGGCTCACTGCAACCTCCGCTTCCCGGGTTCAAGCGATTCTCCTGCCTCAGCCTCCCAAGTAGCTGGGATCACAGGTGCCCGCCACCACTCCTGGCTGATTTTTGTATTTTTTGTAGAGATGGGGTTTCGCCATGTTGGCCAGGCTGGTCTCGAACTCCTGACCTCATGATCTGCATGCCTCAGCCTCCCAAAGTGCTGGGATTACAGGCGTGAGCTACTGCGCCCGGCCGATTTTTTTTTTTTTTAATGACAAAGACATGGCTTTAATGTTATCCAGGAGACAGCTGATTCACATAGGGTTATTGAACACTAGAATCTGATCTTGACTCTCTCATGTCAACAACAGACAAACGCATTACAATTTAGGGAAAGCTGTTTTCTGGGTACCTCCCAGGTGTTTGCAGAAGGCGGCTAGAATTTGCTTCCAGGCATCTACCTGGGCCTTAGAATGAGCCCTGGCTCCCCAACCCATATCACGTGTTTGTTCAGTAATTTGTGAAGGGAAGCTGGGCACAGGGGGAAGTAAGGAGGCTCAGTGTAAAGCCCAGTCCCAGGGTAACAGATGATCTGGGGTTTTTCCTTTCCATGGGCCCGTAACCGTTCAGAGACTGGGCATACAACTCACTCCTCCAGTTATGGTCATCCTGACCAACAATGAAAATGATGGGGCCCTGGGCCTTCTCCATTGAAATCATGCTGGGGTTCTTATACCCTCCTACAAGATCATTCTTTATATCCACGACGTCCACGAGGCCTGAGAAAGCTACCTTGATTCTCCTCAGGTCATAGCCCAATGGTGGAATGCTATTCTGCTTACAGTTTATGCCTCTGTTCCCACTGATCCCGGATCCATTGATGGAAACTGTGTCTGAGTCATTCTTCAAGAATGAGGCCATTGAGAGACAAATATCAGCTCCTAGAGAAATGCCCCAAAGCCCAGTGCCTGGGCCTTTTACCTGGGGATGTTGAAGCATGTAGCATAGGGCTTCTTCGAAGTACTCCAGGGGTATGTTGTCCACGTTCTTGGGGAGATCTTCAAAGTTATAACAAGCTAGAGCGAACGTGGCAAAGCCATGGCCAGCAAGGAGGCTGGCTCGATATTCCAACAGGCTCCCTCCATTACCAAAGATGCCAATGATCCCTAGGAAGGGTCCAGGTCCTGGCGGCAGGAAGAGCGTGGCGCGCACCCGGCCCGCGCGCACCGAATCGCTCCGCACCCCTTGTGGGAGGAAGTCGCGCTCGTGCCGCGCCTGTCACAACAGCCGTCCAGGCTCGGGGTCGTGGCCGTCCAGCACCTCCAACTCCACGATAAAGGGAATCTGTACGTCCCGCTTCAGAAAGCGCCAAAAAGGTTTCTTGGATTCCAGGGCCCAGAGCAGCCCCATGGACTCTAGCCCCCTAAAGCTGCCGCCCAGCACGGGCGCGCGCTCCAGGTCCAGCTCGCCGCGGGCGTCGGCGCAGTAGCGGAAGAGCCCAGCCTTCTCGTCGCGCAGGGACGCGCGCGCAGCGTGTCCAGCGGCTCCGAAGCCAGGCCGCGCATGGTGATGCGCACCGGCTTGTCTCGGCAGCCGCGGCCCGCGGGCTCCAGGATCAGCGTTGCTGACATCTCGGAGCTGGAGCGGGGAATCTTAAGGTCGAGGCCCGAGGCCCGTCCAAGATCGTGGCAAGTGCGCCGATTGTCCAGAGGGCGTCCGGCGTCCCCTGGTGCCGGGAGCGGCCGGTGGCTGAGCAGTCCCAGAAAGCGCCTGGGACTTTAGACCAGTTAACCCGGCGCCCTGGACTCGTCTGAGGCAAAAGGAGCCAGACTCCTCTCCTGGGTCCTCTCCTTGGGCCCCGGGGAGCGCAGACTTTTTTTTTTTTTTTTTTCCTTTTTTTAATTTTGAGACAGGGTCTCGCTCTGTCGCCCAGCCCGGAGTGCAGTGGCCGATCCATAGCTCACTGTAATCTCGATCTCACAGGCTCAAGCTATCCTCCTGCCTTGGCCTTCCGAGTATGTGGGACTACAGGCATGAGTCATCACGCCTGGCCTAAGCCATCACGCCTGGCCTGATTTTTTTTTTTTACTTGGAAAAAAATATATACTTCACTCCCACAAAGTATTATTTTAGACTCCTGCCCCGTTATTCCTAGAGAATTAAAATTTCCAAGTAAAGTAAAAACAAAAAAGTAGTGAAGACAGAAGAGTATTTAACCATATCGCTGTAGAAAATTGTATTGAATATTCTAAGGCATGTGCTTGTCCTTTTTGTGTCTGTTGGTAGAAAAAGAATAAACATTAAACTCAGCTTAGTATTTCCAAAGTAGTAAGAAACACTTTTGCACATAAGGATACTTTGGGAAACCTTGTTTCCCCCACTGTCTTTACACTGAGTGAGTAACAAGGCTCTGTAAAGACGCAGGGGAATTGGTCACTAGCAGGCAAGGCAGACATCAAGCACTGTAAGAAATCAGAGACTGACTTCAAAGAAAACTCAGCGTTTACTGATAAATTGTGTTATATTACCCCATCAATGGCTAGCCTTCATGCCATGAAAATGCATCCATGTTAATGATGTCACTGTCTTACCTAACTGCAGGTGACAGCTGCCATGACATAGAAATGACATTGAACTTAAGGAAAACACTATACTGTTGCAAAATCCTTGTTAAAACCAAACATCTTAAATGCATTTGAAGCAGCGTGTCTAAGCCACGTAAAATCAAACCCTTGATAGTTATTAGCTGGCCTTCTTCTATAAAGAAAGCTTTCTTTTTTCTTTGTGCTTATTTAATGGGGTACAATCAATTATAGACATAATTGGTGGCACAGGGAAAATAATTATTTCAAGTAGTTTTTAAACACTAGCTGTATAACTAAGAGGGACATATAAAAACAGGGATTGGCAAACTTTTTCTTTAAAGGGCCTGATAGTAAATACAGTCAATCTTCATTCACAGATTCTGAATTTGTGAATTCATCTACTTGCTAAAACTTTTTTATAAACCCAGAGTCAATATTTGCAGCACCTTTGTGGTCATTTGTGGACATCCGAAGAGCGGTGAACCTTTTTGAGTCCCTTAACAGGCATGTTCTCAGCCAAAGTCAAACAAAGTGACCCTCTATCTTCTTATTTCAGCTCTCATACTGTAAACAGGTACCCTTTTTGCAGTCCATTTAGTACCTTGGCTTCTCATATTTTTGTTTTTTGCTGGTGATTTTGCTGTTTCAAAGGGACCCCAAATGTAGTAGTACTAAAGTGCTGTTGATGTTCCTATGAATGAGAAAGCGGTCATGTGTCTTACAGAAAAAATACATGTGTTAGATAAGCTTCATTCAGGCATGAGTTATGGAGCTGTTGGCCATGAGTTCAATGTTAATGAATCAATAATATATATTAAAGTGTTTAAATAGAAACACAATAAGGCCAGGCGCGGTGGCTCATGCCTATAATCCCAGCACTTTTGGGAGGCCAAGGCGGGTGGATCACCTGAGGTCAGGAGTTTGAGACCAGCCTGGTCAACATGGTGAAACTCCGTTTCTACAAAATACAAAAATCAGCTGGGCATGGTGACATGCATCTGTATTCCCAGCTACTCTGGGGGCTGAGGCAGGAGAATTGCTGGAACCCGGGAGGCGGAGGAGGTTGCAGTGAGCCAAGATCCCACCACTGCACTCCAGCCTGGGTGACAGAGCAAGACCCTATCTCAAAAAAAAAAAAAAAAAAGAAAAAAAGAAAATAAACACAATAAAATAAGCTTATGCATTCATCGGTTGACTAAAATGTGACCAGATGCTTACAGGAAACTAACCCTGTATTTCCCCTAGAAGCAGTGGAATGGTATTCACTAATTCCGTGTTTGTAGCAAGTTTATAGACCATAACTACTGTGAATAGTGAGAACTGACTGTATTTTAGGCTGCGTGGGCCATCTGGTCTGTGTAACTACTCGAGTCTGTCCTTGTAGCTCAAATATAGCAATAGACAGTACACAATCAAACACGGCTATGTTCCAATAAAACTTTTATTTATGGACACTGAAATTTGACATGTATGATTTTCATATTTCACAAAATATTGTTCTCCTTTTCATTGTTTTTACCATTTAAAAATACAGAAATGGAAAATATAGGAACTGGCTTCCCCGAATCTCCGGAGTCACACGGTCTCAAATCCCAACAGCCACACCCAGTGAAAGAATCCCACCCAGGAGCGCGCCAGGGACAGACTCGCAGCGCCGTCCTCGCTCACAGGGCTCCCTAGTTGGCACTATAGAGAGGCGGTCGCGGGCGCCCCTCTTTAACGCGCCAGCCATCTGTCCCCGCTCCCCTCCAGGCCCTGCCGCGCCGTCCCCAGGCGCTAAGGGACTCGAAGCGCAGCCTCGCTGGGACGGACCTAGCTCCGGCTCCGGGTTCACGCAGAGCAGGGGCTGCACCAGCGAGCGGACCCTTGAGACTGGCCGCGCCTGCGCACTCCGTGAGCGCGCCCGGCCCTCCCAGCAGCCTCCGCGCGCAGCCCGTTAGGCCCCGGGGATTGTGGCGTGACCCGGCAGCGGCTTCCTCCGTTCGGGCATCGCTGTGCCTCGGGTTCGCGCCCCGAGTGAGCAGTCCTGGCCCGGAGCGTCGGTCCTGGTAATCTGTAGGAAAAGCGCTGCGGCCCAGGGGGTAAAGAGAGGTAAGCGGGGCCACTGCAGTATCGCAGAGGGGCGGGAGCCCGCGCCTCAGGCCCGGGTGTGTGTGTCGTGGGCGTGACGGGGCCGGGGCTGGGACGTGACGGAGTCTGTGCGGCTGACTTGGGTGCAGAGACTATTGTATGAGCGAAGGTTGTTGTGGCCGTGGAGTGCGTGACTGACCCCAGCATCCTCTGCCCACACCGGGCCCAGCTGCAGAGAAATGGCCCTCGGTCAGTTTCTGCACGCCAAAGACTCCCAGCAGAAACGCGCAGACTAGGCCGGACCAGGTGGCTCACATCTGTAATCCCAGAGCTCTGGGAGAGCGAGGCGGGAGGATCGCTGGAAGCCAGGAGTTCGAGACCAGCCTGGGCAGCAAAGCGAAACTCCCATCTGTACCAGAAATTTAAAAAATGAGCCGGGTGTGATGGCGTGCTCCTGTGGTCCCAGCCACTCGAGAGGCTGAGGCGGGAGGATGGCTTGAGCCTAGGAGGAGATTGAGGCTGCAGCGAGCTATGATAGCACCACTACTCTCCAGCCTGGGCAACAGCGAAACAAGGCTCAGACCCGACCTTGGGATAGGAATATTAGAACTGAACGAGCCCCCGCTCCCGCCCAGGCTTGCTCCTGGAAGGGACTCCCACACCACCTCCTCGCGGACCCGGACCCACGCACGTGCACTCACAACTCTGAAGAGTCCAGCTGCAGGTTTCAGAACCACAGCATTGCTTCCAGGAAGCTATTGTGAACTCCAGTTCTAGCCCCGGGCATCCATGACCCTGGCCTTTCTTTGATACTGGGAAGAGTTAACAACACCATCTCTCTTATGTTACTCTGGTTATGTGTGGGTGGGCGGTGGGGGCATTGTGCCCTATGCGAGGCTGGGCTGCAAGAAAAGCCTGGTTCCCTTATTAGCCAGTCCTGCCCAATTCTTTAAGAAAAGGGGTCCGAGCGGGAGGAGGAATGAATTGCTGTTGCCTGTTTAAGTCAAGGTCGAGGCGAGTGGGTGTTTCTGCTTTCTTCTGTGAAATGCATTCTTATTTCTTAGGACATGAGAATATTTGTTTCATTCTCCATAAATGTCCTGTCCATTGAGCTGATACCTAGGTCCCCTCCCGAGAGCCTGTATGCACATACCCATTTGGTAGATGTTTTTCATTACTTCTGTGGGCCTTCTTTTAATTACTATGTGTAAAGTTCTTAGAACAGTTCCTGAGACCTCGTTAGTACTTAATAAACCTTAGTTATGTATTCTTAAGTAGTGATTTGGAGCAATTCTACATCAGCCTTCTATAGATGGGGGGAAAATGAAAATACTAAGCCAATTGTGGTGAGTATTTCCTAGTAAAAAATAAATGAGCCAGATCAGATGCTTAAATAGTCTAAAACAGGAATTCTTTTTTTTTTTTTTTTTTTTTTTTTTTGAGACAGGGTCTTGCTCTGTCACCCAGGTTGGAGTGCAGTGGCACAATCTCAGCTCACTGCAACCTCCCTTTCCGTGGTTCAAGCGATTCTTATACCTCAGCCTCCCAAGTAGCTGGGATTACAGGCCTGCACCACCACACCCAGCTAATTTTTGTATTTTTAGTACAGACCGGGTTTTACCATGTTGGCCAGGCTGGTCTCAAACTCCTGGCCTCAAGTGATCTGCCTGCCTCGGCCTCCCAAAGTGCTGGAATGACAGGCATGAGCCACCGCCCCCAGCCTAGAACAGGAATTCTTTTTTTTTTTTTTTTTTTTGAGACGGAGTTTCGCTCTTATTTCCCAGGCTGGAGTGCAATGGTGTGATCCCAGCTCACCGCAACCTCCGCCTCCCAGGTTCAAGCGATTCTCCTGCCTCAGCCACCCTAGTAGCTGGGATTACAGGCATATACCACCACGCCTGCCTAATCTTGTATTTTTAGTAGAGACGGGGTTTCTCCATGTTGGTCAGGCTGGTCTTGAACTCCCGACCTCAGGTGATCTGCCCGCCTTGGCCTCCCAAAGTGCTGGGATTACAGGCATGAGCCACCGTGCCCGGCCATAGAACAGGAATTCTTAACCAGAAGTAATTTGAATTCATTTGAGGCTTTCAGGGGACCAGATACTCTTTGAAATTGTACGTAAAATTGTTATAGATATCTGTTAATATGCCACTTTTATGGGGAGAAAATATGTAATTTAATGAGATTATCAAACATGATCCATTAAGATTCAGATCTACTGGCCTAGAATCAAAGTCTGTAACCTTTGAGAATGTTTTTCAATGTTAGACACAAAATTAGTGTCTAATAGTAGGAAATGATTAAATAAGCCACACTCCATGTGATGCAGCTTTTTGCCATTAATAAATACTGTTAATTATGAGAAGGAAAAAAAGCTTGTGATCGATGTTGTCTAAGCAATAGTTTTGAACAAGATGACTCACAAAACCTTTAATCATGTATGAATCGCTCTTAATAAGCTAGAGATTTATAAAACATTTTGCAAGGATTATACATAATATAAAACTAGTTTCTTAGTGGAGAAAAAAAGATAAACTGTTGTTTACCACACTGTTCTGTCTGCTTTGGTATACTTTTACTGAATTTAGGAATGTCGCTTGATTGTGTTCATTCATAGAAGAATCTTGAGAGTGAAAATAGCCCATCGTTTTGATGAAGAACAGTTAAAGAACTGATGGGTGTTACTTATTTGTGCCACACTGTTGTTTATTTTCCCAAAACCCACTCATGTCACAGGCTTATAGAATCACAATTTTCTTAACAACTAAAAGATATTCCTTCTTCACAACTCTGTTTTTAATTCTATGTGTATGAAAATAGTTTAATTGGCTGGGCGCAGTGGCTCACGCCTGTAATCTCAACACTTGGGAGGCTGAGGTGGGCAGATCACCTGAGGTCAGAAGTTTGAGACCAACCTGGCCAATATGGTAAAACCTGTCTCTACTAAAAATAGAAAAATTAGCTGGGCACAGTGGCGCCTGCCTGTAATCCCAGCTATTTGGGAGGCTGAGGCAGAAGAATTGCTTGAACCCATGAGGCAGAGGTTGCAGTGAGCCGAGATCCTGCCATTACACTCCAGCCTGGGTGACAGAGTGAGACTCAGTCTCCAAAAAAAAAAGAAAGTCCTGGTTTAAGCTGCCAACTATATTTAGTACTATTCAGAACAGATTTTCTCCATCCCCTACCACCCAGTCATCTTCACTCTATAAGAATAAAATTTAAGTTGCCCGTAGTCTCACCATCCACAATAAATATTACTATTCTAATGTTTGCTTTTCCATTTTTTTCTGTGCACTTGTGCACATGTGTTTGTTTTCCAAAATAGAATCACAACAATTGATCATTTAAGGAGACAAAGACTCTGCAACACTTTGTTTGAAAAAGGAAAAAGAGGTTGGGCCTGGTGGCTCACGCCTGTAATTCCAGCACTTTGGGAGGCCAAGGTGGGCGGATCACCTGAGGTCAGGAGTTCCAGACCAGCCTGACTAACATGGTGAAACCCTGTCTCTACTAAAAATACAAAATTAGCCAGGCGTGGTGGTGCATGCCTGTAATCCCAGCTGCTTGGGAGGCTGAGGCATGAGGACCACTTGAACCCGGAAGGTGGAGGTTGCAGTGAGCCGAGATCTTGCCATTGCATTCCAGCCCGGGCAACAGGAGCGAAACTGTCTCAAAAAAAAAAAAAAAGTATTTAATATGATACCTTATCAAAGCAAAATTCTTGAGCTGGTTTTATGATATGGAATGGTGTCCCTTTGGAGCTACTAGGGATGGAAAGTAACAGGGGCCTTGCTCTACTTTTTGATTTCTGTGAATCCTTTTTTGATAACATTATTAAGAAGAATTACATAGGCCAGGTGCGGTGGCTCATCTCTATAATCCCAAGACTTTGGGAGGCCGAGGCAGGCAGATCACGAGGTCAGGAGATCGAGACCATCCTGGCCAACATGGTGAAACCCTGTCTGTACTAAAATACAAAAAATCAGCCGGGTGTGGTGGCATGCTCCTGCAGTCCCAGTTACTTGGGAGGCTGAGGCAGGGGAATCACTTGAACCCGGGAGGCAGAGATTGCAGTGAGCTGAGATCATGCCACTGCATTCCAGCCTGGCGACAGAGCAAGATTGTGTCTCAAAAAAAAAAAAAAAAAAGTAGAATTACATTTTCAAGCCTAGTTCTAACATTTATCAATGTTTTAAGAGCAATGCTGAAAAATCTCAAAAATCTCAAAAATCCCTTTAGAGAAAGGGACTGCTATTGAAATTGTTAAAGATAATTTATCAGCAAATACCAAATTTTTAAATTGAAAATTATTGAAGCCAGTGTGGTGGCTAACGCCTGTAATCCCAGCACTTTGGGAGGCCAAGGCGGGCGGATCACGAGGTCAGGAGATCGAGACTATGTTGGCTAACATGGTGAAACCCCGTCTCTACTAAAAATACAAAAAATTAGCCGGGCGTGGTGGCGGGCACCTGTAGTCCCAGCTACTCGGGAGGCTGAGGCAGACGATTGGCCTGAACCCGGGAGGTGGAACTTGCAGTGAGCCGAGATCTTGCCACTGCACTCCAGCCTGGGTAACAGAGCGAGACTGCATCTCAAAAAAAAAAAAAAAAAATTATTGAAGATAATTTTTAAAATAGTGGAATGAGGGGTATGTGATGTTTTTCACTGAATTTAGTGCTTACAGTAAGCCATTTTAAGTGCTTTATGTATTATGTTCTTAACCTTCACAACAACCCTATAAGGTAGGTACTGTTTATTCCTTAGTTTATATCTGAGGAAACTGAGACACTGAAAATTAATGCGTCCAAATTCTCACAGTTAATAATTCTCAGAGCTCTGTTCATATCCTGAATCTTGATAACAAAGCCTGTATTTTTAATAACTGAGAGTCTGCCACCTCCCAACATTGTACATATTCTTTTAGTCTGACTCCCATAGCTAGTAATTTATCATGAATATCTTCCTTCTTTAATTAATGTGGGCCAATGCCATCATTAATAATTGCATAATGTGCTATAATATAGTAGAACATCATTTATTCAACTTGTTGCCTACTGTTAGGTATTTGATTTCAGGTTGTCGTAAATTATTCTTTTTTTTTTGAGACAGAATCTCACTCTGTTGCCCACGCTGAAGTGCAGTGGTGCAATCTCAGCTCACTGCAACCTCCGCCTCCCAGATTCAAGTGATTCTCCTGCCTCAGCCTCCCAAGTAGCTGGGATTACAGGTGTCTGCCACCACGCCCAGCTTATTTTTGTATTATTGGTAGAGATGGAGTTTCGTCATGTTGGCGAGGCTAGTCTCAAACTGCTGACCTCAAGTGATCTGCCCACCTCGGCCTCCCAAAGTGTTGGTTACAGGCATGAGCCACTATGCCTGGCCAATAAATTATTCTTTGATGAACTCTCTTGCAATACATCTTTGTATACTTTTACAAATATTTCCTAACGATAAATTCCTAAAAGTGGAATTTCTGGGTTGAATTATGAGACATTTATAAAGTACTCACAATATGCCAGATCCTGTGCCAGTCCTTGGGGGAAATACAGTGACCAAAATGACATGGTTGATATCCTTACATTGTTTGTTGTCTTTCAAGGTAGATAAGCCTATGCAAGAATAACACTGAGATAGGTGAGGTAAAGTCATTGAAGAATTCAGGTGGCATGGCTTGAGAGGTCATGGGAAGCAGACAGCTGATTGTAGCAAGCATTGTCAGGTCACGACCAAATAATACCAAACTCATGGGGTTCCTGTGGGGTAATGGATTTTATGTAATAAGCATGTGCCTTATAGTTTTTATTTTCATGATGTTGATGCAAATGAACAGCACAAGAAGATTCAGCAGCTCCTAGGTGGGCCTCATGGCTAAAACAACTCTTTCAGAAACAAAACAAAAGCTTGGTCAAGAAGTCATGAGAAGTAGCAGCAGTGAAACAAGGCATTAATTGAAGATGTTTAGCCATGTTTATATAGGCAGAACTCTGACATACATGAACACACTTAGAAATCATAGAGTCAGTTCAGATTTTGGGAGCTGAAATCAACAAAACCAGTAAAAACATAGAAGCTGCTTGTAGGATATTGAGTTTTTTTCTCCAAGTTCAAGGGATGACTACTTTAAAAACTATCTCTTTAACCTATTTAAAGAACGCTTTCCACTATGCAAAGTTAAAATATATGTTTCAAGTATATATGGTCATGTAGAATTATGAAATAAATGTAAGCGAAAAGGAAATCAAGATCAATATCTATTGATGCCTGTCAGTGTTTCTTTGTGCTGATTTGCATGTATACTTTACAGATGTCCTAATAATGTTCATTTTATTTTTCTAAGAGATTATATATCTTGAATATTTTATATGTCCTTGTGTATTTTCTAAAACTTAGCACTTAGAGATTAATACACACGCACACTCTCTCTCTCTCTCTCTCTGTTTCTCTCACGTCTGTTTTTGCTGTACCTTAACAGGATCATACTACTCACAACTGTTTGTTACTGCACTCCTCACTCAACAAACTGTACTGAACATATTTCCATATTTCCAGTTAAAGAGCTGCATTATCATTTTTTAAATGGCAACAGTTTGTTTTACTCTATGGATGCTTTATGATTTATTTAATCTGTTTTCTTTTTTTTTTTTTTTTGAGACGGGGTCTTGCTCTGTTGCCCAGGCTGGAGTGCAGTGGCATGATCCCGCCTCACTGCAAGCTCCGCCTCCTGGTTTCACGCCATTCTCCTGCCTCAGCCTCCCGGGTAGCTGGGCTTACAGGTGCCTGCCACCATGCCCGGCTAATTTTTTGTATTTTTAGTAGAGACGGGGTTTCACCATGTTAGCCAGGATTATTTAATCTGTTTTCTATTGAAGGACATTTAGGTTCTTCCCAGCTTTTTTCCATTATGAACAAGGTCAACATACTGTTACACATACCTTTGATCATATGTACAATTTTTTTTAATCCCCAAAGTAGAATTTCTGAATCAAAGAGTATGCGTGGTTTAAATGCTGCTTGTACATACTTTGAAATCTATGCAGTCTGCAGTATACTGGTTAGAATGTTCATTTCCTCTCATGCTTGCAAATATGGGTATCAGTACTCAGATACCTGTTGGTGAGCTGATGTGTTATTTTTATTTTATTTTTTTTTAGTGAATCATGCATGCCAGTTTTCGCTCACTGGAATAGAAATTCTGGGTTTCAGAAACAAGAGCTAGAGTTGAAGGAAAGCCGACTCTATGGTTAGATAAATGATTCCAAATGCAGCTTTGCTACTCATAAACTGCATTTCTACAAATGATTTTATTTCCTTTTTTTTTTTAGATGGAGTCTTGCTCTGTCTCCCAGGCTGGGGTGCAATGGCGCAATCTCGGCTCACTGCAACCTCCGCCCCCCTAGGTCCAAGCGATTCTCCTCCCTCAGCCTCCCCAGTAACTGGGATTATAGGCGTCTGCCACCACACCCAGCTAATTTTTGTATTTTTAGTAGAGACAGGGTTTTACCATGTTGGTCAGGCTGGTCTCGAACTCCTGACCTCAGGTGATCCACCTGCCTTGGCCTCCCATAGTGCTGGGATTATAGGCGTGAGCCATCTCGCCCAGCCCAAGTGGTTTTATTTCTCTTCATGTGAATTTCTGATCCATTGCATGGATAGAATAATTATTGTGCTAAAGAGCAATCCTGAGGATATAGTTAATATATATAAAACAGGCCGGGTGGGTGCGGTGGCTCACATCTGTAATCTCAGCACTTTGGGATGCCGAGGCGGGCGGATCATGAAGTCAGGAGTTCGAGACCAGCCTGGTGAATATGGTGAAACCTGGTCTCTACTAAAAATACAAAAATTAGCCAGGCGTGGTGGTGCGTGCCTGTAGTCCCAGCTACTTGGGAGGCTGAGGCAGAAGAATTGCTTGAACCCGGGTGGCGGGGGTTGCAGTGAGCTGAGATCGTGCCACCGCACTCCAACCTGGGCAATAAGAGCAAGACTCCATCTCAAAAAAACAAAAACAAGAACAAACAACAGCAACAACAACAACAAAATATATATATATACACACACATATACACACACACACACACATACATATATAACACCCAACATACTGGAATTCTTGATAAATAGACATTTGTTATTGTCAAATGACCAAGAGCATGAATCCATGCCTGTTCAGCCTAGGTTGTAAGAAAGAGAATGGCAAATGAATTCATTCCAGAAAACAATGTGGATGATTCTGATTCTGACTGGAAAGAGAGAGTGATGAGCCCAGAGGATTTTGAAAGTTGTTCTGGCTGCAAGCAGGGCTGCCAGTGTGCAGTTTTGTGGTGGTAATGGCTGCCAGGCTTGGTCTTTATGAATTTCTCTCTTTGTGTCTGGTGAATCTAAACAGGCCTATGAAACTTTGAAGAAGGAAGATTGTGGTTTAGATGATACAGCCCCTTATCAGCCCTGGAATTAGCAAGGGATTAGACTCGTCCAGACTCCCTCAAATTTCTCTCTCTCTCTCTGCCTATGTGTGTGTGCGCGCGTGTGTGTTGGAGGAGCTGTGGTGGAGAGATCAGAAGAGAGGGGAAAGGTCACAGTAACTCAAATCATTTGGGGATTTCTGAGGTCCATCTGATCTCATGGCCTTGTTTTCCTCTCCCTAGATCAGCCTCTGTGGACTCGGTGCTTCTCCTGGCAAGTAAACCCCAAGGAGGACTGACCAGTTCTTGAATTTCTATACCATGGCCCTTGTAAGTTTTTTTCTCCTCCTAGGAATACTATCATGTTAAGGTTCTGTGACCATTTTTTTATTCTGAAACTTCCTTACTATCAGAGCTCCATCCAAGAACCTTCTTCCAGTTCTTCCAAATCCAGTGGCGGGTGAACCACAATGCTTGTCCTATGAACACTCTTTATTCTAGTCATTGTTCTTATCTTTGTTGAACAAATTATTCAGCATCTCCTATATGTGCTCAGTCTTCTGCTAAAAGCTGCAATGGAGGAAAAATGAAATCTCTTAAATATTTGACCATGGGCCCATTTAGCCACTCATAGGAAAACTGAACTTTGAGTTTTCCAAGTACGTAAGATAAGGGTCGTGGCTGGGCATGGTGGCTTGCACCTGTAATCCCTCCTGTTCAGGAGGTTGACATGGAGGATTGTTTGAGCCCAGGAGTTTGAGGCTCCAATGAAGCTATGGATGTGCCACTGTACTCCAGCCTGGGTGACAGGGAGACCCTGTCTCTTAAAAAAAAAAAGTTATAAAACAAAAAGGTAAGAGTTGCTGTTAGTTGGCCTCAGCCTCAGTATATCATAAGATCTCATGTTTTGTGAGGCTTTTAGGACTGAGTAGGGGTGTGGCTAGGTCTTATAGAGAGATCTGAGATCTTTTGGAATTCCTGAGTTACACTCAGGAACAAGATTCCATTTTTGGTTGAACAGGATGTGCTGGTCTAGAATGACATCTTTGTGATTCTGGATTATGCTATATTAATATCCTTTAACTCAGGAACCAGGAAGGCATACAGTGAGGGATGGAAAGTGATAGCATGTGAGAAGGTAATCCAGGTACATAAGTAGTCACGTTGACTCCCAGAATTGAGGAGGATCTTAAGGTTTTGTCCAACCAAAATATCTAAGTATAAAAGAATGATTAAATCTCATATATGCATTGTATAGACTATTATATAACCAATTTTTGTTTGTTTTTTTTTGAGACGGAGTTTTGTTCTTGTTGGCTAGGCTGGAGTGCAATGGTGTGATCTTGGCTCACCACAACCTCTGCTCCTGGATTCAAGCGATTCTCCTGCCTTAGCCTCCTGAGTAGCTAGGATTACAGGCATGTGCCACCAGGCCCAACTAATTTTGTATTTTTAGTAGAAACAAGGGTTCTCCTGTTGGTCAGGCTGGTCTCGAACTCCCGACCTCAGGTGATCCTCCCACCTCGGCCTCTCAAAGTGATGGGATTACAGGTGTGAGCCACTGCGCCTGGCCTATACAACCAATTTTTAACAGTCATAATTAGAAAAATGCTTATGATATGATCTGCTTCTAGGATAAACTTAGAAGATATTCTCTAATTGCATTTAGATCCTTTTCTAAGATAAAGATATTGTAGGGAGGGAGACTTTAAAAAAAAATCTGTTCTTTAAGAAGAAAGGGGCGGAAGAACTCACCTTCCTTGGGAATTGATGAGGGAGACATAGTAGGCAAAGGCTTATATACAGTATTTCATTTAATTGGAAAACTGATTTTTTTTTCTTTCCCAGGAGTATCTAGATTATTAAGATTTGCCAGAGTATAAGAGTCTGTGTCTGTAGCAACAGAATCCTTCGGGAACCCAGGCACTTTGCTTCAGGCACACTCATTTCCTGACTCGCTGTGTTGCAGGCTTCCAGCCCAAGCCTGTTTTCTTGCCATATGATCCACTTCCTGCAATATCTCTTCCTTCTTTTCTCCTTCTACCTTAAAATACATTTTCTTCCATTTCATTTATAATGTGTGGTTTGTCATTTCAGCGATCAGTGATGTTCAGTGATGTATCCATAGACTTCTCTCCAGAAGAGTGGGAATACCTGGACTTGGAACAAAAGGACTTGTACAGAGATGTCATGTTGGAGAACTACAGCAACTTGGTCTCACTGGGTAAGGTTATCTGCTTCTAGGAATTTAGACTGTGTTCTCTGTAAATCAGCTTTTTCCTGTGGAAATTTCAAGAGTATCTTTTAGGAAGCTATCTAAATTTTTGCTCCACTTTCTAAAGGGAACACTTTGAGCTTTATTTCATTGGAAGTGAGCACCTTCATTAAGCACATTGACCTTCCCCATCCTTAAGTAGCCCTTGGGCCTTAATAATGAAGGGGCTGGGTTTGAGATCTTTGTGATTTGTAGCCTCACCAGCGTCAAAGAAAACAAGTTTCACTTTGTGTTTGAATTCAGAACTGCTTTAGATGTTTTGTTGCTTGTTGGTATATTTTGTAAGGGAAATAGCTAGATCCTGTTTATTGAATTAGCTCTATCAAAATAATACATATGATTTATGTAGTGGTAAAATGGATCAACAGCATGTATTTACAATTCAAGAGAACTCATTCCCTTCATTAATAAACAATCATATTCAGTTTTACCTACCTTTATGATTGAAAATTAAAAATCTGGCCGGGCGCGGTGGCTCACGCCTGTAATCCCAGCACTTTGGGAGGCCGAGGCGGGCGGATCACGAGGTCAGGAGATCGAGACCATCCCGGCTAAAACGGTGAAACCCCGTCTCTACTAAAAATACAAAAAATTAGCCGGGCGTAGTGGCGGGCGCCTGTAGTCCCAGCTACTTGGGAGGCTGAGGCAGGAGAATGGCGTGAACCCGGGAGGCGGAGCTTGCAGTGAGCTGAGATCCCGCCACTGCACTCCAGCCTGGGCGACAGAGCGAGACTCCGTCTCAAAAAAAAAAAAAAAAAAAAGAAAATTAAAAATCTAAGATTTGTATTCATGTGTTTTATTGCACAGCAAGATGAGTATAGTTAATAATAATGTATTGTATATTGTATATTCCAAAATAGCTACAAGAGAGTATTTTTAATGTTCTCACTACAAAGAAAAGAAATGATAAATATTTGAGGTGATGGATATGCTAATTACCCTGATTTGCTAATTCCACAATGACATGTATCAAAACATCACATTGTAGCCTATAAATATATACAATTATTAGTCAAAAGACAAAATAATTATTAGTGAGTATTTGGAAAAACTAGAACCCTCATACATTGCAGTGGGAATGTACGATACTATAGATACGACCCTGTAATTCTTCTCCTAAATGTTTACTCAAGAGAAATAAAAATGTGTCTATACAAAGATGTATAAGTATTCACAGCAGCATTATTCACATTATCTAAATAAATGGATAAATAAAATGTGGCATAGTCATACAATAGAATATTCATTGAAGGAACAAACTACTGATACATGTTATAGCATGCAAGAATATAAAAAACACTATGCTAAGTGGAAGAAGCCAGATGCAAAAGATTACATATTATATGATTCTATTTATATGAAATGCCCAGAAAAGGCAAATCTATAGAGACAAAAAGAAGATCAATGGTTGTCTGGGGCTGGGAGTAGGAATGAGGATTGACTGCCAGTGACCAATAGGGATATTTGGGGGATGACGGAAATATTCTAAGTTTGGGTTATGGTGACGTTTGCACAACTCTGTAAATTTACTAAAAATCATTGAATTGTACACTTAGGTAGGTTTTATGTTATATAAATTATATTGCAGCAAAGCTGTTAAAATCCAAGAACTTTACATTTAATTTAACATTGTTTGAATATCCAAGAAATAATACATGTCCCAGAAAGCTTATTTTTCCTCTCAGCAAAATAACAATAACCAATAGCTAATGAAATATAAATAGTGTTTGGTATATACTCTAGGCAATGTTTAGATACAGACATATATAAATATAATCTTAACAATAATCATATAAGATAAGTACTATGATTATCCCTATTTTATAGGGAAGGAAAAGGTAGCATGGAAGTAACTTGCCCAAGGTCATACAACTAGGATGTGGTTCAGGCAGGATTTGCACCCAGCAGTCTGTCATCTCAACCACTATTGCCTCTGAAAAAGAAACACTTATATGAATATAGATTTTAAAAAGATTTTTTCATTCCCTCTCTAGTCTCTATTTATTGTGTAACCTTAACGTAAATGTTTTTAAAACATCTTTCACTTATTTGTTTTGCCTTATTAATTACTGTTTTGACATATACTTTAACCAAGACTGAATCAAAGTAATTTTGATTTATTTTTTATTTTCATGTACCTTATATTCCTTTTCTTCTAAGCAGGATGCTTCATTTCTAAACCAGATGTGATTTCCTCATTGGAGCAAGGAAAAGAGCCTTGGAAAGTTGTGAGGAAAGGAAGAAGACAATATCCAGGTGAGGGCTAGTTGGGCAGGAAGAAGCCATCAACACAGGGAACCCCAGATCACTGGGGAAGAGACACATCCTTATGTTGTTTAGAAAGCCCTCTTGAAAGGTCTGTGGCCCAAGGAGGAAAGGTCTGTGGCCCAAGGAGGAAAGGTCTGTGGCCCAAGGAGGAAAGGTCTGTGACATGGGGAGCAAATTAAGGTCTTAGCTGGGGGATACTAAAAGAAGCACTTATTTGTCCCATTTACCACTCTTCTTTTTTATTATTGTTCTCTCTAGTTTTCCTCCTCCTTAATGGAGCTGAGGGGTAAGGTGGTGCTCTCTTTGGCTCACTGTTGACAACCATTGTATATTTTGATTCAGTTGCTTTCCTCCTTTGCATTTTTTTTTTTTTTTTTTTTTCTGAGATGCAGTTTCGCTCTTGTTGCCCAGGCTGGAATGCAATGGCACAATCTCGGCTCACTGCAACCTCTGCCTCCTGAGTTCAGGCAATTCTCCTGCCTCAGCCTTCTGAGTAGCTGGGTTTACGGGCGTGTGCCACCACACCCGGCTAATTTTTGTATTTTTAGTAGAGACGGGGTTTCACCATGTTGGCCAGGCTGGTCTTGAATTCCTGACCTCAGGTGATCTGCCCGCCTCAGCCTCCCAAAGTGCTGAGATTACAGATGTGAGCCACTGTGCCCAGCCCCTCTTTTGCATTTATAGTGTCAGCTGAAGAATGACAAAGTTCATACATTTGGAAAGGAGAGCTTTATTTTTCATAAAGGATTGCAGCCTGCAAGGCGGTTATTCTGACAGACTGGGAAGTGTAGCCTAGGCTTCTGCCCAGAGACGGGCATTTCGAGGGAGGGAGAGGGTAAGACAGAAATGTATGCTGAATGTTAGCCAAGTATACATATTCAACAGGCTACAGGAGGAGCTATGAATACTCAGGAAAGAGACTGTGCACATGCATATTAGGTTAACATAAGTCCTATGGCCACTTTAGGGTAGAGATTTAACATTTAAATGCATTATAACTAGGACCTATGCATTAAAAGGGTAAATGTAGGACACAAGTCCATGATCTGTGTATCCTTGGGAGACCAGTCAAAACCAGTCCAAGGCTGGAAGTCGTTTATCAAGAAGAAGCTGTGGACTGGAATAGCTGTCATGTTGGAACCATAAAAACAGGAGTGTGGAGTGGTGGGGGAGTGTTCTGATGAAGTAAGCAAAAGGGTCTTTCAGCCTTTTATTTTCTCTAGCTGACTTTTGAGAAAATCTAATGATCAGAAAGGTGAAAGGGATTGGAAGCAAATGGGTCATGACCAGCCTTCTGTCCTGCCATGTGCCATGACTAGGAACATGGGGTCTTTAGCCAAAAGAGGGTCCTTCAGTCTGTCGGGGTTTAGGACTTTTACTTCGGTCTTTAATAAATAGACAGGTGGCCTTGGAGCTGGGCACTGTCACAGACACTATCAATATAGTGGTAAACAACCAATCAAGTTTCCATCCCCACGAAATTTACCTTGTAATAAGAGAAACATAATAACTATAAATAAATAGGAAATACAATGTCAGGTAATGAGAGTGCTATGAAGAAAAGTAAGCAGAGTAAGGGGATGGAGATGTGTGCTGGGAAGACTCTTTTAGTTGTCAGAGAAGCCTTTTTTCCCCCAACTTTTCTCATAAATTATTAAAGGGAAATAAAAGACTACAAAAATGATATGCTTGATAGTATAATCATATATGTTTTATCAGCAACTAAAGTTTCATATGAATTATTCTAGAAGATAGCTCCTAGTTCACAGAATATCATTCTTATTTGATTTTTCTATCTATGTATTCATCTATCTTCACATTAAGAAGAAACATGGATATAATAGACTCTAGAGAGAATGATCTCATGGTCTTTTGTTTACCTTGTCTGTGCTGTTTTCATCTCTCTTTGCAGCTCTTGTTTCAAAAGGTTTTTTTTTTTTTTTTTCTTGCGACGGAGTCTCGCTCTGTCGCCCAGGCTGGAGTGCAGTGGCGTGATCTTGGCTCACTGCAACCTCTGCCCCTCCAGGTTTAAGCAGTTCTCTGCCTCAGCCTCTGGAGTAGCTGGGATTACGGGCGTGTGCCACTATGCCTGGCTAATTTTTTGTATTTTTTGTAGAGATGGGGTTTCACCATCTTGGCCAGGCTGGTCTTGAACTCCTGACCTTGTGATCCACCCGCTGGATCCCAAGGTGCTGGGATTACAGGTGTGAGCCACCGCGCCTGGCCTTTTTTTTTTTTTTTTTTTGAGATGGAGTCTTACTCTGTTCCCCAGGCTGGAGTGCAGTGGTGTGATTTCAGCTCACTGCAACCTCTGCCTCCCAGGTTCAAGTGATTCTCCTGACTCGGTCTCCTGAGCAGCTGGGATTACAGGTGCCTGCCACCATGCCTGGATAATTTTTTTTGTTGTTGTTATTGTTTTTTGTTTTGAGACGGAGTCTTGCTCTGTCACCTAGCCTGGAGTGCAGTGGCGTGATCTTGCTCACTGCAAGCTCCGCCTCCCAGGTTCATGCCATTCTCCTGCCTCAGCCTCCCGAGAAGCTGGAACTACAGGCGCCCGCCACCACGCCCGGCTAATTTTTTTGTATTTTTTTTTGGTAGAGTTGGGGTTTCACCGTGTTAGCCAGGATGGTCTCAATCTCCTGATCTCGTGATCTGCCCGCCTCAGCCTCCCAAAGTGCTGGGATTACAGGCGTGAGCCACCGCGCCTGGCCATGCCTGGCTAATTTTTATATTTTTAGTAGAGATGGGGTTTAACCATGCTGCTGAGGCTGGTCTTGAACTCCTGACCTCATGATCCGCCCATCTCGGCCTCCCAGAGTACTGGAATTACAGGCGTGAGCCACCGCACCCGGCCACAAAAGGTCTTTAAAAATGTTTTTATTCAGAGACATATGTTGTAATTTTGTATTTTGTTCTCTGTATATTCAGGTCTGGCTAAGGACACTTATTTTAGGGTACTAGTTCTTATTTTATAACCATAGGACCATTTCAGTGCCTACACTGTTTGTAATGTTCTATCTTCTGACTTAACCTTCTACCAAAAGAAAGAAAAACATGCTTTTTCCCTCTTATCCCTAATCTTTTTTTTTTTTTTTTTTTGAGATGGAGTCTCGCTCTTCTGTCCAGGCTGGAGTGCAGTGGCGTGATCTCAGCTCACTTCAAGCTCCGCTTCCTGGGTTCACGCCGTTCTCTTGCCTCAGGCTCCCAAGTAGCTGGGACTACAGGCGCCCGCCACCATGCCTGGCTAATTTTTTTGTATTTTTAGTAGAGATGGGGTTTTACCGTGTTAGCCAGGATGGTCTTGATCTCCTGACCTTGTGATCCGCCCACCTTGGCTTCCCAAAGTGCTGGGATTACAGGCGTGAGCCACTGTGCCCGGCCTCCTAATCTATTTTAAAATTCACATTCAGGTAATTAAATGACATTTGCAATTATTAACACTCAAAATGTATTGCAGAGGTTCCAAGTGAATAAGATAATATCCATTTAGTCAGGAAGCATTTAGCCAAAATAGTAACTGTTGGCTCAGAGTTAGACATCTTAAACAAGACCATGTATTTTTTTTCTTTCTTTTCTATTCTTCCTTTAAGAAAGTTTGATTAAAGTATAAATAACATGCCTTCAGAAAAGTGGACAGATGACTTTCTTGAGGTGATATTTGAGAAGAGACATGAAGTAAGGGCTCAAGACATGTCATTTTCTGGGAAAAGAGCATTATGAGCTGATAGAAAAGGTCTGAGTGCGGCATTAGCCTTGCTAGTCTGAGGAATAACAAAGACGGCCATTATGGTCAGACCAGGGAAAGGGAAAGTAAGAAGCTGAGATCAGAGTTAGGCAAGGACCCGGTAATGTAACCACTAAGAGAAATTGAAAGCCACGGGCTGCTTGTATTCTAAAATTATTTCTCCGGTTGAGTGCAAAAGCAGGAAGCACCGATACTGAGGCAGTTTCAGTTGTTGAGTTAGACAGGGTGGTGGTTTGGATAAGAATGGCATTGTTAGGAAGTAGTAAGAAGCTGTTAGGCTCATGATGTGTATGAAGGCGCTGTCAAAAGAACATGCTGATAGGATTATAAGTGAACTAAGTGGGAAGGAGTGATATAAAAGGAGAAGAAATGAGTGTTGGCTTAAACAACTGGGTGAATAGAAGCAGAATTTACTGAAGTGAGGAAAATAGGAAGAGCAAGTTGGAAAGTTGGCACTAAGAGTTTCAGTTTAAGATATTTTAAGTTTGTGATGATTATTATCTGTCCAGTTTGAGATGTTGCGTAGGCAGTTGAATACGTACACCTGGAACTTGGAGCGATTACAGCCTGGTTTATGTTTGGCTGTCTGTATGATTGGAATTTACATTCATGGATCTGGATGTGACCAACTAGGGAAGGCAGGCAGGCCCGAGAACTGACTCATGGGTCACTCCACCCTGTAGACCTTTGAAAGAGGGAAAGAGGGACAACAAAAGAGATAAAGAAGGAGCAGCCACTAAAAAAATTAAAAAAAAAAAAAAAGAAGGGGCAGCCATTGAGATAAAATAAAAATAAAGGAAATGTTTCACCATGGACGGAGTAGAGAATGAGGACTGAGAATTGACCCCAGGTTCCAGCAAGATGGAGAATCCTGGTAAGCTTGTCAAGAAAGATTTTCAATGGAGTCAGGATGAAAGCCCAAGTGGAGTGACTTGATGAGAGAAGGGTTTGTGAGGCAGTAACAAGAATGAGTATAAGACAACTCTGGAGGAATTATGTATGAAGGGAAGCTGGGAAATAGGGTTGTCAGTTACACTGGGGATATGGGTTAAAAAGCAGTGTATTTTATGACATTAGGGCATGTTTGTGTGCTCATAGGAATGATTCTATCGGTGGAGGAAATCAGTGCAGTAGAGAAAGGCATAATTGTCCTTGAGACTGGAGTAAGAAAGGATCCAGTGAGTAAGGGGGAATAAAAGGGAAAAACAGTGTAGTTATGTGTGCAGGTAGGTTGCTCAGGATGGTGGAGAGAAGATAGCATATTCTTCTGTTGCTGTTTTCTCAGTGAAAAAGAAGATCAATAGAATGTGAGAGCATCAATGGAATATTATTAGCATTCAGTATGGGCTTATTCAGGATATGATTAAAATTGATTCTCCGAAGTACAGTTCCTTAGATGTCGGGTTTTACTATTTTCAGATCTTTGTACATTATCCCTGTGTTGAAATGCAAATAGGACTTCCCTGGAACCAAATCTTCTATATCCCAGAACTTCTTGTATCAACAAAGTAAGATGGTTGATACAGTGCCCAAATAGAGTAAGTCTAAGTGATTTATATGACATTTTCTGTTTAATTAAAGGTGGTTCTCTGCAAAGAGGAATCACATTTATGATTTTTTGTATTTATATATTTTTACCTGATCAAAAAAAGGACTTTTCTACATTCTCATCAGAAGTGTTTAATGGACTAGAAATCCTTTGATCCAACAGATTTAGGACTGGTAATAGGTCTGTTAGTCATAAAAAAATGGGTCGTATATTTTATGTACATACCATAAAAGTATTATTTTAACTTAGAACATTCAAATGTATGTCTGTTTGCCAGTATTTTTGATAGTGTCCAAGTCTTCCTTTCCATTGTCTCATTGTATTTCATTTTTCCTCTAAATCACACACATAATATGAAGTCTATTATTTCCAGTTTTATTTATTTTTAAAGTAGAATAGGAACCAAACTTGCAGTATGAGTGCAGAATACGTCTTGATTGTTATGTTTTCTTTCATTTTTTACTATTGTATTTCCTACACTTAATTTTCGACAGCTGAGATTTTTAGCAATCTGTATTTATCACCAGTTTTCCAAAATGTTCAATTTTGTTTTCATAGAATCAGTTGTTTTCTCCTTGTTATTCATGAGTTTACACTCATGAATTTATTTAACATTTATTAAATTAAATTAGATACTTTCAGGAAAAAAGTGAAACACACCTAAATTTGTTTGGAACAAACATAGTTGCCTCTTGTGAGGTGGGGTGCTTTGTCACCTGGGCCTGCGACTGTGGCTGTATCCCCAGGACATGACCAGCCACTGACCCATCTCTGATACCCTAACCTCTTGTCTGTTGCCTCCTCTGGAGGTAAACAGTAGTAGTTGCTGTCTGGCCTTGGAGAGGTAACCTGAGGGTTAAGTTTATCTGACCACTTTGAACACAGCAGTTACCCTGTGTATTGCCACTGTCTCCACACCTGCTTCTTGCTCAGCAGCTTCTTAGTATGACCACCCTTGGTGGGGCACCCTTAGCTTCTGTGCAGGAATCTCTTCCTTGTGATTTGGTATATGATTTCTTCAGTATACCCAATGCTAAATACTTCATGAGTGTTTCGAAGTTTTCCTCATAAAGGTTATCCATATATTTTAAATTTTTGTAAGTATTATGAGTGAGATCTTTCCCCTCATATTTTATTGTTAAATGTATATTCAAAGGATATTGTTGTTTGTATTTTTATTTTATATCCTGCTACCTTTCTAAATTTTGTTGCCATTTATAATATTTAAACCTTTGAGTTTTCCAATTAGACAGGCATATCCTTTGGAAATAGAGTTTTACCTCTAATTCTTCTACCTCTGATTTTTTTTTCTGATTTTTTAATTATGTTGACTAATAACTCTAATACTACATCATTAATAGTAGTGGTAATGTTAGGCAAGCTGCCTTTTTGGTAAGATAATATATACTTTATCATTTAGGGAAGTATCATTACAGTTTCACTGAGCTTTTTTAAAAAAAATCAGGAACATGAAGCAGGAGGATTGCTTGAGCCCACGAGTTAGAGGCGGCAGTGAGCTGTGATTGCACCACTGCACTCCAGCTGTGGTGACAGAGGGTGACGCTGTTTCTTGGGAAAACAAATTCAGGAACAGTTTTGGTCTTTTTTTAGTTACCTTTTCAGCATCTATGGAATTGATTGTGTGATTTTTTTTTTCTCCTTCACTCTGTTGGTATATTGAATTGTCTTAATAGATTTCCCCATATTGAACCATTGAAACATTTTTTTTTTTTTTTGAGATGGAGTTTTGCTCTTGTTGCCCAGGCTGGAGTGCAGTGGCGTGATCTTGGCTCATTGCAACCTCTGCCTCCTGGGTTCAAGCGATTCTTCTACCTCAGCCTCCCAAGTAGCTGGGACTACAAGCATGTGCCACCACACCCCGCTAACTTTTGTATTTTTAATAGAGACAGGGTTTCACAATATTGGCCAGGCAGGTCTTGAACTCCTGACCTCGTGATCCACCTACCTTGGCCTCCCAAAGTGTTGGGATTACAGGTGTGAGCCACTGCGCCCAGCCTAAAACATTCTTGTAATAAACACCCCTTGGGTCTTTCAATGTGCTGTTTTATTAGATATTTAGAATTTTTTCCTCAGTGTTCAGAATATTGGTGTGTAGTTTTCTTTTTGTGAGCGATCTTTATATCAGTATCACTTTATGAAAACAGTTTGGAAGTCCTGATCTTCTTAGTTGAAAAAGAATTTTGATAGCCTGTCTTTAAAGCTTAAATAAGTTTTGTAAAGCTTTATTCTTGGGAAAAGGGATGGTAAGTCTGATCACATTCTCTATTTGCTCTATGGGAATTGATCTATATAAACATTTTATTAACATCTATCTCTTCCATGATCAGTTTTGATAAATTATATTTTTCTAAAAAATTATCCATTTTAGGCTGGGTATGGTTGCTCATGCCTGTAATCCCAGCACTTTGGGAGGCTGAGGCGGGTGGATCACAAGGTCAGGAGTTCAAGACCAGCCTGGCCAAGATGGTGAAATCCCGTCTCTACTAAAAGTACAAAATTTAGCCGGGTGTGGTGGCGTGTGCTTGTAATCCCAGCTACTTGGGAGGCCGAGGCAGGAGAATCGCTTGAAGGTGGTGGGGCGTGGCGGGGGGCCAGCGGGTGGAGGTGCAGGTTGCAGTGAGCCGAGATTATACTACTGCACTCTAGCCTGGGTGACAGAGTGAGACTCTGTCTCAAAAAACAAAAAAACAACAAATTATCCATTTTAGCTGTGTTTTCAAATTTATTAGCATAGTCATCTGTCCTCTGTATTCATGATCATTTTCATTTGTTCTTTCTTATTTCTATGTCTGTGCTTTCTTGCTGTTTTCATTATCTTAACCATGGCTTACATTTTGTTGATTAAAAAATTGGTTTATGAGGCCAGGCGCGGTGGCTCACGCCTGTAATCCCTGCACTTTGGGAGGCCGAGGCGGGTGGGTCACCTGAGGTCAGCAGTTTGAGACCAGCCTGGCCAACATGATGAAACCCGTCTCTAGTAAAAATACAAAAAATTAGCTGGGCGTGGTGGTGTGTGCCTGTAATCCCAGCTACTCAGGAGGCTGAGGCAGGAGGATTGCTTGAACCCGGGAGGCAGAGGTTGCAGCGATCCAAGATTGCGCCACTGCACTCCAGCCTGGGCAACAAGAGCAAAATTCCATCTCAAAAAAAAAAAAAAAAAATTGGTTTATGCTTTATTACTTCTATTTCTGTATTCTAACTAATTCTGCTTTTATATCGGTTAATATTTTTCTTCTGCTTTACTTCAGCTTAATTTTATTTTCTTTTTTTGAATGAGACTTTTAACGATGTTTTTCACTTTTATTGCTGTATTTTAGTTTGTAAATTTTCTTATAAGCACTATGGTTATGTTTTATAGATACTTATATGCAGGTTTTCAAAATGTAGGCTTAATTTTTTTTTTTTTTTTAAAGAAACAGAGTCTTGCTCTGTCACCCAACCCAGAGTGCAGTGGCATAGACAGAGCTCACTGCAGCCTTGACCTCCTGGGCTCAAGCACTTCTCCTACCTTAGTCTCCCAAGTAGCTGGGACTATAGCACACACTACCATGCCCAGCTAATTTTTTAATTACTTTATTTATGTATGTATTTTTTTTTGAGATGGAGTCTCGCTCTTTCACCCAGGCTGGAGTGCAGTGGCGCGATCTCGGCTCACTGCAAGCTCCGCCTCCCAGGTTCACGCCATTCTCCTGCCTCAGCCTCCCGAGTAGCTGGGACTACAGGTGCCTGACACCCCGCCCAGCTCATTTTTGTGTGTGTGTCTATTTTTAGTAGAGACGGGGTTTCACCGTGTTAGTCAGGATGGTCTCGATCTCCTGACCTCGTGATCCACCCATCTCGGCCTCCCAAAGTGCTGGGATTATGTGCGTGAGCCACTGCGCCCAGCCAATTTATTATTTTTAGAGATGAGGTCTTGCCATGTTGCCCTGACTGGTCTTGAACTCCTGGGCTGAAGAGATCTTCCTGCCTTGGCCTCCTCAAGTGCTGGGATTACAGGTGTGAGCCACCACACCTGGCCTCCCATTATTTTCAAAAAAACAAAAATACAGCCAGGTGGCCTGGCTCATGCCTGTAATCCTAGCACTTTGAAAGGCAGAGGTGGGAGGATCACTTGAGGTCAGGAGTTTGAGACTAGCCTGGCCAACATGGTGAAACCCTGTCTCTACTAAAAATACAAAAAAAAAAAAAAAATAGCCAGGCGTGGTGGCACATGCCTATAATCCCAGCTACTCAGGTGGCTGAGGCAGGAGAATCGCTTGAACCCAGGAGGCAGAGGCTGCAGTGAGCTGAGGTCACACCACTGCACTCCAGCCTGGGTGACAGAGTGAGACTCTGTCTCAAAAAACAAACAAACAAGCAAAAATCAAAAACATTGTTTCAGATCTTATTTTCCTATTGACCTAAGAGTTATTTAATATAGACTTTTGAATTTTCAGGTAGATTTTACTTGTGTTTCTTTTAATTTTATTATTAATTTCCAGTTTTAGTAGAAAATGTCTATATAATTTCAACCTTTTTTTTTTGCTAACTCCTAGTTTTGTGTCTAGATTTCAGCTTTTTAATAGAGACCACCTTATCATAATTGAAAACCTCATCCTGTTTCTCTCTCATACACAACTCATTCAGCTTGTAGATTTTCCTCTGGCTGTTCCTGTTGCTGGCTTGCCATCCTCTGGCCTACATGTAACGTGACTTCTGTTAGCAAGTCCTTCACATTCAGATGACTGCAACAGTTGAACATGCACATTACTTTTTTCCACATTTCTGAGTTACAGGCATATCCTGTCTTTTTGTGCCATGAATTTCATAAGAACTTCAGTAAGATATAGACGTGTTTTCCTGTCCGAAAAATCACTGATACACATTTCCTAAAAAAACAGGAATGGCCTTGACTATGAGGGAATGGAAAGGAGAAAACCTGAGCAATGGGAGGAAAGAACAAAACCAGTTGAACATTTGTCAAATGAATGAGTAATAGAATAAGTTGAAGGGAAGATTGAGTAGGTAGAACTCCTCAATACCTTTGCTATGGTGTAGAGACAAAGAAAAAGTTACCCATAGCTATGTGAAGGGGCAAATGGGCAGTGCACTGCATAGGTAAAGGCATAAGCAGTGGCAGATGCATAGGAATATACAGCCACCTATTTCCATTCTTGTATTTAGCTGGGCTGCCCTGGATGAATAAAGAGAATATTTAATCACTGTAGTAAGGCATGAGAGACTAGAGGCAGAGAGATACATTTAGAACAAGTATGTAGCTATGGGAATTAAATGAGTAAAACCTATTATATGCTTAGCATTTATTACTTAATGTAGCGTTAACTAGGGATTGTTTCTGTCCTTGAGGAGGTTTATAGGTAAGAATAGGCAGTATAACAATTGGAGAAGTTAATAAATATATAATTTTTAAATTGAGAGCTATTATAAAGGCAAGGAATAGAGAATAGCAACATGGATTTAGGTACTATCAATAGGGTCAACCTTAAAGGAAATGACTTTTAATCTAAGATCTCAAGATGAAAGGAGCCAGCCATGCAAAGAGCCCAATCAGGAGATTTGTGGGAGATAGAACAGACTGTGAAGAGTCCTAAGAGATGGAAGTAAGTTAGGACATGTGAGGTCTGCAAGGAGGCCTCTCCAGGGAGCAGTAAAGGGGACACTGGTTTGAGATCATATGATGTAGGTAAGCAGAGGCCTTCTTAACCACAGTGAGCTTGACTGGATTCTGAGAATGAAGAAAGATGAAAAAAATTTAAGTATAGATTCTCGACCTCTCATCTTCATCAGAATTATCATGTAGAGAATATTAAATATCCTTCCAGGACTGCAGAGTCTGATCCAGGTGGTTTGGGTGGTGTCTAAACCTCAGTGTTAGTAACAAGCTATGTGGTGATTCTGATCCACACCTCAATATGAGAACCACTGACTTAAAATGTTTACTTCATCACCAATCTTGCTATTTTGTATGAACTCTCATTTTTCCTGATGTTCCCTTTGGCTTTTTTTTTCTTTCCAAATTGTATAACAATATTTTAGAGTTTTGGTTAAGGATTACTTTTGTTGTCTTTTATTTCTACATTAGAAATGTTGCTTCTTTTAGTAAAAGAAAACAGCATGTGTTTGCTTTCTTGTTTTATTTTAGATTTGGAGACCAAGTATGAGACCAAGAAGTTATCTTTAGAAAATGACATTTATGAAATAAATTTATCCCAGTGGAAGATAATGGAAAGAATTGAAAACCATGGCCTTAAGGGTCTCATTTTAAAAAATGATTGGGAATCCACAGGAAAAATTGAAGGACAGGAGAGACCTCAAGAAGGATACTTCAGTAGTGTGAAAATGCCATCTGAAAAGGTGTCCTCTTACCAGAAACGCACATCTGTTACTCCACATCAGAGACTTCATTTTGTTGATAAACCCTATGAATGTAAGGAATGTGGGAAGGCGTTCAGAGTGCGCCAACAGCTTACTTTTCATCACAGAATTCATACTGGTGAAAAACCGTATGAATGTAAGGAATGTGGGATGGCCTTCAGACAGACTGCACACCTTACTCGACATCAGAGACTTCATTCTGGTGAAAAACTCTATGAATGTAAGGAATGTGGGGAAGCTTTCATATGTGGTGCAGATCTTAGAGTACATCAGAAAATGCATATTGGTGAGAAGCCCTATGAATGTAAAGAATGTGGGAAGGCTTTTAGGGTACGAGGACAACTTACTCTGCATCAGAGGATTCATACTGGTGAGAAACCCTATGTGTGTAAAGAGTGTGGAAAAGCCTTTAGACAGTACGCACACCTGACTCGGCATCAGAAGCTTAATAGTGCTGACAGGCTCTATGAATGCAAAGAATGTGGGAAGGCCTTTTTGTGTGGCTCTGGTCTTAGAGTACATCACAAACTTCATACTGGTGAGAAACCCTATGAATGTAAGGAATGCGGGAAGGCCTTTAGAGTGCGACAACAACTAACACTCCATCAGAGAATTCATACTGGTGAGAAACCCTATGAATGTAAGGAATGTGGAAAGACCTTTAGCCGTGGTTATCATCTTATTCTCCATCACAGAATTCATACTGGTGAAAAACCTTACGAATGTAAGGAATGCTGGAAAGCCTTTAGTCGCTACTCACAACTTATTTCACATCAGAGTATTCATATTGGTGTTAAGCCCTATGACTGTAAGGAATGCGGGAAGGCCTTCAGACTACTTTCACAACTCACACAGCATCAGAGTATTCATATTGGTGAGAAACCTTATAAATGTAAGGAATGTGGCAAGGCCTTTAGATTGCGCCAAAAACTTACTCTACATCAGAGCATTCATACTGGCGAAAAACCCTTTGAGTGTAAGGAATGTAGGAAGGCCTTTAGACTTAATTCATCCCTTATTCAACATCTGAGAATTCATTCTGGTGAGAAACCCTATGAATGTAAGGAATGTAAGAAGGCCTTTAGGCAACATTCACACCTTACTCATCATCTGAAAATTCATAATGTAAAAATCTAAGAAAGTCTTTTCAACTTCTGTGTTATAGAACATTCTATGAATGTAGTAATTAATCTATTTTGCTCCATACATGCAACTGCGTTGGCATTAGAGGTTTTATACCATTAAAAGAGTGTGACAATGTATTGTAGTCCATCATCACTCAAACCTGAAACTTCAGCAT
Organism: Homo sapiens; assembly: GCF_000001405.40. Classification (NCBI taxonomy): domain Eukaryota; kingdom Metazoa; phylum Chordata; class Mammalia; order Primates; family Hominidae; genus Homo; species Homo sapiens. Next base: position 36,392,577 of record NC_000019.10, on the reverse strand, counting down.
ATTTGTTCTAAAAACTAATCCTGTTATAAGAATGAAAAAGACATTTACCGTCATCCCTATCCCATCACTTTGTGTCATACTGGACAAGACGCTTAACTGCTCTGTGCTATAATTTTTTAATTTATGACATGGTCATATAAGAGTGCAGCAGTTTGACACACTTTCAATCAAGAGGTGGAATCTACATCCCTCTGTTGTATACAGGAATCTACATCCCTCTGTGACTGCTTCGCCCAGTAGAATATGGTAGACGTACTGCTGTGCTGGTTTCTTGACTCAGACTTTACTGGTAGGGTTACTTCATCTCATGAAATGACAGAACTGTCTTGTTACAAAGTCTGGCTACTTTGCTGAAGAGACCACATGAAGAGGCCCTGAAACTACGTAGAGAGGGAGAGGCACCTGCTGAACCCTGTCTTCTTGACATCCACCAAGATACCAGACATTTGAGTGAAATTTTGGATCCACCAGACCAGCCACCAGCTAAATGCCAGTGAGCGACTTGGTAACCTGAACTGATGCCATGTAGAATGGAAGAATTGACCAGCTGAGCCCCTGGCCCAAATTTCTGACCCACAAAAACATGAGATATAATAAAATGGTTGTTGTTTTAAGCCACTAAACTTTCTTTTATTATCATACTAAATATTTATTTTTACATAATTCATACTAAAGGCTGTGGGCATAATGAGTATAGAAATGCCTTCCACCAACATTTAATCTTCATTGAACTTGAGATATCTTATTCTCGTTAAAATATTGAAAGTAAGGAATTCCTTTCCAGTTTGTTCATTAAAAAACAGATACCCTAGACCAGGTGAGGTGGCCCATGCCTGTAAATCCAGCACTTTGGGAGGCCAAGTAAGGACGATTGCTTGAGGCCAGAAGTTCGAGACCAGCCTGGGCAACATGGTGAGACCCTGTCTCTACCAAAAAACTTTAAAAATTAGCTGGGCATAATGGTGCATGCCTGTAGTCCTAGCTACTCGAGGCTGAGGTGGGAGGATCATTTGAACCCAAGAGTTGAGGCTTCAGTGAGCTGTGATTGTACCACTGCACTCCAGCTTGAGTGACTGCAAGACCCTGTCTCAAAAAAAAAAAAAAACTACAATCAGTATTCTCTGGCCCCAGTCAATATTAAAAATTGACAAAGGATAACATGAAACTTTGGAAATTAAAAGTCACCTGTATTATGAAGCCCCATTAATTTTTTAAACTACTTCATTGTTTTTTAAAAATGCTAAATTGTCAATTTAGCATTTTGAGGCAATCCCCTCAAATTGGCTCCTGTGTCCTTTTATCATGACCACTCCAACCTTTGAGCTTTTTTTTTTCCTGAACCAAATGCATTGATTAGTTATGGAGCATACTAGAGCATTATTAACAAATAAAGGAAAAGAATGGAATATTTACCTTGCCTATCCTTTACAAACTATATTTCAAGACAACCAAAAGTTGGTGAAGGAAAGTTGTTGATTAGAGAATTCCAACTGGTTAAAAGGTCAAAGGAGGCCAGGCGCGGTGGCTCAAGCCTGTAATCCCAGCACTTTGGGAGGCCGAGGCAGGTGGATCGTGAGGTCAGGAGATCAAGACCATCCTGGCTAACACGGTGAAACCCCATCTCTACTAAAAATACAAAAAATTCGCCGGGCGTGGTGGCAGGCGCCTGTAGTCCCAGCTACTCAGGAGGCTGAGGCAGGAGAATGGCTTGAACCCGGGAGGCGGAGCTTGCAGTGAGCCGAGATCGCGCCACTGCACTCCAGCCTGGGTGACAGACCGAGACTCTGTCTCAAACAAAAAACAAAAAACAAAACAAAACAAAGATCAAATGAATGATAGAATTTGAAAACTACGCTCTTTAATTTTACAAAATCATGGATTTTCGTGGTGATAGCAATGGATGCGAAGACCATTAGGTGAAAAATGGATAGGAAGCTTATAATGCATGGAGCAGAATGACAGGACACTAATCTATATTAACATCTCTAAATGAGATCAGCCAGATGAACTTGATGTGATGAAATGGATACACACAGTGGACACCTGTGAAGTTTTCTTGGCTCCCCCAAAACTGAGAAGTACAAGTTAGTCTCCAAACCTAATTACCAGTTTACAGGAAACATGGGGAATAAAAGAACAAATTAACAACACAAAGAAGCAAACAACCAAATGCACAATTTGGGAAATTCTGCAGAAGTAATGGCCTAGTTTTTTAACCAATACATGTCAAAAAAAAAAAAAAAAAAGACAAAAATGGAATCCTACACTTTAAAGGAGACTAAGAAACGTATCCTTCAAATACAGTGTATGGAGCATTTTAGGATCCTTGTGTTAAAATGCGCTTGGGATTTGTTTTAATCAATCATGGTGAGACAGGCAGACATGGAAATTATTGTCATGAAGGAAGAAGTTTATACGCAGATCCCACAAACGGGAGGCATGGCATGGCATGCAGGGTCACGTAAAGAAGCACCTGGGTGTATCAGGAGGCAGAGGGTGAGAGCACAGCATGGCCCAGAGCTTTTATTGGGGGTTTTCATGGGAAGGAATGGACAAGGCAGGGGTAGGCACACTGGTAAGCTTAGGATTGAATAGTTTGAGTAATTTTGTTGGTCTCTGGGATCTAGGGGGGATTCGTAATTGTCTAGTTAGGGCAGGGGAATATTGAATTGGTGTATGAGAGTTTGGTAAAGGAGATAGTTGGGAGTATGGGCTCTGGATTGGTTGGTTTGTATATGAAAGGCATGCTTGCAGTGGAGTTTATCATCTATGCATTAGCTTGCCCTGGGAGGGGCAGCCTATCCAGGATCAAGGCCCCAAGTGGCCAGAGCATCAGGAATACAGAAAATAAAGAAAACATAGTCAATACAAGATTTGAAGGAATAAAATGTCTCTACATATTGTACAAATGTAAACATGGATTGGTTACTAAATGATACGAAATAATTTATTGTTCATATGTTAGGCATGACTATGGCATTATGGGTATATGTGTATGAGTCCTTAAGTGTTAGAGATTCATACTGAGGTATTTAAGGCTGAAATGTTATGCCTGTGATTTACTTTTAAATACTTAAAAACAAAAGGTGGGAGGGATAGATGAAACAAGATTAGCAAAATGTTGGTAAATGTTTAATCTGGATCATTAGGTACACAGGGTTCATTGTGCCGTTCTTACTATCTTTACATATATTTTAAATTTTCCATAATAAAGTTTTTTAAAGTAGAAAATCAAGTTTGGGCCAGGCGTGGTGGCTCATGCCTGTAATCGCAGTACTTTGGGAGGCCAAGGTGGGTGGATCATTTGAGGCCAGGAGATCAAGACCATCCTGGCCAACATGGTGAAACTCTGTCTCTACTAAAAATACAAAAATTAGCTGGACATGGTGGCACGCCTGTAGTCCCAGCTACTCGGGAGGCTGAGGCAGGAAAATCGCTTGAACCCAGGAGGCGGAGGTTGCAGTGAGCTGAGATCACACCACTGCACTCCAGCCTGGCAATAGAGTGAGACTCCATCTCAAAAAAAAAAAAAAAGAAAGAAAATCAAGTCTGAAATTGTAGACTATTTAGTGATGAATGATCACATGTTGCCTACAGATAACTTGGGGGAAATCACCAACCAAAGCTCTACTTGGTAGAAAATTTAAAGCAATGCATTTAGAACATCTGGATTGAGAAATAAGTATTTGTGTTGTTCACCATTCTGTTCACACACCTACAGTGCCTGTCACATAACAGGCAATTTATGGGAAAAAATAAGGATTAACTTAAGCTAGAAATTTTTAAAAACTAAGGTGAATAACAGCAAGTAGTTTATATGATCAAATAAATTAATGGAATAGTTAATAAAATAACAGACTAAGGATATTCTCTTTGAAAAGAACATTAATATAGAATTGGCAGTTATTGAGGGAAAAACATGACTCACAGCTTTATGTATGGAAAAAGTGAAATAGCTACATAATGAGGTTTTTTTAAAAATTTAAGTTACATATTACTATATACATATATTTCAATGTTTCAGTATTACTATATACATATATTTCAATATGTTTCAATCTAGAGAAACCTAAATGATCAAAGTTGACCCCAGATACCAAAAAAAAACCCTGAACTAATCCATAAAGGGGAAAATATGTACAGTTATGATCTTGTTTTTTAAAAACTAGAATCTATAGATTTACAGGCAGTAAAAAGCTTTAAAGAATATATAACCCATAACAAAATTTTACTAGATCGTTATATAAGGCAAATATCCCAATATAAAATTAGATGAGGATAAATACCTCCTAAAAAGCAAAATGTGGGCCAATTTTACTTAAGATATATGCAAACATTCGCAAAAAAGTATCAGTAAATTGAACTCAATAGTCAATTAAAACAATTATAAAACATAAAATGATTTACTAGGAATACCCTGGGGCCTGGCCTGTTCTCATTTAAATATGTATCCAGATTTTAGGTTTCCTGACTTGAACAATGCAACAATGTTACAAAAAATGACATGATTCAGTCACAGTATCTTTTAGATGGTTTCTATTCTCATTTATCTTAGTTTCATTGACTTTACAAAAGGAATGAACAATACATATAAAAATAGGAATTCAACACAAAAATTATTACCTTTTTTCTTAGTCTGTTTTGTGTTCCTATAAAAGAATACTGGCTGGGTGTGATGGCTCACGCCTGGAATCCCAGCACTTTGGGAGGCTGAGGCGGGTGGATCACTTGAGGTTAGGAGTTTGAGACCAGCCTGGCCAACATGGCGAAACCCCATCTCTACTAAAAATACAAAATTAGCCAGGCATGGTGGCGCATGCCTGTAATCCCAGCTACTTGGGAGGCTGAGAAAGAATTGCTTGAACCTGGGAGGTGGAGGTTGCAGTGAGCTGAGATTGCACCATTGCACTCCAGCCTGGGCAACAGGAGCAAAACTCCATCTCAAGAAAAAGGAAAGAATACCACAGACTGGGTAATTTACAATGAACAGAAATTGGCTCGCAGTTCTGAAGGGTAGGAATTCCAACATTAAGAGGCTGGCATCTGATAAGGACCTTCTTGCTGCGTCATCTTATGGCAGAAGGGCAGAGAGGATAAGAGAGAGAGAGGGCAAGAGGGAGCCCAACTCATCTTTTGATAAAGAACCCACTCCTGTGATAATGGCATTAATCCATTCATGAAAGCAGAGTCCTCATGGACCAATCACTTCTTAAAGGTCCCACCTCTTAATACTATTGCATTGGGGATCAAGTTTTTCCCTAAAACTTGGGGGTGAGCATTGGGGGACACATTCAAACTATAGCGTGGCTTCTCTGGCCTCCCAAATTCATGTTCTTCTCACATGCAAAATACATACACTCCATTCTGATTGCCCCAAAGTCTTAACTCTTTCAAGCACAAACTCAGAAGTTCAATCTCATCTAGATCAGCTATTGTGAGACAAGGCATGATTTATCCTGAGGCAAATTTTCCTCCAGCTGTTAGTCTATGAAATCAAGCAAGATATTTACTCCCAAAACACAACAGTGGGACAGGCATAGCCTAGACATTCCTATTCTGAAAGAAATAGGGAAGAAAAAGGGGATAACTGGTCCCAAGTAGGTCCAAAACCCAACAGTGCAAACAACATTAACTCTTTTTTTTGAGACGGAGTCTCGCTCTGTCACCCAGGCTGGAGTGCAATGGCGTGATCTCGGCCCACTGCAACCTCTGTCTCCAGATTCAAGCGATTCTCCTGCCTCAGCCTCCCGAGTAGCTGGGATTACAGCATCTGCCACCATGCCCAGCTAATTTTTGTATTTTTAGTAGAGATGGGGTTTCACCATGTTGGCCAGGCTGGTCTTGAACTCCTGACCTCAGGTGATCCACCTGCCTCGGCCTCCAAAGTGCTGGGATTACAGGCGTGAGCCAGCGCACCCAGCCAAACAACATTAACTCTTAAGGCTCCAGAAGACCCTTCCTTAACTCTATGACCTACTTGGACACACTGGGGTGGGGGCTGGTTCTCAGACAGCCTTGCCCCCATGGCTTTGCTGGGCTTATGCCATAGAGCATCTGTCACAGGTTGGAGTTTTACACTGGTAGGTCTTCAGTTCTGGGGTCTTGGGGATGGCCTCTCTCCATTAGGCACTGTCCTAGTGGGGACTCTCTGCAGTGGTTCTGCTCATGGACAAATCTGACTGGGCCCCCAGGCTACCCAAGGCATCCTTTGAAATCTAAGTGAAGGAAGCCATGCCCCCGTGACTCTTGCATTCTGCACTCCTGCCAAATTAGCACCACATTGATGCTGCCACCACAAGCTTACAGCTTATGCCCAGTGGCAGGCTGAGCCACACCTGAGCCAGCAGGAACCAATGGCTGGGGCAGCCAAGGGCACTCTACTGGCATGTGGGAAGCAGAGTCATGAGGCAGCATGAGCCAGTGAATGCTGTCTGTGATGGAAGGGGCAGCCTCAAAGAGCGCCAGAATGCCTTCAGGGTCATTCTCCCACTGTCTTGATAGCTCCTGTCTTCCTTCTATTCATACTAATCTTTTCAGCAGTCTCTGGGTATACAACCTTGGTTTGCACTCCTAAACACACCTTTTCACTTCATAAATGGCCAGGCTGCAAATTTTCCATATCTTTTTGTTCTGCCTTCCTTTTAATTATGTTTTATCTTTAAATCATTTCTACCTCTCACATCTTACTATATGCAGTTAAAAGAAGCCATGTAGCTCTTTCAGTATTTTCCTTAGAAATTTCTTCCACCACATATTAGTTCATTGCTCTTAAATTCTGCCTTCCAATAAAGCCCAAGGCATGGACACAAATTCAGCCAGATTCTTTGTTAATTTCTAATAAGGATGGCCTTTATTCCAGTTTCCAATACCTTGTTTCTCATTTCCAGCTGAGACCTCACCAGAATTGCCTTTGCCATCCCTATATTTATCAACATTCTGATCACAACCACTGAAGTAATCTCTAAAAAGTTTCAGACTTTCCATACAGCTCTTCTGAGCCCTCACCAGAATCACCCTTTAACATTCCACCCACAGCAATAGTCTTTTTCTGACATCCAGTTCAAAACTTTTTCAGCTCTTACCCATTACCTAGTTCCAAAGCCACTTCCACACTTTCAGTTATTCATTATAGCAACTGCGTACTTTTCCAGTACCAATTTTCTGTCTTAGTCTGTTTTGTGTTGCTATAACAGAATACTACAGACTCAGTAATCCACAGCAAACAGAAATTTATTGACTCATGGTTCTGGAGACTGAGAAGCCCAAGATTGACAGGCTGACATCTTATGAGTGGCCTCTTGCTGTGTCATCTCATGGCGGAAGGGCAAAGGGGGTGAGAGAGAGAGCAAGCCAGCAAAAGGGGCCAAACTCACCCTTTTATAAGAAACCCACTCACGTGATAACAAACCCATTCCTGTGGTAACAACATTAATCCATTCCTAAGGGCAGACTCCTCATGGCCTAATCACCTCTTAACAGTCCCACCTCTTAATATTGTTGCATTGGGGATCAAGTTTCTCCCAAAAACTTGGAAATGAACTTTGGGGGACACATTCAAACCACAGCACCTTCCACAAAATAAAAGTAAGTATTGCCACAACTCTTTATTTTTAACCAAATCTCTGTAATGTCACTCTATTCATAGATTAAGATTTGTACCTCCAAGTCCAGTTTGCTCAGATTGGGCAGATGTCATTAATTAGTCATTAATCATCTAGAATAATACATCTTGTCCACCCAAGATTTCACATGGTTTTTAATTTGTAAACAGTAAAATGTAACATGAAGAAGACTATTTTAAGTGCTATAATAAAATTAGGTTTTGCTAATAGGACAATGTGTTTCTCCTCTTAGGTAACATTTTCACATTAACAGAGGTCTTCTGGAGACAGTACCTTTACTCAAAATTTCTGAAACTATGTTCCACAGAACACTAGTACTTAATCCTACTTGAAGGAAATGATTTTGTGAAACATGTATGAGAGCTCTGTGTACTATATTTCTTGGGGGAAAAAGTCACATTATGTGCCTATCAATATGAAAGAAAATGGAGTTTTATTTTATTTAACTCAGTGTAATTCAGACTTCACCATAGAACTCCCATTCCCAATACCTATTGCAGATGTGATTCTACTTTGGCAGATGCTGCGATAACCAAAAGGACTTCGAAGATGAAAATGTCAGCATTATGGCAGATGTATGATTACTGGTATGGTGAGGAAAGCAACTCCCATCATGCTTTGTAACCAGCTGCTTGCTTTTTTTGAATGATACTTTTCAATAGAATAGAAAGCCCACTAGTCCTATCTTTTATATATACATTATATGTATTTAAACTTTCTTATTGATCAATATTTAGGTGATAAGCATTTTCTCACTGTGAAAAATACCTTATTGAATAGGTCTGTGTTTATTACTGTACATAAGCAAGAGTTTCTCTAAGGTATTTATCAAAAGTAGGATTGCTCAGTCATAGTTAATATTTACTTTCAACCTCACTAGATACTGTCATAGAAGTAGAGAGCATCAGTATGCTCCCAGTGCACAATCCCTTCAACCAGTGAAATATGTTTTCCTTATTTCCTTATATCCTTACTTCTGGTATGCATAGTAATATTTTCCTGGTTAATAGTGAATTGGGCATATTTTCACATCTGAATATTGGCTAAACGCTGTAACTTGCCAATTTATGTCTTTGCCTGTGTTCCTTTAAAAAAGCTTTTAAAATATAAGAATTATAAGATTCTTAAAAAATAAAATTCTAGATAGTAGTCCTTTGTTATAAATGGACTTACCTTCTCCCATATTGTATTTATGTTGATATTGTCATATGAATACGTTAAATGTGGATACAATCATAGCTTTCATTATTACCTAATAATCTTTTAAATTTTATTTTTTACTAGACTCTTGGTTTTCTAGGCAATCAGGTGTGTCAACTGCAAATAGATATAATTTTGTTTTTTTCTAAATATAGTGATTATTTTTTAAATTATTGTTATTGTAATAGAGTCTCCAAAACAAGGTTTAGTATTCATGGTGATACCAGGCATCTGGTCATTTTCTCCAATTTAATGAAAATTACTTGGTGTAATGTTTACTCTAGGTCTGAGATAAATAGATTTTGTAGCTCAGTTGTCTCAGTTCTTGTTTAACTTTTTTTTTTATTAGAAATATCTGCTAAATATAGTCAGATGCCTTTTTGGCTCATTGATATGATGTTTTTCTCCTTGAGTTTGTTAATGTGACAAGTTGTACTGTAGTCATTAAGGCAGGTATGTTAGAATGAACCAGAATGTTCGATGAGCAAGAATGAACAAATAGACCAATGGAACAAAATAAAGAGCCCTGAAGTAGATCTCTCTCTCTATATATATGTGGTTGTCTAATTTGTGATAAAGTTTCCTCGGCCATGTGGTTGGGAAATGGTGGTCTTTTCAATAAAAAGCACTGGATCAGTTGTGTATCTGTTTTGATAAAAAATTCGTCTTGACCCTTACCTCACACTATACATAAATCAATTCCAGATGCATGAGTGATCTAATCGTAAAAGGTAAAGCAAGAAGGGCTTCAGGAGAAAATGTAGAGTATCTTTCTAGCATTGGGGTAGCAAAACAAATTTTTTTTCTTTTTTTTTTTGAGAAATTTTGAGAAAAAAGCCAAATTTTAAATGATGATATTAAATTGTTTAAAAAACCGGCTGGGCACAGTGGCTCACATCTGTAATCCCAGAACTTTGGGAGGCCGAGGTGGGTGGATCACCTGAAGTCAGGAGTTCGAGACCAGCCTGGCCAACATAGTGAAACCCCGTCTCTACTAAAAATACAAAAAAAAAAAAAAAAAAAATTAGCCAGGCATGGTGGCACGCACCTGTAGTCCCAGCTACTTGGGAGGCTGAGGCAGAAGAATCGCTTGAACCTGGGAGGCAGAGGTTGCAGTGAGTTGAGATTGCGCCATTGCACTCCAGCCTGGGTGACGAGATGAAACTTCATCTCTAAAAAATAAAAATAAAAAATTGTTTAAAAAACCAAGTGTGCTGGATATCATTTGTTGTTGTTGTTTTGTTATAAGTATTCTTCTGTGCCCCATGCTCTTTTTTGTGCTACAGAGGCTGGAAGCCTCAGCACTACAATTTTTAGACCCTCTTGCCTCTAGAATTCCAGATGTGATCTATGTTCTTCCAGTGAGATAAACTCATGCAAGATTAGGAAGACAGAAGAAAGCAGAAAGCAACGGCTTTCTCCTTCACCAGTGCTGATGGTGTGAGGTTTTGCAGCAGCTTCTGATAGTGCCTTTGCCATGAAGGTATTTAACAAAAGTTGAGGTCATAAATTATACGATATTACCACAAATGATTAAAACACAAGGTTTGGTATATGTTGGGCCACTTTCTCAATCTGCAAACTTAATGTGAAGTACATCCACAAGATATAGTTTTGGAATAAATGAAGACTCCAGAAATATATTGAGAAATAACATGGATTTAATTCCTGCTGAGGCATCTTTAGTTTTTATGATTTCAAAGTTACTAAAATCATATACATATGATATATATGTGTGTGTGTGTATATATATATATATATATATATGAAAAAAATTGAGTAGTTGGAATTACAGATGTGCATCACCATGCCTGGCTAATTTTTGTATTTTTTTGTAGAGTCGGGATTTCCCCATGTTACCCAGGCTGGTCTTAAAACTTCTGGGCTCAAGCCATTTGCCTGCCTCAGCCTCCCAAAGTGCTGGGATTACAGGCTTGAGCCACCGTGCCTGTCCATGAACTGTTAATAAGAACAACAAAAAGGTTAGAATGACAGGTTTTAGAGGTACAATGGAAGGGTTTTTTACAAAGGACACTGCTCTGTGTCAAATGATGGAGCATTTGACACGTGGGTTTTTTTTTTTTTTTCCTACTAAGAGAAACTGCGGATGTCTGAGAGGCAACTGAAAATATTAATAGTACAGATTTAGATACTAAGAAAAGAAATGAAACTCTCTGAAAGAAATGCTCTTATTCTGCATGATTATGATGAATTGAAGGTCCAAATCGCTTTTTTCAAACTAAACGACATGAGAAACAATCTGAAGAAAATCCTATTTCAGAAGGTCAGTGAGCATGATATTGGACCAAGTGCCCCATCATTTGACACAGAGCAGAGCAGGGCCCTTTCCAAAAATCCCTCCATCGTACCTCAGTGAAGTCAGGCGTTAATTCTCTGGGGCTGTTGGACAAGGAAAATGACCTACAGTTAGTTATCTTCACCAGCAGTCTCCTCACCAGAGAGGGTGTGAAGAATTTAGCCCCTAGTGTCAGAAGGCCTCAAAACTTAGTCAAAACGAGGCCAGGTGTAGTGGCTCAAGCCTGTAATCCCAGCACTTTGGGAGGCTGAGGCAGGCGGATCACTTGAGGCCAGGAGTTTGAGACCAGCCTGGCCAACGTGGTGAAACCCCGTCTCCACTAAAAATACAAAAAATTAGCTGGGCGTGGTGGTGGGCACCTGTCATTTCAGCTACTCAGGAGGCTGAGGCAGGAGAATCCCTTGAACCTGGGAGGCTGAGGTTGCAGTGAGACAGTATTGTGCCACCACACTCCAGGTAGGGTGACAGAACAAGACTTTGTTTCAAAAAAAAAAAAACTTAGTCAAAACAGAGAATATGGAGGAGCTATTTTAATAATTCTTTTTATTGTTTTTTTAATGGAGTGTTGATTTCCTTACATAAATTTAATTGTAAACATGTACATAGGACCGTGATTTTGAATTAAAAAAATACTTTGGGCCTTCGGCCTTCTTAGTAGTTTTTTTTGTTTTGTTTTGTTTTCGTTTTTGTTTTGATACGGCGTCTTGCTCTGTCGCCCAGGCTGGAGTGCAGCTGCACGATCTTGGCTCACTGCAACCTCCGTCTCCCTGGTTCAAGCGATTCTTCTGCCTCAGCCTCCCGAGTAGCTGGGACTACAGGTGTGCGTCACCATGCCCAGCTAAATTTTTTTGTATTTTTAGTAGAGACGGGGTTTCACCATGTTGGCCAGGCTGGTCTCAAACCCCTGACCTCAGGTGATCCACCCGCCTCGGCCCCCCGAAAGTGATGGGATTATAGGCGTCAGCCACCGCGTCTGGCCACCTTCTTAGTAGTTATAAAGTAGCTCAGATTTTTCATTTATCTCCTATTTCATGCATATCCTATTGTTTGCAAAATGAAACCAGATTGCCGAGGCATTTTCAAATATCTTCTAAAGTTTTATATTCTTAAGGAAAGAACAAATTCTTTCATGTATTAACTAATATATCAAAGAATTTGGGATACAGAAGATGCCTCAGGGTGGTCCCTGGTGGGCTTATCCCATTTCTTTCCTGAAGGAACGCAGGACAGGACAAATTCAGTCTCATTGGAGACAGACCTCTCCAGTTAGTCTTTTTCTTTTGAAACGGAGTTTCGCTCTTGTTGCCCAAGCTGGGGTGCAATGGCGGATCTCAGCTCAATGCAACCTCCGCTTCCCGGGTTCAAGCGATTTTCCTGCCTCAGCCTCCTGAGTAGCTGGGATTACAGGCGCGCGCGACCACGCCCGGCTAATTTTTTGTATTTTTAGTAGAACAATACATTCACAACTGCAGGAGATACGAGACACACACACACACACACACACACACACACACACACACACACACAGAGACAGAGACAGAGTGGGAGAAAGGGAGAGGGCAGTGAGCACGAGCGACCTTTCTAGGTTTACGTCCTGCTCCAGGTTCTGGTGGGCTTTGAGAGTATTTTCATTGCATGCCTGATGTGTGCCCACACCTTGCTTGGGTGTATGCAGTGAGTAACTGGTAGGTGTTTAGTACACATATTAGGCATCTGCTGGTGCCAAAACTTCTTTCTAAATCCTCCGCGGCTGAGCCTGGTGGCTCACGCCTGTAGTCCCAGCACTTTGGGAGGCTCAGGCGGGAGGATCTTTTAAGCCCAGGAGTTCGACACCGGCTTGGGTAACATAGGGAGATCTGGTCTCTATAAAAACTTAAAAAATGAGTTGGGCGTGGTGGCGCGCGCCTGCAGTCCCAGCTACTCTGGAGGCTCGGGTGGGAGGGTCGCTTGAGCCCGGGAGGTCGCGGCTGCAGTGAGCTCTAATCACGCCACTGCACTCCAGCCTGGGCGACAGAGTAAGACCCTGTCTCAAGAAAATAAACAAATAAAAGTCTTCCTCAGCGACAAAAGCAAACGCAAGCCCGAGCTCGCCTCAGCCCCACGCAGCGCGGAGGGCCTTCCCGCCCCGAGCGCACCCGGGGCTCCGGCCCCCGCGCATGCGCACTCCGCGCAGCCCGTTGGGGCTGGAACCAGTCCCTCCCATCGGCGGACTACATTTCCCACAGGCCTCCGCTCGCAGTTCTTTCCGGCTTCGCTGCTGGTGTCGGCTCCGAGAGGTGAGTTGGTCGCTTGCACCGAGGCAATGGGCGCGGGGGTGGCGCGGGGGCGGCGCAGACCTCAGTGTGAGCCAGGAGGCAGTAGCTGTGGAGTTTGTGGCGCTGACTGGGCGCCGGGTGCCCTGTTGCGTCCTCTGCCTTCTCGCTTCAGAGCCGCCCAGGTCCAGCGGCCCGGAATGGCTCCGAGTTAGATACAGGAACCCCGGAGTGAATGAAGGCCCCCAAACAAAAAGACGCAGTCTGAAGAACTGCAGATTGCACAGCTTTACCCGAGCTCCCTCCCATGGAAACTGCGGGGAACTCGGAGACAGATCCCAGCCCCGTCTTCGTGTACCTGGCCTTTCGCTCTGATACGGGAAAGGGTCAGCTTTATTCCAGGCTCCCTGTTATTTCCATCGGGTTTTGCGCGCAGTAGACGGAGGGAGCAAGTGCGCTAGCGGGGGTGTGTCCTGCTCAGCCAAGGCCGGCTCCAGGAAAGGCCCGCGGTCTCAAGATTCCCGTCTCCTTTCCCAATCCTGCTGTTCTTTAGGAAGGCAGCGGGGAGAGGAGGAAATGATTGCTGTTGCATATAGACAAGTCAACATCCAGATGAGTTTGTGTTTCCGTTTTGTTCCATGAAGTGTAATTTTTATTTTTTCTGGGCGTGGGGGCATTTGCTTTCCTCTTCTGTGGAATGAAAATCAGCTCGGACTGAACAATGAAGCAGCTCTGTCATTAATCAGGCTAGGAAGGAAGAGACAGATAAAGCCAGTTGCAAAATTAATAGAAAACATGATTTCTCCCCAGGTGGTGCAGTAGTTGTAAAATGGCATAATGACTCCCTCTTTGAGAGATTACAGTTTTCTTACCAGTGATGTTCTAGACTTGCTTTGCTGTTTTCATTTTATTACTGGGGATACCCTCTTGATTACACTCATGATTGCATTCAATATCTCATTAATCCCTGCCTCTCCTAATCTCACCTCGGAAACAGCAGCCATTCCAGATTGCAGCTGTCATTAGATCCTCCTTAGAATCTTTCAGCTGGAACTCAACCGTTTACGAAAGAGCTTTTCTCGTCTCTCTCGTCCATTCTATTCCAACCCTTCCTGTGGAATTTTCTCCCTTTCTGCCAGTCAATAGATATGATTTTGTCAGACTATGCGGGCTTGTTCCAGTTAATCTTCAGCTAGTTAGACTTTAACCCCTGAAATGTCCTGTCCACTGACCTGGTGCTTTGGCCTTCCTTCCCAGTGAATGATGGGGTGATGAAGGTAGATTCCAATTCCTACCCCTTTCCAGTAGGTTTGTTTTGTTTTGTTTTTTTTTGTATTTTTTGAGATGGAGTCTGGGTCTGTTACCCAGGCTGGAGTGCAGTGGCACGATGTGCTCACTGAAACCTCCGCCTCCCGGGTTCAAGCAGGATTCTCCTGCTTCAGCCTGCCAAGTAGCTAGAACTACAGGGATGAGCCACCGCACCCGGCCTCCAGTAGGTATTGACATGAGCATTTGGCAGTAATTTAGTTTCTCTTATGAGCTGCCTCTTTCTAATCATTTGGATGGTCTGGAAGTAAACCTCCTGAAGAGAAGCTAACTGCAGAGCTTTATTTTGTTACTTAAGTTTTTTTTTTTTTTTTAGAGACAGGGTCTCACTCTGTCCCTCAGGCTGGAGTGCAGTGAAGTGATCTCGCTCCCTGCAGCCTGGACCTCCCTGGCTCAAGCGATCCTTCCACCTCAGCCTCTTGAGTAGCTGAGACCACAGGCACGTGGTCCCACGCGCAATTTTTAAATTTTTTTGTAGAAATGAGGTCTCCTTATGTTGCACAGGCTGATCTTGAACTCCTGGAGTCAAGGAATTCTTCCACCTCAGCCTCCCAAAGTGTTGAGATTACAGGCGTGAGCCACCACGTAGAACTTTCATTCGATGGTGATTAGTTGAGGAGTTTACAGTTTAGATGGAATTACCCACTAGGTCTCTTTGATCCCCACCGCCCTGAGTTCAAAAGCAGGGAAAGGAGGTGGTTTGATTGGCGACAGGATCTTTTCTGCTTTTGAGGCTTTTAAGGAGTGACAATACGATGGGGTTTTTAGTGGAGAGGTCTGTGTTAACAAGGGAAGGGGTTATTAGAAGGGAAGGGAAGACAGTAGAAATTTGGAAAGTGGCTTGAAGTTTTTGACAGCATGAGTGTTTCAGGCCACGTATTTATCAGGTCTCATGAGATGCAGTTTAGTACAGTGACAGTCGTATGGGTTATGGAGCTAAAGTAGGGGGGTTCTAGTCCTCAACCTGCCACTTAAAGCTGCCTGAGCTTGGGGCAATTTATTTAATCTCTTTGTGCCACAGTTTCATCATCTGCAAAATGAGGATAATGATAGACCCTGCTATATAGGATGGCTCTGAGTAGAGGAATTAATATATGCAAAACCCTTAGCTAATGCTTGGCACATAATAAGTGCACAGTAGATTTGTTACCGTTAGGTTGTAATTTAATATTTTTCCTCATCACCCAGATCCAAAAATTGGTATCCTACCACATTTGTTTTATCTTTGTACCCTCCTTTTGTAAATTGTTGATAATCAAGAAGGATTGCCTATCAAGAGCAGGGCTGCGAAGAATTTTTTTTTTTTCTTTTTTTTTGAGACAGAGTTTTGCTCTGTCACCCAGGCTGGAGTGCGGTGGCACGATCTTGGCTCACTGCAGCCACCCGCCCCAGGTTCAAACCATTCTCCTACCTCAGCCTCCCAAGTAGCTGGGGTTACAGGCATGCATCACCATGCCTGGCTAATTTTTATATTTTTAGTAGAGATGGGGTTTCACTATGTTGGCCAGGCTGGTCTTGAACTCCTGATCTAAGTGATCCGCCTGTGTTGGCCTCCCAAAGTGCTGGGATTACAGGCCTGAGTAGAATTTTAAAAATAATTGTGGGAAGAAGCATATGTAGTATTCTTCATCTTTATTAATATAGCTGACTTTTATGAAATGCTTATTTACTACTCTAAGTGCCTTATATGTAGTATCTTATTTATTTCTCATAACAATCCTTTCAGGTAGAAACTGTAGTTCTCACCATTTCATATGGGGAACTGGAAAGTAACCTGTCTAATATCATGCAGAAAAATAAAAGCATATATTGGTAATTACAACAGTATACCAAATATCATCATTATGCATACTTAAAAAAAAAAATCTGGCCGGGCGCGGTGGCTCATGTCTGTAATCTCAGCACTTTGGGAGGCCAAGGCAGGTGCATTACCCGAGGTCAGGAGTTTAAGACCAACCTGGCCAAAATGGCGAAACCCCATCTCTACTGAAAATACAAAAATTAGGCGGGGCGCGGTGGCTCACGCCTGTAATCCCAGCACTTTGGGAGGCCGAGGCGGGCAGATCACGAGGTCAGGAGATCGAGACCATCCTGGCTAACACGGTGAAACCCCATCTCTACTAAAAATACAAAAAATTACCCGGGCATGGTGGCGGGCACCTGTAGTCCCAGCTACTCGGGAGGCTGAGGCAGGAGAATGGCGTGAACCCGGGAGGCGGAGCTTGCAGTGAGCCGAGGTCGCACCACTGCACTCCAGCCTGGGCACGACTCCGTCTCAAAAAAAAAAAAAAAAGAAAATACAAAAATTAGCTGGGTGTGGTGGCATGCGCCTGTAATCCCAGCTACTCGGGAGGCTGAGGCAGGAGAATCGCTTGAACCCAGGAGGTGGAAGTTGTGGTGAGCCGAGATCGTGCTACTGCACTCCAGCCTGGGTGGCAAAGCAAGACCTTGTCTCAAAAAAAAAAAAAAAAAAAAATTCCTTCCTGCTTTATTCAGCAATCTCACGATGAAGGGAAGAGATATCAATCTCATGATGGCACACACTGTCAAGTTTTGTCCAGATTATACTGAAGCTACAGGGTCTTTATGGAGGTAACTGGGTTTCATACAGATGTATGCCTTACAGTTTTTATTTTAATGATGTTATATGCAAAGTGAGACCAGTTGGTCAAGGAGACCCAACATCTGCTGGAGGGCTTCATAGGCATCTTAGCCAAAAGAACTGGTTCAGAAGCAAAATAAACCTGTTTATCAGGAAGATGTGAAAGGAAGCAGCATGGGGCTGCCTTCAGTGCTTAGAAGACATCAGTCAGAGACTTTTTGCCATTCTTTTCTAGGCCGTACTCCAACACACATGGGCAAATTAAATCATAGAGTTGGTTCATGAATGAGAAGCCGAAGTAAAAAAAAAAGCCACTCAGAAAAAACAGCATCTGTTTTTACAGTATCCTTAGCTTTTTTTCTCAGTTAAAAGGAAGACTGAAAGAACTTGAGCCGGGAAAGTCTTATTTGAAGTATTTGGGTATTTCAGGCTCACACTCTGTTTAATGTGGTGGTGCGTGTTGCTGGCTGTGACTGTAAACATTTTAACTGGTCCTGCTAGGGAAACATGATTTTTTTTTCTGTCAAAATAGTTTCACACTACACATGCTGGTATTTTCTTTTTTTAACACACTGGCTTCACCCATTCAAAATTAAGGCAACATCATTTTTAATGGTTGCATCATTTTCAATGGTATGGATAAACAACAGGTTATTGAATCATTCCGAAATTAGGTTCTTTTCAACTTTAATCCATTAATTCATTATAAACCATGCTGTCAGCATAGCTCTGCATAATCTTTTTTCTTTTCTTTTTTTTTTTTTTTTTTGAGACAGAGTCTCCCTCTGTCACCCAGGCTGGAGTGCAACGGCACGACATCGGCTCATTGCAACCTCCGTCTCCTGGGTTCAAGCGATTCTTCTGCCCCAGCCTCCCGAGTAGCTGGGATTACAGGCACCTGCCATCATGCCCGGCTAATTTTTGTATTTTTGTAGAGAGAGGGTTTCACCATGTTGGCCAGGCTGGTCTTGAACTCCTGACCTCAGGTGATCCGCCTGTCTTGGCCTCCCAAAGTGCTGGGATTACAGGTGTGAGCCACTGCCCCGGCCATAGCTCTGCATAATCTTTATGTACAGATACAGTCCCTTTAGTGTCAGAAGTGGAGCTTCTGATTCAGAGTTTACAGGATTGAAATGCTGCTTCACATAGCTCTAAATGTGGACCGACCTAGTGTCGGTGTCCCCACAACCTTGCTACTATAGGGCATCATCAGTCTTTTAGGTCTTGCAATGCAGTCATTGTAAAAAGGTACATTTTGTTTGCTTTAACTTTCATTTTTTTCTTTTCTTTTTTCTTTCATTTTTTTCTGTTCTTTTTTCTTTCATTTTTTTCTTTTTTTTTTTTTTTGAGATGGGGTCTTACTCTGTTGCCCAGGCTTGAGTGCAGTGGCATCATCTCAGCTCACTGCAACCTCTGCTTCCCAGGCTCAAGCCATCCTCCTGCTTCAACCTCCTGGTAGCTGAGACTACAGGTGCACGCTACCATGCCCGGCTAATTTTTAAAATTTTTTTGTAGAGACAAGGTCTCACTATGTTGCCCAGGCTGGTCATTTTCTTAATACCGAGCTTTAGTATTAAAATTATTTTTTGACAGATAAAATTACATGTATTTATCATGTACATCATGGTGTTTTAAAGTATATATACATTGTGGAATGTCTAAATCTAGCTAATTAACATATGAATTACCTTTTACATAGTTACCATTTTTGTGGTGAGAACACTTTACAGGTCTTAGCTTTTTTCAGTAATACAATATATTGTTAACTATATCACCATGTTGTATAATAGATCTCTTGAACTTATTCCTCCTATGTAACTGAAATTTTGTATCGTTTGACCAACATCTCCTCAACCTTGCCATTTCCCCCCACCCCCAACTACCCCAGATTCTGGTAACTACCATTCTACTCTCTACTTCTATGAGATTAAGTTGTTTTTGTTTGTTTGTTTGTTTGGTTGTTTTTTTGTTTTTTTTTTTTGAGACGGAGTTTTGCTCTTGTTGCCCAGGCTGGAGTGCAATGACGCCATCTCGGCTCACCACAACCTCCGCCTCCCGGGTTCAAGTGATTATCTTGCCTCAGCCTCCTGAGTAACTGGGATTACAGGCGTGTGCTACCATGCCCGGCTAATTTTGTATTTTTAGTAGAGACAGGGTTTCTCCATGTTGGTAAGGCTGGTCTTGAACTCCCGACCTCAGGTGATCCTCCCGCCTCGGCCTCCCAAAGTGCTGGGATTACAGGCGTGAGCCACCACGCCTGGTCGAGATCAACTTTTTAAGATTCCACTTATGAATGAGATCACGTGGTGTTTATCTTTCTGTTTCTGGCTTATTTCACTTAACATAACGTCCTTCCAGATTCATCTGTGTTGTCACAAATGACAGGTTTTGTTTCTTTATCATAGCTGAATGGTATTACATTTTATTTACATAGCAGATTTTCTTTGTCCATTCATCCATTGATGGACACCATGTGTTGGCCATCGTGAATAATGCTATAATAAACATGAAAGTGCAGAGATCTCTTTGACATTCTGATTTCATTTCCTTTGGATATATACAGTAGTGTGATTGCTAGATCATATGGTAGTTCTATTTTTAGTTTTTTGAGGCCTCTCCATACTGTTTGTCATAATGACTGGCTTCCCAAAATGTTGGGGTTACAGGCATGAGCCACCATGCCCAGCCTGTTCAGATTTTTTATTTCTTCATAATTCAATCTTGGTAGGTTGTATGTGTCAGGGAATTAATCATTTATTTTAGGTTATCCAATTTTCTGGTGTATGTTTGTTCATAATAGTCTCTTCTATTTCTGTTGTATCAGTTGTAATGTCTCCTTTTTCATTTCTAGTTTTATTTGAATATTTTCAATATTTTCTGTTTTCTCTTGGTTAGTATAGCTTAGTTAGGTTTGTCAATTTTGTGGGTTTTTTCTTTTTTCAAAAAAAAAACTCTTAATTTTATTGATTCTTTCTATTGGCTTTCTGGTCTGTGTCATTTATTTCTGCCCTAATCTTTATTATTTTCTTCCTTCTAACTTTGGGCCATACCTGGATACTTACCTTTCCCCAGGTTTGGAAAGTTTTTTGCTACTCTTTTTTTCTCTTTCCTCTTTCTTTTTTCCTTCCTTCCTTCCTTCCTTTCTTCCTTCCTTCCTTCCTCCTTTCCTCCCTACCTCCCTCCCTTCCTTTCTTCTTTTTCTTTCTTTCCTCTCTTTTTTCTTTCTTTCTCCTTCCTTCCTTCCTTCCCTCCTTCCCTCCCTCCCTCCCTCCATCCCTCCTTCCTTCTTATCTCCCTTCCTTTCCTTTCATCTCACTCTGTTGCCCAGGCTGGAGTGTAGTGGCATGATCATAGCTCACTGCAACCTTGAACTTCTGGGTCCAAGTGATCCTTCTGCTTCAGCCGCCCATGTAGCTGGAACTACAGGCACATGCAACAATACCTGGCTTATTTTTAAAAAATTATTTGTAGAGATGAGTCTCGCTATGTTGCCCAGGCTGGTTTCAAACTCCTGGACTCAAGTAATCCCACCTTGGCCTCCCAAAGTGCTGGGATTATAGGCATGAGCCTCTGTGCCTGCTGTTATTTCTTTAAATAAGCTTTCTACTTGTTTATCTTTCTCTTCTCCCTTTTTAACTCCTACTGCTCAAATATTTGCTATTTTGATGCTGTCCCATGAATCCTATAAACTTTCTGCATTTCTTTTCATCCTTTTTTCCATCCAACTGTATATTTTTAGATAACTTGTCTTCAGGTTTACAGATTCATTCCTCTGCTTGGTCAATTCTGCTGTTGATGTTCTGTCTTGCATTTTCAAAATTTCCTTCATTGTATTTTTCAGCTCCAGAATTTATGTTTGATTTTAAAAATTATTTCAATCTATTTAATTTCTCATTCTGATCACATATTGTTTTTCTCACTTTTTAAAGTTCTCTGTATTTCTTGAAGTTCACTGAACTTCCTTAAAACAGTTATTTGAATTCTTTCCTTTTTTTTGAGACAGAGTCTCGCTCTGTCGCCCAGGCTGGAGTGCAGTGGCGCGACCTTGACTCACTTCAAGCTCCGCCTCCTGGGTTCATGGCATTCTCTTGCCTCAGCCTCCCGAGTAGCTGGACTACAGGCACCCACCAGCATGCCCGCCTAATTTTTTTGTATTTTTTAGTAGAGATGGGGTTTCACCGTGTTAGCCAGGATGGACTCGATCTCCTGACCTCGTGATCCGCCTGCCTCGGCCTCCCAAAGTGCTGGGATTACAAGTGTGAGCCACTGTGCCCAGCCTGTTTTAATTCTTTATCAGGCAGTTCAGACATCTCCATTTCTTTAGAGTCAATCACTGGCACTTTATGTTGTCCTATTGACGATGTCATGTTTCCCTGATTGTTGTTGATCTTTGTGACCGTGCACTGATGTCTGCACACTTGAAAGGACTGTGTATTTATTCCAGTCTTTGCAGAATGAGGTTCATCTGGGAAAGCCCATCAATAGCCCATGCAGTGGTTCTGGGCAGCCTGTCTGGTTTGGTCCTTAAGGCTGGGGCTGCTACGGTGGGTATAGTGCTGGGATGCTCCAAAAGGCTGGAACCACATTCTCTGGTGTTGCACATAGCATGCCCCAAGCCCAGGGCCACTCTGGCTGGTGCAGTGCTGGGGCACGCTCAAAGCCTGAGACCACTGTGACTGGTGCCATACTGTTATGTGCCTGATTGCAGAGGCCACTGAGGCTTGCCTGTTGCTAAGGGCTGTTGGAGCCCAGGGCCTCTGATGTCAGCCTGATGGTGGTGGCAGCCTGGAGATGGAGTTCATCATGCAAGCCTGAAGCCTGGGCTGCATGATCTTTCCTGATGCCAGAGCAGGTCTAGAGGGTCAGTCTGTGGCTACTGGCCTGGAGTCTGGGGTTGGGAGTCTCCCTGTTGCTGGGTTTTACTATGGCGGGCCTGGTGTTAGGGAACAGGCAAAGTTCTGTGCTCACTTCCCTGACTTTTCCCCAAGTGGGCAATACCTCTGTCTACACTGTGCTGCCTTGAGCTGGGGAGGGGTGACATGGGTAATGTCGAGCCGTCCTTCCTGCACTCTTCAATGCTTCTTTTCTTATTATTGTGCTACAACCCAGTACTGCGATCTCTCACCTGGTTGCCTTAGCTATTGTGAAGGCATTTTTGTTGATGGATAATTGCTCAAACTGATGTTTCTGCAGGTGGACCATAGATGGAAAGAACTATTTTGCTATCTTCTGAGATTTAGCATTTTTTGAAAGATTATTAGCTGGGCATGGTGGTGCCCAACTATAGTCCCAACTGCTTGGGAATCTGAGGTGGGAGGATTGCTTGAGCCCGGGAGGTCGAGGCTGCTGTGAGCCAAGATCATGCCACTGTAGTCCAGCCTGGGTAACAGAGTGAGACCGTGTTTTTGAAAAAACAAAACAAAACAAAACCTACTGTTAGTTATTCCTCTTTTTTTTAGTGAATTGCTGATGATCAGATTTCTCCTGGTGAAGTAGAAATCCTTGCTTCAGAGACAAATACCTGAGTTGAAAGAGAAACTGGCTTTTAGGCTGGGTGTGGTGGCTCACGCCTGTAATCCCAACATTTTAGGAGGCTGAGGCGGGTGGATCAATTGAGGTCAGGAGTTCGAGACCAGCCTGGGCAACATGGTGAAACCCTGTCTCTACTATAAATATAAAAATTAGCCGGGCGTAGTGGCAGGCGCCTGTAATCCCAGCTACTTGGAAGACTGAGGCAGGAGAAACGCTTGAACCCTGGAGGCAGAGGTTACAGTGAGCCATGGTCATGCCACTGCAGTTCAGCCTGGGTGACAGAACAAGGCTCTGTCTGCAAAAACAAACAAAAAAAACAAAACCAAAAAAAGAAAAAAGAAACGGGCTTTTTAGTTAGAGAAATGTAGATTCAAAACAAATGTTGGCAACTTAACTGATTTGACCCCTGGGCATTAGTTTCCTGAGCTATTAAAAGGAGAGCACTACATTGCAGAACAGTACCGAGGACAACTGACAATGTGTATGAAGTACCCAACACATAGAGGTTCTCAATGAATATTGTTGACCAACTGCAGGAATCATGAATCCCTTCTGTCCCCAGCTTGGATACTAAAAGGAAAGTGGGGCCGGGCACGGTGGCTCACGCCTGTAATCCCAGCCCTTTGGGAGGCCGAGGCGGGCGGATCACCTGAGGTCAGGAGTTCAAGACAAGCCTGGTCAACATGGCGAAACCCCGTCTCTACTAAAAATATAAAAATATAAAAATTAGCTGGGCGTGGTGGCATGTACCTGTACTCAGGAGGCTGAGGCAGGATAATCACTTGAACCCGGGAGATGGAGGTTGCAGTGAGCTGAGATCGTGCCATTGCACTCCAGCCTGGGTGACAGAGTGAAATTCCATCTAAAAAAAAATTAATCAATAAAAGAGAAGGAGTGGTGAAGGATGTCATGGTATGGGAGGCCCTGATTGGAAAACTGGAGTGGCGAGCTTTCCTGGCTGGGGAAGGCAAGGGTAGCCTCACATTGGCAGAAGCTGCCAGGTTCAATCTGTGTGGTCTTTTAGTTGCTGTGTTTAGGTAGTTCAGGCAGGATTCTAGGGGCAGGATTCAGGGCCCTTCTCAGTCCTGAAAAGTTGTCCTAGAGTGAGGAGGAGCTGCTCAGAACAAATCTGAGTAATCCAGTGTCTGGACCAGATCCACATTGCTAGAGGGCGACCTGGTCAGAAATCCTCTTGCAGAAGTAGCTAGGCTTCTACACCAAGTTCATCATTTGTCACCTATTTCTTCAGAGCTTGTATTTCTTTCTTTTTTGCTCTTGTTGCCCAGGCTGGAGTGTAATGGCGCAATCTCAGCTCACCGCAACCTCCGCCTCCTGGGTTCAAGCGATTCTCCTGCCTCAGCCTCCCGAGTAGCTGGGATTACAAGCATGTGCCACCACGCCCAGCTAATTCTGTATTTTTAGTAGAGGCAGGGTTTCTGCATGTTGGTCAGGCTGGTCTCGAACTCCCGACCTCAGGTGCTCCAACTGCCTTGGCCTCCCAAAGTGCTGAGATTACAGGCGAGAGCCACCGTGCCCGGCCAGAGCTTGTTTCTCTTTAGACTCCCTATACTTTTCCCCAGTTATATGTGGGTATAGGATAGGGATGGGCATAGTGGTGGGTGGTACTTTGGAAAAGCCAATGGAAGTAGTTTGGGAGAAGGAATGGAAGAGAAAAAAGTTTTCATATTTATGATGTACATCATTTTGGGAGCTCTGTGGCGCAGCTTATTTCATGGTTTCTTTTTCTTCTTTCAGCTCTGGCTTATCAGGACTCCATAGTTCTCCAACAGAGAAATCTTGAAAAGGACTGACCAGTTTTTGCAGTTCTAAAACCATGGCCCATGTAAGTTAATGTTTCTCTGTCCTTTTCGAAATACTGTCAATTTCTGTATCATGTATATAGATTCATTCTTTATTCTGAAACTTCCTGCTTACCAGAGCTTCATCCAAGAACCTGCTCCATGGCTGGACGCAATGGCTCACGCCTGTAATCCCAGCACTTTGGGAGGCCGAGGCAGGCGGATCACTTGAGGTCAGGAGTTCGAGACCAGCCTGGCCAACATGGTGAAACCCTGTCTCTACTAAAAATACAAAAATTAGCCAGTGTGGTGGCAGGCGCCCAGGAGGCTGAGGCAGGAGAATTGCTGGAACCCGGGAGGTAGAGGCTGCAGTGAGCCGAGATTGCGTTACTGCACTCCAGCTGGGGCGACAGAGCAAGACACCATCTCAAAAAAAAAAGAACCTACTCCAGTTCTTTTCCCTCCTGTGAGGATTGGGACAGATAGCCCAGTATCCTATGTGGCTATCTCTTCTCCCACTAATGTTGAGCATCTCCTACCTACAAAATCTTCTGTCAATAGCTGTGAGAAAGCGGAAATGAGATGCCTTGAGAAAATTGAAGGCATTCTCTGCAGAATGTCCTCCTGTTAACATCTTCCAGTGGAACCGCTTTTCATTTTAAAACTTAAACTCCAGAAAAAGTATATTTTTCTCAGTACAGTGCTTTTTGTCTTAGTTTTACATAGAAAAAATAGGTGTCCCCAATACATAATATGACATTTTTTTTTTTTTTGAGACAGAGTTTCACTCTTATCACCCAGGCTGGAGTGCAGTGGCATGATCTCGGCTCACTGCAACCTCCACCTTCTGGGTTCAAGCAATTCTCCTGCCTCAGCCTCCCAAGTAGCTGGGATTACAGGTGCCCGCCACCATACCTGGCTAATTTTTGCATTTTTAGTAGAGATGGGATTTCACCATGTTGGACAGGATTGTCTTGAACTCCTCATCTCAGGTGATCTGCCTGCCTCGGCCTCCCAGAGTGCTAAGATTACAGGTATGAGCCACTGCACCTGGCCACAATATGACATTTTTAAAACGTTTTTGAAATTTTTTGTGGAGGAATGACATATATACAAAAAAATATACAAACCATAAGTGTATGGCTGGATGAATTTTCATAAATTGAGTACATCTATGCTATCAGGTCAAGAAAGGAAATCACCTCAGATGCTTTCAGTCACTCCCCACCCACCTACTGCCCAGGGTAACCACTGTCTTGATGTCGAACACTATAATGTAATTTTGCTTATTTTTGGAACCTTGTTCAAGTGGGGCAGGTGTGGTGGCTCATGCCTGTAATCCCAGTACTTGGGGAGGCTGAGGTGGGCAGATCGCTTAAGCTCAGGAGTTCCAGACCATCCCGGGCAACAAGGCAAAACCGTGTCTCTACAAAAAATACAAAACCTAGCTGGGCATGGTGGCACACCTATAGACGCAGCTACTCAGGAGGCTGAGGTGGGCGAATGACTAGAGCTCGGGAGGTGGAGGTTACAGTGAACCGAGATCGCACCATTGCACTCCAGCCTGGATGACAGAGCCAGACCCTATCTCAAAAAGACAAAACAAAACAAGAACTTTGTTCAAGTGGAATCATATAGTTCAATACAATTTTTTTTTTTTGAGACAGAGTCTCGCTCTGTCGCCCAGGCTGGAGTGCAGTGGCAGGATCTCGGCTCACTGCAACCTCCGCTTTCTGGGTTCAAGCGATTCTCCTGCCTCAGCCTTCTGAGTACCTGGAGTTACAGGCGCCCACCACCACTCCCAGCTATTTTTTGTGTTTTTTTTTGTAGAGACGGGGTTTCACCATGTCGGCCAGGCTGGTCTCAAACTCCTGACCTCAAGTGATCCACCTGCCTCGACCTCCCAAAGTGCTGAGATTACAGGCATGAGCCACCATCCACCATGACACCCAGCCTTTTTTTTTTTTTGACAGAAGGTCTCACTCAGTCACCCAGGCCGGAATGCGGTGGTATGATCCCAACTAACTGCAGCCCCGACCTCCCAGGCTCAGGTGATCCTCCCACCTCAGCCTCCTGAGTACTGGGGACTACAGGCACGTGCCACCACTCTTGGCTAATTTTTAAAATTTTTTGTAGAGATGGGGTCCCACTATGTTGCCTAAGCTGAACTCAAACTCCTGGGCTCAAGTGATTCTCCCACTTTAGCCTCCCAAAGTATTGGCATTATAGGTGTGATCCACCGCACCTGATCCAATACAATGCTTTTTTTTAAAAAACAAAAATAACATCCAGGAAAAATCTTGTTATATCCCAAATACAGTTGTTAGACCAATGGAACCATCTGCAGATGTTTTGAAATGTGTATAACTATCATTCAAGGGCATGTGTGTACCTGGTGCTGCTAGTGACTGAGGAGGTAACAGAGCACCATCCTGAGTGTCAGCCGTTCCCGCTATCACGTTCTTGTTGGAAACACTTTTCCATACTGTGCTTCACATATAGCCCTCATTTTTGTCTAGTGTAAAATGAGTTCCTAAAAGATTGGAAAAGTATTGAAGAAAATTGTGGAGAAAGAAACCAAGCAAATGAGAAAAATGAATTTAGTAAAAGAGATGATTAAAATACTAAAAGCAAAGATGTTGTGTGTGTACTGACCCACTGTGTCCCATAGTTCTATATTGGAGGAAAATGTGCAAAGCTAGTTGGAGGGATGGAATTGACATATAACTCATTATAATGCTCTGATTTCACATAATGGGAGGCCGTGTGTAGTGGCTCACGCCTGTAATCCCTCCTTTGGGAGGCCATTGCTTGAGGCCAGGAATTCAATGTTGCAGTGAGCTGTGATCACATCACTGCACTCCAGCCTAGGCAACAGCCTGGGCAACAGAGTGAGACCCTGTCAAAAAAAAAAAAAAAAAAAAAAAAAAAAAGAAAAAGAAAAAGGAAAGAAAGCAAAGAAAGAAAGAAGGAGGAAGGAAGGAAAGAAAGTAAATAAAATGATGGGAAAATAGGTACCTGGTTAATCGTTAGAATGTCTGATTTTCAGGAATGGATTACTGATGTTAAGTGGGAGGTCCCTATTTTGAGCTTTCCTTAAGATCTGTGATTTGATGAAAGAGAGAATTTGGTCTTATCTGACTGCTTATAGGGAAAACTCTAAACTTCTCCACAGATCTGAGTTTTTCAAGTATATAGGATAGGATTTAGTGTTGACTGACCTTAGTTTTTATGTATGTTGAGACCCTATACTATGTAAGGCTTTTAGGTGGATTGGGTAGGGATGTAATTGGGCCTTATAAGATAAGGCCTAAACTTTCATGTGTGCCTTGACAACTTTGTCAAGACCCTAAAGGCCTAACCATGAGTTCCCCTGCTCTTACCCGATATGCCCACACCCAGCGGGAAAGGCTTCCTACCCAGCTAGTTCTCCTATGAGCTAGACCAGTTACACCCCTCGTCGTCCTCAACCTAATGGGTTTCACCTCCCTGCTAGCCTATGGAATTATTCAAACAAGCCAATCACATACCACTGCAGGAACCAGGGAACACCTCACCTTGTTATTACTGTAAAGCCTGCCTCCCATACCCCTGCTTGTTCATGCTGTTCTTAAATGCAATCCCCTTGTGCCCCTGCGTGATGTATGATGTCCTCTCTCAGGCTCTGAATATATGCATCGAACAAATTGCTGTCAATCTCATCTGTCCAGTGTGGGCTATTTGATTGTCTTGTACTTTTTAGGGCAGGGATCCCTTCTTCACCAACAGGGTGAATAGGATGTGATCAGAATAGGACTGCAAATAGATACCTCAATCAATGGAGATTTCCTCCTGCGGAGAAGAATGCCAGGAACGAGGTCCATTGTGTATTTTTACAGGATGTGCTGGTCTAGAGCAGGATTTCTCAACCTTGGAACTATTGACTTTTTTTTTTTTTTGAGACCGAGTCTTACTCTGTCGCCTAGGCTGGAGTGCAGTAGTGTGATCTCAGCTCACTGCAACCTCCGTCTCCTGGGTTCAAGTGATTCTACTGCGTCAGCCTCCTGAGTAGCTGAGATTACAGGCTCCCACCACCACACCCAGCTGATTTTTGTGTTTTTAGTAGAGACAGGGTTTCACCATGTTGACAAGGTTGGTCTCAAACTCCTGACCTCAAGTGATCTGCCTGCCTTGGCCTCCCAAAGTGCTGGGATTACAGGCTTGAGCCACTGCACCTGGCCTGAACTATTGACATTTTGATGGGGAGTCTTTTATTGTAGGGGGCCGTCCCGTGCATTGTAGGATGTCTAACAGTGTCCCTGGCCTCTACCCATTAGATGCCTGTAACACTCACACCCTTTCCTCCGATTGTGACAACCAAAATTGTCTCCAGATATGGCCGGATGTCTTTTGGGGAGCAAAATGACTCCTCATTGAAAATGATTGATACAGGGGGCCGGGCGCGGTGGCTCACGCCTGTAATCCCAGCACTTTGGGAAGCCGAGGCGGGCGGATCACGAGGTCAGGAAATCGAGGCCATCCTAATTAACGCGGAGAAACCCCGTCTCTACTAAAAATACAAAAAAAATTAGCCGGGCGTGGTGGCGGATGCGTGTAGTCCCAGCTACTTGGGAGGCTGAGGCAGGAGAATGGCGTGAACCTGGGAGGCGGAGCTTGCAATGAGCCGAGATCACGCCACCGCACTCCAGCCTGGGCGACAGAGCGAGACTCCGTCTCAAAAAAAAAAAAAAAAAAAAAAGAAAAGAAAAGAATATGATTGATAATGGTGTCCAGGTGATATCTTTATGATATCTTCATGATTCAGTGTCCTGTAACTCAGGAACAAAAAAACAATGTTCAAGAGATGATAGATAGTGACAAGCAAGAAGATTATTCACATCCATAAAGATTAGATATTGTAGACGTTGAGAATTGGGGAAGACTTTCGAGATTTTATTGAATTAAAATATCTAAAGAAAAAAGAATCTAATATATTAAAAATGTAGACTGCCATCGAACGAATTTTTGAAAGTTTACTAAAGAATTGGTTATAAAAGAGAAAGTGTTTATAATAAAACCCGAGTTTGTGATGAATTTGAATCTGTCTTCTTGGATTTTGTAGCACATGTGGGATAAATTTTTATCAATGTTTTTAAATGATCATTAAAGGGAAAAGAGAGCCCAAGACCTCATATTTCTTTTTTTTTAAATTTTTAAATTTTTAAATTTCTTTTTATGTAGAGACAGGGTCTTGCTAATGTTGATCAAGCTGGTCTTGAACTTACGGGCTCAAATGATCCTCTCATCTGGGCCTCCCAAAGTGCTGGTATTATAGCCATGAGCCACTGCACCTGGCCTCAAGACCTCATATTTTTAAAGAATTTATGGTGGAGGCACATAGTATTCAAAAGGCTTGCGTGCACTATTTCATTTAATTAGGATTTTTTTGGGTTATGTACTCATTTCTAGAAATGTTTGGATGAAAATGTAATCATATCTATAGCCACAGGACTATTCAAGAACATGTAGGCTCAGTGCTTGAGAAATACTAATTTTCTTACTGGCCCCTACTCATGTCACAAGTTTTCAGCCCAATGCTGTTTGCATGCTATCTGACCCCTCTCTGCAATGCAATCCTCAATCTCCCCTCTTTCCATTTTAAAAGTATTTAATTTATTTTCACAAGTAATACCTGAGTTTGTTTTTTCAGGGTTCAGTGACATTCAGGGATGTGGCCATAGACTTCTCACAGGAAGAATGGGAATTCCTGGATCCTGCTCAGAGGGACTTATATAGGGATGTAATGTGGGAGAACTACAGCAACTTCATTTCACTAGGTAAGGTTATTTATCCCAAATGATATTAGCTTTCTCTGCTGTCAATTTCAGGACTATATTTAGAAAAACTCTCTAAAACTACTTTCTATTCTCAAAGGAATGATTTAAGCTTTGTCAGGTTGGAACTAGGCCTCTCCATTTCATCATGTCCAGTCTGCTATGCCCTTCAGACTTCCTTCAGACTCTGTAATTCCTGATTTCCTTAGTATCCAAGGGGATGGATTTGAATATGGCAAAAGCATTGTTCAAGAAACCAGACTTCACCTTATATTGGAGCTCAGAATTGACATAAATGCTTCACACCATCTGCAAGTAGAATACCTAGACATAGGGGTTCTGAGTTTCTCTAAAAATCAAAGGAATCTGTAGAACATAGTGTGAGATGGATCCAGAAAGGTTATTTAAAACTCATAGCCGGGCATGGTGGCACGTGCCTGTAATCCCAGCTACTCGGGAGACTGAGGCAGGAGAATCACTTAAACCCAGGAGGCGGAGGTTGCAGTGAGCTGAGATCACGCCACTGCATTCCAGCCTGGGCGACAGAGTGAGACTCCATCTCAAAAAAACCTCAAGGTCAGGCATGGTGGCTCATGCCTGTAATCCTAGCACTTTAGGAGGCCGAGTCGGGTGGATCACTTGAGGTCAGGAGCTCCAGACCAGCCTGGCCATCATGGTGAAACTCCATCTCTACTAAAAATACAAAAATTAGCCAGGCATGGTGGCGCATGCCTATAATCCCAGCTACTTGGGAGGCTGAGGCAGGAGAATTCCTGGAAGCTGGGAGACTGAGGTTGCAGTGAGTTGAGATCGCGCCATTGCACTCCAGCCTGGGTGACAGAGTGAGACTCTGTCTCAAACAGAAAAAACCCTGAAACACATTCTGTTTCCTGTAACAGACATATGCAGTTCTACCTACTTTGTAATTGAAAATTAAAATCTAAAAGCCTGGCATTTAACATTGAATGAATATCCTAGAAAAGATCTGGGAATGTCTCAAAAAACCTTTTAGTATGCACTCATCAAAATGATAACAGTAAATAGCTAATAGCTAATACATATATTATGTGTATATGTTAATAAACATCACCATATATTTGGGCTTAAACATTATTCTAAGCATTGTTCATTATTAATTAACCCTCACAACAACGCTATGAGAAGATATTATTATCTTCATTTTATTTGAGAAAACGTAGACACAAAAGGTTAATAATTTGCTAGGTAACACAGAAACAAAGGCAGGATGTGAAGCCAGGCAGTCTGGATCCAGTCTGTGTTCTTCCCTCTACACAATACTGCCTTTCAACAGAGCTTGTGTGAGGTTAAATTATATTAAGGCCTGTTCTTGACCAGATGGTTAATATAATGGCCTTAGTATACTTAATTTAACCTCATACAGGCTATTCCTTGTGACCCTCAAGTTACCTTAATATGAGCATTCTTCAACTCCCTTGCAATTCTTCGCTCCTAGGCTTTATAAAGTGCCATATTGATCTGTAGTTAATTATAAATTTAACCAAATCTAAATCTAAAGATTTTCTGGTGTATAATTCCATGTCACATTTTTCTTTTAAGCAGGACCTTCCATTTCTAAACCAGATGTGATTACCTTATTGGATGAAGAAAGGAAGGAACCTGGGATGGTTGTGAGGGAAGGGACAAGAAGATACTGCCCTGGTGAGTGAGGGCTGAGCAGGCATTGAGAAATCACTACTGCAGGTAATAGCTAAACTGATTAGGGTGGAGGCACACCCTTGAGATGTTGGGGTCTCTCTTCAAAAAGCCCCTGGCCTATGGAGGCAGGGCTTGGGACTTGAAGCAAATTAAGATCTTTTAAGCCTGGACTAGCAAAGGAACTTTCTATTGATCTTGAATGCAACACTGTTTCTCATCTTTCATATTTCTATCCTACTTTAAAGAGAAGAACTATTCCTGGTAGAAGAAAAAATAAATAAATATAAGAGCAGAAATCAGCAAAATAGAAAAGAAATAAAGAAAATTAATAAAGCCAAAAATTGATTTCTTGAAAAGATCAGCAAAGATGGTAAACACCTAGTAATTTACATTCTCTCTTTTTAAAGAACATAAATTACTAACATCAGGAATGAAAGAGGGATTTTCACTTTAGATCCTATAGCCGTTAAAAGAATAATAAGAGGCTGGGCGTGGTGGCTCACTCTGGTAATCCCAGCGTTTTGGGAGGCCGAGGCAGGCTGGTCACTTGAGGTCAGGGGTTCCAAACCAGTCTGGCCAACGCAGCAAAACACTGTCTCTACTAAAAATACGAAAATTAGCTGGGCATAGTGGCGGGCACCTGTAGTCCCAGCTACTCAGGAGGCTGAGACACAAGAGTCACTTGAACCCGGGAGGCGGAGGTTGCAGTGAGCCAAGATCACGCCACTGCACTCCAGCCTGAGTGACAGAGTGAGACTCTACCCCGACTCCAAAAAAGAAGAATAATAAGAATAATAAGAGAATGCCATGAATTACTTTATGCCAATAAATTTGATAACTTAAATGAAATTTTAAAATTTCTGGAAAAGTACAACTTACCGGAACTGACACAAGATAAAAAAGAAATTGAATACCCTTATGCTGCTAAAGTAATTGAATTCATTATCAGAAACCTTCCACAAAGAAAATGCCAGCCCCAGATGGTTTCACTGGTGAATTCTATTAAACATCTAAGGAAGAAATAGCAGCAGTATTATACAAACTCCTTCAGAAAAGGAATGCATTTTATGAGGCCAACATAACTCATACCATAACCCAAGAAAGACATTACAAAAAAAGCATAAACCCATCTTTTCCATACATAGATACAAAAATTTTAATAAAATATTAACAAATCAAATATAATGATATACAAAAATGATGATTAGGATTTCTTTCTACCTGTTAATTCACCATATTAACAGAAAAAATGAAAGACCGTATGATCATTGTCTTAGTTCACTTTCTGTTGTTTATAACAGAATACCTTGAAATTCAGTAATTTACAAGGAAAAGGAATTTATTTCTTACCGTTTTGGAGGTTGAGAAGTCCAGCCTCAAAGGGCTGTGTCTATTGAGGGCCTTCTTGCTGGTGGGGACTCTGCTGAATTCCGAGGCTTTGCAGGGCATCAAATGGCAAGTGGGCTGAACATGCAAATGTGCTAGTTGAGGCCTCTCTTCTTCTTATAAAGTCATCAGTCCCAATCCTGTGATAACCCATTAATCGATTAACTCACCAATCCATGAATAGGTTCATCCATTCATGAGAGCAGAGCCCTCATGACCCAGTCACCTCTTAAAAACCCCACCTCTCAATATTGCCATTAGGAATTAATTTTCAACATGAGTTTTGGAGGCAACAAACATTCAAACCATAGCAATCATCTTCATAGATGTAAAAATAGCATATGACAAAATCCAACATCCATTCATGATAAAAAGCTCTCAGCAAACTAGAAATTGAAGGGAACTTCCTCAATCTGGTAAGGGGCACCTATTTAAAAAATACATTATAAACTATAAAAATCCATTATCAAAAGAAAAAGAAATGAGACATAAAGATCAAAAAGGAAGACATAAGTCTGTATTTGGAGATGACATGATTGTGTACATAGAAAGTCCTAAGGAATCAAGACAACAACTATTCGAAGTAATAATTGAAAAATCACAATAAGGTCATGGGATATAAGGTTAATATTAAAAAATCAGGCCGGGTGCAGTGGCTCACACATATAATCCTAGCACTTTGGGAGGCCAAGGCAGGCAGATCAGTTGAGGTCAGGAGTTCGAGACCAGCCTGGCCAACATGGTGAAACCCCGTCTCTACTAAAAATACAAACATTAGCTGGATGTAGTGGCGCACGCCTGTAATCCCAGCTAGTCAGGAGGCTGAGGTGGGAGAATTGGTTGAACCCGGGAGGCGGAGTTTGCAGTGAGCCGAGATCACACCACTGCACTCCAGCTCAGACGATAGAGCAAGACTCCATCTCAAAAAATAAAATAGATAGATAGATAGATAGATAGATGATAGATAGATAGATAGATAGATAGATAGATAGATAGATAGATAGATCAGAGCCGGGCATGGTGGCTCATGCCTGGAATCCCTGTACTTTGGAAGGCCGAGGCAGGTGGATCACCTGAGGTCAGGAGTTCAAGACCAGCCTGGCCAACATGGTAAAACCCTATCTCTACTAAAAATACAAAAATTAGCCAGGCATGGTGGTGCAAGCCTGTAATCCCAGCTACTGGGGAGGGTGAGGCATGAGAATCTCTTGAACCTGGGAAGCGGAGGTTGCAGTGAGCCGAGATCACACCACTGCACTCCACCCTGGGTGACAGAGTGAGACTCTTATCTCAAAAAAAAAAACAAAAAACAAAAACTTCAGGATTTATTAAAACTACAGTGATCAAGACAGTATGTTATTGGCAAAGATTACCGAACAAAACACAACAGAGGTCCTAGAAACATACCCTGCCACACACGCACTAAAGGGTCATTTATTGTTTGACAAAGATGCCAAAGCATTCCAATGGGGAGAAGAAAGGCTTTTCAACAAATAGTACTGGAATAACTGGGGAAACAAATAAACAAACCTCTCAGCTTTTACCTCATACCAAAATTAATTTGAGATGGTTTTTAGACCTACATATAAAAGCTACAATCATAAAGTTTTTAGAGGGAAACAGGACAGTGATGAGTGTCCCAACTTATGACTTGGGAGTAGGCAAAGGTTTCTTGAGTGAAAACAATAACCATAAAAATAAAAAAATCAGACCGGGCGCAGTGGCTTACATCTGTAATCCTAGCACTTTGGGAGGCCAAGGCGGGCAGATCGCCTGATATTGGGAGTTTGAGACCAGCCTGGCCAACATGGCGAAACCTGATCTCTACTGAAAATACAAAAATTAGCTGGGCGTCTTGGCATGCGCCTGTAATCCCAGCTACTCAGGAGGCTGAGGCAGGACAATTGCTTGAACCCAGGAGGTGGAGGTTCCAGTGAGCCAAGATCACACCGCTGCACTCCAGCCTGGGTGACAGAGTGGGACTCTGTCTCAAAATAAATAAATAAAAAATTAAGACATTAGACTTTATCCAAATTGAAAACTTTGTCTCATCAGAATATACCAATAAGCAGATGAATGGGTGAGTCACAGACTGGGAGAGTAATAGTGGTAAAACATATCTGACAAGGGACCAGTATCTAGTATATACACAGCTCAGTGCTAAATGATAAGTAGCCCAATTAAAACTGATTGAAAGGCACACCAATACCATGAATAAACTGAGCAACAGTAAGCAATAAACTCTTGATACATGCAACAACTTGGGTGAATTTCAAGGAAATTATGCTGAGTGACAAAATCAATCACAAATGGTTATGCACTACATGACTTTATTTATGTAATATTTGCAAAATCACATAGAGATGGAAAAACAAATTAGTGGTTTCCAAGGGTAGGGATGTAGGGCGTAGAGGATGGTTCGGGTTAGAAAGGGGTAACATGAGGAAATCTTGCAGTCATGGTACAGGTGAGTATCTTGATTTTGGTGGTGGTTTTGCGAGGCTACCTGTGATAAAATTGCATAGAGCTATGCAAATAAACACACATGAGTGCACATAGAACTGGTGAAGTCTAAGTAAGCTCTATGGAATATACCAACATTAATTTCTTTCTTTTTTTTTTTTTTGAGACAGTCTCGCTCTGTCACCCACGCTGGAGTGCAGTGGCGGGATCTCGGCTCACTGCAACCTCTGCCTCCCAGGTTTATGCGATTCTCCTACCTCAGCCTCTCAAGTAGCTGAGATTATAGGCATGCGCCACCACCTAATTTTGTATTTTTAGTAGAGAGGGAGTTTTACCATGTTGGCCAGTCTGGTTTCGAACTCCTGACCTCAGGTGATCCATCCACCTCAGCCTCCCAAAGTGCTAGGATTAGAGGCATGAGCTACTGCGCCCAGCCCCATTAATTTC
This sequence comes from Homo sapiens, assembly GCF_000001405.40. Taxonomy (NCBI): domain Eukaryota; kingdom Metazoa; phylum Chordata; class Mammalia; order Primates; family Hominidae; genus Homo; species Homo sapiens. The sequence goes on along the minus strand of NC_000019.10, from coordinate 36,356,141 downwards.
TTGTTTTGAATATTGTGCTATACTTACCTAAGATGTTAACACTGGGAGGGGCTGGGTGAAGTCTACACAGGACTTTTCTGTACATTTTGTGCAACTTCCCATGGATCTATAATTATTTTAAAATAAAAAAAATTTTAAGGATGCTGTTGAGGGGAATGGGGAAAAGATTTGACAAAGAGAGGGGCTACTCTTTTTTTTGATCGGTGACTACAGTTTCATCTCTATTTAAATCTGTATCATCTTAAGCTGCTGTAACAGAATACCATAGTCTGGGTGGCTTAAACACCAGATATGTATTTTCTCACAATTCTAGATGCTGGAAGTCCAAAATCAGGGTGCCAGGTTCTGGTGAAGTCTCTCTTCCTGGCTTGCAGGCAGCTGCCTTCTTGTTGTGTCCTCATATGACACAGAGAGAGAAAGAGGTCACTCTCTTCCTTTTTTTTTCTTCTTTTTTTTTTTGAGACAGGGCTTCACTGTGTTGCCCAGGCTGGAGTGCAATGGTGCCATCACAGCTCACTGCAGTCTTGAACTCCTGGGCCCAAGCAATCCTCCCGTCTCAGCCTCCTGAGTAGCTGGGTTTACTGGCACATGCCTCCACACTTAGCTATTTAAAAAAAAAAAAATTTATAGAGACAGAGATCTCCCTGTATTCCCTAGGCTGTTCTTGAACTCCTGGGCTCAAGTGATCCTCATACCTCTGCCTCCCAAGGTGCTGGGATTACAGGCGCGAGCCACTGCACCTGGCCCTCTTCTTCTTCTTACAAGGCCAGTAATTCTAGTGGATTAGGACCCCTCCTCTAGGCCTCCTTTAACCTTAATTACCTCCTAAAAGCCCCATCTCCACATACAGTTAGTTAGGGCTCAACATTCAAATTTTAGGGGAACAGAGTTCAGTCCATATTTAGGACCCAGTTTCTTTCTAGCTTCTATTATGATTAGGTTGATATGTCTTTCATTGGCTAGAAATATATTCCTTTATTTATTTGGCAAATACTTGAGTGCCTAGTTGGAACTAGGTGTTGTGCTGGACACCAGTGGAGCAGATGTGAATGAGAATCATGGGTCCCAGCAATCATGTTGCTTACATCTTAATAGGAGTAAGGACATGAAGTAAACAAGTACATCAATACATAATATTAGGTAGGGACAAGTATTAAGAAAAGTAAGAAGGGCCAGGCGCAGTGGCTTCGTGCCTGTAATCCCAGCACTTTGAGAGGCTGAGGTGGGAGGATCACTTGAGGCCAGGAGTTCGAGACCAGCCTGGCCAACATGGTGAAACCTGTCTCTACTGAAAATACGAAAATTAGCTGGGCGTGGTGGCACATGCCTGTAGTCCCAGCTACTCAGGAGGCTAAGGCAGAAGTATCGCTTGAACCTGGGAGGTGGAGGTTGCAGTGAGCCGAGATCGCGCTGCTGCATTCCAGCCTGGGTGAGAATGGAAGTTGGCAAGTAGAGATAGGGATGTTTTAAATAGGGTGGTCAGGACATTTTGAGGAGGTGATACTTGAATAGTGACATGAAAAAAGAGCCCAGGCCATATGAATATCTAAAGCAACGGCATTCCTGGCAGAGAACAGCAAATACAAAGGCTTTGGGTGGGCTGAGGGGAGCTTTGTATTTTTGAGGAACTGCAAGAAGCCCAAGATGATTAAGATGCTTATTCAAAAGGTAAGTGAAAGGTGTAGAAACAAGATAATGTTAGGCAAGAGCGAGATCATGTAATGGTTTGTATATCATAGGAGAAGGCATTTGACTTTTTTTTTTTTTTTTTGAGATGGAATCTCTCTCTGTCGCCCAGCCTGGAGTGCAGTTGCACCATCTCAGCTCACTGCAATCTCCACCTCCCAGGTTCAGGCGATACTCCTGTCTCAGCCTCCTAAGTAGCTGGGATTACAGGTGCCCACCACCGTGCTTGGCTAATTTTTGTATTTTTAGTAGAGACAAGGTTTCACCATGTTGGCCAGGCTGGTCTTGAACTCCTGACCTTGTAATCTACCTGCCTCGGCCTCCCAAAGTGTTGGGATTACAGATATGAGCCACTGTGCCCGGCTTTTTTTTTTTTTTTTTGAGACAGGGTCTTGTTCTGTTGCCCAGGCTGGAGTGCAGTGGTGTGATCATGACTCACTGCAGCCTTGAACTCCTGGGTTCAAGTGATCGTCCCACCTCAGCCTCCCAAGTAGCTGGGACTACAGGCGCATGCCACCACCGCTGGAAAATTTTTGTATTTTTTGTAGAGACGGGAGTTTTGCTATGTTGCCCAGGCTGGTCTTGAACTCCTAGGCTCAAGCGATCCTCCCACCTCAGTCTCCCAAAGTGCTGGGATTACAGGTGTGAGCCACTGCACTCAGCTGCATCTGACTTTTTTTTATTTTAAGTGTAGTAGAAAGCTGCTGGAGATTTTTGAGCAGGGGAGTAACATGAGCTGATTTTTTTTTTTTTTTTTTGAGATGGAGTCTCACTCTGTCACCCAGACTGGAGTGTAGTGGCGCAATCTCGGCTCACTGCAACCTCCGCCTCCTGGTTCAAGCGATTGTCCTGCCTCAGCCTCCCGAGTAGCTGGGATTACAGGCACACGCTACCACGCTCAGCTAATTTTTGTATTTTTAGTAGACATGGGGTTTCAGTGTGTTGGTCAGGCTGGTCTCGAACGCCTGACCTTGTGATCTGCCTGCCTCGGCCTCCCAAAGTGCTGGAATTACAGGCGTGAGCCACCACACCCGGCCTACATGAGCTGATTTTTAAATAATTACCACTCTACAGAGAATAGATTGAATAAGGGCATGATGGATAGTTTGAAGACCCACTAGGAGGCTATTTCATTTGTCCACATTGAAGATGATAGTGGTTTTGCTGAGAATGGTACTAGTGGAAGGCTGAGAGAAAATGTTAGATTCCTGATAGGTTTGCCTGGTACATGCTGGGCTGCTCTTCTCTGAATACTTCCCTTACTGTGCTTGTACTGCAACAGCCTGCACTAGGCTGCCTCCAGTAATGGAAACAGCATCCCATCCCCAGTGTGGGTAAGGAAGATCTTTTTTTTTTCTTCGAGATAGGGTCTTGCTCTGTTGCCTCAGGCTGGAGGGCAGTGACATGAACATGGCTCAACTTCCTGGGCTCAAGTGATCCTCCCACCTCAGCCTCCTGAGTAGTTGGGACTACAGGTGCGCACCACCACACATGGCTAATTTTTTTTTTTTTTTTGAGACAGAGTCTCGCTCTGTCGCCCGGGCTGGAGTGCAGTGGCGCGATCTCGGCTCACTGCAAGCTCCGCCTCCCGGGTTCACGCCATTCTTCTGCCTCAGCCTCCCAAGTAGCTGGGACTACAGGCGCCTGCCACCACGCCCGGCTAATTTTTTATATTTTTAGTAGAGACGGGGTTTCACCGTGTTAGCCATGATGGTCTCGATCTCCTGGCCTTGTGATCCGCCCGCCTCGGCCTCCCAAAGTGTTGGGATTACAGGTGTGAGCCACCGCGCCCAGCCCACATGGCTAATTTTTAAGCATTTTTTGTAGAGACAGTGTCTCACTGTGTTGCCAGGTTGCTCTAAAACTCCTGGCCTCAAGGGATTCTCCCACCTTGGCCTCCCGAAGTGCTGGTATTACAGGTGTGAGCCACTGTGCCCAGTCATTTTTGTCTATTAATTGATGTATTTTATGCATCTACATTTCATTAATTTTCTTACATATTTGGGTTTAAATCTGCTGTCTTCCCAGTGTTTTTCTGTTTGCTTAATATGTTCTTACTTTTTTCATTCTCCTGCCTTTTTTGGATTAATCAAGCATTTTTATTCTAGTTTTTCCTTTTATAACATGATCATTATACATACATTTATTTTTCTTCTTGTGGTTGCCTTAGACAATAACAAGTACATTATTTACTTATTGCATTGAATCTGAAATTAGCTTCTTTATATCTTGTTCAAAATTGTAGGGATCTTAATAGAATTTTTTTTTTTTTGAGACAGAGTCTGGCTCCGTTGCCCAGAATGGAGTGCAGTGGCACGATCTCGGCTCGCTGCAAGCTCTGCCTCCCGAGTTCACGCCGTTCTCCTGCCTCAGCCTCCCGAGTAGCTGGGACTACAGGCGCTCACCACCACGCCCCGCTAATTTTTTTGTATTTTTAGTAGAGACGGGGTTTCACCATGTTAGCCAGGATGGTCTCGATATCCTGACCTTGTGATCCACCCGCCTCGGCCTCCCAAAGTGCTGGGATTACAGGCGTGAGCCACCACACCCGGCCGGATCTTAATAGAATCTTTAAAAAATGTATTCATTTATTTTTAGAGACAAGGTCTCACTGCATCACCCAGGCTGGAGTGCAGTGGTGTGATCATAGCTCACTGCAACCTCAAACTCCTGGGCTCAAGCAATTCTCCTACTTCAGCCTCTTGGGTAGGTAGGACTACGGGTACACACCACCATGCCCGGCTAATTTGTTTTATTTTAGAGATGGGGGTCTCACTGTGTTGGCCAGGCTGGTCTCAAACTCTTGGTCTCAGATGATCCTCCTGTCTCAGCCTCCCAAAGTACTGTGATTACAGGCGTAAGCCACTGTACGCAACCCTTAATAGTATTTTAATTCCTTTTATGTGTCCTCAGTTTTTTGTGCATTTGTTGTCATATGCCTTTTTTTTTCTTTTTGTGATATGCAGTCTTGCTCTGTTGCCTAGGCTGGAGTGCAGTGGTGGGATCCTGGCTCACTGCAACCTCTGCCTCCTGGGTTCAAGCAATTCTCCCACCTCGGCCTCTAGAGTAGCTGGGACTACAGGCATGCACCACCATGCCGGCTAATTTTTGTAGTTTTTAGTAGAGACGGGGTTTCGCCATGTTGGCCAGGCTGGTCTTGAACTCCTGATCCCAGGTGATCCGCCCACCTCAGCCTCCCAAAGTGCTGGGATTACAGGCCTGAGCCACTGTACCCAGCTCTGTTGTCATGTATCTTAATTCCACATTTTAATCCCCACAGGGCATTAATTTCTTATTGTAATAAGTAGTGAATTTTTTTTACATTTGCCCACACATTTACCTTTTACAGTGCTCCTTATTATTTTCTGCATTGCATTGCTTTTATCTGGAACCATTTTCTGTGTACCCAAAGAACTTACTTAGTATTTATTTTATTGTGTCCACTGGCAATAAATTATCTTAGGTTTTATTAGAAAATATCTTTATTACGTCTTAATTTTTAAAGGGTACAAAATTTTGTCTTTATTTTTGTGGAGAATAGAATTCTGAGTTGGCAGTTATTTTCTCTTAGCAAATATCCCCTCCTTGTCTTCTGGCTTTCATTATTTCCATTGAGTAGTAGTTTGTCACTTATATTGTAACTCCTTCAGAGATATTGTTTTAGAGGTATTTTTTCCCGTTAGCTGCTTTTGGATTTTTTTTTAACAGATTACTGTGGTGTGCCTAATTTTATATTGCAGTGAAATGTAAAAATCCCAATTATATTGTGGTGTAGTTTTGTAGTGTGGTGGATATTGTGTTGTCATCTGCTTGAAGTATTTAGGAAGCTGTTTTTTGTTTTTTTTTGGTTTTTTAAAGACAGGATCTTGCTTGGATGCCCAGGTTGGAGTGCAGTGGCATGATTTCAGCTCACGGCAGCCTCACCCTCCTGGGCTCAAGTGATCCTCCCACCTCAGCCTCCCAAGTAGCTTGGACCACAGGTGCACACCACCACACCCAGTGAACTTTTGTATTTTTTTAGAGATGGGGGTCTCCCTATGTTGCCCAGGATGGTCTTGAACTCCTAGCCTCAAGTAGTTTTCCCTCCTTGGCTTCCCAAATTGTTGAGATTACAGGCCTGAGTCACTAGGCTCAGCTAGGAATTTTTTTAAATCTTGGGTTTGATGTCTTTTGTCAGTTTGGGAAAATTCTGGTTACTATATCTTCAGATAGTGTTTGTTTCTCATTTTTGTTCTTTTCTCTGTGTGAGTTACACATATGTTAGACACTTTAACATTGTCCCATGTATCTTTTATGTTCTTTTCTGTTTTTTTTTTTTGTTTGTTTTGTTTTTTTGAGACAGAGTGTGGCTCTGTTTTCCAGGCTGGGGTGCAGTGGCACAATCTCAGCTCACTGCAGACTCCACTTCCCGGGCTCAAGCACCACCACACCCAGCTACTTTTTTGTGTGTGTATTTTTAGTAGAGACAGGGTTTCACCATGCTGGCCATGCTGGTCTCAAACTTGTGGAGTTTGAGTTCAAAGCAGTCTGCCCGCCTTGGCCTCCTAAAGTGTTGGGATTACAGGTGTGAGCCACCACGCCCAGCCTATCTATTGTTCTTTTTTATTCCTTTCAACCTTGAAATCTTCTTCAAATCCATGTCTCTATTCACTAGTCTTCTCTTGTGCTAAGTCTAAGCTGTTGTTAAAGCTGTCCATTAGATTTTTCATTTTCATTTTAATATTTATAGATAATATACATAGTATATATTATATATATATTATATATATATATATTTTTTTTTTGTTTTGAGACAGAGTCTTGCTCTGCGACCCAGGCTGGAGTGCAGTGGTGCCATCTTGGCTCACTGTGGCCTCTGCCTCCTGAGGTTCAAGTGATACTCCTGCCTCAGCCTCCTAAGTAGCTGGGATTATAGGTGCACACCACCACGCCTGGCTAATTTTTTGTATGTTTAGTAGAGATGGGGTTTTGCCATGTTGCCCAGGCTGGGCTCAAACTCCTGAGCTCAGGTGATCTACCCACCTCAGCCTCCCAGAGTGCTGGGATTACAGGCGTGAGCCACTGTGCCCAGCCTGTAAATTCACATTTTCAAAGGGCGTTAAGGGAATTATTAATTAAACTGGTATATTATTCTGATAAAATACAAATATTTTTTAGTTCTAGAGGAGAAATTATGTTCTTCCTGTTTTTTTTTTTTTGTTTTTTTTTTTTTGTTTTTTTTTTTGAGACAGAGTTCCCCTCTTATAGCCCAGGCTGGAATGCAATGGCATAATCTCGGCTCACTGAAACCTCCGCCTCTCCTGGGTTCAAGTGATTCTCCTGCCTCAGCTTCCCAAGTAGCTGGAATTACAGGCATGTGGCACTACACCCGGCTAATTTTTTGTATTTTTAGTAGAGATGGGGTTTCACCACGTTGGCCAGGCTGGTCTCGAACTCCTGACCTCAGGCGATCTGCCCACCTCGGCCTCCCAAAGTGCTGGGATTACAGGTGTGAGCCACTGTGCCCAGCCCTCCTCTTCTTGTTGAATAGAATTTTCCACTGAGATACAGAGTCAGAGCATTGATAAAAAAAATACAAGCCAGCTTAAGTTCCACCTCTGGTTTCTGGGATCTCTTGGGGAGGAACCCATTGGTGTTATTTCCTCTGAGAGCTGCTTCTTCCAAAGCAGGTATAGCACTTCCTACAGGAGGTCCCAGAAGGTTGCAGCACAGGCGGGGTCAAATCCTGACTCTGGAGTTCAAGACCAGCCTGGCTAAACATGATGAAACCGTCTCTACCAAAAATACAAAAATTAGCAGGGCATGGTGGTGCATACCTGTAATCCCAGCTACTTGGGAGGCTGAGGCAGGAGAATCGCTTGAATCCAGGAGGCGGAGGTTGCAGTGAGCCAAGATTGTGCCACTGCACTCCAGCCTGGGTGACAGAGTGAGACTTCATCTCCAAACAAACAAACAAAATCCTGACTTCCCTGACTGTCCTGGTAAGACATCCTCCAGAACCTCTATATCAAGGAGTCAGCTGGTGTTACCCTGATACACAGGTGCTGGGCATTCTGATCTCATGAAGGCCAACTTAGCCTAAAGGGGTCAGCTTCCCAGGTTTATCAGTGATAGCTATATATTTGTATATTTGTGGCTTGAACACCTCAAACAGAAGTATCGACCCAAGTACCTACCCAATCCTTTTAAAATGTACTTAAAAGCCAGTTACACAATTTCATTTAAAATGAAATGTCAATCCTTAATTCAAATCCCTGTAGTATTATTACATGGCACCCAATTACTTATTTTTCTGTTCTGTAGGCTTTGCCTATTCTATGTGACTATCTGGTGACCAAAGAAAGCCATTAGAAATTGACTTTTCTAAGGGAATATGTGTGGGCAAAGAGAAAGAAGACTTTTTTTTTTCTCACTCTGTTGCCCAGGCTGGAGTGCAGTGGCATGATATTGGCTCACCTCAACCTCCACCTCCCGGGTTCAAGAGGTTCTCCTGCCTCAGCCTCCCGAGTAGCTAGGGTTACAGGCACGTGCCACCACACCCAGCTAATTTTTGTGTTTTTAGTATGACAGTTTCACCATGTTGGCCAGGCTGGTCTCAAACTCCCGACCTCAGGTGATCTGCCTGCCTTGGCCTCCCAAAGAGCTGGATTGACAGGCGTGAGCCACTGCGCACAGCCTGATTTCATTTTTATACTCAAAGATAACTTGGAGTATTAGGCTTTATAAAATGTTCTGGGCCACTTTAAATATAATTGAGTGCTTTCTCAAGTTTTGATAATCTTCAAAATAATTTTTGGAGTGGGTCTTTGATTACTTTTTCTTTTTCTTTCTTTTCTTTGTTTTTTTTGAGATGGAGCCTCACTCTGTCACCCAGGCTATAGTGCAGTGGCGTGATCTCGGCTCATTGCAACCTCTGCCTCCTGGGTTCAAGTCATTTCCTGCCCCAGCCTCCCGAGTAACTGGGACTATAGGCGCCTTCCAGCACACCTGGCTAATTTTTGTAGTTTTTGTAGAGATGAGGTTTCACCATATTGGCCAGGCTGGTCTCGAACTCCTGACCTCAAGCAATCCACCCTCCTCGGCCTCCCAAAGTGCTGGGATTACAGACGTGAGCCATTGCGCCCAGCCTTGAATACTTTTTCTATACTTTGTTAGTAATTAGCCTTGGTTGTCATAGTAGTCCCTTATAATTTTCAAAATATTCTGTTTTGTTAGTTATTTACATGTGTCAAGAACTATATTATTTCTACAACTTCACCCTACTTGCAAGCTGACAAGTTAGCTTGCCGTAGTGTCATGGATGCTGGCAGGAAACACATGCTCTCAGTCAAAGACAAAGGATTTGATTGCTCTCAGCACAGCCAGCAGTTCCTCCTTGCCTGCAAGTCACATGAGGCTGATAAGGATGGGTCTAGATAGTTCCTGAGCATGCAGTGAGCTGCCTTATAGAAAAGGAACACTGAGCTTGAAGAACCCAAATCATTCATCGTGGGCAATAAGTGTACGTAGCCTTAGCTTGGAAGGAGACATTACCTTTATTATCCTGAACAAGCAAGCGAACCTGCCTATTGATCCAGACAGAGACGTTATCTCTACCTTGCAAGGCTGTTTGTTATAGTATAGAAACATTCTTGAAAAGATATCCCAGAACAAAGGTAGGTAGTGCTTCTGCCAACAAGATGTACAAAAAATGTGAGAGCGGCTGGGCGCAGTGGCTTACGCCTGTAATCCCAGCACTTTGGGAGGCTGAGGCAGGTGGATCACGAGGTCAATAGATCAAGACCATCCTGGCCAACATGGTGAAACCCCGTTTCCACTAAAAATACAAAAAATTAGCTGGGCATGGTAGAAACACCTGTAGTCCCACCTACTCAGGAGGCTGAGGCAGGAGGATCACTTGAACCCGGGAGGCAGAGGTTGCAGTGAGCTGAGACTGCGCCACACTACACTCCAGCCTGGCGACAGAGCAAGACTCTGTCTCAAAAAAAAAAAGTGAGAGCTCTATGGGGAGTTGTCACTGAATAGCTAGTGGCCATTTTTTATTTTGTTTGAATGCTTTCCTTTTTCTCTTATTATCTTAGCTAATGGTTATGTTCCACTGATTTTGTTTTTGTTTTTTGTTTTTTTGTTTTGTTTTTGTTTTTGTTTTCCAAACAACCTGGGTTTTTTGTTTGTTTTGAGACAGGTTGTCGCTCTGTCACCCAGGCAGTGGCATAATCATGGCTCATTGCAATGCCCGCCTCCCGGGCTCAGACGATCCTCTTTCCCTCAGTCTTTCGAGTAGCTGGGACTATAAGCAAGCACCACCATGCCTGGCTAATTTTTTGTAGAGATAGGGTTTTGCCATGTTGCCCAGACTGGTCTTGAACTCCTGGGCTCAAGCAATCCTCCAGCCTCAGCCTCCCAAAGTGCTGGGTTTACAGGCATGAGTCATCGTGCCTGGCCAACCTGGATTTTTTATATGTCTTTCATTTCTGTTATCTAATTAATGAAATTCTGCTTTCATTTTAATCTATTTCTTCATTCTTTGTTCCTCAGTATACTTTGTTGTTCTTTTTCTAACTTTTGTGTGGGATACTCATATATTTTCCTTCATTTCTATTGCTCTAAGAATTTAAATGTATCTATAAAATTTCTTCTGAGATCTGTAGCTATATTTCATAGGTTCTCTATAATGTATTTTTCAATATTACTGTTCTATATTTAGGAAAGAGTTTTAAAATCTGAAGTGAAGATGTCTTTTGGTTTCATGATTTTGTTTTTTCCTATTTTGTCTTGCAGTGATCACAAACTATTCTTTGGGTCATTTCACCAGTTTTACACATTTATACTGTAGTCACAGAAAAAAATTCTCCTCCTTTCCTATACCATCTCAACCCATGTCTTTGCTTACTTCATTCAGCATTTTCGATTTTCTTCATGAAAGTACGCCATCTGGATCATGATCTTCAAGCCCACATCCAACATAGCCTTTATTTTTACTCTGTTGCATTCAGGTGACCCCAGATGCCCTTCCATTTTTGATAGTCATTCTGCTGTACTTGACATTTACCATGACCTTTTGCTCAGGATTTCATAAGCCTTTCAATGTTAGCATGATTGAAAAAAAATACTTTAGTTGCGTTGGCTACATGGGAATGGATAGGACCACACATGGGGAGGATATGAAGGAACAAAAGTTTTGTTTTGTTTGAGATGGAGTTTCACTCTTGTTGCTCACGCTGGAGTGCAATGGCACAATCTTGGCTCACCCCAACCTCCGCCTCCCAGATTCAAGCAATTTTCCTGCCTCAGCCTCCCGAGTAGCTAAGATTACAGGCATTTGCCAAAACGCTCAGCTAATTTTGTATTTTTAGTAGAGATGGGGTTTCTCTCCAAGTGGGTCAGGCTGTTCTCGAACTCCCGACCTCAGGTGATCTGCCCCCTCGGCCTCCCAAAGTGCTGGGATTATAGGTGTGAACCACAGTGCCCGGCCAACAAAAGTTTGAGTAAGTGTAGCATTGATAAGTCATAGTATAAATTCTAGCAGAGATAAGTAAATCATTATAATATGGTATAAAGTAGCAGTCCCTACCTTTTTGACACCAGGGACCAGTTTTGTGGAAGACAATGTTTCCATGGACTGGGGCGGGAGAAAATGGTACGTGGTTTTGGGATGAAACTGTTCCACCTCAGATAATCAGGCAGTAGATTCTCATAAGGAGTGTGCAACCTAGATCCCTCGCATACACAGTTCACAATAAGGTTCACGCTCCTATGAGAATCTAGTCACCGCTGATCTGACAGGAGGCCGAGCTCAGGCGGTCATGCTCGCTCACCTGCTGCTCACCTTCTGCTGTGCAGCCCGGTTCCCAACAGACCATGGACTGGTCTGTGGCCTGGGGGTTGGGGACCTCTGGTATAAAGATTAGAGGCAGATATACCTATTAATTAATGATTATATAATTATGAGAATTAAACTGGTAATATCTATTATGTATTTGGGATTTGCTAATTAATGGTGATAATAGAGATTGTTTCTGCCCTGGGGGTAGTTCAAGGATAACACTTAACTAACAGACTAACTAAACTAACAGAATAATATGAGAAAATTAATAAACATATGATTCAAAAATTGGAGAAAGTGTTATAAATATGAAAAAGAATGTGCATGGCCAGGTGCAGTGTCTCACACTGTAATCTCAGCACTTTGGGAGGCCGAGGCGGGCAGATCATCTGAGGTCAGGAGTTCGAGACCAGCCTGGCCAACATGGTGAAACCCCGTCTCTACTAAAAATACAGAAAAATTAGCCGAGCCTGGTGGTGGGTGCCTGTAATCCCAGCTACTGGGGAGGTTGAGGCAGGAGAATTACTTGAACCCAGGAGGCAGAGGTTGCAGTGAGCTGAGATTGTGCCACTGCACTCCAGCCTGGGCAACAAGAAACTCCATCTCAAAAAAACAAAGAAAAGAGAAAGAGTGTGCTAAGAGAGTGTGGTTTGAATGTTTGTCTCCTCCAAAACTCATGTTGAAACTTAATCCCCAATGGGTGGGATCTATGAGGGGTGAATGGGTCACAAGGGCTTTCATGGCTTAATGGATTAATGAGTTATTATGGGAGTGGGACACATGGCTTCGTAAGAAGCAAAAGAGACACCTGAGCTAGCACACTCAGCCCCCATTACCCATTGATGGTCTGTGCGCTGCCTTGGGACTCTGCAGGGTTGTCACCAGCAAGAAGGCTCTCACCAGATGCAGTCCCTCAACTTTGGAGTTCTCAGCCCCCATAATTGTTAAGAAATAAACTCCTTAATCCGTCAGAGTAGAGTAGAAATAATAATAATACATTCCTTTTCTTTATAAATTATCCATTTTCAGATACTTCATTATAAGCAACAGAAAATGGAGTAAGACAAGCGTAAAGTGCATAGACTTAAATAGGGCCAGCAGGACTAGCCTTTGTGAAGAAGTGATTTTGATTTGAGGCTGAGAATGAAAACCAGCCAACCATGCAGTGTCAGAGGATTCCTCAAAGAAGGAGCAGCCTGTGAAGAGTCCTATTTATTTGGAACAGTTGTGGGGCATTTTGTGCGTTGAAAGAGGCCAGTATGCTATGAACAGAGAGAACAAATGGGAGAAGATATTTGTTGACAAGCAGCAGCTTTATTATTTATGCTCAGGTATTTATATTTTATTATAATGGTAAAGAGATAGCATTGAAAACATTTAAACAGAGAGACTCAAATATTGATCAGCATCCCAATAATTTCTTGAAGAATATAAACAAGAACAAAACAATTACTTGCCCAGGACTTTGTCCTATAGATGGTTTCAGTCAGTTAAAAACACCTCTGCATAGTTTAAACAAATCTCTAGGTGATTCTTATCCACACTTAAAACAGGGCTTCACTGATTTGACTTGCTTTCCTAATCACCAGCCCTGCCTGCACTCCTGGACTCTTTATTTGCTGTGTTTCCCTTTTTCAAAATGATGAGAGTGCAATCTGTCCCATGGTACACATTAGCAGAATAGTGGCAAAAGAATTGTGTATAATGTAGATGATTGGCTTATGAGTAATTTTTCTAGTCCAGTGGAGCTAGCTTAGTGGAGGTATATTTATAATGTTCAGTAGGAAAGACAAAGGCCTTCTACATGATGCTTTATTATCAGGAGCCCTTTCACCCGTTTTAAGAAAATTAATAATAAATGTCTGCACCCAGGTCTCCCTCCCCAGAGGAATATACCATCAACCTTGCATGGCCTCTTATCTAAAGACAGGCTGCACTTTACCTTACTCCCACCTTAATGATGTCCTCACTGGCTCTGGGCTTTATTTTCATGTACAGTGTCTCAGGACCTGAAGTCTAGCATTGTCTCTTTATTTTTGTGCATTTTAATACACATGAAGTGCTGAGGTGTCTTTTGGTTTATCCCTTTAGATGTCAACTATTTTATTTGTTAGTGTTCTACTGATTAAAGATGCATAGAATTGGCTGGGCATGGTGGCTCACACCTGTAATCCCAGCACTTTGGAAGGCTGAGGCGGGCGGATCACCTGAGGTCAGGAGTTCGAGACCAGTCTGGCCAACATGGTGAAACCCTGTCTCTACTAAAAATACACACAAAAATATTAGCCGGGCTTGGGGGTGTGTGCCTGTAATCCCAGCTACTAGGAGGGCTGAGGCAGGAGAATTGCTTGAACCCAGGAGGCAGAGGTTGCAGTGAGCCGAGATTGTGCCACTGCACTCCAGCCTGGGTGACAGAGCAAGACTGTGTCTCAAAAAAAAAAAAAAAAAAAAAAAGGCATAGAATGAAGTGGTCCTCGCCGGGCGCAGTGGCTCACTCCTGTAATCCCAGCACTTTGGGAGGCCGAGGTGGGTGGATCACGAGGTCAGGAGATCGATACCATCCTGGCTAACACGGTGAAACCCCGTCCCTACTAAAAAATACAAAAAAAAATTAGCCGGGCGTGGTGGCAGGTGCCGGTAGTCCCAGCTACTTGGGAGGCTGAGGCAGGAGAATGGCGTGAACCCGGGAGGCGGAGCTTTCAGTGAGCCGGGATCGCACTACTGCACTCCAGCCTGGGCAACAGAGCGAGACTCCATCTCCAAAGAAAAAAAAAAAATTAAGTGGTCCTGCTCCGGGCCTATTTTTCTTCTGAACACAGTAATTTTTAGTGTGTACTTTTGTAGAAGATAAGGTTTTTTAGGTACACATATATAAGATTGTGGCAGAAATGTCTATGTTTGAGATCTGTCTAATCCATTCAATTTGTAACAGGCATTATTTTAGGTGCCTTTTCTCTATAGAAGTGGTTTTTTTGTTTGTTTGTTTTTTCTTTCTGGAACAGGAAAACAGTATGTATTTGCTTTCTTGTTTTCTTTCAGATTTGGAGTCCAGATACAGGACCAATACTTTATCTCCAGAAAAGGACATTTATGAAATATATTCATTTCAGTGGGATATAATGGAAAGAATTAAAAGCTATAGCCTTCAGGGTTCCATTTTTAGGAATGATTGGGAATGCAAAAGCAAGATTGAGGGGGAAAAGGAACAACAAGAGGGATATTTTGGGCAAGTGAAAATTACCTCTGAAAAAATGACCACTTACAAAAGGCACAATTTTCTTACTGAGTATCAGATCGTTCATAATGGAGAAAAGGTGTATGAGTGTAAGGAGTGTAGGAAGACCTTTATTCGTCGCTCAACACTTAGTCAACACCTGAGAATTCATACTGGTGAGAAACCTTATAAGTGTAAGGAATGTGGGCAGGCCTTTAGACAGCGTGCACATCTTATTCGACATCACAAACTTCACACCGGTGAGAAACCCTATGAATGTAAGGAGTGTGGGAAGGCCTTTACAGTGCTCCAAGAACTTACTCAACATCAGAGACTTCATACGGGTGAAAAACCCTATGAATGTAAGGAATGTGGAAAGGCCTTTAGAGTACATCAGCAACTGGCTCGACATCAGAGAATTCACACTGGTGAGAAACCCTATGAATGTAAGGACTGTGGAAAGACCTTTAGACAGTGTACACACCTTACACGCCATCAGAGACTTCATACTGCTGAAAAGCTCTATGAATGTAAGGAATGTGGGAAAGCCTTCGTATGTGGTCCAGACCTTAGAGTACATCAGAAAATTCATTTTGGTGAGAAACCCTATGAATGTAAGGAGTGTGGAAAGGCTTTTAGAATATGCCAACAACTTACTGTTCATCAGAGTATTCATACTGGTGAGAAACCCTACGAATGTAAGGAATGTGGGAAGACTTTTAGATTAAGACAACAACTAGTTCGCCATCAGAGAATACATACTCGTGAGAAACCCTATGAATGTATGGAATGTTGGAAGACCTTTAGTAGTTACTCACAGCTTATTTCACACCAGAGCATTCATATTGGTGAGAGACCCTATGAATGTGAAGAGTGTGGAAAGGCCTTTAGACTGCTCTCACAACTTACTCAGCATCAAAGTATTCACACTGGTGAGAAACCTTATGAATGTAAGGAATGTAGAAAACCTTTTAGACTGCTCTCACAACTTACCCAACATCAGAGTATTCACACTGGTGAGAAACCTTATGAATGTAAGGAATGTGGTAAGGCTTTTAGACTTTATTCATTTCTTACTCAACACCAGAGAATTCATACTGGTGAGAAGCCCTACAAGTGTAAGGAGTGTAAGAAGGCCTTTAGACAGCATTCACACCTTACTCAGCATCAGAAGATTCATAATGGAATTTAATAGAAGAAAGCCTTCAAATGTATATGATGTTACAGAACATCAGAAAATTCATTTTTGAGAAAATGTGTTTCATGCTCAATTCCAAGCATAATAAATTTTATATTAGAGAAAGAATATGTTGATTTAAAAGCCTTCCAACACCATTTAAACATGGTTTATCTTCAGCAAATTCCTATGAGAGAATAATGTAATGAATGTAGGAAAATCTTTAGCCTTATCTGTCATTATCTCCCTTTCTCCACTTGATTACCAGTTTGATTTATTGGACAAGATACTAAGCTTCTGTGCCTCATTTTGCTGACTTGTAAAATGGTAATAATAGTACTTATATGTATTAGTTATTTATTGCTGCGTAATAAATTACCACAGACTTAGTAGCATAAAATAACATATAATTATATCTTATAATTTGGATCAGGAGTATAGGCATGACTTAGTTGGGTCCTCTGCTTCAGGGTCTCTTGCAAGGCTACAGATTTCAGCCAGGGCTGAGGTCTCATCTGAAGGCTCAACTGGGGAAGGATCCACATCCAGACTAACATAGTTGTTACCCAATGTATTTCCGTGAGGCCTGTTGCATTGAGATTCTCAGTTTCTAGCTGGCTGTTGGCTGAACGCTGACTGCAGCTCCTGGCCACAATAGCCTCATCAACATGGCTGCTTGCTTCATCAAGGCATGCAAGCCAAAAGGGAGGACAGTCTGCTAGCAAGATGGAAGTTACCATCTTGTGTAATCTAATCATGGAAGTAACATTCCCTCACCTTCTACTGGTAGAAGTAAGTTACTAGGATAGTCCACACTCAAGAGAACGGGATGATACAAGAGTGTGAATAAGTCCTGGAGACAGGACCACTGGGGGGCCTGTTTAGAGTCAGCCTGCCACACTGTGGAATAGGATTGTTGCAAGGAGTAAGTAGTTAATACTTGGAGGAATCACAGTCATATAGCATGTATTCTGTAAATATTATCTGTAATTGTTATTATTGTCATTAGTATTAGTGAATTCACGTAAAAGGAAGATCTGTAGACATAATAAATGTAGAAATGCCTCCTGTCACCTCTCAGAAATTATTAAACATAATTTATTCTAGGTAAAATTTAGATTGTAGTGAATGTAGGAAGTTCTTCAGCACTTGAGCTGCATTAGAAATTTCATGCCAAAAATGAATTTCATGAATGTGAGGTCACTAGTAATACAGCTGTTGAAGAATTAGAGGGAAATAGGAAATGATTTTCCCATAATTCCAGAAAGCAAAAGGCTTACAATCCCTGTTGTCTGACCACAGTTTAAAATTAATTAGAAACTATCAAAAATGTGGCTTAAAAGAAATTAACCACCTAGGAATTTAATATTGTTGTGTATATTTATGTGTGTGTATAAAACTCCTGTGGGAAAGAAACAAAACATCATTCTATAAGTCAGTATACTTTTGGATGCTCAAAATGCCATATCTTCAACCAGTAGGAGTTGTTTCAAGTTGAGTTTTTGATGTGATCCCACCAATAATTTGATAGTTTACTTGATTGTGGCTGCATAATTTGGTAACCTATGAAAGATGCTAGAGCACCAATGTATAATTTTTTTGAGACAGGGTGTCACTTTGTCCCCCAGGCTGGAGTGCAGTGGTACAAGCACAGTTCACTGTACCCTGTTCCTCCTGGGCTCAAGTGATTCTTCCACCTAAATTTTTTTTTTTTTTTTAGAGAAAGGGTCTCACTATGTTGCCCAGGCTGGTCTTGAACTTCTGGGCTCAAGTGATCCTCCCTCCTTGGCCTCCAAAGGTGCTGGGGTTACAGGTATGAGCCACCACACCCAGCCCAACTCATTATTCTTGAAATCAATAAATCAGAGGAAAAATTGTCATTTAGTTTCCTTTTCCCATGTGAACCAAATTTCAGGGTCACCAGAAGTTCATCAAATTCAAATGAATTTGGCCTGGCACAGGGGTCACACCTGTAATCCCAGCACTTTGGGAGGACAAGGTGGGTGGATCACTTGAGGCCAGGAGTTTGAGACCAACCTGGTTAACATGGTGAAACCCTGTCTGTACTAAAAATACAAAATTTAGCCAGGCATGGTGGCACACACCTGTAGTCCCAGGCTGAGGTGGGAGGATCACTTGAACCCAAGAGGCAGAGTTTGCAGTGAGCTGAGATCGTGCCACTGCACTCCAGCCTGGGTGACAGAGTGAGACCCTGTCTCAAAAAAAAAATTTGTTTTTTGAATGGGTTTTTCTTTTTTGAAGAAGTCTAATAAATCTAGAAGGAATTAGAGGATTAGAAAAATCACCATTTTCTAGACCTTAATGGAATAATGGGTCCAGAAAACATGATCTTCAATGGGTACTACAACTAATAGGTGAAATATTTTATAGCGAGATTTTTATGGTGGATCTATCAAACTGGCCACCTCTGAACCCTTTGATCTGTTTTAACCTTAATAAAAATGGGTCTATCAGACAACACACTTCCTGACGTAATGCAATAGGAAGTCCACACCACCATCTACAAAGCCTTATTGCTGGAATAATGAACTGAAAGCAGACAGGGACTAGATGAACAGTATATGGTCATCCCTTGGTATCCATGGGGAATTGGTTCCAGGATCCTCCACTGATGGTAAAATCTGAGGATGCTCAAGTCCCTTGTATAAAATGGCATAGTATGTATTTGCATATTACCTACTCACATCTTCCTGTATACTTTAAATTATCTTTAGATCACTTATACCTATCACAATGTAAATACTATGTAAATAGTTGTTATACTGTATTTTTCAATTTGCATTATTTTTATTGTATTTTATTTTTATTGTTTTTTTTTGAGTATTTTCTATTTGAGATTGGTTGAATCTGCACATATGGAGGGCTGGCTATAAAGGGCACCACAAGGAAGAAGCCAAACAGATCCAGAATGTGTGAAATTCTACAGAGCAAATTACCTGATTTCTTCAACTAACAGGTAGCATGAAAATACAAGGGGAAGGGCAACCATTAACAGATTAAAAGAGACTTAAAGAGACATATCAACTAAATTCAGTATGTTGGCATTACTTGGACCTGGTTTGAACAAAACATAAAAAGCCATTTTGGAGACAGTGAGGGAAGTGTGGACATGGACTAAATATTAAATGATATTTACATATATTAATTTGGTTAGGGATTATGTCAGTGTGATTATAAAAAATAAAAGATCGTATGATATGAGATACATACTATGAAATGAAGATAGACACATTTGGATTAAAATATTCTAGCAAAAGAAATAATTGGCAAAGAGAGCTGGAAACTAAATTGGCAACATGTTGATAATTTAAGTGGAGTGTTTTGTTCATGGAGACTTATTGTTCTAATATTTCTACTTTTGTATGTGTTTGAAATTTCAATAATAAAATGTTTAAAATCAAAACCAAAATTATAGACTATGTAGAAATGAATGACAGTGAGATGCCTGCACATCTAACCTTGTCAGATATAATCAAAGTTCTGTTCAGTGACAAATTAATGCCCTGTAATGTGGTAAGGAAATCTTATTTGTGGATACAGTCTTCATCTTCTTCACTTACCCACAGCAGCAACACCAGGCCTGTCACACAGATGAATGTGTTGAGGGAATGAATAAGTATTTCCGTCAAGAAAAAGGAAACAACAAAATAAAACCAACCCAAGTAAAGAACAGCCAAGTGGCCAGGTGCGGTGGCTCATGCCTGTAATCCCAGCACTTTGGGAGGCCATGGCAGGTGGATCACCTGAGGTCGGGATTTTGAGACCAGCCTGACCAACACTGAGAAACCCCATCTCTATTAAAGATACAAAATTAGCCAGGCATGGTGGTGCATGCCTGTAATCCCAGCTACTTGGGAGGCTAAGGCAGGAGAATCACTTGAATCCAGGAGGCGGAGTTTGTGGTGAGTTGAGATCGCGCCACTGCACTCCAGCCTGGGTAACAGAGCAAGAGTCTGTCAAAAAAAAAAAAAAAAAAAAAGGAACAGCCAAGTAACAGTAGAAAGTAGAAATTAAGAGAATGGAGAATATTAGACTTGATTCAATGTTAATAGTGATTAGATTTTGGCAGTTATAATCAAGGAAGAGAAAATGAAAGATAATACATTTAGAGTATTAATGATGATAAAAGAGACACAACTCTAGATTATATCAAGCAGATTTTTAAAATTATAAGGCAAAACTAGGCCGGGCACAGTGGCTCACACCTGTAACCCCAGCACTTTGGGAGGCCGAGGTGGGTGGATCACTTGAAGTCAGGAGTTCGAGACCAGCCTGACCAACATAGCAAAACCCCATCTCTACTAAAAATACAAAAATTAGCCTGTCATGGTGGCGGGCACCTGTAATCTAAGCTACTGGGGAGCCTGAGGCAGGAGAATTGCTTGAACCCAGGAGGCAGAGGTTGCGGTGAACCAAGATCACGCCACTGCACTCCAGCCTGGGTGACAGAGTGAGAACCTGTCTCAAAAATAATAAACATAATATGGTAAAACTATACATGCACACATGCACAAACGTGTATATTCATTCCAGTACAAGTAAAAATGTAGGATTGCATTTTTCCCCCAAAAGGAATATGTTTTACAATTAACTCACCGTATAACCCAAATAGATTAACAAAAAATGTGTGTGTGTGTGTGTGTGTGTGAACTCCCTGTTTAAAAAATCTGATACTTATAAAAACTTTAAGGAATAGATAATCCTAAAGATTTTACCAATTAATTCTGCAAGGTAAAATAATCCTAATAAAAATTAGATGAAGATAGTTTCTGAAAGCAAATTCTAGACCACCTTCATTATGAAGATTCTATTTTTCACAATTCTAAATAAAGTTTATTTAGAATTTATTACAAAATCTATCTTTGCTAATAGGTCAGTGTTTCTTTTCCCAAGCACCAAATACCTCCAGAAAGCCTGTGTTTGACCCCTAAATTCAACATTCTCCAGAAGTTTGCTTCAAGGAATATTAATTCTCGATGGTATTTGAAAAAAAGATTTCTTGGGAAAATAGGCAAATGAAGCAAAACATAAAACATCTACTTTTGGCCAGGCACGGTGGCTCACGCCTGTAATCCCAACATTTTGGGAGGCCAAGGCGAGCAGATCACTTGAGGTCAGGAGTTTGAGACCAGCCTGGCCAACATGGTGAAACCCTGTCTCTACTAAAAATACAAAATTAGCTGGGCGTGGTGGCTTGCACCTGTAATCCCAGCTACTTGGGAGGCTGAGGCAGGAGAATTGCTTGAACCCAGGAAATGGAGATTGCAGTGAGCTGAGATTTTGCCATTGCACTCCAACCTGGGCAACAAGAGTGAAACTCAGTCTCAAATAAAATAAAATAAAAATCTACTTTTGAGGAATTCAAAGTATACATGATCAGTTTGCCAAAGATTTAGTAAAGACATTTTTATTTAACTGAGTGTATCTCAAATTTATTGTGGAATTCTCAGTCCGAATATCTGGAATAGGAACAGCTTTGTTAGATGCTACCATAACCACAATGAATGTCTTCAAGGGTGTAATTTTAGATATGGTGAGTGGTTGTGTTGGGGGCGGCATAAGTCAGGGCAATTTTTTGCAGCTCATATCATGCTCTGAAAGTAGCTACCTGCTTTAATGGATGGTTAGTGCTTTTCTATAGAATGGAAAAGATTCCAGCCCGATCCTTGATATGTTTGTGTTAAACATGCTTATATATTATATTAAACAATGATTAAGGACATAAATGAGTTTCTGTGGTAATAAAGATGCTATATTGAATATCATTTTGTGTATTTTTTAATTTCCTTAAAGAGTCAAGAATCTAAGGTATTACCTAGAAATGAAATTGTTCGTTATAGGCTGTATACACTTTCAGCTTCACTGCTTATTGCCAAATTGTGGCTCCACCATTGTTCCAGTTTTGAATCCCTTTGATCATTGAATATCAGTGTTCATATTTCCCTACCTCTGCTATAAGTTTCAATATTTATTACACTGGGCCAGGCACGGTGGCTCACACCTATAATCCCAGCACTTTGGAAGGCCAAGGCAGGAGGATTGCTTGAGCCCAGAAGTACGAGACCAGGCTGGGCAACATGGCAAAACTCCATTTCTACAGAAAATACAAAAATTGGTTGGGTGCGGTGGCATGTGCCTGTGGTCTCAGCTACTTGGGAGGCGGAGGTGGACGGATCACTTGAGTCTGGGAAGTCAAGGCTGCAGTAAGCTGTGATCATGCCACTGCACTCCAGCCTGAGTGTTGGAGTGAGACCCGGTTTCAAAAAAAAAAAAAATTATTACCTTGATTACAAGTGAGTCAAGCATCTGTTCATATGCGTTTATTGGCCAATCGTGTTTACTGTGCTTTTTAATGATGCCTTTGCTGTATTTTTTTTTGCATTCTCATTTATTGATTTTTCAGGATTCTTAAAATAGTTTAGTATCGGTCGGGTGCGGTGGCTCACGCCTGTAATCCCAGCACTTTGAGAGGCCAAGGCAGGTGGATCACCTGAGGTCAGGAGTTCAAGACCAGCCTGGCCAACATGGTGAAACCCCATCTCTACTAAAAATACAAAAATTAGCTGGGCGTGGTGGTGCTCACCTGTAATCCCAGCTACTCGGGAGGCTGAGGCAGGAGAATCTCTTGAACCCAGGAGGCAGAGGTTGCAGTGAGCCGAGATCGCGCCACTGCACTCCAGCCTGGGTGACAGAATGAGACTCCCTCTCAAAAAAAAAATTTTTTTTTTAGGTATTGATCATTTTAGGTATTAAACATTTATAACCTGACCTCAAGTTATCTGCCTGCCTCGACCTCCCAAAGTGCTGGGATTATAGGCATAAGCCACCAATTCTGGCCTCTTTTTCTCTCCAATTCTGAAGCTTCACCACAAAGCAGTCAGAAACCAGGGACAGTAAGCCAGGAAATGAGGAAAAGAACTGAAAAGGCAGAAGCCATCCATATTTTATTTCCTCCTCTGCCATCTTACCACACTCCTTCCCCTTCCCCCACAGCATGGCTGAACTAAGGGAGAGCAGAACCCTCATCTGTAAAAAATGCTTAAGGTTTCTTTTTCTTTCCCTCCCTCCCTCCCTTCCCTTCTGTGGGGAAAAGAGAGATCAGACTGTTACTGTGTCTATGTAGAAAGAAGTAGACATAAGAGATTCCATTTTGTTCTGTACTAAGAAAAATTCTTCTGCCTTGAGATGCTGTTAATCTGTAACCCTAGCCCCAACCCTGTGCTCACAGAGACATGTGCTGTGTTGACTCAAGGTTCAATGGATTTAGGGCTATGCTTTGTTAAAAAAGTGCTTGAAGATAATATGCTTGTTAAAAGTCATCACCATTCTCTAATCTCAAGTACCCAGGGACACAATACACTGCGGAAGGCCGCAGGGACCTCTGTCTAGGAAAGCCAGGTATTGTCCAAGATTTCTCCCCATGTGATAGCCTGAGATATGGCCTCATGGGAAGGGTAAGACCTGACTGTCCCCCAGCCCGACATCCCCCAGCCCGACACCCGAAAAGGGTCTGTGCTGAGGAGGATTAGTAAAAGAGGAAGGCCTCTTTGCAGTTGAGGTAAGAGGAAGGCATCTGTCTCCTGCTCGTCCCTGGGCAATAGAATGTCTTGGTGTAAAACCCGATTGTATGTTCTACTTACTGAGATAGGAGAAAACATCCTTAGGGCTGGAGGTGAGACACGCTGGCGGCAATACTGCTCTTTAATGCACCGAGATGTTTGTATAAGTGCACATCAAGGCACAGCACCTTTCCTTAAACTTATTTATGACACAGAGACCTTTGTTCACGTTTTCCTGCTGACCCTCTCCCCACTATTACCCTATTGGCCTGCCACATCCCCCTCTCCGAGATGGTAGAGATAATGATCAATAAATACTGAGGGAACTCAGAGACCAGTGTCCCTGTAGGTCCTCCGTGTGCTGAGCGCCGGTCCCTTGGGCTCACTTTTCTTTCTCTATACTTTGTCTCTGTGTCTCTTTCTTTTCTCAGTCTCTCGTTCCACCTGACGAGAAATACCCACAGGTGTGGAGGGGCAGGCCACCCCTTCAATAATTTACTAGCCTGTTCGCTGACAACAAGACTGGTGGTGCAGAAGGTTGGGTCTTGGTGTTCACCGGGTGGCAGGCATGGGCCAGGTGGGAGGGTCTCCAGCGCCTGGTGCAAATCTCCAAGAAAGTGCAGGAAACAGCACCAAGGGTGATTGTAAATTTTGATTTGGCGCGGCAGGTAGCCATTCCAGCGCAAAAATGCGCAGGAAAGCTTTTGCTGTGCTTGTAGGCAGGTAGGCCCCAAGCACTTCTTATTGGCTAATGTGGAGGGAACCTGCACATCCATTGGCTGAAATCTCCGTCTATTTGAGGCTGACTGAGCGCGTTCCTTTCTTCTGTGTTGCCTGGAAACGGACTGTCTGCCTAGTAACATCTGATCACGTTTCCCATTGGCCGCCGTTTCCGGAAGCCCGCCCTCCCATTTCCGGAAGCCTGGCGCAAGGTTGGTCTGCAGGTGGCCTCCAGGTGCAAAGTGGGAAGTGTGAGTCCTCAGTCTTGGGCTATTCGGCCACGTGCCTGCCGGACATGGGACGCTGGAGGGTCAGCAGCGTGGAGTCCTGGCCTTTTGCGTCCACGGGTGGGAAATTGGCCATTGCCACGGCGGGAACTGGGACTCAGGCTGCCCCCCGGCCGTTTCTCATCCGTCCACCGGACTCGTGGGCGCTCGCACTGGCGCTGATGTAGTTTCCTGACCTCTGACCCGTATTGTCTCCAGATTAAAGGTAAAAACGGGGCTTTTTCAGCCCACTCGGGTAAAACGCCTTTTGATTTCTAGGCAGGTGTTTTGTTGCACGCCTGGGAGGGAGTGACCCGCAGGTTGAGGTTTATTAAAATACATTCCTGGTTTATGTTATGTTTATAATAAAGCACCCCAACCTTTACAAAATCTCACTTTTTGCCAGTTGTATTATTTAGTGGACTGTCTCTGATAAGGACAGCCAGTTAAAATGGAATTTTGTTGTTGCTAATTAAACCAATTTTTAGTTTTGGTGTTTGTCCTAATAGCAACAACTTCTCAGGCTTTATAAAACCATATTTCTTGGGGGAAATTTCTGTGTAAGGCACAGCGAGTTAGTTTGGAATTGTTTTAAAGGAAGTAAGTTCCTGGTTTTGATATCTTAGTAGTGTAATGCCCAACCTGGTTTTTACTAACCCTGTTTTTAGACTCTCCCTTTCCTTAAATCACCTAGCCTTGTTTCCACCTGAATTGACTCTCCCTTAGCTAAGAGCGCCAGATGGACTCCATCTTGGCTCTTTCACTGGCAGCCCCTTCCTCAAGGACTTAACTTGTGCAAGCTGACTCCCAGCACATCCAAGAATGCAATTAACTGTTAAGATACTGTGGCAAGCTATATCCGCAGTTCCGAGGAATTCATCCGATTGATTATGCCCAAAAGCCCCGCGTCTATCACCTTGTAATAATCTTAAAGCCCCTGCACCTGGAACTATTAACTTTCCTGTAACCATTTATCCTTTTAACTTTTTTGCTTACTTTATTTCTGTAAAATTGTTTTAACTAGACCTCCCCTCCCCTTTCTAAACCAAAGTATAAAAGAAGATCTAGCCCCTTCTTCAGAGCGGAGAGAATTTTGAGCATTAGCCATCTCTTGGCGGCCAGCTAAATAAATGGACTTTTAATTTGTCTCAAAGTGTGGCGTTTTCTCTAACTCGCTCAGGTACGACATTTGGAGGCCCCAGCGAGAAACGTCACCGGGAGAAACGTCACCGGGCGAGAGCCGGGCCCGCTGTGTGCTCCCCCGGAAGGACAGCCAGCTTGTAGGGGGGAGTGCCACCTGAAAAAAAAATTTCCAGGTCCCCAAAGGGTGACCGTCTTCCGGAGGACAGCGGATCGACTACCATGTGGGTGCCCACAAAAATTCCACCTCTGAGTCCTCAACTGCTGACCCCGGGGTCAGGTAGGTCAGATTTGACTTTGGTTCTGGCAGAGGGAAGCGACCCTGATGAGGGTGTCCCTCTTTTGACTCTGCCCATTTCTCTAGGATGCTAGAGGGTAGAGCCCTGGTTTTCTGTTAGACGCCTCTGTGTCTCTGTCTGGGAGGGAAGTGGCCCTGACAGGGGCCATCCCTTGAGTCAGTCCACATCCCAGGATGCTGGGGGACTGAGTCCTGGTTTCTGGCAGACTGGTCTCTCTCTCTCTCTTTTTCTATCTCTAATCTTTCCTTGTTCAGGTTTCTTGGAGAATCTCTGGGAAAGAAAAAAGAAAAACTGTTATAAACTCTGTGTGAATGGTGAATGAATGGGGGAGGACAAGGGCTTGCGCTTGTCCTCCAGTTTGTAGCTCCACGGCGAAAGCTACGGAGTTCAAGTGGGCCCTCACCTGCGGTTCCGTGGCGACCTCATAAGGCTTAAGGCAGCATCCGGCATAGCTCGATCCGAGCCGGGGGTTTATACCGGCCTGTCAATGCTAAGAGGAGCCCAAGTCCCCTAAGGGGGAGCGGCCAGGCGGGCATCTGACTGATCCCATCACGGGACCCCCTCCCCTTGTTTGTCTAAAAAAAAAAAAAGAAGAAACTGTCATAACTGTTTACATGCCCTAGGGTCAACTGTTTGTTTTATGTTTATTGTTCTGTTCGGTGTCTATTGTCTTGTTTAGTGGTTGTCAAGGTTTTGCATGTCAGGACGTCGATATTGCCCAAGACGTCTGGGTAAGAACTTCTGCAAGGTCCTTAGTGCTGATTTTTTGTCACAGGAGGTTAAATTTCTCATCAATCATTTAGGCTGGCCACCACAGTCCTGTCTTTTCTGCCAGAAGCAAGTCAGGTGTTGTTACGGGAATGAGTGTAAAAAAACATTCGCCTGATTGGGATTTCTGGCACCATGATGGTTGTATTTAGATTGTCATACCCCACATCCAGGTTGATTGGACCTCCTCTAAACTAAACTGGTGGTGGGTTCAAAACAGCCACCCTGCAGATTTCCTTGCTCACCTCTTTGGTCATTCTGTAACTTTTCCTGTGCCCTTAAATAGCACACTGTGTAGGGAAACCTACCCTCGTACTGCTTTACTTCGTTTAGATTCTTACTCTGTTCCTCTGTGGCTACTCTCCCATCTTAAAAACGATCCAAGTGGTCCTTTTCCTCCTCCCTGCCCCCTACCCCACACATCTCGTTTTCCAGTGCGACAGCAAGTTCAGCGTCTCCAGGACTTGGCTCTGCTCTCACTCCTTGAACCCTTAAAAGAAAAAGCTGGGTTTGAGCTATTTGCCTTTGAGTCATGGAGACACAAAAGGTATTTAGGGTACAGATCTAGAAGAAGAGAGAGAACACCTAGATCCAACTGACCCAGGAGATCTCGGGCTGGCCTCTAGTCCTCCTCCCTCAATCTTAAAGCTACAGTGATGTGGCAAGTGGTATTTAGCTGTTGTGGTTTTTCTGCTCTTTCTGGTCATGTTGATTCTGTTCTTTCGATACTCCAGCCCCCCAGGGAGTGAGTTTCTCTGTCTGTGCTGGGTTTGATATCTATGTTCAAATCTTATTAAATTGCCTTCAAAAAAAAAAAAAAAGGGGAAACACTTCCTCCCAGCCTTGTAAGGGTTGGAGCCCTCTCCAGTATATGCTGCAGAATTTTTCTCTCGGTTTCTCAGAGGATTATGGAGTCCGCCTTAAAAAAGGCAAGCTCTGGACACTCTGCAAAGTAGAATGGCCAAAGTTTGGAGTTGAGTGGCCCCTTGAAGGGTCACTGAACCTCACAATTGTTCAAGCTGTGTGGCGGGTTGTTACTGAAACTCCCGGCCTCCCTGATCAGTTTCCCTACATTGATCAATGGCTGAGTTTGGTCAGGAGCACCCCTTCCATGGCTCCACTCATGCACCATTCATAATTTTACCTCCAAGGTCCTCCTGAGCCAGACCGTGTTTTCGCCTCGACCCTCAGCCGGTTTAGCTCGCCCTGTACTGCCTCTCTCTGAAGAAGAGGAGAGTCTCCCTCACCCAGTCCCACCGCCTTAAAACCAGCCTACTCCCTTAGGGTCATCCCATGTCTCCTCGGCTATGTCCCCTGTAGGCTCATCACCCATTGCCTCTTGGTTGCAACCGTGGTGGGAGGAAGTAGCCCCTCTACTACCACTGAGAGAGGCACAAGTCCCTCTGGGTGATGAGTGCTCCACCCCCTTCCTGGTTTATGTCCCTTCTTTCTACTTCTGACTTGTATAATTGGAAAACCCATAATCCTCCCTTCTCTGAAAAGCCCCAGGCTTTGACCTCACTGATGGAGTCTGTACTCTGGACACATTGGCCCACCTGGGATGACTGTCAACAGCTCCTTTTGACCCTTTTCACCTCTGAAGAGAGGGAAAGTATCCAAAGAGAGGCCAAAAAGTACAACCTCACATCAACCAATAGGCCGGAGGAGGAAGCTAGAGGAATAGTGATTAGAGACCCAATTGGGACCTAATTGGGACCCAAATTTCTCAAGTGGAGGGAGAACTTTTGACGATTTCCACCGGTATCTCCTCGTGGGTATTCAGGGAGCTGCTCAGAAACCTATAAACTTGTCTAAGGCGACTGAAGTCGTCCAGGGGCATGATGAGTCACCAGGAGTGTTTTTAGAGCACCTCCAGGAGGCTTATCGGATTTACACCCCTTTTGACCTGGCAGCCCCCGAAAATAGCCATGCTCTTAATTTGGCATTTGTGGCTCAGGCAGCCCCAGATAGTAAAAGGAAACTCCAAAAACTAGAGGGATTTTGCTGGAATGAATACCAGTCAGCTTTTAGAGATAGCCTAAAAGGTTTTTGACAGTCAAGAGGTTGAAAAACAAAAACAAGCAGCTCAGGCAGCTGAAAAAAGCCACTGATAAAGCATCCTGGAGTATCAGAGTTTACTGTTAGATCAGCCTCATTTGACTTCCCCTCCCACATGGTGTTTAAATCCAGCTACACTACTTCCTGACTCAAACTCCACTATTCCTGTTCATGACTGTCAGGAACTGTTGGAAACTACTGAAACTGGCCGACCTGATCTTCAAAATGTGCCCCTAGGAAAGGTGGATGCCACCGTGTTCACAGACAGTAGCAGCTTCCTCGAGAAGGGACTACGAAAGGCCGGTGCAGCTGTTACCATGGAGACAGATGTGTTGTGGGCTCAGGCTTTACCAGCAAACACCTCAGCACAAAAGGCTGAATTGATCGCCCTCACTCAGGCTCTCCGATGGGGTAAGGATATTAACGTTAACACTGACAGCAGGTACGCCTTTGCTACTGTGCATGTACGTGGAGCCATCTACCAGGAGCGTGGGCTACTCACCTCAGCAGGTGGCTGTAATCCACTGTAAAGGACATCAAAAGGAAAACACGGCTGTTGCCCGTGGTAACCAGAAAGCTGATTCAGCAGCTCAAGATGCAGTGTGACTTTCAGTCACGCCTCTAAACTTGCTGCCCACAGTCTCCTTTCCACAGCCAGATCTGCCTGACAATCCCGCATACTCAACAGAAGAAGAAAACTGGCCTCAGAACTCAGAGCCAATAAAAATCAGGAAGGTTGGTGGATTCTTCCTGACTCTAGAATCTTCATACCCCGAACTCTTGGGAAAACTTTAATCAGTCACCTACAGTCTACCACCCATTTAGGAGGAGCAAAGCTACCTCAGCTCCTCCGGAGCCGTTTTAAGATCCCCCATCTTCAAAGCCTAACAGATCAAGCAGCTCTCCGGTGCACAACCTGCGCCCAGGTAAATGCCAAAAAAGGTCCTAAACCCAGCCCAGGCCACCGTCTCCAAGAAAACTCACCAGGAGAAAAGTGGGAAATTGACTTTACAGAAGTAAAACCACACCGGGCTGGGTACAAATACCTTCTAGTACTGGTAGACACCTTCTCTGGATGGACTGAAGCATTTGCTACCAAAAACGAAACTGTCAATATGGTAGTTAAGTTTTTACTCAATGAAATCATCCCTCGACATGGGCTGCCTGTTGCCATAGGGTCTGATAATGGACCGGCCTTCGCCTTGTCTATAGTTTAGTCAGTCAGTAAGGCGTTAAACATTCAATGGAAGCTCCATTGTGCCTATCGACCCCAGAGCTCTGGGCAAGTAGAACGCATGAACTGCACCCTAAAAAACACTCTTACAAAATTAATCTTAGAAACCGGTGTAAATTGTGTAAGTCTCCTTCCTTTAGCCCTACTTAGAGTAAGGTGCACCCCTTACTGGGCTGGGTTCTTACCTTTTGAAATCATGTATGGGAGGGCGCTGCCTATCTTGCCTAAGCTAAGAGATGCCCAATTGGCAAAAATATCACAAACTAATTTATTACAGTACCTACAGTCTCCCCAACAGGTACAAGATATCATCCTGCCACTTGTTCGAGGAACCCATCCCAATCCAATTCCTGAACAGACAGGGCCCTGCCATTCATTCCCGCCAGGTGACCTGTTGTTTGTTAAAAAGTTCCAGAGAGAAGGACTCCCTCCTGCTTGGAAGAGACCTCACACCGTCATCACGATGCCAACGGCTCTGAAGGTGGATGGCATTCCTGCGTGGATTCATCACTCCCGCATCAAAAAGGCCAACGGAGCCCAACTAGAAACATGGGTCCCCAGGGCTGGGTCAGGCCCCTTAAAACTGCACCTAAGTTGGGTGAAGCCATTAGATTAATTCTTTTTCTTAATTTTGTAAAACAATGCATAGCTTCTGTCAAACTTATGTATCTTAAGACTCAATATAACCCCCTTGTTATAACTGAGGAATCAATGATTTGATTCCCCAAAAACACAAGTGGGGAATGTAGTGTCCAACCTGGTTTTTACTAACCCTGTTTTTAGACTCTCCCTTTCCTTTAATCACTCAGCCTTGTTTCCACCTGAATTGACTCTCCCTTAGCTAAGAGCGCCAGATGGACTCCATCTTGGCTCTTTCACTGGCAGCCGCTTCCTCAAGGACTTAACTTGTGCAAGCTGACTCCCAGCACATCCAAGAATGCAATTAACTGATAAGATACTGTGGCAAGCTATATCCGCAGTTCCCAGGAATTCGTCCAATTGATTACACCCAAAAGCCCCGCGTCTATCACCTTGTAATAATCTTAAAGCCCCTGCACCTGGAACTATTAACGTTCCTGTAACCATTTATCCTTTTAACTTTTTTGCCTACTTTATTTCTGTAAAATTGTTTTAACTAGACCCCCCCTCTCCTTTCTAAACCAAAGTATAAAAGCAAATCTAGCCCCTTCTTCAGGCCGAGAGAATTTCGAGCGTTAGCCGTCTCTTGGCCACCAGCTAAATAAACGGATTCTTCATGTGTCTCAAAGTGTGGCGTTTTCTCTAACTCGCTCAGGTACGACCGTGGTAGTATTTTCCCCAACGTCTTATTTTTAGGGCACGTATGTAGAGTAACTTTTATGAAAGAAACCAGTTAAGGAGGTTTTGGGATTTCCTTTATCAACTGTAATACTGGTTTTGATTATTTATTTATTTATTTATTTTTTTTTTTTGAGAAGGAGTTTCACTCTTGTTGCCCAGGCTGGAGTGCAATGGTGCGATCTTGGCTCACTGCAACTTCCGCCTCCCAGGTTCAAGCGATTCTCCTGCCTCAGCCTCGAGAGTAGTTGGGATTATAGGCATGCGCCACCACACCCAGCTAATTTTGTATTTTTAGTAAAGATGGGGTTTCTTCATGTTGGTCAAGCTGGTCTGGAACTCCCCGCCTCGGGTGATCTGCCCGCCTCGGCCTCCGAAAGTGCTGGGATTACAGGTGTGATCCACCACACCCAGCCGATTTATATGTATATAAATCACATTCCTCTAACCAAAATGTAGTGTTTCCTTCCATCTTGAATATAGGCTGTAGACCCCGTGGGTATGGGACATTGTTAACAGTGAGACCACAGCAGTTTTTATGTCATCTGACAGCATCTCCAAATAGCCTTCATGGTTGTCACTGCTTCCCAAGACAATTCCAAATAACACTTCCCAGTGATGACTTGCTACTTGCTATTGTTACTTAATGTGTTAAGGTGGCTGTTACAGACACTATTAGTATGTCAGGAATTACACCAAAATTTAGTGGCTCAAACAATCATTTTATTATGTTTGTGGATTCTCATGGTCAGGTCAGGATTTCAGACAGGGCACAAGGGTAGCCCACTTGTCTCTGTCTATGATGTCTGGCCTCAGCACAGGAGACTCAACAGCTGGGGTCTGGGACCATTTGGAGGCTTGTTCCCTCACATCTGATACCTGGCTTGGGATGTTGGAAGAGGGGGTGAGCTGAGACTGAGTGCCTATATGTAGTGTTTCCATATGGCCTTGACTTCCTTACAGCCTGGCAGCCTCAGGGTAGTCAGAATTCTTAGGAGGCACAGGGCTCCAGGGCAGATGCTGAGGGGTCTTTTATGAGGTAGCACAGCAAATCCACCCAGGATAGGGGAGACAGGACATCGATTCTGCCTCCCAAAGGGAGGAGTGGCAAGAAATGTTCAGCTATTTTTTAAAACTATCACAGCAATATTAATATGTCAGAAAAAATTAAAGCATCCTGATAGCTGCATTTCTAAGTAATTGGTCTCCTTTGAAATTCTATGAATTGTGTTTTTTTATAGTTTATGGCATTATTCTGAGGAGGGGTCAAAGACTCTCCCATATGTTAGAAGGGTCCTGCACAGAACAGGCTCACCCCCGCCCACGTCCCCCAGTGTTTGAAATGCATAGTGTTTGCTCTGGTTTATTGGTTAGGGCAGGACTTTCTCATTTGTTTTAGATCTAACAGCAGTTTAGAAATTGGCCTGTAACTTTTTTTTGGCCTGATTTCCTTCTGTTTGTGCCGATATTCTCACCTCAGTAGGAATCAGGAGCTTCTTTTGCTGTTCTTCTGTTTTGGATGCATTGGAAGGTAAGTTTCCTTGTGAACCATATTTTGGACTCATTTTGTAGGCTTTGCCAAATGGCCTTTTTACCCTCCTATAATGCATTTTCTTTGGATATTCTCCTAGATTCTCAGGGATATTTCCATATTTTACTATTCATGAGTTTAGAAGAGTGTTTACTTTCCTGAGTTTTCATTTCCTTCTTTTTCTTCTGTCATAGGTAATTTACAGAGCAAATAGCCACCAGAGAGGATACCGTAAGGGATGTGGAAAATGAGTTCTTTTGCGCTTATCCAGTGAGGTTGATTTTCAGTCAATGAGCATTCAGTATATGCCTGGGACTCTGGCTTTATTTTTTAGCTTTGTGATGCCAAACCCATCAATGAACTTCTCTGTATATTTGATTCATCATGAAATGGTGACACTGAGGGTGGCTGATTTCCAGGTTTACATCAGTTGCCCCAGGGGAAGTGCCTGGCCCTTGTCTGGTTGTTGCTGCTCTAACTTTGCCCTGTTAATTGAAGAAATGCGGCTGTAAACACTTCCTGGGGTGTTGCTGGTATTTTCTGTCCTCACAGTTTACAGAGAAACCCATATTTTCAGCCTCTTCCTCTGCTTTCTGTCTTTTCTGAACCATCTCACCCGACCTGGTGTAATCTTCATTGTGTGTGAGTTTGCACAGATGTAACATCTCCTCAAAGCCTAGTGCCCACCTCCCACCTCCACGAAAATCTGGAGCTCAGGAACCACCACTCTCCCCAACCCATTGCAGGCTTGAACATTTGATGGTGGAAACCCTGCCCTGAGTTTGTATTATGGTGGGTTCTCTTGGGTCTTGTTCTCTGTGGGTCTGTCCTGCGCTATAGTGTGTGGAGCCGGGGGGATTTTCACTGTGTTCCTAAAGGAAGGGCACAAGGAGTTGTTGGGCAAATGGTCTGATATTTCCTTTTTTTTTTTTTTGAAACAGAGTCTCACTCTGTTTCCCAGGCTGGAGTTCTGTGGCACCGTGTTGGCTCACTGCAACCTCCGTCTCCTGGGTTCAAGCAATTCTCTTGCCTCAGCCTCCAGAGTAGCTGGGATTACAGGTGCCCACCACCACACCCGGCTAATTTTTTTATATTTTTAGTAGACACGGGGTTTCACCATGTTGGCCAGGCCGGTCTTGAACTTGTGACGTCAGGTGATGCACCCGCCTTGGCCTCCCAAAGTGCTGGGATTACAGGTGGGTGCCTGGCCAAGGGGCTGATATTTCTTAAGGGCTTTCCCCAAGAAGGAAAAAGCCAAACCTACTCAGGCAAATCTTGTTTATTTATTCTTCTAGGTCCAGATTTTGAACAAATCTCGCTAGAGATTGAACAGGTAAGGCTCACCTTTCGATAGTTACACCAAGAAACGCCTAGCTGATGACTTAAGCTATGGTTTTGGGCAGCATGAGAGTGGTCAGGTGGACAGTAGGGAAGTCTATACAACCCAAAGGGAAAAGAGAAAAGGCCCATGAGAAATCAGGGCAAATTGCCACAGTGTGTTTTTCTTGATGGTGTCACTGAAATGTGGGTTACCTTCCCACTGTGTCCCCCAAAGGACATGAGGCCACAGACTGCAGTGCCCATGAACAGAGGAGCTGTGGGGATGGTGGTTTGATCGCTCCGTTCAAATGCACACCCCGGTGCATGTGCATCTCTTCTGATGCAGGGCCCCAGTGGGTAAGCTCTGTGCTTCTCCACACAGTGGATCAGGAGTGGAAACATTCTGTCTGTTTAGCGCTTGATGGTTTGGTGGTGACCTCATGTCATGGTGATTAGAGCCAGTGATCCTAACAGTTTAAAATTGTTGAGCTTGTGGGTAGGTATTTGGGAGATAGTATGTGTGTTACCTAGTGTTTGTCATCTGCAGTGGTTTTGTTACTTTTTGCATAAACTGTGGAGAATGTTTACTAACTGCAGATGATAGAGAAATCATCAGTCACTCTAAAATCCTCCCATTTCTTGGTCTAGAGCTGCGCCTGGATCCCGCCACAGTGAGGAGACCTGAAGACCAGAGAAAACACAGCAAGTAGGCCCTTTAAACTACTCACCTGTGTTGTCTTCTAATTTATTCTGTTTTATTTTGTTTCCATCATTTTAAGGGGTTAAAATCATCTTGTTCAGACCTCAGCATATAAAATGACCCATCTGTAGACCTCAGGCTCCAACCATACCCCAAGAGTTGTCTGGTTTTGTTTAAATTACTGCCAGGTTTCAGCTGCAGATATCCCTGGAAGGAATATTCCAGATTCCCTGAGTAGTTTCCAGGTTAAAATCCTATAGGCTTCTTCTGTTTTGAGGAGGAGTTCCTGTCAGAGAAAAACATGATTTTGGATTTTTAACTTTAATGCTTGTGAAACGCTATAAAAAAAATTTTCTACCCCTAGCTTTAAAGTACTGTTAGTGAGAAATTAAAATTCCTTCAGGAGGATTAAACTGCCATTTCAGTTACCCTAATTCCAAATGTTTTGGTGGTTAGAATTTTCTTTAATGTTCTTGAAGAAGTGTTTTATATTTTCCATCAAGATTAATTCTCTCTCTCTTTTTTTTTTTTTTTTTTTTTTTTAGACGGAGTCTTGCTCTGTTGTCCAGGCTGGAGTGTAGTGTGGCGATCTCGGCTCCCTGCAAGAATCTGCCTCCCAGATTCACGCCATTTTCCCACCTCAGCCCCTGGAGTAGCTGGAAGTACAGGCTCCCGCCACCACGCCTGGCTAATTTTGTTTTTGTATTTTTAGTAGAGACGGGGTTTCACTGTGTTAGGTAGGATGGTCTCGATCTCCTGACCTCATGATCCATCCGCCTTGGCCTCTCAAAGTGCTGGGATTACAGGCATGAGCCACCGCACCTGGCTGTTTTTTCATTTCTATTATGATTTGTTCTGTGGAATGTCAGTGACTTAGCGGTGTTTTTCACATGTTTATAAAGCTGAATAGTTCTGTATGTCAGCTCAGCACCCCTAGTGTCAGTCATGCTACTCTCCTGCTGTGCATAGATGGGGGCCTGTCCACACCCAAATCTCCTGGGTTCCCGCTGTCCGCACCTGAAGGTACCCACCAGATGTGTCTGTCACTGCCCTCCATCCACCTTTCTTGTGGTTCTCATGTTTCTGCCTCCCTAGAGACCATTTCTCTCTACAGCAGTAGTTTCCAATAGAAATACAATGCCAGACACATACGTCATTTTAGATTTTCTAGTAGTCACTTTAGAAAAGTGAAAAAGAGGCCAGCTGCAGTGGCTCACACCTGTAATCCCAGCACTTTGGAAGGCTGAGGTGGGTGGATCACGAGGTCAGGAGATCGAGACCATCCTGGCCAACATGGTGAAACCCCCTCTCTACTAAAAATACAAAAAATTAGCTGGGCGTGGTGGCAGGCGCCTGTAGTCCCAGCTACTCGAGAGGCTGAGGCAGGAGAATGGCGTGAACCCGGTAGGCAGAGCTTGCAGTGAGCCGAGATAGCGCCACTGCACTCCAGCCTGGGCGACAGAGGGAGACTCCATCTCAAAAAAAAAAAAAAGGTTACAAAGAAACAGGTGAAATTAGTTTTATTTCACCTAAAATGTTAGCATTATCCAAAATATCACTTCAACATCTTATCAAAATAAAAATTATTAATGAGATAGCTTACAGTCTTTCTTTTCTTTGAGACAGGGTCTTGCTTTGTGGTCCAGGCTGGAATGCAGTGGCACCAGCATAGCTCATTGCAGTTTCAGACTCCTGGGCTTGAGATCCTCCTGCCTCAGTCTTCCTAGTATTCGGACTACAGGCACACACCACCATGCCACGCTAGTTTTTTTTTTTTTTTAAAGACAGGGTCTCACTCTGTCAGCCGGGCTGGAGTGCAGTGGCACAATCTCGGCTCACTGCAGCCTCGATCTCCGGGGCTGAAATGATCCTCCCACCTCAGCCTCCCAAGTAGCTGGGACCAAAAACATGTGCCACCACGCCTGAATAATTTTTGTATTTTTTTGTTAAGACAGGGTTTCGGCATGTTGTCCAGGCTGGTCTTGAACTCCAGAGCTGAAGTGATCCACCCACCTTGGCTTCCCAAAGTGTTGGGATTACAGGCATGAGCCACTGCACTCGGCCTAATTTTTTTTTTTTCTGAAGAGATGAGGTCTTGCTATGTTGCCCAGTCCAGTCTCAAACTTCTGGCTCAAGCAGTCCTCCCGCCTTGGCCTTCCAAAGTGCTGGGATTACAGATGTGAGCCACCACACTGGCCCATTCTTTCTTTTATACTGAGTATTCAGAATTTTTTTAAAATGTGTTTTCCACTTACAGCATTTCTCAGGTTGGACTAGCCATCTTTCAAGTGCTCAGCAGCCACATGTGGCAAGTGGCTGCCTTATTGGACAGCACAGCTCTGGAGGGTGATTTTATGTACATCCCCACTGCTCTCTCTGCCTCCTTTATTCCCATCTACCCCACACCCCTGCAGTCTGTGACTATCGTGTCCCTCTCTCCTCTCTTTCTGTCTCTTGTAATTCTTTAATATGGAGAATTATTTCCAATTCCTTAACATCCTGCGCTGATTTTTTTCTGTCTTACATTCAAGGGTCACAGTTTTCCTCTCACCCTCATTTCAGTCTTTTCCCATAACACGTGACGTGCCTTTTTGTCTTGGTTGGGTATTTATTTGCAATACAAGAATGATTGTTTTCTTTGATACATTAGTGACTTACATAGTTTTCATGTTTTTTGAGTACCTCTTTCTTGACAGAATTTCAAATTAATTCTAGCGTTAAACTAGAAATCTTTTTTTTTTTTTTTGAGACACAGTCTTCCTATGGCAACCAGTCTGGAGTGCAGTGGTGCAATCTCAGCTCACTACAACCTCTGCCTTCCAGATTCAAGTGATTCTCCTGCCTCAGCCTCCCGAGTACCCGGGATTACAGATGTGCACCACCATGCCTGGCTAATTTTTGTCTTTTTAGTAGAGACAGTTTTTTGCCATTTTGGCTAGGCTGGTCTTGAACTCCTGACCTCAAGTGATCTGCCTGCCTCAGCTTCCCAAAGTGCTGGGATTACAGGGGTGAGCCACTGTGCCCAACCTAGAAAGCTTATTTTATTTTATTATTATAATTAATTTTATTTTTTTGAGATGGAGTCTCGCTCTGTTGCCCAGGCTGGAGTGCAGTGGCGCAATCTCTGCTCACTGCAAGCTCCACCTCCCAGGTTCACGCCATTCTCCTCCCTCAGCCTCCTGAGTAGCTGTGACTACAGGCGCCCGCCACCACACCTGGCTAATTTTTTGTATTTTTCATGGAGACAGGGTTTCACCATGTTAGCCAGGATGGTCTCAATTTCCTGACCTCGTGATCCACCCGCCGTGGCCTCCCAAAGTGCTGGGATTACAGGCGTGAGCCACCGCGCCTGGCCTATAATTAATTTTTTTGAGATGGAGTCTTACTCTGTCTCCCAGGCTGGAGTACAGTGGCACATCTTGGACCCCTGCAACCTCTGCCTCCTGGGTTCAAGCAGTTCTCTCTACCTCAGCCTCTCCAGTAGCTGGGATTACAGGTGCCCACCACCATGCCCAGCTAATTTTTGTATTTTTAGTAGAGATGGGGTTTCACCATGTTGGCCAGGCTGGTCTCGAACCCCTGACCTCAGGTGATACGCCCGCCTCGGCCTCCCAAAGTGTGAGATTACAGGCATCAGCCACTGCACCCGGCCAGAAAGCTTATTTTAAAAGGTGTGTATAGAGCCCCTTATGTTTCTGCTTGATTTTTTAAATAACATATTTATGTCTATATATTTTAGGATGTAATATCTCACTGTATGTGTTGCTTTGCATCATTGAACATTTTTGGTAATTATTTTCTATATATTTTAGATATTTCATTAAACTAATACAGAATTTCATATTCAGGGCCAGGCATAGTGGCTCATGCCTGTAATCCCAGCACTTTGAGAGTCCAAGGCGGGCGCATCACCTGAGGTCAGGGGTTCGAGACCATCCTGGCCAACAAGGGAAAACCCCATCTCTATTAAAAATACAAAATTAGCCGGGTGTGGTGTTGCACGCCTGTAATCCCAGCTACTTGGAAGGCTGAGGCAGGAGAATCGCATGACCCCGGGGGCAGAGATTGCAGTGAGCTGAGATCTTGCCACTTCATTCCAGCCTGGGCCACAGAGCAAGACTCCTTCTCAAAAAAAAAAAAAAAAAAAAAAAATTCATATTCGCTCATATCAAAAATGAAAATTTATTTTTGCAAATTTCTAAGTGATAGAATTATTTTAATGTAGGAAAGGTTCATCAAAAATGGGTGTAGTGATTGTGTTCTTTCCTATGCTCGAATGGAAAATGATGAGGGGACACGATGTTAGAGTTGCAGTGGGAAGGGGTGGAAAAGAGGGATTCCAGAGTGCCAGGCACACAGGTTTTCTGGAAGGTTTACATGAGGACTGCTGTGGTTTGAATGTGTTCCCCAAAGTTCATGTGTTGGAAACTCAACCCCTAATGCAACAGTGTTGACCAGTGGAACCTTTAAGAGGTGATTAGGTCATGAAGGCTCTGCCCTCATGAATGGATGAAGCTAGAGTGGGTTAGTTATCTTGGGAGGGGGTTCCTGATAAAAGGATGAGGTTGGCTTCCTTCCCTTTCTCTTTCCCCCTCCCCCCTCTCACATGTGGTCACTCTCTTGCCCTTCCACCTTCCACCATAGGACGGCACAGTGAGACCTTCACCAGATGCAGGCCCCTCACTTTCCCAGTGTTCAGAACCGTAAACCAAGTGAACTCTTGCTTATAAATCACCCAGTCTGTGGTATTCTGTTATAGCAACACAAACGGACTAAGAGAGGGACACTCAGTGGGCTCTTCTACTTGATGGAGCACTCCCTGCGTGGTGCCTTGTATTTGTAGACATGATGCTGTAAATGCTCTTTGAATGTCTTGAAGGCTTTTATGTTTGAGGAGTTTACAGAGAAGCACCTACAGGCTTCAGGTCCCTTCTTCTGTTGCTTCTTTGCTCCTTAGTTCCTCCCCTAACCTGGTGCTAAATTAGATCATAGTGTGGTCCTTGGACCAACAGTATCAATAGCACCTGAAAATCATGCTGGAAATACAGATTCACAGGCTGCTCCCTAGAATACTGAAGAAGAAACTCTAGGAGTGAGACCCAACAATCTGTATTTAACAAGTCCCCAGGTGAGTCTGATGCACACAGAAATGTGAGCTGCTGTATTAGATGGTGTTGAGTTCATGCCACCGAATCACTGACACACACGTCTGCTCACTGCTTGCTCTTTGCACAGGCCCCTGGATCCTCCTGGAATCCCCGATCCCTCTTGCTCCCTGGCAGAGTTTTCTAGTCCCTCTTACTTGAAGCATGTCTTTCAGAGCCCGGCACCACCCATCTTGAGTATCTGGTGAGTTCTGTGGTCTGCATGTCCATGTTTGGGACATTCTGGGAAGGGTGGCCCAGGCTGTGATTTGCCATCTACTGCAGGCTATGGATGGTATTCAGAAGGGAGGGGAGATGCTGTGTGCGTGTTCTGAAGGGTTTCCCACTAAACAGATCAACCCTCTCCATAACTATTTGATTTTTACTTTATCTCCTCGTTGACTTCACAGTGTCAGTGCAGTTTGTGTAAACATCTCTATGGGGTGATGCATGCAGATAAATGTTTATGTGAACATATAAAGTCTGCATGTGTGGGTGAACACTCCACATCAGGTCATTGTCCATCATTACATATCTGTGGTGTCTGGCTCATTCGTCTCGTTTTCTGTCATTTTACCTACTTTTACCTGAAGTACAATGACTATTTAATAACTATTAAATGTTTCATTTCAGCTACACCTCTATGGTATTTTTTTCACCTCATATCATACCTTCCTCCCTCACTGGACTTCAGTGTGGGACCTGCAGGTCTCAGGCCTTCTGGGAAGTCCCAGCTTTTCTTGAATGTTTTCTCTCTCTGGCCAGCTCAGGCTGGAGCAGTGGGTGTTGGTGCCATCCTGTGGCTATAGGTGATAAGCCGGCTGTTCTTCACTGACCTGGTCTTACCTTGAACCCTGGAGTTCTCACATGCATGGATTTAAATGCTGTGTCTTTCTAAGGGCACATTATGGCCATTTTCCTTATCTCCCTCCCAAGGGGCTGTTTGCTGTGTTTATTGACTCCCTGTTTAAAAAACATATATATATATATATATATAGACGAATTAGGTTGTACCCCATAAATTGCATGTTTGAAAAATATTTCAAAGAATAGTTTATTTTTTTTTGCTGATTTTTATGTATCTTCTAAATTGTATATATTTATGGGGTATAAAATGATGTTGTGATTTTTCAATACAGTGTGGAATGAGAATCAAATTAACCTATCCGTTACCTCAAGTACTTGACTTTTTTTGTGATGAGAAGGCTGTTTATCACTTTCACTCACCAGCTCCTGCTGTCTTCCATGCTGGGGACAGGAAAGGCTCCACGCTTGACTTTCCCTCCTGTTTTCTTATCTGCTGTCAACCCCTGAATGTACCCTCCAGGATTGCCTTCTAGACCTTCTACATCTAGCTCGATCATTGTGCACCCACCTTCCTCCCAGGGACTGTCCTTAGGGAGTGACTTTATGCACAAACTTCACATGCTCTTCCTGCCTCCTTCATCCCCATAAGCCCCCATCTCAGCCCCATCTGATTATTTCTTCCCTGTCTCATTTCCTGTTATGCTGTTGGTTTTCTAACCTGAAGGGTAACTTCTTACTCCTTAGTTTTTTGCCTTAATTTCTAAGTCATAGGCTACTTTCAGGCTAAAAGTTTTCCTCCAGCCATGGTTTTAGTCTCATTCTATAAGTCTTGCTAGGTAGTTTATTCATTGGAAATTTTTTGTTTTTGAGACAGAGTCTCGCTCTGTCACCCAGGCTGTAGTACAGTGGTGCCATCTCAGCTCACTGCAACCTCCGGTTCCCGGGCTCAAGCAGTTCTCTTTCCTCAGCCTCCTGAGTAGCTGGGATTATGGGTGCCTGCCACCACACCCAGCTAATTTTTGTATTTTTAGTAGAGACGGCATTTCACCATGTCAGCCAGGTTGGTCTCGAACTCTTGACCTCAAGTGATCCGCCCACCTTGGCCTCCCAAAATACTGGGATTACAGGGGTGAGTCACCACACCCCACCCCTTGGCACTATATTTAAGTGATGATATTTTTGGACACTGAGGTAGCCTCATTCCACAGGTTTAGATCTGAAGCATTTTCACTATTGCTTCTTTCCATGTATTTCCTGGTTTGCAGGTCAGTTTCTTCTTTTAATTCATCATTGACACAGTGGTTTATATGGCTTTTAATTTCAAAAGATTTTTTAAAATATCTTTTTGCCGATTTTTATCTATGTTAATTTTAACTAGACATGTTCCCTGGAAGGACATCACTAGTTTTTTTTTTTTTTTTTTCACTCTGTTTATAATTTAGGTGGATTTTCACATCTCAAGCCAGCTAAGAGTATGGGAAATAGGACTCGTTAAAGCACAGATATCACACAAGTGATTCAGATTCACGAGGGTAATCCAGATGAAGGTATATCATTGTACCTGGCCCGCATCACTCAGTAACTGTCACCTTTGATTTATTGATTTACTTGAGATGGAGTTTGGTTCTGTCCCCGAGGCCGGAGTGCAATGGCGTGATCTCTGCTCACTACAACCTCTGCCTCCCAGGTTCAGAGTGATTCTCCTGCCTCAGCCTCTTTAGCTGGGATTACAGGCACCCACCAACATGCCCAGCTAATTTTTGTATTTTTAGTAGAGAGGAGCTTTCACCATAATGGCCAGGCTGGTCTTGAACCTCAAATGATCTGCCCACCTTGGCCTCCCAAAGTGCTAGGATTACAGGCTGGAGCTACAGAGCCCAGCCTGTCACCTTGATTTAAATGAATGCAGCTTTCTTGGTGTCTTGATGTTTGTGAATTTCTGTGGAGTTTGATACTGCTCCTTTTGCTGCTTGTTTTTCCAGAGTCCCCTTATCACTTGACGTGCTGTTATATTATGTTTGATTTATTACAGATACCCCATCAGCCTGAGTCTCTTAAAGGCCTTTATACACATATGTCTACAC
Source organism: Homo sapiens (assembly GCF_000001405.40). Classification (NCBI taxonomy): domain Eukaryota; kingdom Metazoa; phylum Chordata; class Mammalia; order Primates; family Hominidae; genus Homo; species Homo sapiens. The sequence goes on along the minus strand of NC_000019.10, from coordinate 36,313,270 downwards.
ATAGGGATTTGGATGATCTCGGGATCCCACATCCTCGCTGTCCCCTGTCCCCCCGCAACATCCCCCACCAATACCTTTCTGAAGTTTTCTAGTCCCTCCTTTTTGTTTGTGCTCCTTAAAGCCCAGCCCCATGCCTGACTTTGGTTCCCAGTGAGCATTGTACATTTGTGGATATTAAATCTTTGGCAAAGTCATTTACCTGGGCTGGAATAGGGCTCTTGGCTGATTCTTTTTCCTAAACACCCACCCAATGGGAGAGGCTGATACTCAACATGCAAACCTTGTGTTTTATTTCTCCAGGCGAAGGGATGTTGGAAGACATTCTGGAAGGGGTGGGGTGTGAAGATTTACAAATAATCTTTGAATATCTGCTTCATGATAGGTCTTGGAGGTGCCTTGTGGGTGTGGCTTTGGGGGGATGGTTACGAGGAAATTGTGGATATTAAGGAAGTCAGGAAAGGAAAAGATCAGTCACAATTCAACAATTCAGAGAAAGCTCCTAAGGGACTTTCTGGCTGCTTGATGCCCAGAGGCCAGGCCCTCACTTCGTATTAAGGCTCAGGACTGTGGATAGAGAATTTAAAGGGGCACCAAAAAAAACATTAAAATAGATAAACATATTTTTAATGGAATACCTTTAAAAATGCAAATCAATGCACAAAGAAAACGCCCATGTTGAACAAAATGGTGACAATTGTGCCTTCTCTTCAACACCACCCCACCCTCCAGAAGTTTCCTTCAAGCCGTACCTGTAAGAGTAAAAATAGAGAAAAATAAAAACCTTTAAGTTAAAAGATAAAAATGAGCTGGGTGTGGGGGCTCATGCCTGTAATCCCAGCACTTTGGGAGGCCGAGGCAGGTGGATCACTTGAGGTCAGGAGTTCGAGACCAGGCTGGGCAATGTGGTGAAACATCGTCTCTACTAAAAATACAAAAAAACAAAAAAAATTTAGGTGGGCACAGTGGCAGGTGCCTATAATCTCAGCTACTTGGGAGGCTGAGGCAGGAGAATCGCTTGAACCTGGGAGGCGGAGGTTGCAATGAGCCAAGAGCATGCCATTGCACTACATCCTGGGAGACAGATCAAGACTCTGTCTCAAAAAAAACAAAACAAACAAACACCTCGGGAATTTCTGGCTCAAGCCTCTGATCCTCACCACCACTATCACCAGGGGATCTTTTGCTGTTCACCCAAGTCCAGCCTTCATCCCCTAAACTCCTGGGGAAATGCGACCAGACTCTCCCCATCTCCATTCCGGGAGTTTGCCTCAAGCCAATCTTGTTCTCCCTGAAAACGGCCTTGGGGTTCCCCATCCTGGTACACCCTCCTACTCTAGGGGACACAGGGCCGATGTTGCCCCCCAAACCGGCAGTCCCAGGAGCGCATCGCTTCTCCCTGAACTGCTTCTGCCCCAACCTGGCATCTGCTTGGGGAAGGGCACCCCAGGGTGGAGACTTGCATGGTGAGCTCAGCTCACCTTCAGGTGAAGGTCAGCGCACACTGGCCACCCGGGACCACATTTTCCAGAATCCTTTGGCGGTCCCGCGATGCTCTCGTGGTCAGCAGCTCTCATTGGGTTGCAGAGGAGAAACTTGTCCGTGTCACTGGGGCATCTTAACAGTCGGCTCCTAAGCTTGGTTGTGTGCGCTGTGCAGATGTGAGAGGCACACCGTGTGGGCGAAGCCAACTGCTTGCCCGCCTCTCTAGCTCCAAAACTACAATCCCCAGAGGCCTCTGCGGTCACTTCCACTACCCACCCTACACACCTTCTGTGTGTCGCGTTAATGTCAGAAGCACTTCTGTTTGGTGGCCCCGGCGGGTTAGGCTGGTTGGCACCCAGGGAAGCACCCAGGTCTTCCCCACACCTCTGCACCTCATTACCTGACCGGCTTCTGGATCCGCAGCGTGCATCTGCAGTCTGTGAGTCCCCTATAGGCACTCAGTATGCCCCTCTGCGTGTCCCTCTGTTACTCATGGGGACGCAGTCTGGGAGCCGTAGACCTGTCTCAGAACTAGGGCGCCCTCCTGTGGGCACCTCCAGGCCATTTTCCTTTCACTGGAGCCCACCGGGTTAGAGACAGACCCTCACTCTGTTGCTTGGGGACAAAGGCTTCACTCCCTGGCCCGAGCTTGGGGCTGAGCTAGAGGGTTCGGGGTCATCCTGGGCCCCTCTGGATGGGAATTGGCTGCCCTGTTAATTTCTGTGACATCCCCGACCCTAACAGTGGGTCTCTGGAGCAGACTGCGCTTCACCCCATGGGAAGGGGGTTTCCACCTGAGAGTCAAAAAAGAGGTGAGAATTCTCTGTAATTCCATCTTGACTGTCAACAGGATGGATTCTGTTACCATTTCTTGCCCTGGAGGCTGCCTTGTTGGTACTGGGGAAAGTTCATTCCTAGTCCTGGAAAAGTGGCTCATTCCAACTGGAGTCCTCCCTCAGCATTCCTTTCTGCTGCATCCATACTGCAGTCATTCATGTTGTTAATTGTAAACAAACACACATGGAACAGTTTAAATAAAACTACACAGATGTGTGTGCTTAATTGTTCAGTGATGTGGATAAAGGGCAGGGACAGCAGAGATGCCTGTGATTTCAAGGGCTTGGGGAGGACTCGTACAAGTAGAGCTGTCTCAGCTGCCCCTGACCGGTTTGGTACCTTGGAGACTCGGGGGAAGGCATTGCACTCGGAGGCAGAAGGAAACATAGTCTGAGGCTGGGCTCTTGCTACAGGGTAGGAAGGATTATGGTGGCCAAGAGCCTTCGTAAGGTTGATTTTTAAATATGCATAGGTGAAGATACAGACTAGCTGTTCACACATAGAATAAGGAGAAGCTTTATAGAGTGTGACCTAAATTTTACATCACAGAACACTTTCACCTTCCGGCAGTTGGGACATTTCACCCATAATTTGAAATTCCCTCCTACTCTGAAAATGAATCTGGCCTAACTCTGCACTGATAATTTTTTTTTTTTTTTTGAGACAGAGTTTTGTGCTTGTTACCCAGGCTAGAGTGCAGTGGTGCAATCTACACTCACTGCAACCTCGGCCACACTGGTTCAACCGATTCTCCTGCCTCAGCCTCCCAAATAGCTGGGATTTACAGGCATATGCCACCACACCGCGCTAACTGTCTGGTACTTTTTTTTAGTAGACGCGGAGTTTCATCATGTTGGTTAGGCTGGTGTGATCCCCTGACCTCAAGTGATCCATCCGCCTCAGCCTCCCAAACTGCTGGGATTAAAGATGTGAGACACCTCACTTTGCCAGTATGCATTGTTCTTAGTGTCAGCCGCTGAAACTGCTACTTCTGCTTTACGCGACTACGAGCCACCGGTGAGAGAGCAGCCCACGGGCACACAGGCGGACCTGTGCTCGTCATCACAAGGGCTCCACTTTTGGGGAGACTCACCCGCACACCGTCCGCGCACGCCAGAGGCTGGGATCCCGCGCTGCCTCGCCGGCGATCTGTCTGAGGTTTCTTCCTCCTGGGGTTTCTTCCTGCTGCTGGACCCTCCGCGAATCCCGGCCTCCGGAGACCGTCCTGGTAACTGCCCTGGCCAGGACTGGTCTCAGCCCAGACTCAGACGCACGATCACACAGGGCTCCTACTTCCCCAAGTGTCAGGGACCCATCCCCGGGCAACGGTGGCTTTCACTGTGACCCAAGCGGCGGCTCGGGCCTCGCGCCTGCGCGCTGGCGAGGCCGACTCCCCCCGCTCCACCCCCCCTTACTCCGCAGAGTCAGGCTGCGGACCCTTTAAAAAATGGCGGCGACGCGGCGGCTGCGGGGCCTGGGGCGGCGGTGCTGGAGGTTGCGGCGGCGGCGGCGGCGGCGCAGCCCGAGGCGACGGGTGGGAAGAGGACTGCCAGAGGGGCCTGCGGGAGACCCAGGGTCGGACCCATAGGAGTCCTGTGGTGAGGACCTCCTTGATCGCTCTTCTGCTTCCGTTCCCGCTGAAGGAGGAGCTTCGGGGTGCCGGCTGGGCTGCGCGGACTCCTCTTGGGGTCCGACGATGGATCCCAGCGGGTGATCGGGAATGGGGTTCCAATGCAGTGAGGCGGAAAGGGTCTCGCCGGGGCACAGGAAGATCCCCAGGGCCGCAAGGCGTGCTGTCGGCTGCAAAGGCACCGACCCATGAGCCCACTGCCTCCCTCCTTCCTGGCAGGAGCAGGGGCCTGCCTTCATCTCCAAGGCCCGAGGGCTCCGGCATCCCGACGCGGCTTCCGGCGACACGGGCAAAGAGAGACAGAGGCGAGTCCGAGCTGGAGCCAGCGTGTCCACATGTGGCACTGTCGTCCCCCAAGAGCACATGCAGGCAGCGTGTGTCTTTGAGGCCGTAGGGGGCGACGACGAGACGGACAGTGATGTCCAGGCGTGCGCCCGGGGGGCCACTGGAGACCTGCCCCACAAAGCGGAGGAAAAGCCAAGCGCACCTGAAAACCTGCGAGACAGGGCCTGTGCGCGAGTCCACGCCACGTTCAGGGAGGCCCGCCAGAGGAGCCGAGAGGTTTGGACAAAGTACACCCCACCCCCAGCCCGCCGCCGGCTAGGTACCCCTGACGCAACCTCCCCTGCACCCGGCCAAAACCCAGTCCCGTTGGCTCCCTGACATCCGTGGCAGCCAAAAGATTCGGTGCTAGAAGGCACTTTCCCCAGGAGCGGAGGAAGCGGTTGGCCCTCAAGAATCAGAGAGGAAGTGCAGGTGGGATGCAACACCGCCTTTCCTAGAAGGCCAATGTCAGGAGCGGTGGGCTTGCCTCCGCCTCTTCCTGGACCGAGCGTGCAGCCATCACTTGGGCCATGGAGACCGAGAGAGCTTCCCTGTCCCACACAGGTATGGAAGCCCAGAGCTCCAGGATCACCACAGCTGCCCAATCATCCAGAAAGAGGTGTGGAGAGGGAAACAATCATGACGCGGACCGCCACGAGGTTTCTCCCTGATGGACGGGGAAGTCTTCTTTGTGGAAGACACTGAGCCACACTAAGAAGCCGCCAGGCTTCTCAGAGGCGGGGCAGACACAGCAAGAGGGAGGTCAGAGCAGAGGCCAGAGCCCAGGCAGGATACGGGGGGGCCATGCCACCACCACCGGCATCCGGGGAGGAGTGTCAAACGGGTGACTCGGCCAGGAAGGCCAGCCTTTGAGAGACAGACATGCTTGCCCCATCCCCTTGCCGGCTTCCTTCTCCGTCCCTGCGTCGAGCTGTGGCTACATTTCTCGATGAGGGCAGAGGGCGACAGGCGTGACAACCACCTTCTTGAAGCTCTGCGGGCACCCTCCTGCGGGTGGACGATGAGCGCCTGGGAGGCCGTTGTCCTTGGTTGGGGAGCGCTCGTCTGGATCCAGCCTAGCAAAGAGGCTGCTCCGGATGGGGAGGGGATGAAAACCCCTGCGGGTCCGACGCCGATGCCCACGTTGCCCAGGCCTTCACAGACCCCCAAACTGGAACCGCCGGGACGACGACTGCCAACCGGCCACACGACCCAGGCAGAGACGCGGGGAGAGGCTGACCAGAAGAAAGGCCGACGTGCAAGAAACCCACCCTCCGGCGCACAGGGCACATGTGTCCCGAGGCGCACGCACACACAGACGGACAGAGACAGAAAGAGAGGGCCACGGAAAGAGCGAGAAGGGAGACAGAGAGAGAGAGAGAGAGAGAGAGAGAGAGAGAGACGTGAGAGAGAGACAGAAGTCGGCACACAGACAGGCACTGCGCGCGCACACACACAGACACACACACAGACGCACCCCCCCAACACACACACACACACACCCATGACGAACACACACGTACAGCAGGGAACACCCTCCCGCAGGCAGCCCCTGAAGCTGCCGGGTTCTGCTCTCCGCGACTGAGAGCCACCGGTGAGAGAGCAGCCCACGGGCACGCAGGCGGACCTGTGCTCGTCATCACAAGGGCTCCACTTTTGGGGAGACTCACCCGCACACCGTCCGCGCACGCCTGAGGCTGGGATCCCGCGCTGCCTCGCCGGCGATCTGTCTGAGGTTTCTTCCTCCTGGGGTTTCTTCCTGCTGCTGGACCCTCCGCGAATCCCGGCCTCCGGAGACCGTCCTGGTAACTGCCCTGGCCAGGACTGGTCTCAGCCCAGACTCAGACGTACGATCACACAGGGCTCCTACTTCCCCAAGTGTCAGGGACCCATCCCCGGGCAACGGTGGCTTTCACTGTGACCCAAGCGGCGGCTCGGGCCTCGCGCATGCGCGCTGGCGAGGCCGACTCCCCCGCTCCACCCCCCCTTACTCCGCAGAGTCAGGCTGCGGACCCTTTAAAAAATGGCGGCGACGCGGCGGCTGCGGGGCCTGGGGCGGCGGTGCTGGAGGTTGCGGCGGCGGCGGCGAAGGCGCAGCCCGAGGCGGCGGGTGGGAAGAGGACTGCCAGAGGGGCCTGCGGGAGACCCATGGTCGGACCCATGAGTCCTGTGGTGAGGACCTCCTTGATCGCTCTTCTGCTTCGGTTCCCACTGAAGGAGGAGCTTCGGGGTGCCGGCTGGGCTGCGCGGACTCCTCTTGGGGTCCGATGATGGATCCCAGCGGGTGATCGGGAATGGGGTTCCAATGCAGTGAGGCGGAAAGGGTCTCGCCGGGGCACAGGAAGATCCCCAGGGCCGCAAGGCGTGCTGTCGGCTGCAAAGGCACCGACCCATGAGCCCACTGCCTCCCTCCTTCCTGGCAGGAGCAGGGGCCTGCCTTCATCTCCAAGGCCCGAGGGCTCCGGCAACCCGAGGCGGCTTCCGGCGACACGGGCAAAGAGAGACAGAGGCGAGTCCGAGCTGGAGCCAGTGTGTCCACATGTGGCACTGTCGTCCCCCAAGAGCACATGCAGGCAGCGTGTGTCTTTGAGGCCGTAGGGGGCGACGACGAGACGGACAGTGATGTCCAGGCGTGCGCCCGGGGGGCCACTGGAGACCTGCCCCACAAAGCGGAGGAAAAGCCAAGCGCACCTGAAAACCTGCGAGACAGGGCCTGTGCGCGAGTCCACGCCACGTTCAGGGAGGCCCGCCAGAGGAGCCGAGAGGTTTGGACAAAGTACACCCCACCCCCAGCCCGCCGCCGGCTAGGTACCCCTGACGCAACCTCCCCTGCACCCAGCCAAAACCCAGTCCCGTTGGCTCCCTGACATCCGTGGCAGCCAAAAGATTCGGTGCTAGAAGGCACTTTCCCCAGGAGCGGAGGAAGCGGTTGGCCCTCAAGAATCAGAGAGGAAGTGCAGGTGGGATGCAACACCGCCTTTCCTAGAAGGCCAATGTCAGGAGCGGTGGGCTTGCCTCCGCCTCTTCCTGGACCGAGCGTGCAGCCATCACTTGGGCCATGGAGACCGAGAGAGCTTCCCTGTCCCACACAGGTATGGAAGCCCAGAGCTCCAGGATCACCACAGCTGCCCAATCATCCAGAAAGAGGTGTGGAGAGGGAAACAATCATGACGCGGACCGCCACGAGGTTTCTCCCTGATGGACGGGGAAGTCTTCTTTGTGGAAGACACTGAGCCACACTAAGAAGCCGCCAGGCTTCTCAGAGACGGGGCAGACACAGCAAGAGGGAGGTCAGAGCAGAGGCCAGAGCCCAGGCAGGATACGGGGGGGCCATGCCACCACCACCGGCATCCGGGGAGGAGTGTCAAACGGGTGACTCGGCCAGGAAGGCCAGCCTTTGAGAGACAGACATGCTTGCCCCATCCCCTTGCCGGCTTCCTTCTCCGTCCCTGCGTCGAGCTGTGGCTACATTTCTCGATGAGGGCAGAGGGCGACAGGCGTGACAACCACCTTCTTGAAGCTCTGCGGGCACCCTCCTGCGGGTGGACGATGAGCGCCTGGGAGGCCGTTGTCCTTGGTTGGGGAGCGCTCGTCTGGATCCAGCCTAGCAAAGAGGCTGCTCCGGATGGGGAGGGGATGAAAACCCCTGCGGGTCCGACGCCGATGCCCACGTTGCCCAGGCCTTCACAGACCCCCAAACTGGAACCGCCGGGACGACGACTGCCAACCGGCCACACGACCCAGGCAGAGACGCGGGGAGAGGCTGACCAGAAGAAAGGCCGACGTGCAAGAAACCCACCCTCCGGCGCACAGGGCACATGTGTCCCGAGGCGCACGCACACACAGACGGACAGAGACAGAAAGAGAGGGCCACGGAAAGAGCGAGAAGGGAGACAGAGAGAGAGAGAGAGAGAGAGAGAGAGAGAGACGTGAGAGAGAGACAGAAGTCGGCACACAGACAGGCACTGCGCGCGCACACACACAGACGCACCCCCCCCAACACACACACACACACACCCATGACGAACACACACGTACAGCAGGGAACACCCTCCCGCAGGCAGCCCCTGAAGCTGCCGGGTTCTGCTCTCCGCGACTGAGAGCCACCGGTGAGAGAGCAGCCCACGGGCACGCAGGCGGACCTGTGCTCGTCATCACAAGGGCTCCACTTTTGGGGAGACTCACCCGCACACCGTCCGCGCACGCCTGAGGCTGGGATCCCGCGCTGCCTCGCCGGCGATCTGTCTGAGGTTTCTTCCTCCTGGGGTTTCTTCCTGCTGCTGGACCCTCCGCGAATCCCGGCCTCCGGAGACCGTCCTGGTAACTGCCCTGGCCAGGACTGGTCTCAGCCCAGACTCAGACGCACGATCACACAGGGCTCCTACTTCCCCAAGTGTCAGGGACCCATCCCCGGGCAACGGTGGCTTTCACTGTGACCCAAGCGGCGGCTCGGGCCTCGCGCATGCGCGCTGGCGAGGCCGACTCCCCCGCTCCACCCCCCCTTACTCCGCAGAGTCAGGCTGCGGACCCTTTAAAAAATGGCGGCGACGCGGCGGCTGCGGGGCCTGGGGCGGCGGTGCTGGAGGTTGCGGCGGCGGCGGCGAAGGCGCAGCCCGAGGCGGCGGGTGGGGAGAGGACTGCCAGAGGGGCCTGCGGGAGACCCATGGTCGGACCCATGAGTCCTGTGGTGAGGACCTCCTTGATCGCTCTTCTGCTTCGGTTCCCACTGAAGGAGGAGCTTCGGGGTGCCGGCTGGGCTGCGCGGACTCCTCTTGGGGTCCGATGATGGATCCCAGCGGGTGATCGGGAATGGGGTTCCAATGCAGTGAGGCGGAAAGGGTCTCGCCGGGGCACAGGAAGATCCCCAGGGCCGCAAGGCGTGCTGTCGGCTGCAAAGGCACCGACCCATGAGCCCACTGCCTCCCTCCTTCCTGGCAGGAGCAGGGGCCTGCCTTCATCTCCAAGGCCCGAGGGCTCCGGCAACCCGAGGCGGCTTCCGGCGACACGGGCAAAGAGAGACAGAGGCGAGTCCGAGCTGGAGCCAGTGTGTCCACATGTGGCACTGTCGTCCCCCAAGAGCACATGCAGGCAGCGTGTGTCTTTGAGGCCGTAGGGGGCGACGACGAGACGGACAGTGATGTCCAGGCGTGCGCCCGGGGGGCCACTGGAGACCTGCCCCACAAAGCGGAGGAAAAGCCAAGCGCACCTGAAAACCTGCGAGACAGGGCCTGTGCGCGAGTCCACGCCACGTTCAGGGAGGCCCGCCAGAGGAGCCGAGAGGTTTGGACAAAGTACACCCCACCCCCAGCCCGCCGCCGGCTAGGTACCCCTGACGCAACCTCCCCTGCACCCAGCCAAAACCCAGTCCCGTTGGCTCCCTGACATCCGTGGCAGCCAAAAGATTCGGTGCTAGAAGGCACTTTCCCCAGGAGCGGAGGAAGCGGTTGGCCCTCAAGAATCAGAGAGGAAGTGCAGGTGGGATGCAACACCGCCTTTCCTAGAAGGCCAATGTCAGGAGCGGTGGGCTTGCCTCCGCCTCTTCCTGGACCGAGCGTGCAGCCATCACTTGGGCCATGGAGACCGAGAGAGCTTCCCTGTCCCACACAGGTATGGAAGCCCAGAGCTCCAGGATCACCACAGCTGCCCAATCATCCAGAAAGAGGTGTGGAGAGGGAAACAATCATGACGCGGACCGCCACGAGGTTTCTCCCTGATGGACAGGGAAGTCTTCTTTGTGGAAGACACTGAGCCACACTAAGAAGCCGCCAGGCTTCTCAGAGACGGGGCAGACACAGCAAGAGGGAGGTCAGAGCAGAGGCCAGAGCCCAGGCAGGATACGGGGGGGCCATGCCACCACCACCGGCATCCGGGGAGGAGTGTCAAACGGGTGACTCGGCCAGGAAGGCCAGCCTTTGAGAGACAGACATGCTTGCCCCATCCCCTTGCCGGCTTCCTTCTCCGTCCCTGCGTCGAGCTGTGGCTACATTTCTCGATGAGGGCAGAGGGCGACAGGCGTGACAACCACCTTCTTGAAGCTCTGCGGGCACCCTCCTGCGGGTGGACGATGAGCGCCTGGGAGGCCGTTGTCCTTGGTTGGGGAGCGCTCGTCTGGATCCAGCCTAGCAAAGAGGCTGCTCCGGATGGGGAGGGGATGAAAACCCCTGCGGGTCCGACGCCGATGCCCACGTTGCCCAGGCCTTCACAGACCCCCAAACTGGAACCGCCGGGACGACGACTGCCAACCGGCCACACGACCCAGGCAGAGACGCGGGGAGAGGCTGACCAGAAGAAAGGCCGACGTGCAAGAAACCCACCCTCCGGCGCACAGGGCACATGTGTCCCGAGGCGCACGCACACACAGACGGACAGAGACAGAAAGAGAGGGCCACGGAAAGAGCGAGAAGGGAGACAGAGAGAGAGAGAGAGAGAGAGAGAGAGAGAGAGAGACGTGAGAGAGAGACAGAAGTCGGCACACAGACAGGCACTGCGCGCGCACACACACAGACACACACACAGACGCACCCCCCCAACACACACACACACACACCCATGACGAACACACACGTACAGCAGGGAACACCCTCCCGCAGGCAGCCCCTGAAGCTGCCGGGTTCTGCTCTCCGCGACTGAGAGCCACCGGTGAGAGAGCAGCCCACGGGCACGCAGGCGGACCTGTGCTCGTCATCACAAGGGCTCCACTTTTGGGGAGACTCACCCGCACACCGTCCGCGCACGCCTGAGGCTGGGATCCCGCGCTGCCTCGCCGGCGATCTGTCTGAGGTTTCTTCCTCCTGGGGTTTCTTCCTGCTGCTGGACCCTCCGCGAATCCCGGCCTCCGGAGACCGTCCTGGTAACTGCCCTGGCCAGGACTGGTCTCAGCCCAGACTCAGACGCACGATCACACAGGGCTCCTACTTCCCCAAGTGTCAGGGACCCATCCCCGGGCAACGGTGGCTTTCACTGTGACCCAAGCGGCGGCTCGGGCCTCGCGCATGCGCGCTGGCGAGGCCGACTCCCCCGCTCCACCCCCCCTTACTCCGCAGAGTCAGGCTGCGGACCCTTTAAAAAATGGCGGCGACGCGGCGGCTGCGGGGCCTGGGGCGGCGGTGCTGGAGGTTGCGGCGGCGGCGGCGAAGGCGCAGCCCGAGGCGGCGGGTGGGAAGAGGACTGCCAGAGGGGCCTGCGGGAGACCCAGGGTCGGACCCATAGGAGTCCTGTGGTGAGGACCTCCTTGATCGCTCTTCTGCTTCGGTTCCCACTGAAGGAGGAGCTTCGGGGTGCCGGCTGGGCTGCGCGGACTCCTCTTGGGGTCCGATGATGGATCCCAGCGGGTGATCGGGAATGGGGTTCCAATGCAGTGAGGCGGAAAGGGTCTCGCCGGGGCACAGGAAGATCCCCAGGGCCGCAAGGCGTGCTGTCGGCTGCAAAGGCACCGACCCATGAGCCCACTGCCTCCCTCCTTCCTGGCAGGAGCAGGGGCCTGCCTTCATCTCCAAGGCCCGAGGGCTCCGGCAACCCGAGGCGGCTTCCGGCGACACGGGCAAAGAGAGACAGAGGCGAGTCCGAGCTGGAGCCAGTGTGTCCACATGTGGCACTGTCGTCCCCCAAGAGCACATGCAGGCAGCGTGTGTCTTTGAGGCCGTAGGGGGCGACGACGAGACGGACAGTGATGTCCAGGCGTGCGCCCGGGGGGCCACTGGAGACCTGCCCCACAAAGCGGAGGAAAAGCCAAGCGCACCTGAAAACCTGCGAGACAGGGCCTGTGCGCGAGTCCACGCCACGTTCAGGGAGGCCCGCCAGAGGAGCCGAGAGGTTTGGACAAAGTACACCCCACCCCCAGCCCGCCGCCGGCTAGGTACCCCTGACGCAACCTCCCCTGCACCCAGCCAAAACCCAGTCCCGTTGGCTCCCTGACATCCGTGGCAGCCAAAAGATTCGGTGCTAGAAGGCACTTTCCCCAGGAGCGGAGGAAGCGGTTGGCCCTCAAGAATCAGAGAGGAAGTGCAGGTGGGATGCAACACCGCCTTTCCTAGAAGGCCAATGTCAGGAGCGGTGGGCTTGCCTCCGCCTCTTCCTGGACCGAGCGTGCAGCCATCACTTGGGCCATGGAGACCGAGAGAGCTTCCCTGTCCCACACAGGTATGGAAGCCCAGAGCTCCAGGATCACCACAGCTGCCCAATCATCCAGAAAGAGGTGTGGAGAGGGAAACAATCATGACGCGGACCGCCACGAGGTTTCTCCCTGATGGACGGGGAAGTCTTCTTTGTGGAAGACACTGAGCCACACTAAGAAGCCGCCAGGCTTCTCAGAGACGGGGCAGACACAGCAAGAGGGAGGTCAGAGCAGAGGCCAGAGCCCAGGCAGGATACGGGGGGGCCATGCCACCACCACCGGCATCCGGGGAGGAGTGTCAAACGGGTGACTCGGCCAGGAAGGCCAGCCTTTGAGAGACAGACATGCTTGCCCCATCCCCTTGCCGGCTTCCTTCTCCGTCCCTGCGTCGAGCTGTGGCTACATTTCTCGATGAGGGCAGAGGGCGACAGGCGTGACAACCACCTTCTTGAAGCTCTGCGGGCACCCTCCTGCGGGTGGACGATGAGCGCCTGGGAGGCCGTTGTCCTTGGTTGGGGAGCGCTCGTCTGGATCCAGCCTAGCAAAGAGGCTGCTCCGGATGGGGAGGGGATGAAAACCCCTGCGGGTCCGACGCCGATGCCCACGTTGCCCAGGCCTTCACAGACCCCCAAACTGGAACCGCCGGGACGACGACTGCCAACCGGCCACACGACCCAGGCAGAGACGCGGGGAGAGGCTGACCAGAAGAAAGGCCGACGTGCAAGAAACCCACCCTCCGGCGCACAGGGCACATGTGTCCCGAGGCGCACGCACACACAGACGGACAGAGACAGAAAGAGAGGGCCACGGAAAGAGCGAGAAGGGAGACAGAGAGAGAGAGAGAGAGAGAGAGAGAGAGAGAGAGAGACGTGAGAGAGAGACAGAAGTCGGCACACAGACAGGCACTGCGCGCGCACACACACAGACACACACACAGACGCACCCCCCCCAACACACACACACACACACCCATGACGAACACACACGTACAGCAGGGAACACCCTCCCGCAGGCAGCCCCTGAAGCTGCCGGGTTCTGCTCTCCGCGACTGAGAGCCACCGGTGAGAGAGCAGCCCACGGGCACGCAGGCGGACCTGTGCTCGTCATCACAAGGGCTCCACTTTTGGGGAGACTCACCCGCACACCGTCCGCGCACGCCTGAGGCTGGGATCCCGCGCTGCCTCGCCGGCGATCTGTCTGAGGTTTCTTCCTCCTGGGGTTTCTTCCTGCTGCTGGACCCTCCGCGAATCCCGGCCTCCGGAGACCGTCCTGGTAACTGCCCTGGCCAGGACTGGTCTCAGCCCAGACTCAGACGCACGATCACACAGGGCTCCTACTTCCCCAAGTGTCAGGGACCCATCCCCGGGCAACGGTGGCTTTCACTGTGACCCAAGCGGCGGCTCGGGCCTCGCGCATGCGCGCTGGCGAGGCCGACTCCCCCGCTCCACCCCCCCTTACTCCGCAGAGTCAGGCTGCGGACCCTTTAAAAAATGGCGGCGACGCGGCGGCTGCGGGGCCTGGGGCGGCGGTGCTGGAGGTTGCGGCGGCGGCGGCGAAGGCGCAGCCCGAGGCGGCGGGTGGGAAGAGGACTGCCAGAGGGGCCTGCGGGAGACCCAGGGTCGGACCCATAGGAGTCCTGTGGTGAGGACCTCCTTGATCGCTCTTCTGCTTCGGTTCCCACTGAAGGAGGAGCTTCGGGGTGCCGGCTGGGCTGCGCGGACTCCTCTTGGGGTCCGATGATGGATCCCAGCGGGTGATCGGGAATGGGGTTCCAATGCAGTGAGGCGGAAAGGGTCTCGCCGGGGCACAGGAAGATCCCCAGGGCCGCAAGGCGTGCTGTCGGCTGCAAAGGCACCGACCCATGAGCCCACTGCCTCCCTCCTTCCTGGCAGGAGCAGGGGCCTGCCTTCATCTCCAAGGCCCGAGGGCTCCGGCAACCCGAGGCGGCTTCCGGCGACACGGGCAAAGAGAGACAGAGGCGAGTCCGAGCTGGAGCCAGCGTGTCCACATGTGGCACTGTCGTCCCCCAAGAGCACATGCAGGCAGCGTGTGTCTTTGAGGCCGTAGGGGGCGACGACGAGACGGACAGTGATGTCCAGGCGTGCGCCCGGGGGGCCACTGGAGACCTGCCCCACAAAGCGGAGGAAAAGCCAAGCGCACCTGAAAACCTGCGAGACAGGGCCTGTGCGCGAGTCCACGCCACGTTCAGGGAGGCCCGCCAGAGGAGCCGAGAGGTTTGGACAAAGTACACCCCACCCCCAGCCCGCCGCCGGCTAGGTACCCCTGACGCAACCTCCCCTGCACCCAGCCAAAACCCAGTCCCGTTGGCTCCCTGACATCCGTGGCAGCCAAAAGATTCGGTGCTAGAAGGCACTTTCCCCAGGAGCGGAGGAAGCGGTTGGCCCTCAAGAATCAGAGAGGAAGTGCAGGTGGGATGCAACACCGCCTTTCCTAGAAGGCCAATGTCAGGAGCGGTGGGCTTGCCTCCGCCTCTTCCTGGACCGAGCGTGCAGCCATCACTTGGGCCATGGAGACCCAGAGAGCTTCCCTGTCCCACACAGGTATGGAAGCCCAGAGCTCCAGGATCACCACAGCTGCCCAATCATCCAGAAAGAGGTGTGGAGAGGGAAACAATCATGACGCGGACCGCCACGAGGTTTCTCCCTGATGGACGGGGAAGTCTTCTTTGTGGAAGACACTGAGCCACACTAAGAAGCCGCCAGGCTTCTCAGAGGCGGGGCAGACACAGCAAGAGGGAGGTCAGAGCAGAGGCCAGAGCCCAGGCAGGATACGGGGGGGCCATGCCACCACCACCGGCATCCGGGGAGGAGTGTCAAACGGGTGACTCGGCCAGGAAGGCCAGCCTTTGAGAGACAGACATGCTTGCCCCATCCCCTTGCCGGCTTCCTTCTCCGTCCCTGCGTCGAGCTGTGGCTACATTTCTCGATGAGGGCAGAGGGCGACAGGCGTGACAACCACCTTCTTGAAGCTCTGCGGGCACCCTCCTGCGGGTGGACGATGAGCGCCTGGGAGGCCGTTGTCCTTGGTTGGGGAGCGCTCGTCTGGATCCAGCCTAGCAAAGAGGCTGCTCCGGATGGGGAGGGGATGAAAACCCCTGCGGGTCCGACGCCGATGCCCACGTTGCCCAGGCCTTCACAGACCCCCAAACTGGAACCGCCGGGACGACGACTGCCAACCGGCCACACGACCCAGGCAGAGACGCGGGGAGAGGCTGACCAGAAGAAAGGCCGACGTGCAAGAAACCCACCCTCCGGCGCACAGGGCACATGTGTCCCGAGGCGCACGCACACACAGACGGACAGAGACAGAAAGAGAGGGCCACGGAAAGAGCGAGAAGGGAGACAGAGAGAGAGAGAGAGAGAGAGAGAGAGAGAGAGAGAGACGTGAGAGAGAGACAGAAGTCGGCACACAGACAGGCACTGCGCGCGCACACACACAGACACACACACAGACGCACCCCCCCCAACACACACACACACACACCCATGACGAACACACACGTACAGCAGGGAACACCCTCCCGCAGGCAGCCCCTGAAGCTGCCGGGTTCTGCTCTCCGCGACTGAGAGCCACCGGTGAGAGAGCAGCCCACGGGCACGCAGGCGGACCTGTGCTCGTCATCACAAGGGCTCCACTTTTGGGGAGACTCACCCGCACACCGTCCGCGCACGCCTGAGGCTGGGATCCCGCGCTGCCTCGCCGGCGATCTGTCTGAGGTTTCTTCCTCCTGGGGTTTCTTCCTGCTGCTGGACCCTCCGCGAATCCCGGCCTCCGGAGACCGTCCTGGTAACTGCCCTGGCCAGGACTGGTCTCAGCCCAGACTCAGACGCACGATCACACAGGGCTCCTACTTCCCCAAGTGTCAGGGACCCATCCCCGGGCAACGGTGGCTTTCACTGTGACCCAAGCGGCGGCTCGGGCCTCGCGCATGCGCGCTGGCGAGGCCGACTCCCCCGCTCCACCCCCCGTTACTCCGCAGAGTCAGGCTGCGGACCCTTTAAAAAATGGCGGCGACGCGGCGGCTGCGGGGCCTGGGGCGGCGGTGCTGGAGGTTGCGGCGGCGGCGGCGAAGGCGCAGCCCGAGGCGGCGGGTGGGAAGAGGACTGCCAGAGGGGCCTGCGGGAGACCCAGGGTCGGACCCATAGGAGTCCTGTGGTGAGGACCTCCTTGATCGCTCTTCTGCTTCGGTTCCCACTGAAGGAGGAGCTTCGGGGTGCCGGCTGGGCTGCGCGGACTCCTCTTGGGGTCCGATGATGGATCCCAGCGGGTGATCGGGAATGGGGTTCCAATGCAGTGAGGCGGAAAGGGTCTCGCCGGGGCACAGGAAGATCCCCAGGGCCGCAAGGCGTGCTGTCGGCTGCAAAGGCACCGACCCATGAGCCCACTGCCTCCCTCCTTCCTGGCAGGAGCAGGGGCCTGCCTTCATCTCCAAGGCCCGAGGGCTCCGGCAACCCGAGGCGGCTTCCGGCGACACGGGCAAAGAGAGACAGAGGCGAGTCCGAGCTGGAGCCAGCGTGTCCACATGTGGCACTGTCGTCCCCCAAGAGCACATGCAGGCAGCGTGTGTCTTTGAGGCCGTAGGGGGCGACGACGAGACGGACAGTGATGTCCAGGCGTGCGCCCGGGGGGCCACTGGAGACCTGCCCCACAAAGCGGAGGAAAAGCCAAGCGCACCTGAAAACCTGCGAGACAGGGCCTGTGCGCGAGTCCACGCCACGTTCAGGGAGGCCCGCCAGAGGAGCCGAGAGGTTTGGACAAAGTACACCCCACCCCCAGCCCGCCGCCGGCTAGGTACCCCTGACGCAACCTCCCCTGCACCCAGCCAAAACCCAGTCCCGTTGGCTCCCTGACATCCGTGGCAGCCAAAAGATTCGGTGCTAGAAGGCACTTTCCCCAGGAGCGGAGGAAGCGGTTGGCCCTCAAGAATCAGAGAGGAAGTGCAGGTGGGATGCAACACCGCCTTTCCTAGAAGGCCAATGTCAGGAGCGGTGGGCTTGCCTCCGCCTCTTCCTGGACCGAGCGTGCAGCCATCACTTGGGCCATGGAGACCCAGAGAGCTTCCCTGTCCCACACAGGTATGGAAGCCCAGAGCTCCAGGATCACCACAGCTGCCCAATCATCCAGAAAGAGGTGTGGAGAGGGAAACAATCATGACGCGGACCGCCACGAGGTTTCTCCCTGATGGACGGGGAAGTCTTCTTTGTGGAAGACACTGAGCCACACTAAGAAGCCGCCAGGCTTCTCAGAGGCGGGGCAGACACAGCAAGAGGGAGGTCAGAGCAGAGGCCAGAGCCCAGGCAGGATACGGGGGGGCCATGCCACCACCACCGGCATCCGGGGAGGAGTGTCAAACGGGTGACTCGGCCAGGAAGGCCAGCCTTTGAGAGACAGACATGCTTGCCCCATCCCCTTGCCGGCTTCCTTCTCCGTCCCTGCGTCGAGCTGTGGCTACATTTCTCGATGAGGGCAGAGGGCGACAGGCGTGACAACCACCTTCTTGAAGCTCTGCGGGCACCCTCCTGCGGGTGGACGATGAGCGCCTGGGAGGCCGTTGTCCTTGGTTGGGGAGCGCTCGTCTGGATCCAGCCTAGCAAAGAGGCTGCTCCGGATGGGGAGGGGATGAAAACCCCTGCGGGTCCGACGCCGATGCCCACGTTGCCCAGGCCTTCACAGACCCCCAAACTGGAACCGCCGGGACGACGACTGCCAACCGGCCACACGACCCAGGCAGAGACGCGGGGAGAGGCTGACCAGAAGAAAGGCCGACGTGCAAGAAACCCACCCTCCGGCGCACAGGGCACATGTGTCCCGAGGCGCACGCACACACAGACGGACAGAGACAGAAAGAGAGGGCCACGGAAAGAGCGAGAAGGGAGACAGAGAGAGAGAGAGAGAGAGAGAGAGACGTGAGAGAGAGACAGAAGTCGGCACACAGACAGGCACTGCGCGCGCACACACACAGACACACACACAGACGCACCCCCCCCAACACACACACACACACACCCATGACGAACACACACGTACAGCAGGGAACACCCTCCCGCAGGCAGCCCCTGAAGCTGCCGGGTTCTGCTCTCCGCGACTGAGAGCCACCGGTGAGAGAGCAGCCCACGGGCACGCAGGCGGACCTGTGCTCGTCATCACAAGGGCTCCACTTTTGGGGAGACTCACCCGCACACCGTCCGCGCACGCCTGAGGCTGGGATCCCGCGCTGCCTCGCCGGCGATCTGTCTGAGGTTTCTTCCTCCTGGGGTTTCTTCCTGCTGCTGGACCCTCCGCGAATCCCGGCCTCCGGAGACCGTCCTGGTAACTGCCCTGGCCAGGACTGGTCTCAGCCCAGACTCAGACGCACGATCACACAGGGCTCCTACTTCCCCAAGTGTCAGGGACCCATCCCCGGGCAACGGTGGCTTTCACTGTGACCCAAGCGGCGGCTCGGGCCTCGCGCATGCGCGCTGGCGAGGCCGACTCCCCCGCTCCACCCCCCCTTACTCCGCAGAGTCAGGCTGCGGACCCTTTAAAAAATGGCGGCGACGCGGCGGCTGCGGGGCCTGGGGCGGCGGTGCTGGAGGTTGCGGCGGCGGCGGCGAAGGCGCAGCCCGAGGCGGCGGGTGGGAAGAGGACTGCCAGAGGGGCCTGCGGGAGACCCAGGGTCGGACCCATAGGAGTCCTGTGGTGAGGACCTCCTTGATCGCTCTTCTGCTTCGGTTCCCACTGAAGGAGGAGCTTCGGGGTGCCGGCTGGGCTGCGCGGACTCCTCTTGGGGTCCGATGATGGATCCCAGCGGGTGATCGGGAATGGGGTTCCAATGCAGTGAGGCGGAAAGGGTCTCGCCGGGGCACAGGAAGATCCCCAGGGCCGCAAGGCGTGCTGTCGGCTGCAAAGGCACCGACCCATGAGCCCACTGCCTCCCTCCTTCCTGGCAGGAGCAGGGGCCTGCCTTCATCTCCAAGGCCCGAGGGCTCCGGCAACCCGAGGCGGCTTCCGGCGACACGGGCAAAGAGAGACAGAGGCGAGTCCGAGCTGGAGCCAGTGTGTCCACATGTGGCACTGTCGTCCCCCAAGAGCACATGCAGGCAGCGTGTGTCTTTGAGGCCGTAGGGGGCGACGACGAGACGGACAGTGATGTCCAGGCGTGCGCCCGGGGGGCCACTGGAGACCTGCCCCACAAAGCGGAGGAAAAGCCAAGCGCACCTGAAAACCTGCGAGACAGGGCCTGTGCGCGAGTCCACGCCACGTTCAGGGAGGCCCGCCAGAGGAGCCGAGAGGTTTGGACAAAGTACACCCCACCCCCAGCCCGCCGCCGGCTAGGTACCCCTGACGCAACCTCCCCTGCACCCAGCCAAAACCCAGTCCCGTTGGCTCCCTGACATCCGTGGCAGCCAAAAGATTCGGTGCTAGAAGGCACTTTCCCCAGGAGCGGAGGAAGCGGTTGGCCCTCAAGAATCAGAGAGGAAGTGCAGGTGGGATGCAACACCGCCTTTCCTAGAAGGCCAATGTCAGGAGCGGTGGGCTTGCCTCCGCCTCTTCCTGGACCGAGCGTGCAGCCATCACTTGGGCCATGGAGACCCAGAGAGCTTCCCTGTCCCACACAGGTATGGAAGCCCAGAGCTCCAGGATCACCACAGCTGCCCAATCATCCAGAAAGAGGTGTGGAGAGGGAAACAATCATGACGCGGACCGCCACGAGGTTTCTCCCTGATGGACGGGGAAGTCTTCTTTGTGGAAGACACTGAGCCACACTAAGAAGCCGCCAGGCTTCTCAGAGGCGGGGCAGACACAGCAAGAGGGAGGTCAGAGCAGAGGCCAGAGCCCAGGCAGGATACGGGGGGGCCATGCCACCACCACCGGCATCCGGGGAGGAGTGTCAAACGGGTGACTCGGCCAGGAAGGCCAGCCTTTGAGAGACAGACATGCTTGCCCCATCCCCTTGCCGGCTTCCTTCTCCGTCCCTGCGTCGAGCTGTGGCTACATTTCTCGATGAGGGCAGAGGGCGACAGGCGTGACAACCACCTTCTTGAAGCTCTGCGGGCACCCTCCTGCGGGTGGACGATGAGCGCCTGGGAGGCCGTTGTCCTTGGTTGGGGAGCGCTCGTCTGGATCCAGCCTAGCAAAGAGGCTGCTCCGGATGGGGAGGGGATGAAAACCCCTGCGGGTCCGACGCCGATGCCCACGTTGCCCAGGCCTTCACAGACCCCCAAACTGGAACCGCCGGGACGACGACTGCCAACCGGCCACACGACCCAGGCAGAGACGCGGGGAGAGGCTGACCAGAAGAAAGGCCGACGTGCAAGAAACCCACCCTCCGGCGCACAGGGCACATGTGTCCCGAGGCGCACGCACACAGACGGACAGAGACAGAAAGAGAGGGCCACGGAAAGAGCGAGAAGGGAGACAGAGAGAGAGAGAGAGAGAGAGAGAGAGAGAGAGACGTGAGAGAGAGACAGAAGTCGGCACACAGACAGGCACTGCGCGCGCACACACACAGACACACACACAGACGCACCCCCCCAACACACACACACACACACCCATGACGAACACACACGTACAGCAGGGAACACCCTCCCGCAGGCAGCCCCTGAAGCTGCCGGGTTCTGCTCTCCGCGACTGAGAGCCACCGGTGAGAGAGCAGCCCACGGGCACGCAGGCGGACCTGTGCTCGTCATCACAAGGGCTCCACTTTTGGGGAGACTCACCCGCACACCGTCCGCGCACGCCTGAGGCTGGGATCCCGCGCTGCCTCGCCGGCGATCTGTCTGAGGTTTCTTCCTCCTGGGGTTTCTTCCTGCTGCTGGACCCTCCGCGAATCCCGGCCTCCGGAGACCGTCCTGGTAACTGCCCTGGCCAGGACTGGTCTCAGCCCAGACTCAGACGTACGATCACACAGGGCTCCTACTTCCCCAAGTGTCAGGGACCCATCCCCGGGCAACGGTGGCTTTCACTGTGACCCAAGCGGCGGCTCGGGCCTCGCGCATGCGCGCTGGCGAGGCCGACTCCCCCGCTCCACCCCCCCTTACTCCGCAGAGTCAGGCTGCGGACCCTTTAAAAAATGGCGGCGACGCGGCGGCTGCGGGGCCTGGGGCGGCGGTGCTGGAGGTTGCGGCGGCGGCGGCGAAGGCGCAGCCCGAGGCGGCGGGTGGGGAGAGGACTGCCAGAGGGGCCTGCGGGAGACCCAGGGTCGGACCCATGAGTCCTGTGGTGAGGACCTCCTTGATCGCTCTTCTGCTTCGGTTCCCACTGAAGGAGGAGCTTCGGGGTGCCGGCTGGGCTGCGCGGACTCCTCTTGGGGTCCGATGATGGATCCCAGCGGGTGATCGGGAATGGGGTTCCAATGCAGTGAGGCGGAAAGGGTCTCGCCGGGGCACAGGAAGATCCCCAGGGCCGCAAGGCGTGCTGTCGGCTGCAAAGGCACCGACCCATGAGCCCACTGCCTCCCTCCTTCCTGGCAGGAGCAGGGGCCTGCCTTCATCTCCAAGGCCCGAGGGCTCCGGCAACCCGAGGCGGCTTCCGGCGACACGGGCAAAGAGAGACAGAGGCGAGTCCGAGCTGGAGCCAGTGTGTCCACATGTGGCACTGTCGTCCCCCAAGAGCACATGCAGGCAGCGTGTGTCTTTGAGGCCGTAGGGGGCGACGACGAGACGGACAGTGATGTCCAGGCGTGCGCCCGGGGGGCCACTGGAGACCTGCCCCACAAAGCGGAGGAAAAGCCAAGCGCACCTGAAAACCTGCGAGACAGGGCCTGTGCGCGAGTCCACGCCACGTTCAGGGAGGCCCGCCAGAGGAGCCAAGAGGTTTGGACAAAGTACACCCCACCCCCAGCCCGCCGCCGGCTAGGTACCCCTGACGCAACCTCCCCTGCACCCAGCCAAAACCCAGTCCCGTTGGCTCCCTGACATCCGTGGCAGCCAAAAGATTCGGTGCTAGAAGGCACTTTCCCCAGGAGCGGAGGAAGCGGTTGGCCCTCAAGAATCAGAGAGGAAGTGCATGTGGGATGCAACACCGCCTTTCCTAGAAGGCCAATGTCAGGAGCGGTGGGCTTGCCTCCGCCTCTTCCTGGACCGAGCGTGCAGCCATCACTTGGGCCATGGAGACCGAGAGAGCTTCCCTGTCCCACACAGGTATGGAAGCCCAGAGCTCCAGGATCACCACAGCTGCCCAATCATCCAGAAAGAGGTGTGGAGAGGGAAACAATCATGACGCGGACCGCCACGAGGTTTCTCCCTGATGGACGGGGAAGTCTTCTTTGTGGAAGACACTGAGCCACACTAAGAAGCCGCCAGGCTTCTCAGAGGCGGGGCAGACACAGCAAGAGGGAGGTCAGAGCAGAGGCCAGAGCCCAGGCAGGATACGGGGGGGCCATGCCACCACCACCGGCATCCGGGGAGGAGTGTCAAACGGGTGACTCGGCCAGGAAGGCCAGCCTTTGAGAGACAGACATGCTTGCCCCATCCCCTTGCCGGCTTCCTTCTCCGTCCCTGCGTCGAGCTGTGGCTACATTTCTCGATGAGGGCAGAGGGCGACAGGCGTGACAACCACCTTCTTGAAGCTCTGCGGGCACCCTCCTGCGGGTGGACGATGAGCGCCTGGGAGGCCGTTGTCCTTGGTTGGGGAGCGCTCGTCTGGATCCAGCCTAGCAAAGAGGCTGCTCCGGATGGGGAGGGGATGAAAACCCCTGCGGGTCCGACGCCGATGCCCACGTTGCCCAGGCCTTCACAGACCCCCAAACTGGAACCGCCGGGACGACGACTGCCAACCGGCCACACGACCCAGGCAGAGACGCGGGGAGAGGCTGACCAGAAGAAAGGCCGACGTGCAAGAAACCCACCCTCCGGCGCACAGGGCACATGTGTCCCGAGGCGCACGCACACACAGACGGACAGAGACAGAAAGAGAGGGCCACGGAAAGAGCGAGAAGGGAGACAGAGAGAGAGAGAGAGAGAGAGAGAGAGAGAGAGAGAGAGACGTGAGAGAGAGACAGAAGTCGGCACACAGACAGGCACTGCGCGCGCACACACACAGACACACACACAGACGCACCCCCCCCAACACACACACACACACACCCATGACGAACACACACGTACAGCAGGGAACACCCTCCCGCAGGCAGCCCCTGAAGCTGCCGGGTTCTGCTCTCCGCGACTGAGAGCCACCGGTGAGAGAGCAGCCCACGGGCACGCAGGCGGACCTGTGCTCGTCATCACAAGGGCTCCACTTTTGGGGAGACTCACCCGCACACCGTCCGCGCACGCCTGAGGCTGGGATCCCGCGCTGCCTCGCCGGCGATCTGTCTGAGGTTTCTTCCTCCTGGGGTTTCTTCCTGCTGCTGGACCCTCCGCGAATCCCGGCCTCCGGAGACCGTCCTGGTAACTGCCCTGGCCAGGACTGGTCTCAGCCCAGACTCAGACGCACGATCACACAGGGCTCCTACTTCCCCAAGTGTCAGGGACCCATCCCCGGGCAACGGTGGCTTTCACTGTGACCCAAGCGGCGGCTCGGGCCTCGCGCATGCGCGCTGGCGAGGCCGACTCCCCCGCTCCACCCCCCCTTACTCCGCAGAGTCAGGCTGCGGACCCTTTAAAAAATGGCGGCGACGCGGCGGCTGCGGGGCCTGGGGCGGCGGTGCTGGAGGTTGCGGCGGCGGCGGCGAAGGCGCAGCCCGAGGCGGCGGGTGGGAAGAGGACTGCCAGAGGGGCCTGCGGGAGACCCAGGGTCGGACCCATAGGAGTCCTGTGGTGAGGACCTCCTTGATCGCTCTTCTGCTTCGGTTCCCACTGAAGGAGGAGCTTCGGGGTGCCGGCTGGGCTGCGCGGACTCCTCTTGGGGTCCGATGATGGATCCCAGCGGGTGATCGGGAATGGGGTTCCAATGCAGTGAGGCGGAAAGGGTCTCGCCGGGGCACAGGAAGATCCCCAGGGCCGCAAGGCGTGCTGTCGGCTGCAAAGGCACCGACCCATGAGCCCACTGCCTCCCTCCTTCCTGGCAGGAGCAGGGGCCTGCCTTCATCTCCAAGGCCCGAGGGCTCCGGCAACCCGAGGCGGCTTCCGGCGACACGGGCAAAGAGAGACAGAGGCGAGTCCGAGCTGGAGCCAGTGTGTCCACATGTGGCACTGTCGTCCCCCAAGAGCACATGCAGGCAGCGTGTGTCTTTGAGGCCGTAGGGGGCGACGACGAGACGGACAGTGATGTCCAGGCGTGCGCCCGGGGGGCCACTGGAGACCTGCCCCACAAAGCGGAGGAAAAGCCAAGCGCACCTGAAAACCTGCGAGACAGGGCCTGTGCGCGAGTCCACGCCACGTTCAGGGAGGCCCGCCAGAGGAGCCGAGAGGTTTGGACAAAGTACACCCCACCCCCAGCCCGCCGCCGGCTAGGTACCCCTGACGCAACCTCCCCTGCACCCAGCCAAAACCCAGTCCCGTTGGCTCCCTGACATCCGTGGCAGCCAAAAGATTCGGTGCTAGAAGGCACTTTCCCCAGGAGCGGAGGAAGCGGTTGGCCCTCAAGAATCAGAGAGGAAGTGCAGGTGGGATGCAACACCGCCTTTCCTAGAAGGCCAATGTCAGGAGCGGTGGGCTTGCCTCCGCCTCTTCCTGGACCGAGCGTGCAGCCATCACTTGGGCCATGGAGACCGAGAGAGCTTCCCTGTCCCACACAGGTATGGAAGCCCAGAGCTCCAGGATCACCACAGCTGCCCAATCATCCAGAAAGAGGTGTGGAGAGGGAAACAATCATGACGCGGACCGCCACGAGGTTTCTCCCTGATGGACGGGGAAGTCTTCTTTGTGGAAGACACTGAGCCACACTAAGAAGCCGCCAGGCTTCTCAGAGACGGGGCAGACACAGCAAGAGGGAGGTCAGAGCAGAGGCCAGAGCCCAGGCAGGATACGGGGGGGCCATGCCACCACCACCGGCATCCGGGGAGGAGTGTCAAACGGGTGACTCGGCCAGGAAGGCCAGCCTTTGAGAGACAGACATGCTTGCCCCATCCCCTTGCCGGCTTCCTTCTCCGTCCCTGCGTCGAGCTGTGGCTACATTTCTCGATGAGGGCAGAGGGCGACAGGCGTGACAACCACCTTCTTGAAGCTCTGCGGGCACCCTCCTGCGGGTGGACGATGAGCGCCTGGGAGGCCGTTGTCCTTGGTTGGGGAGCGCTCGTCTGGATCCAGCCTAGCAAAGAGGCTGCTCCGGATGGGGAGGGGATGAAAACCCCTGCGGGTCCGACGCCGATGCCCACGTTGCCCAGGCCTTCACAGACCCCCAAACTGGAACCGCCGGGACGACGACTGCCAACCGGCCACACGACCCAGGCAGAGACGCGGGGAGAGGCTGACCAGAAGAAAGGCCGACGTGCAAGAAACCCACCCTCCGGCGCACAGGGCACATGTGTCCCGAGGCGCACGCACACACAGACGGACAGAGACAGAAAGAGAGGGCCACGGAAAGAGCGAGAAGGGAGACAGAGAGAGAGAGAGAGAGAGAGAGAGAGAGAGAGAGAGAGAGACGTGAGAGAGAGACAGAAGTCGGCACACAGACAGGCACTGCGCGCGCACACACACAGACACACACACAGACGCACCCCCCCAACACACACACACACACACCCATGACGAACACACACGTACAGCAGGGAACACCCTCCCGCAGGCAGCCCCTGAAGCTGCCGGGTTCTGCTCTCCGCGACTGAGAGCCACCGGTGAGAGAGCAGCCCACGGGCACGCAGGCGGACCTGTGCTCGTCATCACAAGGGCTCCACTTTTGGGGAGACTCACCCGCACACCGTCCGCGCACGCCTGAGGCTGGGATCCCGCGCTGCCTCGCCGGCGATCTGTCTGAGGTTTCTTCCTCCTGGGGTTTCTTCCTGCTGCTGGACCCTCCGCGAATCCCGGCCTCCGGAGACCGTCCTGGTAACTGCCCTGGCCAGGACTGGTCTCAGCCCAGACTCAGACGTACGATCACACAGGGCTCCTACTTCCCCAAGTGTCAGGGACCCATCCCCGGGCAACGGTGGCTTTCACTGTGACCCAAGCGGCGGCTCGGGCCTCGCGCATGCGCGCTGGCGAGGCCGACTCCCCCGCTCCACCCCCCCTTACTCCGCAGAGTCAGGCTGCGGACCCTTTAAAAAATGGCGGCGACGCGGCGGCTGCGGGGCCTGGGGCGGCGGTGCTGGAGGTTGCGGCGGCGGCGGCGAAGGCGCAGCCCGAGGCGGCGGGTGGGGAGAGGACTGCCAGAGGGGCCTGCGGGAGACCCAGGGTCGGACCCATGAGTCCTGTGGTGAGGACCTCCTTGATCGCTCTTCTGCTTCGGTTCCCACTGAAGGAGGAGCTTCGGGGTGCCGGCTGGGCTGCGCGGACTCCTCTTGGGGTCCGATGATGGATCCCAGCGGGTGATCGGGAATGGGGTTCCAATGCAGTGAGGCGGAAAGGGTCTCGCCGGGGCACAGGAAGATCCCCAGGGCCGCAAGGCGTGCTGTCGGCTGCAAAGGCACCGACCCATGAGCCCACTGCCTCCCTCCTTCCTGGCAGGAGCAGGGGCCTGCCTTCATCTCCAAGGCCCGAGGGCTCCGGCAACCCGAGGCGGCTTCCGGCGACACGGGCAAAGAGAGACAGAGGCGAGTCCGAGCTGGAGCCAGTGTGTCCACATGTGGCACTGTCGTCCCCCAAGAGCACATGCAGGCAGCGTGTGTCTTTGAGGCCGTAGGGGGCGACGACGAGACGGACAGTGATGTCCAGGCGTGCGCCCGGGGGGCCACTGGAGACCTGCCCCACAAAGCGGAGGAAAAGCCAAGCGCACCTGAAAACCTGCGAGACAGGGCCTGTGCGCGAGTCCACGCCACGTTCAGGGAGGCCCGCCAGAGGAGCCGAGAGGTTTGGACAAAGTACACCCCACCCCCAGCCCGCCGCCGGCTAGGTACCCCTGACGCAACCTCCCCTGCACCCAGCCAAAACCCAGTCCCGTTGGCTCCCTGACATCCGTGGCAGCCAAAAGATTCGGTGCTAGAAGGCACTTTCCCCAGGAGCGGAGGAAGCGGTTGGCCCTCAAGAATCAGAGAGGAAGTGCAGGTGGGATGCAACACCGCCTTTCCTAGAAGGCCAATGTCAGGAGCGGTGGGCTTGCCTCCGCCTCTTCCTGGACCGAGCGTGCAGCCATCACTTGGGCCATGGAGACCGAGAGAGCTTCCCTGTCCCACACAGGTATGGAAGCCCAGAGCTCCAGGATCACCACAGCTGCCCAATCATCCAGAAAGAGGTGTGGAGAGGGAAACAATCATGACGCGGACCGCCACGAGGTTTCTCCCTGATGGACGGGGAAGTCTTCTTTGTGGAAGACACTGAGCCACACTAAGAAGCCGCCAGGCTTCTCAGAGGCGGGGCAGACACAGCAAGAGGGAGGTCAGAGCAGAGGCCAGAGCCCAGGCAGGATACGGGGGGGCCATGCCACCACCACCGGCATCCGGGGAGGAGTGTCAAACGGGTGACTCGGCCAGGAAGGCCAGCCTTTGAGAGACAGACATGCTTGCCCCATCCCCTTGCCGGCTTCCTTCTCCGTCCCTGCGTCGAGCTGTGGCTACATTTCTCGATGAGGGCAGAGGGCGACAGGCGTGACAACCACCTTCTTGAAGCTCTGCGGGCACCCTCCTGCGGGTGGACGATGAGCGCCTGGGAGGCCGTTGTCCTTGGTTGGGGAGCGCTCGTCTGGATCCAGCCTAGCAAAGAGGCTGCTCCGGATGGGGAGGGGATGAAAACCCCTGCGGGTCCGACGCCGATGCCCACGTTGCCCAGGCCTTCACAGACCCCCAAACTGGAACCGCCGGGACGACGACTGCCAACCGGCCACACGACCCAGGCAGAGACGCGGGGAGAGGCTGACCAGAAGAAAGGCCGACGTGCAAGAAACCCACCCTCCGGCGCACAGGGCACATGTGTCCCGAGGCGCACGCACACACAGACGGACAGAGACAGAAAGAGAGGGCCACGGAAAGAGCGAGAAGGGAGACAGAGAGAGAGAGAGAGAGAGAGAGAGAGAGAGAGAGACGTGAGAGAGAGACAGAAGTCGGCACACAGACAGGCACTGCGCGCGCACACACACAGACACACACACAGACGCACCCCCCCCAACACACACACACACACACCCATGACGAACACACACGTACAGCAGGGAACACCCTCCCGCAGGCAGCCCCTGAAGCTGCCGGGTTCTGCTCTCCGCGACTGAGAGCCACCGGTGAGAGAGCAGCCCACGGGCACGCAGGCGGACCTGTGCTCGTCATCACAAGGGCTCCACTTTTGGGGAGACTCACCCGCACACCGTCCGCGCACGCCTGAGGCTGGGATCCCGCGCTGCCTCGCCGGCGATCTGTCTGAGGTTTCTTCCTCCTGGGGTTTCTTCCTGCTGCTGGACCCTCCGCGAATCCCGGCCTCCGGAGACCGTCCTGGTAACTGCCCTGGCCAGGACTGGTCTCAGCCCAGACTCAGACGCACGATCACACAGGGCTCCTACTTCCCCAAGTGTCAGGGACCCATCCCCGGGCAACGGTGGCTTTCACTGTGACCCAAGCGGCGGCTCGGGCCTCGCGCATGCGCGCTGGCGAGGCCGACTCCCCCGCTCCACCCCCCCTTACTCCGCAGAGTCAGGCTGCGGACCCTTTAAAAAATGGCGGCGACGCGGCGGCTGCGGGGCCTGGGGCGGCGGTGCTGGAGGTTGCGGCGGCGGCGGCGAAGGCGCAGCCCGAGGCGGCGGGTGGGAAGAGGACTGCCAGAGGGGCCTGCGGGAGACCCAGGGTCGGACCCATAGGAGTCCTGTGGTGAGGACCTCCTTGATCGCTCTTCTGCTTCGGTTCCCACTGAAGGAGGAGCTTCGGGGTGCCGGCTGGGCTGCGCGGACTCCTCTTGGGGTCCGATGATGGATCCCAGCGGGTGATCGGGAATGGGGTTCCAATGCAGTGAGGCGGAAAGGGTCTCGCCGGGGCACAGGAAGATCCCCAGGGCCGCAAGGCGTGCTGTCGGCTGCAAAGGCACCGACCCATGAGCCCACTGCCTCCCTCCTTCCTGGCAGGAGCAGGGGCCTGCCTTCATCTCCAAGGCCCGAGGGCTCCGGCAACCCGAGGCGGCTTCCGGCGACACGGGCAAAGAGAGACAGAGGCGAGTCCGAGCTGGAGCCAGCGTGTCCACATGTGGCACTGTCGTCCCCCAAGAGCACATGCAGGCAGCGTGTGTCTTTGAGGCCGTAGGGGGCGACGACGAGACGGACAGTGATGTCCAGGCGTGCGCCCGGGGGGCCACTGGAGACCTGCCCCACAAAGCGGAGGAAAAGCCAAGCGCACCTGAAAACCTGCGAGACAGGGCCTGTGCGCGAGTCCACGCCACGTTCAGGGAGGCCCGCCAGAGGAGCCGAGAGGTTTGGACAAAGTACACCCCACCCCCAGCCCGCCGCCGGCTAGGTACCCCTGACGCAACCTCCCCTGCACCCAGCCAAAACCCAGTCCCGTTGGCTCCCTGACATCCGTGGCAGCCAAAAGATTCGGTGCTAGAAGGCACTTTCCCCAGGAGCGGAGGAAGCGGTTGGCCCTCAAGAATCAGAGAGGAAGTGCAGGTGGGATGCAACACCGCCTTTCCTAGAAGGCCAATGTCAGGAGCGGTGGGCTTGCCTCCGCCTCTTCCTGGACCGAGCGTGCAGCCATCACTTGGGCCATGGAGACCGAGAGAGCTTCCCTGTCCCACACAGGTATGGAAGCCCAGAGCTCCAGGATCACCACAGCTGCCCAATCATCCAGAAAGAGGTGTGGAGAGGGAAACAATCATGACGCGGACCGCCACGAGGTTTCTCCCTGATGGACGGGGAAGTCTTCTTTGTGGAAGACACTGAGCCACACTAAGAAGCCGCCAGGCTTCTCAGAGACGGGGCAGACACAGCAAGAGGGAGGTCAGAGCAGAGGCCAGAGCCCAGGCAGGATACGGGGGGGCCATGCCACCACCACCGGCATCCGGGGAGGAGTGTCAAACGGGTGACTCGGCCAGGAAGGCCAGCCTTTGAGAGACAGACATGCTTGCCCCATCCCCTTGCCGGCTTCCTTCTCCGTCCCTGCGTCGAGCTGTGGCTACATTTCTCGATGAGGGCAGAGGGCGACAGGCGTGACAACCACCTTCTTGAAGCTCTGCGGGCACCCTCCTGCGGGTGGACGATGAGCGCCTGGGAGGCCGTTGTCCTTGGTTGGGGAGCGCTCGTCTGGATCCAGCCTAGCAAAGAGGCTGCTCCGGATGGGGAGGGGATGAAAACCCCTGCGGGTCCGACGCCGATGCCCACGTTGCCCAGGCCTTCACAGACCCCCAAACTGGAACCGCCGGGACGACGACTGCCAACCGGCCACACGACCCAGACAGAGACGCGGGGAGAGGCTGACCAGAAGAAAGGCCGACGTGCAAGAAACCCACCCTCCGGCGCACAGGGCACATGTGTCCCGAGGCGCACGCACACACAGACGGACAGAGACAGAAAGAGAGGGCCACGGAAAGAGCGAGAAGGGAGAGAGGGAGAGGGAGAGAGAGAGAGAGAGAGAGAGAGAGAGAGAGACGTGAGAGAGAGACAGAAGTCGGCACACAGACAGGCACTGCGCGCGCACACACACAGACACACACACAGACGCACCCCCCCCAACACACACACACACACACCCATGACGAACACACACGTACAGCAGGGAACACCCTCCCGCAGGCAGCCCCTGAAGCTGCCGGGTTCTGCTCTCCGCGACTGAGAGCCACCGGTGAGAGAGCAGCCCACGGGCACGCAGGCGGACCTGTGCTCGTCATCACAAGGGCTCCACTTTTGGGGAGACTCACCCGCACACCGTCCGCGCACGCCTGAGGCTGGGATCCCGCGCTGCCTCGCCGGCGATCTGTCTGAGGTTTCTTCCTCCTGGGGTTTCTTCCTGCTGCTGGACCCTCCGCGAATCCCGGCCTCCGGAGACCGTCCTGGTAACTGCCCTGGCCAGGACTGGTCTCAGCCCAGACTCAGACGCACGATCACACAGGGCTCCTACTTCCCCAAGTGTCAGGGACCCATCCCCGGGCAACGGTGGCTTTCACTGTGACCCAAGCGGCGGCTCGGGCCTCGCGCATGCGCGCTGGCGAGGCCGACTCCCCCGCTCCACCCCCCCTTACTCCGCAGAGTCAGGCTGCGGACCCTTTAAAAAATGGCGGCGACGCGGCGGCTGCGGGGCCTGGGGCGGCGGTGCTGGAGGTTGCGGCGGCGGCGGCGAAGGCGCAGCCCGAGGCGGCGGGTGGGAAGAGGACTGCCAGAGGGGCCTGCGGGAGACCCATGGTCGGACCCATGAGTCCTGTGGTGAGGACCTCCTTGATCGCTCTTCTGCTTCGGTTCCCACTGAAGGAGGAGCTTCGGGGTGCCGGCTGGGCTGCGCGGACTCCTCTTGGGGTCCGATGATGGATCCCAGCGGGTGATCGGGAATGGGGTTCCAATGCAGTGAGGCGGAAAGGGTCTCGCCGGGGCACAGGAAGATCCCCAGGGCCGCAAGGCGTGCTGTCGGCTGCAAAGGCACCGACCCATGAGCCCACTGCCTCCCTCCTTCCTGGCAGGAGCAGGGGCCTGCCTTCATCTCCAAGGCCCGAGGGCTCCGGCAACCCGAGGCGGCTTCCGGCGACACGGGCAAAGAGAGACAGAGGCGAGTCCGAGCTGGAGCCAGTGTGTCCACATGTGGCACTGTCGTCCCCCAAGAGCACATGCAGGCAGCGTGTGTCTTTGAGGCCGTAGGGGGCGACGACGAGACGGACAGTGATGTCCAGGCGTGCGCCCGGGGGGCCACTGGAGACCTGCCCCACAAAGCGGAGGAAAAGCCAAGCGCACCTGAAAACCTGCGAGACAGGGCCTGTGCGCGAGTCCACGCCACGTTCAGGGAGGCCCGCCAGAGGAGCCGAGAGGTTTGGACAAAGTACACCCCACCCCCAGCCCGCCGCCGGCTAGGTACCCCTGACGCAACCTCCCCTGCACCCAGCCAAAACCCAGTCCCGTTGGCTCCCTGACATCCGTGGCAGCCAAAAGATTCGGTGCTAGAAGGCACTTTCCCCAGGAGCGGAGGAAGCGGTTGGCCCTCAAGAATCAGAGAGGAAGTGCAGGTGGGATGCAACACCGCCTTTCCTAGAAGGCCAATGTCAGGAGCGGTGGGCTTGCCTCCGCCTCTTCCTGGACCGAGCGTGCAGCCATCACTTGGGCCATGGAGACCGAGAGAGCTTCCCTGTCCCACACAGGTATGGAAGCCCAGAGCTCCAGGATCACCACAGCTGCCCAATCATCCAGAAAGAGGTGTGGAGAGGGAAACAAGCATGACGCGGACCGCCACGAGGTTTCTCCCTGATGGACGGGGAAGTCTTCTTTGTGGAAGACACTGAGCCACACTAAGAAGCCGCCAGGCTTCTCAGAGGCGGGGCAGACACAGCAAGAGGGAGGTCAGAGCAGAGGCCAGAGCCCAGGCAGGATACGGGGGGGCCATGCCACCACCACCGGCATCCGGGGAGGAGTGTCAAACGGGTGACTCGGCCAGGAAGGCCAGCCTTTGAGAGACAGACATGCTTGCCCCATCCCCTTGCCGGCTTCCTTCTCCGTCCCTGCGTCGAGCTGTGGCTACATTTCTCGATGAGGGCAGAGGGCGACAGGCGTGACAACCACCTTCTTGAAGCTCTGCGGGCACCCTCCTGCGGGTGGACGATGAGCGCCTGGGAGGCCGTTGTCCTTGGTTGGGGAGCGCTCGTCTGGATCCAGCCTAGCAAAGAGGCTGCTCCGGATGGGGAGGGGATGAAAACCCCTGCGGGTCCGACGCCGATGCCCACGTTGCCCAGGCCTTCACAGACCCCCAAACTGGAACCGCCGGGACGACGACTGCCAACCGGCCACACGACCCAGGCAGAGACGCGGGGAGAGGCTGACCAGAAGAAAGGCCGACGTGCAAGAAACCCACCCTCCGGCGCACAGGGCACATGTGTCCCGAGGCGCACGCACACACAGACGGACAGAGACAGAAAGAGAGGGCCACGGAAAGAGCGAGAAGGGAGACAGAGAGAGAGAGAGAGAGAGAGAGAGAGAGAGAGAGAGAGACGTGAGAGAGAGACAGAAGTCGGCACACAGACAGGCACTGCGCGCGCACACACACAGACACACACACAGACGCACCCCCCCAACACACACACACACACACCCATGACGAACACACACGTACAGCAGGGAACACCCTCCCGCAGGCAGCCCCTGAAGCTGCCGGGTTCTGCTCTCCGCGACTGAGAGCCACCGGTGAGAGAGCAGCCCACGGGCACGCAGGCGGACCTGTGCTCGTCATCACAAGGGCTCCACTTTTGGGGAGACTCACCCGCACACCGTCCGCGCACGCCTGAGGCTGGGATCCCGCGCTGCCTCGCCGGCGATCTGTCTGAGGTTTCTTCCTCCTGGGGTTTCTTCCTGCTGCTGGACCCTCCGCGAATCCCGGCCTCCGGAGACCGTCCTGGTAACTGCCCTGGCCAGGACTGGTCTCAGCCCAGACTCAGACGTACGATCACACAGGGCTCCTACTTCCCCAAGTGTCAGGGACCCATCCCCGGGCAACGGTGGCTTTCACTGTGACCCAAGCGGCGGCTCGGGCCTCGCGCATGCGCGCTGGCGAGGCCGACTCCCCCGCTCCACCCCCCCTTACTCCGCAGAGTCAGGCTGCGGACCCTTTAAAAAATGGCGGCGACGCGGCGGCTGCGGGGCCTGGGGCGGCGGTGCTGGAGGTTGCGGCGGCGGCGGCGAAGGCGCAGCCCGAGGCGGCGGGTGGGGAGAGGACTGCCAGAGGGGCCTGCGGGAGACCCATGGTCGGACCCATGAGTCCTGTGGTGAGGACCTCCTTGATCGCTCTTCTGCTTCGGTTCCCACTGAAGGAGGAGCTTCGGGGTGCCGGCTGGGCTGCGCGGACTCCTCTTGGGGTCCGATGATGGATCCCAGCGGGTGATCGGGAATGGGGTTCCAATGCAGTGAGGCGGAAAGGGTCTCGCCGGGGCACAGGAAGATCCCCAGGGCCGCAAGGCGTGCTGTCGGCTGCAAAGGCACCGACCCATGAGCCCACTGCCTCCCTCCTTCCTGGCAGGAGCAGGGGCCTGCCTTCATCTCCAAGGCCCGAGGGCTCCGGCAACCCGAGGCGGCTTCCGGCGACACGGGCAAAGAGAGACAGAGGCGAGTCCGAGCTGGAGCCAGCGTGTCCACATGTGGCACTGTCGTCCCCCAAGAGCACATGCAGGCAGCGTGTGTCTTTGAGGCCGTAGGGGGCGACGACGAGACGGACAGTGATGTCCAGGCGTGCGCCCGGGGGGCCACTGGAGACCTGCCCCACAAAGCGGAGGAAAAGCCAAGCGCACCTGAAAACCTGCGAGACAGGGCCTGTGCGCGAGTCCACGCCACGTTCAGGGAGGCCCGCCAGAGGAGCCGAGAGGTTTGGACAAAGTACACCCCACCCCCAGCCCGCCGCCGGCTAGGTACCCCTGACGCAACCTCCCCTGCACCCAGCCAAAACCCAGTCCCGTTGGCTCCCTGACATCCGTGGCAGCCAAAAGATTCGGTGCTAGAAGGCACTTTCCCCAGGAGCGGAGGAAGCGGTTGGCCCTCAAGAATCAGAGAGGAAGTGCAGGTGGGATGCAACACCGCCTTTCCTAGAAGGCCAATGTCAGGAGCGGTGGGCTTGCCTCCGCCTCTTCCTGGACCGAGCGTGCAGCCATCACTTGGGCCATGGAGACCGAGAGAGCTTCCCTGTCCCACACAGGTATGGAAGCCCAGAGCTCCAGGATCACCACAGCTGCCCAATCATCCAGAAAGAGGTGTGGAGAGGGAAACAAGCATGACGCGGACCGCCACGAGGTTTCTCCCTGATGGACGGGGAAGTCTTCTTTGTGGAAGACACTGAGCCACACTAAGAAGCCGCCAGGCTTCTCAGAGACGGGGCAGACACAGCAAGAGGGAGGTCAGAGCAGAGGCCAGAGCCCAGGCAGGATACGGGGGGGCCATGCCACCACCACCGGCATCCGGGGAGGAGTGTCAAACGGGTGACTCGGCCAGGAAGGCCAGCCTTTGAGAGACAGACATGCTTGCCCCATCCCCTTGCCGGCTTCCTTCTCCGTCCCTGCGTCGAGCTGTGGCTACATTTCTCGATGAGGGCAGAGGGCGACAGGCGTGACAACCACCTTCTTGAAGCTCTGCGGGCACCCTCCTGCGGGTGGACGATGAGCGCCTGGGAGGCCGTTGTCCTTGGTTGGGGAGCGCTCGTCTGGATCCAGCCTAGCAAAGAGGCTGCTCCGGATGGGGAGGGGATGAAAACCCCTGCGGGTCCGACGCCGATGCCCACGTTGCCCAGGCCTTCACAGACCCCCAAACTGGAACCGCCGGGACGACGACTGCCAACCGGCCACACGACCCAGACAGAGACGCGGGGAGAGGCTGACCAGAAGAAAGGCCGACGTGCAAGAAACCCACCCTCCGGCGCACAGGGCACATGTGTCCCGAGGCGCACGCACACACAGACGGACAGAGACAGAAAGAGAGGGCCACGGAAAGAGCGAGAAGGGAGAGAGGGAGAGGGAGAGGGAGAGAGAGAGAGAGAGAGAGAGAGAGAGAGAGAGAGAGAGAGACGTGAGAGAGAGACAGAAGTCGGCACACAGACAGGCACTGCGCGCGCACACACACAGACACACACACAGACGCACCCCCCCCAACACACACACACACACACCCATGACGAACACACACGTACAGCAGGGAACACCCTCCCGCAGGCAGCCCCTGAAGCTGCCGGGTTCTGCTCTCCGCGACTGAGAGCCACCGGTGAGAGAGCAGCCCACGGGCACGCAGGCGGACCTGTGCTCGTCATCACAAGGGCTCCACTTTTGGGGAGACTCACCCGCACACCGTCCGCGCACGCCTGAGGCTGGGATCCCGCGCTGCCTCGCCGGCGATCTGTCTGAGGTTTCTTCCTCCTGGGGTTTCTTCCTGCTGCTGGACCCTCCGCGAATCCCGGCCTCCGGAGACCGTCCTGGTAACTGCCCTGGCCAGGACTGGTCTCAGCCCAGACTCAGACGCACGATCACACAGGGCTCCTACTTCCCCA
Source organism: Homo sapiens (assembly GCF_000001405.40). Taxonomy (NCBI): domain Eukaryota; kingdom Metazoa; phylum Chordata; class Mammalia; order Primates; family Hominidae; genus Homo; species Homo sapiens. The sequence goes on along the minus strand of NC_000019.10, from coordinate 36,276,724 downwards.
AGTGTCAGGGACCCATCCCCGGGCAACGGTGGCTTTCACTGTGACCCAAGCGGCGGCTCGGGCCTCGCGCATGCGCGCTGGCGAGGCCGACTCCCCCGCTCCACCCCCCCTTACTCCGCAGAGTCAGGCTGCGGACCCTTTAAAAAATGGCGGCGACGCGGCGGCTGCGGGGCCTGGGGCGGCGGTGCTGGAGGTTGCGGCGGCGGCGGCGAAGGCGCAGCCCGAGGCGGCGGGTGGGAAGAGGACTGCCAGAGGGGCCTGCGGGAGACCCAGGGTCGGACCCATAGGAGTCCTGTGGTGAGGACCTCCTTGATCGCTCTTCTGCTTCGGTTCCCACTGAAGGAGGAGCTTCGGGGTGCCGGCTGGGCTGCGCGGACTCCTCTTGGGGTCCGATGATGGATCCCAGCGGGTGATCGGGAATGGGGTTCCAATGCAGTGAGGCGGAAAGGGTCTCGCCGGGGCACAGGAAGATCCCCAGGGCCGCAAGGCGTGCTGTCGGCTGCAAAGGCACCGACCCATGAGCCCACTGCCTCCCTCCTTCCTGGCAGGAGCAGGGGCCTGCCTTCATCTCCAAGGCCCGAGGGCTCCGGCAACCCGAGGCGGCTTCCGGCGACACGGGCAAAGAGAGACAGAGGCGAGTCCGAGCTGGAGCCAGTGTGTCCACATGTGGCACTGTCGTCCCCCAAGAGCACATGCAGGCAGCGTGTGTCTTTGAGGCCGTAGGGGGCGACGACGAGACGGACAGTGATGTCCAGGCGTGCGCCCGGGGGGCCACTGGAGACCTGCCCCACAAAGCGGAGGAAAAGCCAAGCGCACCTGAAAACCTGCGAGACAGGGCCTGTGCGCGAGTCCACGCCACGTTCAGGGAGGCCCGCCAGAGGAGCCGAGAGGTTTGGACAAAGTACACCCCACCCCCAGCCCGCCGCCGGCTAGGTACCCCTGACGCAACCTCCCCTGCACCCAGCCAAAACCCAGTCCCGTTGGCTCCCTGACATCCGTGGCAGCCAAAACATTCGGTGCTAGAAGGCACTTTCCCCAGGAGCGGAGGAAGCGGTTGGCCCTCAAGAATCAGAGAGGAAGTGCAGGTGGGATGCAACACCGCCTTTCCTAGAAGGCCAATGTCAGGAGCGGTGGGCTTGCCTCCGCCTCTTCCTGGACCGAGCGTGCAGCCATCACTTGGGCCATGGAGACCGAGAGAGCTTCCCTGTCCCACACAGGTATGGAAGCCCAGAGCTCCAGGATCACCACAGCTGCCCAATCATCCAGAAAGAGGTGTGGAGAGGGAAACAATCATGACGCGGACCGCCACGAGGTTTCTCCCTGATGGACGGGGAAGTCTTCTTTGTGGAAGACACTGAGCCACACTAAGAAGCCGCCAGGCTTCTCAGAGACGGGGCAGACACAGCAAGAGGGAGGTGAGAGCAGAGGCCAGAGCCCAGGCAGGATACGGGGGGGCCATGCCACCACCACCGGCATCCGGGGAGGAGTGTCAAACGGGTGACTCGGCCAGGAAGGCCAGCCTTTGAGAGACAGACATGCTTGCCCCATCCCCTTGCCGGCTTCCTTCTCCGTCCCTGCGTCGAGCTGTGGCTACATTTCTCGATGAGGGCAGAGGGCGACAGGCGTGACAACCACCTTCTTGAAGCTCTGCGGGCACCCTCCTGCGGGTGGACGATGAGCGCCTGGGAGGCCGTTGTCCTTGGTTGGGGAGCGCTCGTCTGGATCCAGCCTAGCAAAGAGGCTGCTCCGGATGGGGAGGGGATGAAAACCCCTGCGGGTCCGACGCCGATGCCCACGTTGCCCAGGCCTTCACAGACCCCCAAACTGGAACCGCCGGGACGACGACTGCCAACCGGCCACACGACCCAGGCAGAGACGCGGGGAGAGGCTGACCAGAAGAAAGGCCGACGTGCAAGAAACCCACCCTCCGGCGCACAGGGCACATGTGTCCCGAGGCGCACGCACACACAGACGGACAGAGACAGAAAGAGAGGGCCACGGAAAGAGCGAGAAGGGAGAGAGAGAGAGAGAGAGAGAGACAGAGAGAGAGAGAGAGAGAGAGAGAGACGTGAGAGAGAGACAGAAGTCGGCACACAGACAGGCACTGCGCGCGCACACACACAGACACACACACAGACGCACCCCCCCCAACACACACACACACACACCCATGACGAACACACACGTACAGCAGGGAACACCCTCCCGCAGGCAGCCCCTGAAGCTGCCGGGTTCTGCTCTCCGCGACTGAGAGCCACCGGTGAGAGAGCAGCCCACGGGCACGCAGGCGGACCTGTGCTCGTCATCACAAGGGCTCCACTTTTGGGGAGACTCACCCGCACACCGTCCGCGCACGCCTGAGGCTGGGATCCCGCGCTGCCTCGCCGGCGATCTGTCTGAGGTTTCTTCCTCCTGGGGTTTCTTCCTGCTGCTGGACCCTCCGCGAATCCCGGCCTCCGGAGACCGTCCTGGTAACTGCCCTGGCCAGGACTGGTCTCAGCCCAGACTCAGACGCACGATCACACAGGGCTCCTACTTCCCCAAGTGTCAGGGACCCATCCCCGGGCAACGGTGGCTTTCACTGTGACCCAAGCGGCGGCTCGGGCCTCGCGCATGCGCGCTGGCGAGGCCGACTCCCCCGCTCCACCCCCCCTTACTCCGCAGAGTCAGGCTGCGGACCCTTTAAAAAATGGCGGCGACGCGGCGGCTGCGGGGCCTGGGGCGGCGGTGCTGGAGGTTGCGGCGGCGGCGGCGAAGGCGCAGCCCGAGGCGGCGGGTGGGAAGAGGACTGCCAGAGGGGCCTGCGGGAGACCCATGGTCGGACCCATGAGTCCTGTGGTGAGGACCTCCTTGATCGCTCTTCTGCTTCGGTTCCCACTGAAGGAGGAGCTTCGGGGTGCCGGCTGGGCTGCGCGGACTCCTCTTGGGGTCCGATGATGGATCCCAGCGTGTGATCGGGAATGGGGTTCCAATGCAGTGAGGCGGAAAGGGTCTCGCCGGGGCACAGGAAGATCCCCAGGGCCGCAAGGCGTGCTGTCGGCTGCAAAGGCACCGACCCATGAGCCCACTGCCTCCCTCCTTCCTGGCAGGAGCAGGGGCCTGCCTTCATCTCCAAGGCCCGAGGGCTCCGGCAACCCGAGGCGGCTTCCGGCGACACGGGCAAAGAGAGACAGAGGCGAGTCCGAGCTGGAGCCAGTGTGTCCACATGTGGCACTGTCGTCCCCCAAGAGCACATGCAGGCAGCGTGTGTCTTTGAGGCCGTAGGGGGCGACGACGAGACGGACAGTGATGTCCAGGCGTGCGCCCGGGGGGCCACTGGAGACCTGCCCCACAAAGCGGAGGAAAAGCCAAGCGCACCTGAAAACCTGCGAGACAGGGCCTGTGCGCGAGTCCACGCCACGTTCAGGGAGGCCCGCCAGAGGAGCCGAGAGGTTTGGACAAAGTACACCCCACCCCCAGCCCGCCGCCGGCTAGGTTCCCCTGACGCAACCTCCCCTGCACCCAGCCAAAACCCAGTCCCGTTGGCTCCCTGACATCCGTGGCAGCCAAAAGATTCGGTGCTAGAAGGCACTTTCCCCAGGAGCGGAGGAAGCGGTTGGCCCTCAAGAATCAGAGAGGAAGTGCAGGTGGGATGCAACACCGCCTTTCCTAGAAGGCCAATGTCAGGAGCGGTGGGCTTGCCTCCGCCTCTTCCTGGACCGAGCGTGCAGCCATCACTTGGGCCATGGAGACCGAGAGAGCTTCCCTGTCCCACACAGGTATGGAAGCCCAGAGCTCCAGGATCACCACAGCTGCCCAATCATCCAGAAAGAGGTGTGGAGAGGGAAACAAGCATGACGCGGACCGCCACGAGGTTTCTCCCTGATGGACGGGGAAGTCTTCTTTGTGGAAGACACTGAGCCACACTAAGAAGCCGCCAGGCTTCTCAGAGACGGGGCAGACACAGCAAGAGGGAGGTCAGAGCAGAGGCCAGAGCCCAGGCAGGATACGGGGGGGCCATGCCACCACCACCGGCATCCGGGGAGGAGTGTCAAACGGGTGACTCGGCCAGGAAGGCCAGCCTTTGAGAGACAGACATGCTTGCCCCATCCCCTTGCCGGCTTCCTTCTCCGTCCCTGCGTCGAGCTGTGGCTACATTTCTCGATGAGGGCAGAGGGCGACAGGCGTGACAACCACCTTCTTGAAGCTCTGCGGGCACCCTCCTGCGGGTGGACGATGAGCGCCTGGGAGGCCGTTGTCCTTGGTTGGGGAGCGCTCGTCTGGATCCAGCCTAGCAAAGAGGCTGCTCCGGATGGGGAGGGGATGAAAACCCCTGCGGGTCCGACGCCGATGCCCACGTTGCCCAGGCCTTCACAGACCCCCAAACTGGAACCGCCGGGACGACGACTGCCAACCGGCCACACGACCCAGGCAGAGACGCGGGGAGAGGCTGACCAGAAGAAAGGCCGACGTGCAAGAAACCCACCCTCCGGCGCACAGGGCACATGTGTCCCGAGGCGCACGCACACACAGACGGACAGAGACAGAAAGAGAGGGCCACGGAAAGAGCGAGAAGGGAGAGAGAGAGAGAGAGAGAGACCTGAGAGAGAGACAGAAGTCCGCACACAGACAGGCACTGCGCGCGCACACACACAGACGCACCCCCCCCAACACACAAACACACACACCCATGACGAACACACACGTACAGCAGGGAACACCCTCCCGCAGGCAGCCCCTGAAGCTGCCGGGTTCTGCTCTCCGCGACTGAGAGCCAGCGGTGAGAGAGCCGCCCACGGGCACGCAGGCGGACCTGTGCTCGTCATCACAAGGGCTCCACTTTTGGGGAGACTCACCCGCACACCGTCCGCGCACGCCTGAGGCTGGGATCCCGCGCTGCCTCGCCGGCGATCTGTCTGAGGTTTCTTCCTCCTGGGGTTTCTTCCTGCTGCTGGACCCTCCGCGAATCCCGGCCTCCGGAGACCGTCCTGGTAACTGCCCTGGCCAGGACTGGTCTCAGCCCAGACTCAGACGCACGATCACACAGGGCTCCTACTTCCCCAAGTGTCAGGGACCCATCCCCGGGCAACGGTGGCTTTCACTGTGACCCAAGCGGCGGCTCGGGCCTCGCGCATGCGCGCTGGCGAGGCCGACTCCCCCGCTCCACCCCCCCTTACTCCGCAGAGTCAGGCTGCGGACCCTTTAAAAAATGGCGGCGACGCGGCGGCTGCGGGGCCTGGGGCGGCGGTGCTGGAGGTTGCGGCGGCGGCGGCGAAGGCGCAGCCCGAGGCGGCGGGTGGGAAGAGGACTGCCAGAGGGGCCTGCGGGAGACCCAGGGTCGGACCCATAGGAGTCCTGTGGTGAGGACCTCCTTGAACGCTCTTCTGCTTCGGTTCCCGCTGAAGGAGGAGCTTCGGGGTGCCGGCTGGGCTGCGCGGACTCCTCTTGGGGTCCGATGATGGATCCCAGCGGGTGATCGGGAATGGGGTTCCAATGCAGTGAGGCGGAAAGGGTCTCGCCGGGGCACAGGAAGATCCCCAGGGCCGCAAGGCGTGCTGTCGGCTGCAAAGGCACCGACCCATGAGCCCACTGCCTCCCTCCTTCCTGGCAGGAGCAGGGGCCTGCCTTCATCTCCAAGGCCCGAGGGCTCCGGCAACCCGAGGCGGCTTCCGGCGACACGGGCAAAGAGAGACAGAGGCGAGTCCGAGCTGGAGCCAGTGTGTCCACATGTGGCACTGTCGTCCCCCAAGAGCACATGCAGGCAGCGTGTGTCTTTGAGGCCGTAGGGGGCGACGACGAGACGGACAGTGATGTCCAGGCGTGCGCCCGGGGGGCCACTGGAGACCTGCCCCACAAAGCGGAGGAAAAGCCAAGCGCACCTGAAAACCTGCGAGACAGGGCCTGTGCGCGAGTCCACGCCACGTTCAGGGAGGCCCGCCAGAGGAGCCGAGAGGTTTGGACAAAGTACACCCCACCCCCAGCCCGCCGCCGGCTAGGTACCCCTGACGCAACCTCCCCTGCACCCAGCCAAAACCCAGTCCCGTTGGCTCCCTGACATCCGTGGCAGCCAAAACATTCGGTGCTAGAAGGCACTTTCCCCAGGAGCGGAGGAAGCGGTTGGCTCTCAAGAATCAGAGAGGAAGTGCAGGTGGGATGCAACACCGCCTTTCCTAGAAGGCCAATGTCAGGAGCGGTGGGCTTGCCTCCGCCTCTTCCTGGACCGAGCGTGCAGCCATCACTTGGGCCATGGAGACCGAGAGAGCTTCCCTGTCCCACACAGGTATGGAAGCCCAGAGCTCCAGGATCACCACAGCTGCCCAATCATCCAGAAAGAGGTGTGGAGAGGGAAACAAGCATGACGCGGACCGCCACGAGGTTTCTCCCTGATGGACGGGGAAGTCTTCTTTGTGGAAGACACTGAGCCACACTAAGAAGCCGCCAGGCTTCTCAGAGACGGGGCAGACACAGCAAGAGGGAGGTCAGAGCAGAGGCCAGAGCCCAGGCAGGATACGGGGGGGCCATGCCACCACCACCGGCATCCGGGGAGGAGTGTCAAACGGGTGACTCAGCCAGGAAGGCCAGCCTTTGAGAGACAGACATGCTTGCCCCATCCCCTTGCCGGCTTCCTTCTCCGTCCCTGCGTCGAGCTGTGGCTACATTTCTCGATGAGGGCAGAGGGCGACAGGCGTGACAACCACCTTCTTGAAGCTCTGCGGGCACCCTCCTGCGGGTGGACGATGAGCGCCTGGGAGGCCGTTGTCCTTGGTTGGGGAGCGCTCGTCTGGATCCAGCCTAGCAAAGAGGCTGCTCCGGATGGGGAGGGGATGAAAACCCCTGCGGGTCCGACGCCGATGCCCACGTTGCCCAGGCCTTCACAGACCCCCAAACTGGAACCGCCGGGACGACGACTGCCAACCGGCCACACGACCCAGGCAGAGACGCGGGGAGAGGCTGACCAGAAGAAAGGCCGACGTGCAAGAAACCCACCCTCCGGCGCACAGGGCACATGTGTCCCGAGGCGCACGCACACACAGACGGACAGAGACAGAAAGAGAGGGCCACGGAAAGAGCGAGAAGGGAGAGAGGGAGAGGGAGAGAGAGAGAGAGAGAGAGAGAGAGAGACGTGAGAGAGAGACAGAAGTCGACACACAGACAGGCACTGCGCGCGCACACACACAGACGCACCCCCCCCAACACACACACACACACACCCATGACGAACACACACGTACAGCAGGGAACACCCACCCGCAGGCAGCCCCTGAAGCTGCCGGGTTCTGCTCTCCGCGACTGAGAGCCACCGGTGAGAGAGCAGCCCACGGGCACGCAGGCGGACCTGTGCTCGTCATCACAAGGGCTCCACTTTTGGGGAGACTCACCCGCACACCGTCCGCGCACGCCTGAGGCTGGGATCCCGCGCTGCCTCGCCGGCGATCTGTCTGAGGTTTCTTCCTCCTGGGGTTTCTTCCTGCTGCTGGACCCTCCGCGAATCCCGGCCTCCGGAGACCGTCCTGGTAACTGCCCTGGCCAGGACTGGTCTCAGCCCAGACTCAGACGCACGATCACACAGGGCTCCTACTTCCCCAAGTGTCAGGGACCCATCCCCGGGCAACGGTGGCTTTCACTGTGACCCAAGCGGCGGCTCGGGCCTTGCGCATGCGCGCTGGCGAGGCCGACTCCCCCGCTCCACCCGCCCTTACTTCGCAGAGTCAGGCTGCGGACCCTTTAAAAAATGGCGGCGACGCGGCGGCTGCGGGGCCTGGGGCGGCGGTGCTGGAGGTTGCGGCGGCGGCGGCGAAGGCGCAGCCCGAGGCGGCGGGTGGGAAGAGGACTGCCAGAGGGGCCTGCGGGAGACCCAGGGTCGGACCCATAGGAGTCCTGTGGTGAGGACCTCCTTGATCGCTCTTCTGCTTCGGTTCCCGCTGAAGGAGGAGCTTCGGGGTGCCGGCTGGGCTGCGCGGACTCCTCTTGGGGTCCGATGATGGATCCCAGCGGGTGATCGGGAATGGGGTTCCAATGCAGTGAGGCGGAAAGGGTCTCGCCGGGGCACAGGAAGATCCCCAGGGCCGCAAGGCGTGCTGTTGGCTGCAAAGGCACCGACCCATGAGCCCGCTGCCTCCCTCCTTCCTGGCAGGAGCAGGGGCCTGCCTTCATCTCCAAGGCCCGAGGGCTCCGGCATCCCGACGCGGCTTCCGGCGACACGGGCAAAGAGAGACAGAGGCGAGTCCGAGCTGGAGCCAGTGTGTCCACATGTGGCACTGTCGTCCCCCAAGAGCACATGCAGGCAGCGTGTGTCTTTGAGGCCGTAGGGGGCGACGACGAGACGGACAGTGATGTCCAGGCGTGCGCCCGTGGGCCACGGGAGACGTCAGCCACAAAGCTGAAGAAAAGCCAAGGGCAGCTGAAAACCTGCGAGACAGGGCCCGCGTCCGAATCCAAGCCACATTCAGGGATGCCTGCCAGAGGGGCCGAGAGGTTTCCACAAATTTCACCCCACTCCCACCCCCACCCCGCCACGGGGTAGGTACCCATGACGCCACCTCCCCTGCACCCAGCAAAACCCAGTCCCTTTGGCTCCCTGACATCCATGGCAGCCAGAAGATTCAGCGCTAGAAGCCTCCTTCCCCAGGAGCAGAGGAACCCGATGGCCCTCAAGAATCAGAGAGGAAGTGCAGGTGGCATGCCACACCACCTTTCCTAGAAGGCAAATGTCAGGAACGGTCGGGTTACCTCCCGCTCTTCCTGGACCGGCCACGCAGCCATCACTTGGGTCACGGAGACTCAGAAAGCTTCCCCGTCCCAGACAGCTATGGAAGCCCATAGCTCCAGGATCACCACACCTGCCCAATCATGCTGAAAGAGGTTTGGAGAGGGAAACAATCATGACACCGACCCCCAGGAACTTTCTCCCGGATGTACTGGGAAGAGTTCTGGGTTGAAGACATTGAGCCAGACTAAGAAGCCCCTAGGCTTCTCAGAAATAGGGCAGGCGGAGCAAGAGGGAGGACAGAGCAGAGGCCAGAGCCCAGGCAGGATTGGCCGCAATGCCACCACCACGGCCATCCGCGGAGGAGTGCCAAACCGGTGACTTGGCCACGAAGGCCAGCGTCTGACCCACAGAGATGTTTGCCCCATCCCGTTGCCGGCTTCCTCCTCCGTCTCTGTGTCGAGCCGTGGCTAGATTTCTCAAGGAGGGCAAAGGGCAAGAGGAGTGAGAAGCGTCTTCTTCAAGATCTGTGGGCACCCTCCTGCTGGTGGACAATGAGCCCCTCTGAGTCCTTCGTCCTTGGTTGGGGTGTGTTCGTCTGGATCCCAGCAAAGAGGCTGCTCAGGATAGGGAGGGGATGAAAACCCCTGCGGGTCCGACGCAGGTGCCCACGTTGCCCAGGCCTTCACAAACCCAAACTGGAACCGCCGGGAAAACGACTGCCAACGGGCCACACGACGCAGGAAGAGACCCGGGGAGAGGCTGACCACAAGAAAGGCTGATGTGCAAGAAACCACCCTCCGGCGCAAAGGGCACCTGTGTCCCAGCAAACACGCACGCACAGACGGACAGAGATAGTAACAGAGAGCGACGGAAAGAGTGAGAAGCGAGAGAGAGAGATATCAGAGAGAGACATAAGTGGGCACACAGACACACAGACACACACACACACACACACCCCTAAGCACAAACACATACAGCAGGTAACACCCAGCCCCAGGCAGCCCCTGAAGCTGCCGGGTTCTGCTCTCCGCGACTACAACCCAGAGGTGAAAGAGCAGCCCACGGGCACACGGGCAGACCTGTCCTCGACATCACAAGGGCACCACTTTTGGGGAGACTCACGGGCACACCGTCCGCGCACACCTGAGGCTGGGATCCCGCGCTGCCTCCCCGGCGATCCGTCTGAGGTTTCTTCCTCCTGAGGCTTCTCCCTGCTGGTCGACCCTCCGCGAATCCCGGCCTCCGGAGACCATCCTGTTAACGCCCTGGCCAGGACTGGTCTCAGGCACGACTCTGACGCACGGTCACACAGGTCTCCTACTTGGCCCAGTCTCAGGAATCCACCCCGGTGCAACGGTGGTGATCACTGACGCAAGTGGCGGCTCGGGCCTCGCGCATGCGCACTGGAGAGGCCGACTCTCCCCTCGCTCGGGAGAGGCAGGCTGCGGACCCTTTAAAAAATGGCGGCGACACGGCAGGTTGCTGGGACCGGGGCGGCGGTGGCGGCGGTGGCGCGCTTGCGGCGGCGGGTGGGAAGAGGACTGCCAGAGGGGCCTGCGGGAGACCCAGGGTCGGACCAGTAGGAGTCCTGTCCTCAGGACCTCCTTGATCGGTCTTCTGCTTCGGTTCCCGGTGGAGGAGGAGCTTCAGGGTGCCGGCTTGGCTGTGCGGACTCCTCTTCAGATCCGACTATGGATCCCACCGGGTGATCGGGAATGGGGTTGCAATGCAGTGAGGCGGGAAGGGTCTCGCTGGGGCACAGAAAGATCCCCAGGGCCGCAAGGCGTGCTGTCGGCGGAAAATGAACTGACCCACGAGCCCACTGCCTCCCTCCTTCCTGGGTGGAGCAGTGGCCTGCCTTCATCTCCAAGGCCCGGGGGCTCGGGCATCCCGACACTGCTTTCCACGACACATGCAAAGACAGACAGAGGCGAGTCTGAGATGGAGCCAGTGTGACCACCCGTGGCACTGACGTCGCCCAAGAGCGGATGGAGTGAGCGGGTGTCTTTGAGGCCGTAGGGGGCGTGGCGAGACGGACAATGATGTCCAGCCGTGCGCCCGTGGGCCACGGGAGACCTCGGCCACAAAGCTGAAGAAAAGCCAAGCGCAGCTGAAAACTTGCGAGACAGGGCCTGCGACCGAATCCAAGCCACATTCAGGGATGCCTGCCAGAGGGGCCGAGAGGTTTCCACAAATTTCACCCCACTCCCACCCCCACCCTGCCACCGGGTACGTACCCGTGATGCCACCTCCCCTGCACCCAGCAAAACCCAGTCCCTTTGGCTCCCTGACATCCGTGGCAGCCAGAAGATTCAGCGCTAGAAGCCTCTTTTCCCAGGAGCAGAGGAACCCGATGGCCCTCAAGAATCAGAGAGGAAGTGCAGGTGGCATGCCACACTGCCTTTCCTAGAAGGCAAATGTCAGGAATGGTCGGGTTGCCTCCCGCTCTTCCTGGACGGACCACGCAGCCATCACTTGGGCCACAGAGACCCAGAAAGCTTCCCTGTCCCAGACAGCTATAGAAGCCCAGAGCTCCAGGATCACCACACCTGCCCAATCATGCTTAAAGAGGTTTGGAGAGGGAAACAATCATGACACCGACCCCCAGGAACTTTCTCCCGGATGGACTGGGAAGTCTTTTGGGTTGAAGACATTGAGGCAGACCAAGAAGCCCCTAGGCTTCTCAGAAACAGGGCAGGCAGAGCAAGAGGGAGGACAGAGCAGAGGCCAGAGCCCAGGCATGACTGGCGGCAATCCCACAACCAGGGCCATCCAGGGAGGAGTGCCAAATGGGTGACTTTGCCTGGAAGGCCAGTGTCAGGCCTCTGAGCCCAAGCCAATCCATCGCATCCCCTGTGACTTGAACATATACACCAGATGGTCTGAAGTAACTGAAGATCCACAAAAGACATCAAAATAGCCTTAACTGATGACATTCTACCATTGTGATTTGTTCCTTCCCCACCCTATCTGATCAATGTACTTTGTAATCTCCCCCACCCTTAAGATGTTTCTTTGTAATTCTCCCCACCCTTGAGAATGTACTTTGTGAGATCGACCCCTGTCCGCAAAACATTGCTATCAACTTCACCACCTATCCCAAAACCTATAAGAACTAATGGTAATCCATCTCCCTTTGCTGACTCTCTTTTCAGACTCAGCCCACCTGCACCCAGTTGAAATAAACAGCCATGTTGCTCACACAAAGCCTGTTTGGTGGTCTCTTCACATGGACGGGCATGAAATTTGGTGCCGTGACTCGGATCGGGGGACCTCCCTTAGGAGATCAATCCCCCATCCTCCTGCTCTTTGCTCCGTGAGAGAGATCCACCTATGAGCTCAGGTCCTCAGACTCACCAGCCCAAGAAACATCTCACCAATTTCACTTCCGGTAAGCGGCCTCTTTTTACTCTCCAACTTCTCTCACTATCCCTCCAACCTCTTTCTCCTTTCAATCTTGGCACCACACTTCAATCTCTCCCATCTCTTAATTTCAATTCCTTTCATTTTCTATTAGATACAAAGGAGACACGTTTTATCCGTGGACCCAAAACTCCGGCGCCGGTCACGGACTGGGAAGGCAGGCTTCCCTTGGTGTTTAATCATTGCAGGCCCACCTCTCTGATTATTCACCCATGTTTCAAAGGTGTCAGACCATGCAGGGACGCCTGCCTTGGTCCTTCACCCTTAGCGGCAAGTCCCGCTTTTCTGGGGGAGGGGCAAGTACCCCAACCCCTTCTCTCCGTGTCTCTACCCCTTCTCTGCTCTTCTGGGGCAGGAGCAAGAACCCCTCAACCCCTTCTCCTTCACCCTTAGTGGCAAGTCCCACTTTTCTAGGGGACGGGCAAGTACCCCAACCCCTTCTGTGTCTCTACCCCTTCTCTGCTTTTCTGGGGTAGGGGCAAGTACCCCTCAACCCCTTCTCCTTCACCCTTAGCAGCAAGTCCCACTTTTCTAGGTGGCAAGAATCCCCAATCCCTTATTTCCACGCTACAACCCCTTTCCCACTTTTCTGGAGGGTGAGAACCCCTGAACCCCTTCCCTCCCTCTCTCTATGCTCTCTTTGCTCTGGGCTTGCCTCCCTCACTATGGGCAACCTTCCACCCTCCATTCCTCCTTTTTCTCCCTTAGCCTGTATTCTTAAGAACTTATAAACCTCTGCAACTCTCACCTGACCTAAAATCTAAGCGTCTTATTTTCTTCTGCAATGCTGCCTGACCCCAATACAAACTCCACAGTAGTTCCAAATAGCCCAAAAATGGCACTTTCAATCTTTCCACCCTACAAGATCTAAATAATTCTTGTCATAGAATGGGCAAATGGTCTGAGGAGGCCTGATGTCCAGGCATTCTTTCACACATCAGTCCCTTCCTAGTCTCTGTGCCCAGTGCAACTGCTCCCAAATCTTCTTTCTTTCCCTCCCACCTGTCCCCTCAGTCCCAACCCCAAGTGTCGCTGAGTCTTTGTAATCTTCCTTTTCTACAGACCCATCTGACCTCTCCCCTCCTCGCCAGGCCGAGCTAGGTCCTAATTCTTCCTCAGCCTCTGCTCCTCCATCCTGTAATCTTTTTATCGCCTTCCCTCCTCACACCTGGTCCAGCTTACACTTTCGTTCTGTTACTAGCCCTCTCCACCTGCCCAGCAATTTACTGTTTAAAAGGTGGCTGGAGCCAAAGGCATAGTCAAGGTTAATACTCCTTTCTCTTTATCCCAAATCAGAAGCGTTTAGGCTCTTTTTCATCAAATATAAAAACACAGCCCAGTTCATGGCTCGTTCGGCAGCAACCCTGAGACGCTTTACAGCCCTAAACCCTAAAAGGTCAAAAGGCCATCTTATTCTCAATATACATTTTATTACCCAAACTGCTCCCGACATTAAATAAAACTCCAAAAATTGGAATCTGGCCCTCAAACCCCACAACAGGACTTAATTAACCTCACCTTCAAGGTGTACAATAATAAAAAAAAAGTTGCAATTCCTTGCCTCCACTGTGAGACAAACCCCAGCTACATCTCCAGCACACAAGAACTTCCAAACGCTTGAACCGCAGCCGCCAGGCGTTCCTCCAGAACCTCCTCCCCCAGGAGCTTGCTATAAGTGCCAGAAATCTGACCACCAGGCCAAGGAATGCCTGCAGTCCAGGATTCCTCCTAAGCCATGTCCCATCTGTGCAGGAACCCACTGGAAATCGGACTGTTCAACTCACCTGGCAGCCACTCCCAGAGCCCCTGGAACTCTGGCCCAAAGCTCTCTGACTGACTCCTTGGCTTAGCGGCTGAAGATTGATGCTGCCTGATCTCCTCGGAAGCCCCGTAGACCATCACAGACGCCGAGATTTTGGTAACTCTCACAGTGGAGGGTAAGTCCGTCCCCTTCTTAATCAATACGGAGGCTACCCACTCCACATTACTTTCTTTTCAAAGGCCTGTTTCCCTTGCCTCCATAACTGTTGTAGGTATTGACAGCCAGGCTTCTAAACCTCTTAAAACTCCCCAGCTCTGGTGCCAACTTAGACAATATTCTTTTATGCACTCTTTTTTAGTTATCCCCCTCTGCCCAGTTCCCTTATTAGGCCGAGATATTTTAACAAAATTATCTGCTTCCCTGACTATTCCTGGACTACAGCTGCATCTCATTGCCGCCCTTCTTCCCAATCCAAAGCCTCCTTTGCATCCTCCTCTTGTATCCCCCCACCTTAACCCACAAGTATAAGATACCCCTACTCCCTCCTTGGTGACCGATCATGCACCCCTTACCATCTCATTAAAACCTAATCACCCTTTTACCCCACTCAATGTCAAGATCCCATCCCACAGCATGCTTTGAAAGGATTAAAGCCTGTTATCACTCACCTGCTACAGCATGGCCTTTTAAAGCCTATAAACTCTCCTTACAATTCCCCCATTTTACCTGTCCTAAAACCAGACAAGGCTTACAAGTTAGTCCAGAATCTGCGCCTTATCAACCAAATTGTTTTGCCTATCCACCCCATGGTGCCAAACCCATGTACTCTCCTGTCCTCAGTACCTCCCTCTGCTACCCATTATTCTGTTCTGGATCTCAAACATGCTTTCTTTCCTATTCCTTTGCACCCGTCATCCCAGCCTCTCTTCCCTTTCACTTGGACTTACCCTGACACCCATCAGGCTCAGCAAATTACCTGGGCTGTACTGCCGCAAGGCTTCACAGACAGACCCCATTACTTCAGTCAAGCCCAAATTTCATCCTCATCTGTTACCTATCTCAGCATAATTCTCGGAAAAACACACGTGCTCTCTCTGCTGATCGTGTCCAGTTAATCTCCCCAAACCTCAATCCCTTACAAAACAACAACTCCTTTCCTTCCTAGGCATGGTTTGTGTGTCAGAATTCTTACACAAGAGCCAGGACTGCACCCTGTAGCCTTTCTGTCCAAACAACTTGACCTTACTGTTTTAGCCTAGCCCTCATGTCTGTGTGCAGCGGCTGCCACTGCTTTAATACTTTTAGAGGCCCTCAAAATCACAAACTATGCTCAACTCACTCTCTACATTTCTCATAACTTCCAAAATCTATTTTCTTCCTCATACCTGATGCATATACTTTCTGCTCCCTGACTCCTTCAGCTGTACTCACTCTTTGTTAAGTCCCACAATTACCATTGTTCCTGGCACAGACTTCAATCCAGCCTCCCACATTATTCCTGATACCACACCTGACCCCCATGACTATCTCTCTCATCCACCTGACATTCATCCCATTTCCCCATATTTCCTTCTTTCCTGTTCCTGACCCTGATCACACTTGATTTATTGATGGCAGTTCCACCAGGCCTAATCGCCACACACCAGCAAAGGCAGGCTATGCTATAGTACAAGCCACTATCCCTCCTCTTAGAACCTCTCGTTTCCTTTCCATTGTGGAAATCTATCCCCAAGGAAATAACTTCTCAGTGTTCCATCTGCTATTCTACTACTCCTCAGGAATTATTCAGGCCCCCTCCTTTCCCTACACATCAAGCTTGAAGATTTGCCCCCACCCAGGACTGGCAAATTAGCTTTACTCAACATGCCCCAAGTCAGATAACTAAAATACCTCTTAGTCTAAGTAGACACTTTCACTAGATAAGTAGAGGCCTTTCCTACAGGGTCTGAGAAGGCCACCACAGTCATTTCTTCCCTTCTGTCAGACATAATTCCTCAGTTTAGCCTTCCCACCTCAATACAGTCTGGTAACAGACCAGCCTTTAGTAGTCAAATCAGCCAAGCAGTTTTTCAGGCTCTTAGTATTCAGTAAAACTTTTATATCCCTTATGGTCCTCTGTCTTCAAGAAAAGTAGAACTGACTAAAGGTCTTTTAAAAACACACCTCACCAAGCTCAGCCACCAACTTAAAAAGGACTGGAAAGTACTTTTACCACTTTCCCTTCTCAGAAGTCAGACCTGTCGTCAGAATGCTGCAAGGTGCAGCGCATTTAAGCTCCTGTATAGACGCTCCTTTTTATTAGGCCCCAGTCTCATTTGACACCAGACCAACTTAGACTGTGCCCCAAAAAAACTTGCCATCCCTACTATCTTCTCTCTAGTCATACTCCTATTCACCGTTCTCAACTACTCATACATGCCCTGTTCTTGTTTACACTGCCAGTTTACACTGTTTCTCCAAGCCATCACAGCTGATATCTCCTGGTGCCATCCCCAAACTGCCACTCTAAACTCTTGAAGTAAATAAATAATCTTTGCTGGCAGGACTATGCTGAATCTCCTTAGGCACTCTCTAATCAGATGTCCTAGGTCCTCCCAATTCTTAGACCTTTTATACCTGTTTTTCTCCTTCTCTTTTTCCATTTAGTTTCTCAATCCATCCAAAACCGTATGCAGGTCATCACCAATAATTCTATATGACAAATGTTTCTTCTAACATCCCCACAATATCACCCCTTTCCACAAGATCTCCCTTCAGCTTAATCTCTCCCACTCTAGCTTCCCACGCCACCCCAATCCCGCTTGAAGCAGCCCTGAGAAACATCGCCCATTCTCTCTTCATACCACCCCCCAAAAATTTTCACCGCCCCAATACTTCAACACTATTTTATTTTTCTTATTAATATAAGAAGGCAGGAATGTCCAGCCTCTGAGCCCAAGCCAAGCCATCGCATCTCCTGTGACTTGCACGTATACACCCAGATGGCCTGAAGTAACTGAAGATCCACAAAAGAAGTCAAAATAGCTTTAAGTGATTACATTCCATCATTGTGATTTGTTCCTGCCCCACCCTAACTGATCAATGTACTCCGTAATATCCCCCACCCTTAAGAAGGCTCTTTGAAATTCTTCCCACCCTTGAGAATATACTTTGTGAGATCCACCCCTGCCCGCAAAACATGGCTCTTAACTTCACCGCCTAACCCAAAACCTACAAGAACTAATGATAATCCATCTCCCTTCATTGACTCTCTTTTCGGACTCAGCCGGCGTGCACCGAGGTGAAATAAACAGCCATGTTGCTCACACAAAGCCTGTTTGGTGGTCTCTTCACACGGACGCGCACCGACGTCCCCCAAGAGCAGATGGAGTGAGCGGGTGTCTTTGAGGCCGTAGGGGGTGAGGGTGAGACGGACAGTGATGTCCAGCCGTGCGCCCGGGGGGCCACTGGAGACCTCCACCACAAAGCTGAGGAAAAGCCAAGCACACCTGAAAACCTGCGAGACAGGGCCTGTGCAGGAATCCAAGCCACATTCAGGGATGCCTGCCAGAGGGGCTGAGAGGTTTCCACGAACTACACCCCACCCCAACCCCGCCACCGGGTAGGTACCCCCGACCCCACCACCCTTGCACCCAGCAAAACCCAGTCCCTTTGGCTTCCTGACATCCGTGGCAGCCAGAAGATTCAGTGCTAGAAGCCTCTTTCCCCAGGAGCAGAGGAACCCGATGGCCCTCAAGAATCAGAGAGGAAGTGCAGGTGGCATGCCACACCGCCTTTCCTAGAAGGCAAATGTCAGGAACGGTCGGGTTGCCTCCCGCTCTTCCTGGACCGACCACGGGGCAACAGAGACCCAGAAAGCTTCCCTGTCCCAGACAGCTATGGAAGCCCAGAGCTCCAGGATCACCACACCTGCCCAATTATGCTGAAAGAGGTTTGGGGAAGGAAACAGTCATGACACCGACCCCCAGGAACTTTCTCCCGGATGGACTGGGAAGAGTTCTGGGTTGAAGACATTGAGCCAGACTAAGAAGCCCCTAGGCTTCTCAGAAACAGGGCAGGCAGAGCAAGAGGGAGGACAGAGCAGAGGCCAGAGACCAGCAGGATTGGCGGCAATGCCACCACCACGGCCATCTGGGGAGGAGTGCCAAACGGGTGACTTGGCCAAGATGGCCAGCGTTTGAGCCACAGAGATGCTTGCCCCATCCCGTTGCCGGCTTCCTTCTCCGTCCCTGTGTCGAGCTGTGGCTACATTTCTCAAGGAGGGCAAAGGGCAAGAGGAGTGAGAAGCGTCTTCTTCAAGATCTGTGGGCACCCTCCTGCGGGTGGACAATGAGCCCCTCTGAGGACTTTGTCCTTGGCTGGGGTGTGGTCGTCTTGATCCCAGCAAAGAGGCTGCTCAGGATAGGGAGGGGATGAAAATCCCTGCGGGTCCGACGCAGGTGCCCATGTTGCCCAGGCCTTCACAAACCCAAACTGGAACCGCCGGGAAAACGTCTGCCAACGGGCCACACAACCCAGGTAGAGACCCGGGGAGAGGCTGACCACAGGAAAGGCTGACGTGGGAGAAACCACCCTCTGGTGCAAAGGGCACCTGTGTCCCAGCAAACACGCAGGCACAGATGGACAGAGATAGTAAAAGAGAGCGATGGAAAGAGCGAGAAGGGAGAGAGAGAGATATCAGAGAGAGACATAAGTGGGCACACAGACACACACAGACACACACACACACACCCCAAACGCAGACACACATACAGCAGGTAACACCCAGCCCCAGGCAGCCCCTGAAGCTGCTGGGTTCTGCTCTCCGCGACTACGACCCACCGGTGAGAGAGCAGCCCACGGGCACACGGGCAGACCTGTCCTCGACATCACAAGGGCACCACTTTTGGGGAGACTCACGGGCACACCGTCCGCACACACCTGAGGCTGGGATCCCGCGCTGCCTCCCCGGCGATCCGTCTGAGGTTTCTTCCTCCTGAGGCTTCTCCCTGCTGGTCGACCCTCCGCGAATCCCGGCCTCCGAGACCATCCTGTTAATGCCCTGGCCAGGACTGATCTCAGCCCCGACTCTGACGCTCGGTCACAGAGGGTTCCTACTTGGCCCAGTCTCAGGGACTCACCCCGGGGCAACGGTGGTGATCCCTGTGACCAAAGCGGCGGCTCCGGCCTCGCGCATGCGCACTGGAGAGGCCGACTCGCCCCTCGCCCCAGAGAGTCAGGCTGCGGACCCTTTAAAAAATGGCGGCGACGCGGCAGGTTGCGGGGACCGGGGCGGCGGTGGCGGCGCTTGCGGCGGCGAAGGCAGCGCAGCCCGAGGCGGCGGGTGGGAAGAGGATTGCCAGAGGGGCCTGCGGGAGACCCAGGGTCGGACCCGTAGGGGTCCTGCCGTCAGGACCTCCTTGATCGGTCTTCTGCTTCGTTCCCAGTGGAGGAGGAGCTTCAGGGTGCCGGCTGGGCTGTGCAGACTCCTCTTCGGCTCCGAGGATGGATCCCACCGGGTGATCGAGAATGGGGTTGCAATGCAGTGAGGCGGGAAGGGTCTCGCTGGGGCACAGAAAGATCCCCAGAGCCCCAAGGCGTGCTGTCGGCGGAAAATGAACTGACACACGAGCCCACTGCCTCCCTCCTTCCTGGGTGGAGCAGTGGCCTGCCTTCATCTCCAAGGCCCGGGGGCTCCGGCATACCGACACTGCTTCCCGCGACACGTGCAAAGACAGACATAGGCGAGTCCGAGATGGAGCCAGTGTGACCACACGTGGCACCGACGTCCCCAAAAGCAGATGGAGTGAGCAGGTGTCTTTGAGGCCGTAGGGGGCGATGGCGAGACGGACAGTGGTGTCCAGCCGTGCGCCCGGGGGCCACGGGAGACCTCCGCAACAAAGCTGAGGAAAAGCCAAGCGCACCTGAAAACCTGCGAGACAGGGCCTGCGCCCGAATCCAAGCCACATTCAGAGATGCCTGCCAGAGGGGCCGAGAGCTTTCCACAAACTACACCCCACCCCCACCCCGCGACCGGGTAGGTACCCCCGACGCGACCTCCCCTGCACCCAGCAAAACCCAGTCCCTTTGGCTCCCTGACATCCGTGGCAGCCAGAAGATTCAGTGCTAGAAGTCTCTTTCCCCAGGAGCAGAGGAACCCGATGGCCCTCAAGAATCAGAGAGGAAGTGCAGGTGGCATGCCACACCGCCTTTCCTAGAAGGCAAATGTCAGGAACGGTCGGGTTGCCTCCCGCTCTTCCTGGACCGACCACGGGGCCACAGAGACCCAGAAAGCTTCCCTGTCCCAGACAGCTATGAAAGCCCAGAGCTCCAGGATCACCACACCTGCCCAATCATGCTGAAAGAGGTTTGGAGAAGGAAACAATCATGACACCGACCCCCAGGAACTTTCTCCCGGATGGACTGGGAAGTCTTCTGGGTTGAAGACATTGAGCCAGACTAACAAGCCCCTAGGCCTCTCAGAAACAGGGCAGACAGAGCAAGAGGGAGGACAGAGCAGAGGCCAGAGCCCAGGCAGGATTGGCGGCAATGCCACCACCACGGCCATCCGGGGAGGAGTGCCAAACGGGTGACTTGGCCACGAAGGCCAGCGTTGGAGCCACAGAGATGTTTGCCCCATCCCGTTGCCGGCTTCCTTTTCCGTCCCTGTATCGAGCTGTGGCTAGATTTCTCAGTGAGGGCACACGCGAGAGGATTGAGAGGAGTGAGGTCGATGGGCACCTCGACCTGCATAAGCAGGTTTATGATGAGCTTTTGTGAGAATTTTTTCCTTTGCTGGGGTGTAGTTGTCTTGATTCTAGCAATGAGGCCGCTCATGATTGGGAGCTGATTTAATCCCCGCCGTGTCTCATGTAGCTCCCCACGTTGCCCACCGGTCACGAACCCAAACTGTAACCGCCTGGAAAACGAATGACACCCGGCCACATGACCCAGACAGAGATGCGAGGAGAGACTCACCAGAAGAAAGGCCAAGGTACAAGAAACCGCCCTTCATTGCCCATGCATCCCAACACACGCACGCACCCGCGCACACACGGACGGAAACTGGTAGAGAGTGATAGACGGAGAATGAAAACAGAAATAAGAGAAAGAGACACAACCCAGACATACTGCAGTGGCACAGTAACATTCATCTCCAGGCAGCCCCTGAAGCCTCTGGGTTCTGCTCTGAGCGACAACGACCCTGGGGTGAGAGAGCAGCCCTTGGGCATACAAGCAGACCTGTCCTGGAGATCGCAAGGGCACGACTTTTGGGGAGACTCACCGGCACACCGTCCACGCAGGCCTGAGCCTGGGATACTGCGCTGCTTCCCAGACGCTCCGCCTGAGGTTTCTTCCTCCTGGTCGAACCTCCGCGAATCCTGGCCTCCGGATACCATCCCGTCGACGCCCCAGTGAGGACTAGACTTAGCCCCGAGCCGATGCGCTGCTACAGAAGGCTCCTCCTTCGCAGAGAGTGAAGAACTCATCTCCAGGCAACGGTGGCGGTCTCTGTGACGTGAGCATCCGCTCGCGATTTGTGTATGCGCCTTGCCAAGGCTGACTGCGCTCTGCTCTGGATCAGGCTGCAGCCCCTGAAAAAAATTGCTGGGGCTGTGTGTGTGAATGGGAGTGTGCATGTATGTCTTTGGACAAACGTCCCCTGTTCTCTGGAGGGCAGTTTCTTGCATGTTGGCCTTTTTGGTGAGCCTCTTTCTCGGTCTCTGCCTGGGTCGTGTAGCCGGTCCTGTGACTGGAACGGGCAGTCATTTTCCTGGCAGTTGCACTTTTGGTTTCTGAAGGCCTTGGCGAGGTTTGGTGCTGTGTCGGACCCGCAGGCGTTCAAGTCACCTGCCCATTCTGAGTGACCTTTTTTCTAAAATCCTCCACCCAGGAGCAGAGGACCCGGATGTCTCTCAAGAATTAGAAAGGAAGTGCAGATTATTGCTAAGCACATGGTAGCTAACACTGGATAGATGAGATGAACATTGGTTTGCTAATTACCCATACTTTCGCCCCAGGGAAGGAGAGCCCAGCACACCATGTGGGGTACAGTGTGTTGCACTCAGGAACACAGTAATCAGGTGGAGGCTATTCCAGGAGGCTTTGTAGTACCAAGAGTATGGGAGGTAACCCCTGGTTCTTGAAGGAGGGTGTGAATGGCCTGTTTGAATAATTCTGCAGGCTGGCTGGAACCTGACGCCCACTACTACGCAGTAAGCAGGTACTGTGCCTGGCCTCTGAAGGAAGTGCTTGGGCTAGGGCACCTTATTCAAAGGAGTACATTGGGGCAGGGAATTTGCAGTTAATCCATTCAGCCCTCCTTGTTTTCCCCCAGTGTCAGGGCACGTATAACATTGAGCCTTAATCTTAGGCCTTAACCTTGACCCCTTGATGCCTTGACATCTCTTGGCAATACTGAGACTTCTAGAATGTAGAAGTTTTACTGGATGGAAGGTCTTGACTGCAAGTTGTCCATGTTTCTGGCTCACTGAAGAAAGAATTAAACAAACTACACGAAGCAACAAAAGATCAAAGCCACGAAAGAAGAAAGAAGCAACGAAACTGCAGATTTATTGAAGCAAAAGTCCACTCTACAGAGCCAGAGTGGGCTAGAGCAAGCGGCTCAGGAGCCCAGATTACAATGTTCTTTAGAGTTATTAAGCTAAAGAATTTGATAACACCCATAAGTGCCTTTTCGAGGTCTTCAATTGGTTACACCCTATGAAGGATTGGCCCGTGGCCAGAGGCTGAACTGGAGACTTCTGTGTTGTCATCACAGGAGTGAGGATGTGGCCTGTGTGCTGCTTAACCTGGCCTAGAACTTGCTGCACCTGCTGTTCTTTTGCTTCCACCTTAACCCTTGGTTATGCTAATTTTCTTTTCCTTTTTGTTTTGAGACGGAGTCTCGCTCTGTCGCCCAGGCTGGAGTGCAGTGGCGGAATCTCAGCTCACTGCAAGCTCCACCTCCTGGGTTCACGCCATTCTCCTGCCTCAGCCTCCTGAGTAGCTGGGACTACAGGCGCCTGCCACCATGCCTGGCTTATTTTTTGTATTTTTAGTTGAGACGGGGTTTTACCCTGTTAGCCAGGATAGTCTGGAACTCCTGACCTCATGATCTGCCTGCCTCGGACTCTGAAAGTGTTGGGATTACAGGCGTGAGCCACTGCGCCTGGCTTGGTTATACTAATTTCCTATTCTCCTGCCTCAGAAGTGCCTCTCTAGGAAGCCAAGCAGGCTCTTACCTGCTTCAGGTGAGCAGGTAACCAGGAGGGAGAGGACCACAGTTGCTATCATGGCTATGATTCGGGTTTGGAAACCTGTGCAGAGCCTTTGGCTCCACTTGGTATGGGATAGCCAAGAGAACAGTTAATGTGGTTTTCGAATCATGATATGTCTTTGAATATTTGTGTAACCTTATGTATTACCATCAGTTTTTATTTGTTAGGTGCAGTTGTTCTTGCTCATATTATTATTATTATTATTTTGAGACAGAGTCTCATTCTGTTGCCAGGCTGGAGTGCAATGCTGCCATATCAGCTCACTGCAACCTCCGACTCTTGCGTTCAAGCGATTCTCCTGACTCAGCCTCCCAAGTAGCTGGGAATACAGGCGTGTACCACCACACCCAGCTAATTTTTGTATTTTTAGTAGAGATGAGGTTTCACCATGTTGGCCAGGATGATCTCTTGACCTCATGATCCACCCACCTCAGCCTTCCAAAGTGCTGGGATTACAGGCGTGAGCCACCGCGCCCAGCCAAAAATTTTTTAAGTAAAATAAAATATGTCAGTATAGGCCAGGTGCAGTGGCTCACATCTGTAATCCCAGCACTTTGGGAGGCTGAGATAGGAGGATCACTTGAGTTCAGGAGTTCAAGACCAGCCTGCACAACACAGCAAGACCCCACCTCTAAAGAAAAAAAAGTGTGTGTGTGTGTGTGTGTGTGTGTGTGTAATATGACATAAACAAGTGTGGGTATATCAGTCATTGTTCACCAGTTACTGATGCTGTATAATACACCACTCCAAACTCAGTAGTATAATACAATGATTTTACTGTGCTCACTGATTCTGTGGGTTAGGAATTCAGACAGCTCACAGAGCAGATAGTTTGCCCCTGCTCCTGATGTCTGTGGCCTCAACCAGGAGGATTCAAAGGCTGGGAATAACCTGATACCTGAGGGCTGCAAACCTATGAAGCCTGCTTTGCACACATGTCTGGTACCTGGGGTGGGAGGACTCAAAGACTTGGACTAGTAGCCTCCCCATGTGACTTGGCTTCCTCATAGCATGGCGGCTCAGAGCACTTGGACCTTCTTAGATAATGGCTCAAGATTTCAAACACTGGAGTTTCAGCTAATGAGGTGAAGGCCACAGTGCCTCTTAAACTGAGCCCTGGGAGTCACACAGCATTGGTTATAAACAATAAACCAATCCAGATTCAAAGGCAGAGGAGTTAGACTCCACCTCTTAAAGTGGGAATGGCAAGATTCTAGAATAACATATGGAACAAGCCTATTATTGCAACCATCTTTGGAAAATACAATCTGCTGCAATCACCTTTGGAAACTAGGAAACCAATGCAGTATTCTGAAATTCGTAATTCTGAAAACTAATGAATATGAATGGAAAGAATCAAGCATTTATCCTCCCTTTCCTACACATGCTATCCCTCTGAGTAATCAGATTGTTGATGTGGGCAGATTTTATTTTTATAAAAGGATTCTAGTAATGGAAATTCCAGTAATGGAAATAAAAGGATTCCAGTAATGGCTGAAAGAGAGACACAATAAGAAAGTGATCAGTTTGCAACTCCTAACAACATAATGAATCTAGGCATTGATCATCAGTGAATGCATGACATTATGCAAAAGGCAATCACTTTACAATGGATAAATCACATTGATGACACTTAAGCCCACTAACAAATCTGATCACAAAATAGTGACAAGCAGATCTTGCCAAAATAACTGAACTTGAATTTGATCAAGTCTCTAGAGCACAGTTTCTCAACTCTGACACTATTTTCACTTTGGACCAGATAATTCTTTGGGATGGGAGGAGGCTGTCCTGTACAGTATAGGATGTTTAGCAGCACCCTGGCCTCTAGCCAATAGGTGCCAGCAATACCATCCTTCCTTCCAGTTGTGACAACCAAAAATATCTCCAAACATTGCCAAATGTCTTCTAGAGAAAACAAACAAGCAAACAAAGAAACAAAAAACACAACTGGTTGAGAACCACTGCTCTAGTTAATTACCAGATATTTTAGAGAAAATACAGAGCATCTAATTTGTTAATCAGTACCATGGGGGTGTACTCAAAGGCAGTATGTGGAAACTCTATATGATCTAGTGTTTGATTTCTCCAAAACATAAATAGCAAGAAAAAAGGGAAGTCAATAGATTAAAAGATATATAAGAGACAGCTGGGTGTGGTGGCTCATGCCCGTAATCCCAACACTTTGGAGGCTGAGGCAGACAGATCATCTGTGGTCAGAAGTTCAAGACCAGCCTGGCCAACATGATGAAACCCCGTCTCTTCAAAAATACAAAACTTTGAGAGGCCAAGATTGGCAAATCACTTGAGGTCAGGAGTTGAGACCAGCCTGGCTAACAAGGTGAAACCCTGCCTCTACTGAATATACAAAAAATAGCTGGGCATGATAGTGCATGCCTGTAGTCCCAGCTACTTGAAAGGCCGAGACAAGAGAATCGCTTAAACCCAGGAGAAAGAGGTTGCAGTGAGCCGATATCGCGCCACTGCACTCCAGCCTGGGTGACAGAACAAGACTCTGTCTCAAAAACAAAAACAAAAAAAATACAAAAATACAAAAATTAGTCAGGCCTGGTGGCATACACCTGTAATCCCAGCTACTCGGGAGGCTGAGGGGGAAGAATTGCTTGAATCCGGGAGGTGAAGGTTGCAATGAGCCCAGATCGTGTCATTGCACTCCAGCCTGGGCAACAGAGAGAGACTCTGTCTCAAAAAAAAAAAAAAAAAAAAAAAAAAAAAAAGATATATAAGAGCTTTATCCTCTAAGCTCAACGTGTAGATCTTGTTTAAACTCTAAACTAATTCTAATTTGAACAAATCAACTGCAACTGATTATGTAATTTTAAGAAATTGGTCTTTTTTCTTTTTTTTCTTTTTTCTTTTTCTTTTTTTTTTTTTTTTTTTTTGAGACAGGGATCTTGCTCTGTCACCCAGGCTGAAATGTAGTGGTGAAATCATGGCTCACTGCAGCCTCAAATTCCCAGGTTCAGGTGATGCTCTCACCTCAGCCTCCCAAGTAGCTGGGACTACAGGTGCGCACCACCATGCCAGGCTAATTTTTTGTATTTTTTTGTAGAGACGAGGTTTTGCCATGTTGCTCATGCTGGTCTCTAACTCTTGGACTCAAGTGATCCTCCTGCTTTGGCCTCCCAAAGTGCTGGAATTACAGGCATGAGCCATGGCACCTGGCCAGGAATTGTTCATTTTCTTAAGATGATGATACGAAAATTGTCTTTTAAGAAAAGTTCTTAAAAGAACTATATTTCATACTGAAATATTTATAGATGAAATGCCTGGAATTTTCTTTAAAATAATCAAGTGGAAATAGAGATGAAGCAAAACTCGCCATGTGTTAATTGTCAAAGGTGGATTCACTGTACTAGGCTCTCTGCATATATAATGTTGAAAGTATCCATAATAAAAAGCTTGAATTAAAAAAAAATTACGTCCTTCCAAGTACTACTCAAATCAGCAAATCAGTAAGCACTAATTTGGAAGGACATCCATAAGGTCTTCCCTAGAAACACAAGCTAAAAAAAAAAATTACATATAATTCTAGTAAAGGCAAAAGGGAATAAAAGTCACTCAATATATGTATGTGCATGTTTGAGCAAGGAGAGAGGTAAAGGAAACTTACTAGACTTTTAAAATGGATAACCTTGGGGAGCTGGGAATATAAAATAAAAAGAAATACACATATATTGGTCTCTGTCCCTAGCTCCTGGTCTAGAGCTCCTTAAAACCCTTGGGTACTAGGAGGATCATTTGTTCTAATATCTGGTCTTTGACCCTAGTTCCTGACACAGAGTTCTCAAATCCCTTGGGATTTCCTGGCTGATAGGAGCATAGTATGTTCTAATGAGGTGACTTCTTGGTGGGCTCCTGGATGGCCTCAGAATGTGATATGAGGGTTGGAACTTTCAGCCCCACCCCTTGACCTCTGGGGAGGGGACAGCAGCTGAAGGTTGAGTTGACTGACAATGGCCAATGATGTTATCAATCATGCCTATGTAATGAAGCCTCCATGAAAACCCAAAAGGATTGGGTTCAGAGAGCTTCCAGATTGCTGAACACGTGGGGATTCCTGGAGGATGATGTGCTGGGGTGAGGGCATTGAAGCCCAATGCCACTTCCCACATATGTTGCCCTAGGTACCTCTTCATCGAAAACCTTTGTAATATCCTTTTTATTTATTTTCATTTTTTTATTTTTTGAGACACACTCTCTCTCTGTTGTCTGGGTTGGAGTGCAGTGGCACGATCTCGGCTCACTGCAACCTCTGCCTCCCGGGTTCAAGCGATTCTCCTGCCTCAGCCTCCTGAGTACCTGGGAATACAGGCGCCCACCACCATGCCCGGCTAACTTTTGCATTTTTAGTAGAGAGCAGGCTGGTCTCAAACTCCTCACCTCAGGTGATCCACCCACCTCAGCCTCCCAAAGTGCTGGGATTACAGGCGTGAGTCACTGCGTCCGGCCCTTTTTATTAAAATAAATAAATAAATAAAATTTTTTTTGAGACAGGGTCTCGCTCTGTTGCCCAGGCTGGAGTGCAATGGTGAGATCTGGGCTGACCACAACCTCAACCTCCTAGGCTCAATCCTCCCACCTTGGTCTCCCTAGTACTAGGACTACAGGCGTGCACCACCACACCAAGCTAAGTTTTGTATTTTAATAAAGACAGGGTTTTGCTATGTTGCCGAGGCTGGTCTCAAACTCCTGGGCTCAAGTGATCTGCCCACCTCAGCCTCCGAAAGTGCTGGGATTACAGACGGGCAACACCATGCCCAGCTGTAATATCCTTTATACTAAATGGACTAATGTTAAGTAAATGGTTTCCCTGAGATCTGTGAGCCATCCTAGAAGATTAATCACACCTGAGGAGAGGATGTGGAAACCCCAAATTTATAGCTGGTCAGAAGTACAGGTCACCACCTGGCTCTTGAGATGGACATCTGAAGTGGAAGGATCTTGTGGGACTGGTCCCTTAGCCTGTGGGATCTGACGCTATCTCCAGGTAGGTGGTGTCAGAACTGAACTGAACTGTAGTCCTACAGTTGGTGTCTAATGGGGAACTGCTTGGTGTGTGGAGAAAAAACCCACACATCTGGTGTCAGAAATGTTCTTTATTGAGTGTTGAGTGGTGTGAGAGTAGGAGAGACCTCGTCTAGGAAAAGGGAGAATTTTATCTTTGCAAAATGTCACTGTTTGCCCTCATTATTCAAAAAAAAAAAACAACCCTTTAGCATATGCTGCTTTAATTTGGCATCTGTCCATCCCATGAAAGTCATTAACATCGCCCACACCACACTTGCCTGGACAGCCAGGTCCTGTCTCCCAAGACTCTGCACTCTACTCTCCTTTATCCCTAATCAGTCATGTCCCACCTCTTCCTCCTCAAGGTAGACACAAAACATCTTCTATATCCTTATCCCCAGCTTTCAACCAACTATCTTATTACACCCTGGAAATGTCTACATTGCGGAAATTATAGCCATGTTGTTTTCGCTCATAAACTGTAAATTTCTTTTTTCTTTGCTTTATCTTTTTTTTTCAGACTGAGCATCGCCCTGTTACCCAGGCTAAAGTGCAGTGGGAAGATCTCGGCTCACTGCAACCTCTGCCTCCTAGGTTCAAGAGATTCTCCTGCCTCAGCCTCCCAAGTAGCTGGGTGTGGGGAAAAGCAAGAGAGATCAGATTGTTACTGTGTCTGTGTAGAAAGAAGTAGACATAGGAGACTCCATTTTGTTATGTACTAAGAAAAATTCTTCTGCCTTGAGATTCTGTGACCTTACCCCCAACCCTGTGCTCTCTGAAACATGTGCTGTGTCAACTCAGAGTTAAATGGATTAAGGGCGGTGCAAGATGTGCTTTGTTAAACAGATGCTTGAAGGCAGCATGCTCCTTAAGAGTCATCACCACTCCCTAATCTCAAGTACCCAGGGACACAAAAACTGTGGAAGGCCGCAGGGACCTCTGCCTAGGAAAGCCAGGTATTGTCCAAGGTTTCTCCCCATGTGATAGTCTGAAATATGGCCTCGTGGGAAGGGAAAGACCTGACCGTCCCCCAGCCCGACACCCGTAAAGGGTCTGTGCTGAGGAGGATTAGTAAAAGAGGAAGGAATGCCTCTTGCAGTTGAGACAAGAGGAAGGCATCTGTCTCCTGCCCGTCCCTGGGCAATGGAATGTCTCGGTATAAAACCCGATTGTATGCTCCATCTACTGAGATAGGGAAAAACCGCCTTAGGGCTGGAGGTGGGACCTGCGGGCAGCAATACTGCTTTGTAAAGCATTGAGATGTTTATGTGTATGCATATCTAAAAGCACAGCACTTAATCCTTTACATTGTCTATGATGCAAAGACCTTTGTTCACGTGTTTGTCTGCTGACCCTCTCCCCACAATTGTCTTGTGACCCTGACACATCCCCCTCTTTGAGAAACACCCACAGGTGTGTAGGGGCAACCCACCCCTACACTGGGATAAACTAAACTAAACTAAACTAAACTAAAACTAAACTACTAAACTAAACTAAACTAAACTAAACTAAAACTAAACTACTAAACTAAACTAAACTGCTAAACTAAGGGGTTTGGAGGGCTCCTGGATTATTGAACACGTAAAGGTTCCTGGAGGGTGGTGCAGCCAGAGACGGCATGGAAGCTCTGCACCCCTCCCCCATATCTTGCCCTATGCATCTCTTCCTTCTGGCTGTTAATCTGTATCCTTGTCAATATCCTTTATAATAAATGGGTAAACATAAATAAAGTGTTTCTCAGAGTTCTGTGAACCACTCTAGCAAAATACTCAAACTTGAGGGGTCATGGCAACCTTGATTTATAGCCAGTAGGTCAGAAGCACAGGTCACATCCTGGGACCTGCAATTGGCATCTGAAGCGGGGGCAGTATTTTGGGACTAAGCCCTTAACCGATGGGTTCTGCTGCTATCTCCAGGTACAGTTGGAATTGCACTGAACTGTAGCACACCCAGTTGGTGTCCGCTGAAGAACTGTTTAGTGTGGGAGAAAAAAACTCCACACATTGGTGAGTGGTGTGTGTAAATGTAGAAAGAAAAACACCCTGGTTGCTTCCTACCTTTCACTAAAACTGCTCATGACACACCATCATGCTCTCACTACTTCGGCAATACAGACACTCCCTCTGTAACTATTCACATACAGTCAATAACATAAGCAAGAGTTACACACAGTCAAGAAAAGCCATTCACGTGGTTACAAGTGGCCACACACCTAATGCTGCTGTCACAATCATGCATGCTGCTGTCACAATCATGCACGTCAAACAGCTGGCTAGGGCTAGCGCCACACACACACACACGCACACACGGAGACGTGCGCGCACACCCACTTGTGCAGAGACACGCGCACGCAGACACGTGCGCACAGAGACGCACACAGACACACGTGTGCACACAGGCAAACAGGCACGCGCAGAGACGCACACAGACACGCGTGTGCACCACAGGCAAACAGACACGTGCAGAGACGCACACACAGGCACACGTGTGCACACACAGAGATGCAAACACAGACACACGCGTGCACACACTGACGCGCGCACAGAGAGACACACGCGCGCACACACACGTCTCCCCCGCGCCAGCTCCGGCTCCAGCAGCCTTGGGGTCCCCGCCCAGACCCGGGCTCCTGACTCCCTCAACGACTGCATCTCGCGGGGCGATCCCGGTCGGGTTCCGCCTGAGCCAAGGCCCCGCACCCAAACCGAGACAGCGGATCCAGTAGCCCGAGGCCCGCAGCTGGGCGAAGGAACCGGGACTCAAGAGTAGCCTCCGGCACCGAGCCCTCCAAGAAAAGCAGCCCGGGACCCCGACAACCGTGGACGGAGCCAGGGTGGGTCATAGCTCGAGGCATCGTCAACGGAGGGTCCTTAAGAGACCCTGAACCCATTCACCCGGGCACCAGAGACTCTGCCAAAGCACCAATTCGGGCAGGTGGTAGCCTCGAAGCTGGGAGGCTGCATCTCAAGCCTCCTCCTAGATCCGCGGTGGACCCTGGGAAATGTAGTCCAGAGCAAGCCACCACCTAAATGCGCCGTGGACCCTGGGAAAGGTGGTCCCTCGCAAGTCACCGCCTGGACGCAGGTAACCTCCTAGATGCGCGGTGGACCACGGGAAATGTGATCCGGATTTTCTGGGTGGGCGTCGTAAGCGCGGAGCTTTCCGGGTCGCAGTGACTGTCCTCCCTTCGAGCCCGCCAGATCAGACCCTAGAATGTCCGGCAGCAGCCCCTCGGCTTAGAACTGAGCTGGGGTCATACACGCCCTCTAGGCGCGAGTTGGTGCACGCGTTAGAGTCTCAGGGGAGGGAGAAAACCCTGTAGCTCTAAACCGAGGGAGCTGCCAAAGCGATTCAAAGGAGCCCAGGGGACCCGTAGCAACAGACCCCGACTCTGCGCAAATGCGAATCCATGGCTCTCGCAAGGGCAGCGAGGCTCGCCGGGTCTCAGGCTGTGGATCCCTAAACTCAAAAGAAATAAAACGTCACATGATAAATTAAGAGTTTCCAACAGTTTCTAGCCTAGCCACTGAACAGTAGGGATTCAAGAAAACAAAACACAACAATGAAAATTACCACATAATACGAGAAAAGGTCCCAAAACTGACCGTCAACAAGATACAAGCCTATCGAGTACCAACCACAGTGGATGAAAAAGACACGTTCTAATCTAAGGCGTAGAATTCGACAATTCCTTTTTTTTTTTTTTTTTTAAGACGTAGTCTTGCTCTGTCGCCAGGCTGGAGGGCAGTGGCACGATCTCGGCTCACTGCAACCTCCACCTCCCGGGTTCAAGCGATTCTCCTGCCTCAGCCTCTCGAGTAGCTGGGATTACAGGCGCATGCCACCACACCCGGCTAATTTTTGTATTTTTAGTAGAGACGGGGTTTCACCATGTTTGCCAGGATGGTCTCGATCTCTTGGCCTCGTGATCCACCGGCCTCGGCCTCCCAAAGTGCTGAAATTACAGGCGTGAGCCAGCGTGCCCAGCCTCCTTTTTAAAAAAAAATTAATAAACTTTTTCTTTAGGGTCTTGCTCTGTTGCCCAGGTCGGAGTGCACGATCTTGCTCACTGCAACCTCCACCTTCCAGGTTCAAGCAATTCTCCTACTTCAGTCTCCTGAGTAGCTGGGATGACAGGTACCCACCACCACGCCCAGATAATTTTTGTATTTTTAGTAGAGAAGGGTTTCACCATTTTGACCACACTGGTCTTGAACTTCTGACAACTGATTCGCTCGCCTCGGCCTCCCGGGATTACAGGCGTGAGCCACCGCATCCGGCCTTCTGTCAGAGTTTCAGCTGCCCTCCCAGCGCCCCCAACAGGCACGTTTTCACAAGACCAGACCTAGCTCCACTTTGTGGTGAGGTGGCAAGAATAGAGAGAGAGAAAGAGAGGACACCCCCTGCCCCCAGCCACTCAGACACACAGACATGGGATCCCATGGGTCTTTTTTCTTGGTTTGGTTGACAGCTACGGCAGTGGCAGAGCAGCCTAATGACTGGGGCTGTTCTTGGTGCAAGGCCAGTAGAGAAAAGAAGAAAAACAGAAAAAAGGGAAGGCTGGGTGTGGTGGTTCACACCTGTAATCCCAGCACTTTGGGAGGCCAAGGAGGGTGGATTCCTGGAGTTCAGGAGTTTGAAATCAGCCTGGGCAACAGAGTGAGACCCCTGTCTCTACAAAATTTTAAAAAGTAGCTGGGTGTGGTGGCTCATGCCTCTAGTCCCAGCTACTCAGGAGGCTGAGGTGGGAGAATCACTTGAGCCCAAGGGGTCAAGGCTGCACTGAGCCAAGATCGTGCCACCCCCACCCCCAGCCTGGGTGACATAGCAAGACCCTGTCTCAATTAAAAAAAAGAACCCCTCTCTCACTCTGTCACACCAGGTCCTCTTTTGGACTCCTCTGGCTGGAAGGAAGGCATTTCTCTCATAATTTATGCTCCCTGAACCCATCACACAGCTCTGAGACTTCCCTCCTTCCAAAGCCAAAAGATAAAGGAGGAAAATCCCCCAGCAAACATATGGTCATCGTGTCCATTCTTCTCGTTTTTAACTCCCTTCACATCTGCCTGCTATTACTTGTATTTCTGAATCTTCAGGTGGTTTCTTTTTGTATTCACTCTGGGGTGTTAAATAGAAATCAGTGAGAGAGATGCTGAAATGTGCTTATCCCATCTTGGCCAGTAATGGAAGTCTGCCTTCCCTGAGGATTTGAAATTATCCAGTTTGGGCCTGGCACAGTGGCTCACGCTTGTAATCCCCACACTTTGGAAGGCCGAGGTGGGTGGATCACCTGAAGTCAGGAATTTGAGACCAGCCTGGCCAACAGGACAAAACTCCATCTCTACTAAAAATACAAAAATTAGCCGGGCGTGGTGGAGGGCGCCTGTCATCCCAGCTACTCAAGAGGCTGAGGCAGGAGAGTCACTTCAACCCGGGAGGCACAGGTTGCAGTGAGCTGAGATCACCCCATTATCCTCCAGCCTGGGGGACAAGAGCGAAATTCTGCCTCAAAAACAAACAAACAAAAAGACCAAAACCAAAAACCCAACATTTACTCTCAGATAATCTGAACAGAACACAGTCTTAGAAAATAATACTTAAAATGCACTGGGTGCAATCTAAAATTATTTGAAATACAAAGAACTGGGAAAATGTGATGAATTATCAGGGGAAAAGAAAATCAGCAGATGACCATGTCAAGAAGAAACAGATACTGGACTTACACAATGATTTATGAACATCTTTTCATGTGCTTGCTGGACACCTGTATATCTTTTTTGGAAAAAATGATTCTATTTATTTGTCCATTTTAATTTTCATTTTATTTATTTTTTCGAGACAGAGTCTTGCTCTATCACCCAGGCTGGGGTGCAGTGGCATGATCTTGGCTCACTGCAACCTCCGCCTCCCAGGTTCAAGTGATTCTCCTGCCTCAGCCTCCCAAGTAGCTGGGATGAGAGGCACGTGCCACCATGCCTGGTAATTTTTGTATTCTTAGTAGAGACGGGTTTCACCATGTTGGCCAGGCTGGTCTCGAGCTCTTGATCTCGTGATCCACCCACCTCAGCCCTCTAAAGTGATGGGATTACAGGTGTGAGCCACCGTGCCCAGAAATTTGCCCATTTTTAATAGGTTGTTCTTTATTTTTTTTGAAATGGAGTCTCGCTCTGCCACCCAGGCTGGAGTTCAATAGCTTGATCTCGCCTCACTGCAACCTCCACCTCCCGTGTTCAGTCATTCTCTTGTCTCAGCCTCCCAAGTAGCTGAGACTACAGGCATGCACCATCACATCTGGCTAATTTTTATGTTTAGTAGAGACAAGGTTTCACCATGTTGGCCAGGATGGTCTTGAACTCCTGATCTCAGGTGATCCGCCCGCCTCGGCCTCCCAAAGTGCTGGGATTACAGGCGTGAGCCACCGTGCCTGGCCCAGATAGATGATTTCTAAATATTTTCTCCCATTCTGCATGTTGAACTTCAGTTTCTTGATAGTGTCTGATACACAAAGTTTTAAATGTTTACAAAATCCAATTTATCTACTTTTGTTGTTCCTGCTTATACTTTGGTATTATATTTGGTATTATATTTACAAAATCGTTGCCAAATCTAAGGTCATGAAGATTTACTCCTATGTTCCTATGTTTTCCTCCAAGAGTTTATCTCTTATGTTTAGGTCTTTGGACACTTTTGAGTTAAGTTTTGTATACGGTGTGAAGCAAGAGTCCAAATTCATCTTTGTACCTCAATTGTCCCAGCTTTTTTTTTTTTTTTTTTTTTTGACACTCTTCTTGCCAGGCTGGAGTGCAGTGGCACAATCTCAGCTCACTGCAACCTCCACCTCCTGGGTTCAAGCGATTCTCCTAGCTCAGCCTCCCAAAGTACTGGGATGATAGGTGTCCACTACCACGCCCAGCTAATTTTTTGTATTTTTAGTAGACAGGGTTTCACCATGTTGGCCAGGCTGATCTTGAACTCCTGACCTCAGGTGATCCACCCGCCTCCGCTTCACAAAGTGCTGGGATTACAGGCGTGAGCCACTGCGCACGGCCCCAACACTTTTTTTTTTTTTTTTTTTAATACAGAGTCTTGCTCTTGTCACCCAGGCCGGAGTTCAACGGCACGATCTCGGCTCACTGCAACCTCTGCCTCCTGGGTTCAAGCGATTCTCCTGCCTTAACCTCCCAAGTAGCTGGGATTACTGGCCCCCGCTACCACATCTGGCTAATTTTTGTATTTTTAGTAGAGGCGGGGTTTTGCCATGCTGGCCAGGCTGGTCTCGAACTCCTGACCTTGTGATCCGCCCGCCTTGGCCTCCCAAAGTGCTGGGATTACAGGCGTGAGCCACTGCCCCCGACATCATTTTTTAAGGGAATTATTCTTTCCTCCATTAAATAAGTTTGGCATTCTAGTTGAAAATCAGTTGCCCACAGTGTATCAATTGATTTGTGTTGGTATAACAGAATACCTGAGTCTGGTTAACGTATAAGGAACAAGAACATATTGGTACACAGTTCTGGAGGCTGGGAAGTCCACAACTGAGAGACTGACATCTGGCAAGGGCCTTCTTGTTATGTCATCCCATGGAGGAAAGACAAGAGACAGCAAGTGGGGACAAAACTTGCCCTTTTATCATGACACCAATCCTACTCATGAAAGTGGAGACTTCATGGACATCTTTTTTTTTTTTTTTGAGATAGAGTCTCATTCTGTCTCCCAGGCTGGAGTGCAGTAGCACGATCCTGGCTCACTGCAAACCTCTGCCTCCTGGGTTGGAGCAATTCTCCTGCCTCAGCCTCCCAAGTAGCTGGGATTACAGGTGTGTGCCACTACACCCGGCTAATTTTTGTAATTTTAGTAGAGACGGGGTTTTGCCATGTTGGCCAGGCTGGTATTGAACTCGTGACCTCAGGTGATCCACCCGCCTCGGCCTCCCAGAGTGCTGAGATTACAGGTGTGAGCCACCACGACCAGCCCCTTCATGGCCATTTTAAGGGTCTCAACCTTTCATGCCATTACCATGGCAATTAAATTTCAACATTGAGTTTTGGGTGGGACATTCAACCCATAGCATTTGTGGACTCTCAATTCTCTTCCCACTGATCTGTCTCCATCCCTGTGTTTTTCCTCCTGGTTTTGTTTGTTTTCGACAGGGTCTCTGTCACCCAGGCTGCAATATAGTGGTGCAATCACGGCTGACTGCAGCCTCAAACTCCTGGGCTCAAGCAATCCTCCCAGCTCACCCTCCCAAGTGGCTGGGACTACAGATGTGTGGCACATGCCTAGCTAGAATCATCTCTAGATTAGTCATAATACCTAATACAATGTAAATGCTATCCAAATAGTTGTATATTAACATTTGTATTTTTAAAATTGTTGTATATTTTAAACACTTTCCATCCAGGGTTCGTTGATAAATGGATGCAGAGCCCATGGATACAGAGGGCCAACTGTATCATAAAGACAACACCTTTAAATGTGAAATATATGTGCAAACAGGGAAAACAGAGAAAAAGATGGGGTACATCATAATATAAAGGGCAGATTCATTTAGACATTTAAGTATCTAATTCCTCCAAAAAGGCTAAAAGATACAGTGATGCAGTGCCATTTAATGAGTTTTTTAAGGTTTCAAAATCAAGCTCAAATGCTGTATATTATTGACATTCACCATTATTCAAGAAAACCTTTAATAATATTCTTTATATTATAATGTGATCAAAGAATAAAAAAATTTTCATGAAGGGCTGGTTTACAAAATAGAACTCTGTCTAGGGTCTGAGCCATTTTTCTCATACCCGTCCCATTCTCTCTCTGTAACAGCAGTGGGAGGAGTGACAGAGCTCGCAGGTTAAGACAGACACGCAGGTGTTGGTATCTAATGCACTGAACTGTGGAAGTTATGGGAAGTTGTTTTCTCTTTTTAAAAATAAAATTAGCTGGGCATGGTGACTCATACCTGTAATGTAATGGCAGCACTTGAACAGGCCATGGAGAATCACTTCACCCCAGGAGTTTGGGACTAATCTGGGCAATATACGGAGACCCCATCGCTACAATTTTTTTTTTTTAATTGGCACAGCATAGTGGTGCGTGCCTGTAGTCCCAGCTACTTGGGAGGCTGAGGTCGGAGGACTGCTTGAGCCCAGTAAGCAGAGGAGATTGCAGTGAGCCAAGATCCTGCCATGGTATTCTGGCCTGGGCAACAGAGCAAGATGGGAAAAAAAAAAAAAAAGATATTATCAAAAATTTAATATTTAATGCACACGTTTCCCATGGAAATATGCAGGAGAGGAAAACTGACATTCCAAAATCAGCCTAACTGAAAAAGACCAATTATATGAAGCCTGTGCATGTATGAACAAAGAAAAAGTTAAAGTTTTCTAAGCTCATTCTGCAAAATGTTAGAAATACGAAGACAGAGATCATATAGTGCAGCGGTCCCCAACCTTTTTGGTACCAGGGACCTGTTTCATGGAAGACAATTTTTCCACGGACGGTTTGTGGGGGTAGAAGAATGGGGATGGGATGTTTTCAGGATGAAACTGTTCCACCTCAGATCATCAGGCGTTACATTCTCATAAGAAGCGCACAACCTGGATTCCTCACATGCACAGTTCCCAATAGGGTTCGCGCTCCTATGAGAACTAATGCCACCGCTGATCTGGCAGGAGGTGGAGCTCAGGTGGCAATGCTCGCTCACCCGCCACTCACCTCCTGCCATGCAGCTGGGGGGAGCTGGGGACCCCGATATAGTGTGTATGCCATGTTAAAATAATTAAAACAGATTTGGATTGTGCTGTCCTTTTAAATTTTAATAAAATAGATTAATTTCATATTACATAGAGAGCAAGTCCATCCATTCATCCGTGATAAAATTTTAGAAATATTTTCTATAAAATGTTTAGTATTTAATTGGAAATGAATCCAGTATAACATGACTTCCACAGATACAGCATTCCCATCCTCACTCCCATTCCTATTTTGAGAAATTTTAAAAATACAGAAAAGTACAAAAAATAAGACAAGATATCCCTATACCACAATCCAGAATCAATCAGTATCTTCTTATATTTACTTGAAGTCTTTTGAAAGAGAAGTGGATGTTTATATAAAAAGCTGAAGTCCCCTTTAACCAATACCCATCCCACCTCCCACACTCATTATTTTCCCTTCTCCACTCTTCACAGGTGACCACTATCAAGAGTTTGGTCTGTATCCTTCCAATCCGTTTCAAAAACATGTACATACATATATGCATCCATTACCAATAGATAGTACTGAGTTTTATGAGGAAACTTTTAATTCAAATTTACAAAAAAGTCATTGTACTATCTGTATCATTCTGCAACTTGATCCCCCCTCAACAATTCTGGGATCTTTCTGTTAATACATGTGGATTTCATTTGTTGCATTTTACAGATATATAGTATTACATAAGAATTTCCCATATTGTTCGTGATGGGCTTTCTCAGTTGTTTCTAATTTTTGGCTACTACAAATCAAGCCACAGTAAATATCCTAGTGCGTATTTCCTGAGCATTCATACTCATAAGTAGAACCGCTAAGTATTTCTCAAATTGTTCCAAGGAATGTTTCCCTATTCCCAAGGTCATATGCATTTTAGTACATAGCTTTTCCATATTTCTGTTTTTAATCTCTGGATTCACTTTTGTGTATAGTTCATGGTCTATTTTTCCCCCTTGGAGAACAAACTACCTCCACTTAAAAAAAATAGTTCCATTATTTCCTCATTTCCTGATGCCACTTGTATCATATTCCAAATTCTAATAAATGCATAGGTCTTTTTTTGAAATCTCTTCTGCTCTGCTCAATCAATACCACAGGAGTCTTAATATTAGTTGTAGATGACCATGTCATCTATTTTTGTCTGTTCCTTTCCAATATTTACAACTTAATTTTTCTTGTTACTGGCGAAGATCTCCAGATCTATGGTGGTAGCAATAAAAAACAGGCCTCCATTTTCTGTTCCCACTTTTAGTGAAAATGTGCCTAAACTTTCACCATTATCTCTGCTGCAGGTTTCTCTGTTGGACACAGGGTTTTAATCATATGCATGTCTTTCTCTTCAGTACAAATTTTCTGGTGTCCCTTAAGTTTTTAGTACTTGTTAAAGTTAACCTCATTCGTGGTGCTTTGCTTCAGAAGGATTATTTCTGGGGCATGATGAGGTGCAAATTTCTAATGAAAGCTTTCCCACTTTCAAGGCTTTCATGGGGTTTTTAGTGAGTATGAATTTTCTGGTGTCTAATGTGGTGTGACTTCTGGCTGAAAGCTTTCCCACATTCACTGCACTGATAAGGCTTCTTACCTGTGTGTATTCTCAAATGCAGAGCAAGGGTTGAGAACTGAGAGAAAGCTTTCCCACATTCATTACAACCATAGGGCTTCTCCCCTGTATGGCTTCTCACATGCACAGTGAGAGATGAGCTCTGAGAGAAGGCTTTTCCACAAACATTGCATTCGTAAGGTTTATCACCTGAATGAATCCTCACATGTACAATAAGTGATGTTCGCTGAGAGAAGGCTTTTCCACATTCGTTACATTCATAGGGTTTCTCTCCAGTGTGAATGTTCTGATGTTTTATGAGGTACTTCTTCTGGCCAAAGGCTGTTCCACATTCACTACATTTAAAAGGCTTCTCTCCAATATGGATTTTCTCATGCTCAGTAAGGTTGGATTTGCCACTGAAGGTTTTTCCACACTCCTTACATACAAAGGGCTTCTCTCCTGTGTGAGTTCTCTGGTGTCTGATGAGGTTTGACTTCTGAATGAAAGCTTTCCCGCAATCTTTACACTCAAAAGGTTTTTCTCCAGTGTGAATTTTCTGGTGCGTAAGGAGGTTTTCCTTCTGGCTAAATGATTTTCCACATTCATTACATTCGAAAAGCTTCTCGCCAGTATGGGTGTTCTGATGTTTAATGACATACTGCTTTTGGCTAAAGGCTTTTCCACACTCGTTACATTCAAAAGGTTTCTCTCTCGTGTGAAAATGCTCATGCTCAGTGAGGTTTGATTTGTGGCTGAAGACTTTTCCACATACCTTACAGGCAAAGGGGTTTTCCCCACTGTAAATTCTCTGCTGGCTGAGGTGTGACATCTGAATGGAAGCTTTCCCACATTCACAAGGTTTCTCTCCAGTAAAAATTTCTTGATGAGTGAGGATTTACTTTTGGCTGAAGATATTTCCACATCTCTTACATTTATAAGGCTTCTCTGTGTATGATCTCCCAAATGCAGAGTAAGGGATAAGGTTTGAGAGGAAATGTTATCATACTCAGTATATTCAATGCTTTCTCTCTAGAAAAATTTTCTAATATTCAATGAAGTATTGCTACCTTCACTAGTTTCTCTCCAGCATGAATTTTCTGCTTCTCAATGAGATTGTCATCTAGCTAAGGGCTTGTCAATACTCCTTAGAAGCACAGGGTTTCTCTTCAGCATGACTTGCACGTTCGACGAAATGCAACATATGAGTAACAGTTCCCCCACATTCAGTAAATTCATAGGGTTTCTCTCCAGTATGAACACTCTGGTAACAGATGAGGTACAAACGTTTTAAACCAAAGACATTTACACTTAAAGGGGGTTAATACCATAAGGAGTAAGCTGTGGTAGAGAAGCTCCCAACTAAGTCCCTTGATGATTCTTTCCTACACAACCTCCCTCATGATTTCAGTCCAGGTTGTGTTTCAAACTGAAAACTTCAAAAAGGTGTGGCCTTAAAACAAATACGATCTGAGAACAGAGGAAGTATTTTTTCTTATATTCAACGCTCTTTTTCTCAGTCTTTCCTGGAGATGGATCAACATGCCTCCCAAGTCCTGGTGCCTCTCAAGTCCTGGTGCCTCTCTATCTGTGCATCATCTTCTCAGGCTTCTTCTAAAATGGAGTACAAAGAACCATAGCACAAAGGAGTTAAATTCATAAAGTGCCCAGAACCATGGCTGCCATATGGTAAGCCCTTCATTTTACCTTTATATTACTATCACTTTTATTTGTTAATTTTCCCATTACTAGCAATAAAATTTTTTGAGATTAACTCTGGTAGCCCATCTCCCAATATGAAAATAATCTATATTATTAATGCTTCCAACTAAATTATGAGAAGGGAACCCTACTTGAGGTGATCTAGGTAGAAAATTAACATTCATGGGTCCACAAAGCTGAAAGTACTCTTGAAAAATAACCTTTCCATTTCAGAATTTAGCAAGTTGTATAACAAATAATGAAGAATTGCCAAATAGAAGAAAAAGATGAAAATTAGAAAGTCTACCTGGGATGCTAAGGAAGAAAAATAATGTTCATCTTTCTTTCTTCTTTTTTTTTTTTTGAGACGGAATTTCGCTCGTTATCCAGGCTGGAGTGCAGTGGTGCGATCTCGGCTCACTGCAGCCTCCGCCTCCTGGGTTCAAGCAATTCTCTAGCCTCAGCCTCCTGAGTAACTGGGATTACAGGTGTGCACCACCATACCTGGCTAAATAATGCTCATCTTTCTAAGAAAAGGAATAGATCAACCAACAAGTGCTTCCTCCCAAAACCCCATTAAAATTATAAGGAGAAAATGGTACAAATTCCCTTATTCAAAAGGAATAAAGGATGGTGGCTGAAAAAAAAGTGTAAGGAACAGTTGAACATGCACTGTCCAGTCACGAGAACAAAGGACTGGACACACCTTCATATGAAATGGAAGTTTATCCCCTGCAGAATTTTAATCAGAGCTCAGGGGCATTCAGCAAATGAGATGACAGGAATGAGCTGCTATACGGAAATCAGAGATTAAACCCACATATATGGTAAGACCTGCAGCACCATTCTGCAGCTGAAGACAAAAGATGCTGGCTGGCCGGGCGCAGTGGCTCACGCCTGTAATCCCAGCACGTTGGGAGGCCGAGGTGGGCGGATCACGAGGTCAGGAGATCAAGACCATCCTGGCTAACACAGTGAAACCCCATCTCTACTAAAAATACAAAAAATTAGCCGGGCGTGGTGGCGAGCAACCAGATGCAAAGCTTGAACCCTGATTACATTCTGTAATTTTAAAAAACTATGGAAGGCATTCTGGGGACAATTGGAAAAATGTGAACATAGACTGGGTAGTCTAATATTAGGACAACATGGTTAATCTTCTAAGGTGTGAAACGGTATTTTGTTATATGGGAGAGCTCCCTTTTTTTTTGAGACAGTCTTGCTCTGTCGCCCAGGCTGTGTGGGGAAAAGAAAGAGAGATCAGACTGTTACTGTGTCTGTGTAGAAAGAAGTAGACATAAGAGACTCCATTTTGTTCTGTACTAAGAAAAATTATTCTGCCTTGAGATGCTGTTAATCTGTAACCCTACCCCCAACCCTGTGCTCACTGAAACATGTGCTGTGTCAACTCAGCGTTAAATGGATTAAGGGCTGTGCAGGATGTGCTTTGTTAAACAAATGCTTGAAGGCAGCATGCTCCTTAAGAGTCATCACCACTCCCTAATCTCAAGTACCCAGAGACACAACACACTACAGAAGGCCGCAGGGACCTCTGCCTAGGAAAGCCAGGTATTGTCCAAGGTTTCTCCCCATGTGATAGTCTGAAATATGGCCCCGCGGGAAGGGAAAGACCTGACCGTCCCCCAGTCCGACACCCGTAAAGGGTCTGTGCTGAGGAGGATTAGTAAAAAAGGAAGACCTCTTTGCAGTTGAGATAAGAGGAAGGCATCTGTCTCCTGCTCTTCCCTGGGCAATGGAATGTCTCCGTGTAAAGCTGGATTGTATATTCCATCTACTGAGATAGGGGAAAACCGCCTTAGGGCTGGAGGTGGGACATGCTGGCAGCAACACTGCTCTTTAAGGCATTGAGATGTTTATGTATATGCACATCAAAAGCACAGCACTTTTTTCTTTACCTTGTTTATGATGCAGAGACATTTGTTCACGTTTTCCTGCTGACCTTCTCTCCACTATTACCCTATTGTCCTGCCACATCCCCCTCTCCGAGAAACGCCCGATAATGATCAATAAATACTAAGGGAACTCAAGAGGCCGGTCCTCTTGAGAGGTCCTCCGTATGCAGGTCCTCCCTAACGCCGGTCCCCTGGGCCCATTTTTCTTTCTCTATACTTTGTTTCTGTGTCTCTTTCTTTTCCAAGTCAGTCCTTCCACCTGACGAGAAACGCCCACAGCTGTGGAGGGGAAACCCACCCCTTCAGGCTGGTGTGCAGTGGTGCGATCTCGACTCACTGCAACCTCGGCCTCCTGGCTTCAAGTGATTCTTGAAGCCTCAACCTCCCAAGTAGCTGGGA
Source organism: Homo sapiens (assembly GCF_000001405.40). NCBI lineage: Eukaryota > Metazoa > Chordata > Mammalia > Primates > Hominidae > Homo > Homo sapiens. The sequence continues at coordinate 36,233,259 of NC_000019.10, read as the reverse complement.
TTACAGGCATGCATCACCACGCCTAATTTTTGTATTTTTAGTAGAGACAGGATTTCACTATGTTGGCCAGGCTGGTCTGGAACTCCTGACATCTGGTGATCTGCCCGTATCTGCCTCCCAAGTGCTGGCACTACAGGCGTGAGCCACCACGCCTGGCCAGGAGCTGCTTTTCTTGGTAGAAAATACATATTTAATTTTTTAGAAGTAAAACATCATGATGCCTCAGCACACAAAATAAACACATGGATACGGACATACAAAAGCGTGGCAAAATATTAATTATTCAATCCACATGGGGGGTACATAAGAGATTCTTTAACTATTCCTTCAGCATTTGTTATATTTAAAAAATGTTCATATGAAAAAATAATTGAATGGCTGGGCATGGTGACTCACACCTGTAATCCCAGCACTGTGGGGCCAAGAGTTTAAGACAAGCCTGGCCAACATGGTGAAACCTCGTCTCTACTAAAAATACAAAAAATTAGCTGGATGTGGTGGCATGCTCCTATAATCCCAGCTACTCAAGAGGCTGAGACAGGAGAATCACTTGAAACCGGGAGGTGGAGGTTGTAGTGAGCCCAGATCGCACCACTGCACTCCAGCCTGGGTGACAGAGGGAGACTATGTCTCGGGAAAAAAAAAAAAAAGAAAAAAGAAAAAAGAACTGATCAGTATTTCCACACAAAAAATTCATAGATTATTTAACAGCAACTCATGCGTTCTCAAACTACTGATCAGAAAAATAAAACATGGACCTTCCTTTTAACCGGATTATAATGCAGACTATAGACGGCAAAATCTAAAACCATGTTTAAGGTATCATTTGCTGAGAACTTGTAAGTTCCTCTGGAAAATATGAAGTAATGGACAAGCAGAGGGAAGAGGAAAAAAGGCAGAAGTAACAAACATTTTAATGAAAACTGAATTCAAGTTTATATAAGTAGTACCTACATAAGTAGAATATTTCATAATCAAAGGCCAAGATTCAAAAATTTTATAAAGAGAAAGAAATATGTTCATATTTGTAGTCACATAATTTGTATGTTTTTTTTTTTTTTTTTTGAGATGGAGTCTCGCTCTGTTGCCCAGGCCGGAGTGCAGTCTCAGCTCACTGCAACCTCCGCCTCCCAGGTTCAACCGATTCTCCTGCCTCAGCCTCCCGAGTAGCTGGGACGATAGGTGTGCATCACCACGCCCAGCTAGTTTTTGTATTTTTAATAGAAACGGGGTTTTACCATGTTGGCCAGGCCAGTCTCAAACTCTTGACCTCAGGTGATCTGCCTGCCTCGGCCTCCCAAAGTGTTGGGATTACAGGGGTGAACCACCGAGTCTGGCCTTTTTTTTTTTAAATAAAAAAGATACGGGGTCTCAACACGCTGCCCAGGCTGGTCTAGAACTCCTAGGCTCAAGAGATCTGCCGCCTCGCCTACAGATGTGAGCCACCGTGCCTGGCCCTTTGTTCTCTATTAAAGAGAGCTTAGTGTGTCTTTTTAAGGCTTGACTGATCCTATTACAAAGACCATGGGAAAAGAAATAATCCAGAAATAACATGAAACTGGTCTGAGGTAATCTCTGGATCTGAAAATAATAGGATGAAAATTTTAATTTGGGTAGCATTCTGACACAATGAGAATGAAATTAGACAGCTGTCTGTCCCATAAACAGGTAAAGTTGTGTAAGGCAAGACAGAAACTCTGGAGATGCCAAAATAAGAATTGATATTATAGTTAATTATAACTTAAGAATGAGTCCAGGTGTAGTGGCTCCCGCCTGTAATCCTAGCACTTTGAGAGGCTGAGGCGGGCAGATCACTTGAGGTCAGGAGTTTAAGACCAGCCTGGCCAACATGGTGAAAACTGGTTACCAAAAAAATACAAAAATTAGCCGGGTGTGGTGGTGGGCACCTGTAGTCCCAGCTACTCAGGAGGCTGAGGCAGGAGAATCACTTGAACCCGGGAGGCAGAGGCTGCGGTGAGCCACGATGGCACCACCGCACTCCAACCTGGACAACAGAGTGAAACTATGTCTCAAAAAAAAGAAGAACTTTTGTATTTTTAGTAGAGACAGGGTTTCTCCATGTTGGTCAGGCTGGTCTCGAACTCCTGGCCTCAAGTGATACACCTGCCTTGGCCTCCCAAAGTCAGTTGTGGTCACGTTTACGCGTGTCACGTATATCCTTCTTGAGGTAACCTAGGAATAAGCCAGTATATTATATCTATGCTGCAAATATATATACATATAAGCCCTAGCCAACATGGTGAAACCTCGACTCTACTAAAAATACAAAAATTAGCCGGCGTGGTGGCAGGTGCCTGTAATCCCAGCTACTTGGGAGGCTAAGGCAGGAGAATCGCTTGAACCTGGAAAGTGGAGGTTGCAGTGAGCCGAGATCGCACCACTGTACTCCAGCCTGGGTGACAGAGCAAGACTCAGTCTCAAAAAAAGGAAAAGGAAAAGGAAGGAAGGCTGGCCCTCTGTTGGGTCTCCCAAATCACTCAGAATCAATGTTGAAACCTGTGATTTGACCTGTTACCTAACCACTGCTACTCTTATTCCCTTTTGCCCTCTCTCTTCCAGCCCACGGCCCTGATCACTATTCTCTGAACAGGACAGCAAGCTTCTCCTGACTTAGGGCTTTTAACACTTTTGTTCCTTCTGGCTAATGATCTTCCACCCAATGCTGCACGCCCACTCTCGCACTCTTCAGATCTTTTTTCAAATGGCATTCAGTGAGACCTTTCCCCACCAAGCTGATTTAAAATTACAACCCCAACTAGCCCTCTCTATACCGGTTTTCCCTTACTTTATTCTTTTCCATAGCACTTATCACTATCTGATAGTATACATTTTTTAAGTATTTACTCATTGTCTGTCTCCCCATTATAACACCGTCCCTAGGAGGAAGAAATTTTTGACTGTTTTGATAGCTGACATTTCCCTAGCATCTGAAATAGTACCTAATACATATCATGCAATAAATACTTGTAGGATGTGAATATATCAGCTTGGTAGAAACGTAAATGGGTTTACTTCTTTTGAGAGCAATGTGCTTATCTCAATTAAATTTATAAACATAACTTTGACCCTGTATTCCACTTAAAAAGTAAATGCTATGTAGTTGTTTCTGCATATTTCTGCAAAGCAATATAAACAAGTATACACACTTGTGTCTTCAATAGCAGAAGCCTGAAAACAACCTAAATGCCCATTAGTAGGAGACAGGTTAAATTATGCGTTAGCCAGGCGCGGTGGCTCAAACCTGTAATCCCAGCACTTTGAGAGGCCGAGGCAGGCAGATCACTTGAGGATAGGAGTTGGAGACCAGCCTGGCCAACATGGCAAAACCCCATCTCTATGAAAAATACAAAAATTAGCCAGGTGTGATGGCACATGCCTGTAATCCCAGCTACTCGGGAGCCTGAGGCACAAGAATCACTTGACCCCAGGAGGCGGAGGTTGCAGTGAGCCAAGACTGTGCCACTGCACTGCCACCTGGGTGACAAAGCAAAACTCTGTCTCAAAAAAATGAAAATAAATAACAAATTATGTGTTGACAGAGAATTCTAAGAAAAAAACTTATGTACATAATAGAATATATAATATACCACCATTTATATGAAAAGGAAAAATTAGGGCTTATATGTATATATATTTGCAGCATAGATATAATATACTGGCTTATTCCTAGGTTACCTCAAGAAGGATATACGTGACACGCGTAAACGTGACCACAACTTTGCAAAAAAACTGCAGGACTAAGAGTCAAGAGTTAAGAGGAGATTTTTTCGGGAGTCTGAGGCAGGAGGACCACTTCAGGCCAGGAAGCTGAGGCCACAGTGAGCTGTAATTGTGCCATACATATAGACCCCCACACATAAAAGTAGCAGAGGGAAAAACTGATTTCTAGGTCAACAACTTATGACAGAGGTACATGGGAGCAGAAGAAAGGTAGGCAGAGGAGTCCATGGATCTACGATGGCAGAGATGAGTGAGAAGACAACGGGAAGTGTGAGAACAGGTGTAAAATATAATTCTGAGGCATTCAGCCACTAGAAAGGATGAGAGAAGGTAGTAACAAAAAGGAACCTGAATATCAGACAATATGTAAGGTTTTACAAAGTATAAAGGACAATGTGTGAGGACAGGAAAAGGTATGTGGATGAAGGAGAACAGCCACCACAGTGGCGGCACAGACGAAGCAGGAAGGCTGACATCAGAACAGCAACAGGAGGGGCGCCTGGCCCCTCTAGAATCTGGTGAAAGAAGAAGAATAATGAAACACACAAAAATGATGACTGGAAGCGTCATTCAGGAATCTAAAAATCTCATACCAAGCAATACTCTATATGTCTACAGCCTGGAAGAAAACATCCTTTGAAGCACTTCAGAGGACTCAATGCTGACTGAAAAACTGTGGCCTGCCTGTCATTTACTCACCCGCGCAGATCCTTCCCACTTCTTTCTCCACCATACAGTTTGTCTTCTTGCTTCAACAGAGGATCATATTAACTATTGGGAAAATGACACAGTATTACAATGTTAATGCTGGGTCCAAAGTACCATCCTAGAACTCAGGCTGAGCCCTGGGGTCTCCTGGCCTTCTGAAGAATGAGGGTGCAACTTCCAAAGATGCACAGAACAAAGTAATGACCTTCTGCCTTAGTGACTAAAGCACACACAATCATGTGGGCAAAGGGACTAGGGCCATTAGAATCCTAAACTTCAAAGCCATGCTCATTAAACCATTTAAAGTCTACACACATCCAGAAATGGGAGAAAGGGAGAATTACCTTTCAGAATTTTACTTACACAGGAGAGCTGTTCACACCTTGTGTGAGTGATTGCTGTTTTTCTCTAGCACCACACTCCCACTCAGGGTCCTGAGAGGATTTTAACTACAGCCCTTATTCGTGGATGAATTCAACACCCATGTCTGACTTTAACACGTTCCCATCAGAACTAAAGCACATGGGCACAATGTGAAGAAGTTGTTCTGACAGTACTCAAGAATAAAAACTCAAACATTTTCCTGAAGTCCTATTTACCCTCTTTGCATTATACTGAGAGTGAAATTCTTTCTTTTTTTTTTTTTTTTTTTGAGACAGTTTCACTCCTGTTGCCCAGGCTAGAGTGCAATTGTGCAATCTCAGCCCACTGCAACCACCGCCTCCTGGGTTCAAGCAATTCTCCTGCCTCAGCCTCCTGAGTAGCTGGGATTATGGGTGTGTACCACCACACCTGGCTAATTTTGTATTTTTAGTAGAGACAGAGTTTCACCATGTTGGCCAGGCTGGTCTCGAACTCCTGACCTTAGGTGATCCACCCACCTCAGCCTCCCAAAGTGCTGGGATTACAGATGTAAGCCACCGTGCCGTGTCCTATTTCATATTAGAGATGTCCTGGCCCAGGTGCAGTGGCTCACACCTATAATCCCAACACTTCGGGAGGCCGGAAGTGGGTGAATCGTTTTGAGTGCAGGAGTTCAAGACCAGGCTGGGCAACACAGTGACACACCGTCCTTATAAAAATACAAAATTAGCTGGGCGCAATGGTGTGCGCCTGTAGTCTCAGCTACTTAAGAGGCTGAGGTGGGAGGATGACTTGAGCCCAGGAGTTCAAGATGGCCTGACAGAGTGAGACCTTGTCATAAAAAAGAAAAGCAACAACCTGGAATACAGGTTCATCCATTAGTTCAAAAAACATTTTTAAGCCAGGTGTGGTGGTGTGCACATGCAGTACCAGCTTCTCAGGAGGCTGAGACAGGAAGATCACTCGAGCCCAGGACTTCCAGGCTGCAAATACATGATCATGCCTATGAATAGCCACTGCACTCCAAAAGAAAAAAAAAAATCTTTTTTTTTTTTTTTGTGACAGAGACTCGTTCTGTTGCCCAGGCTGGGAGTGCAGTGACGTGATCTCTGCTCACTGCAACCTCTGCCTCCCGGGTTCAAGCCATTCTCCTGCCTCAGCCTCCCGAGTAGCTGGGATTACAGGCATGCGCCACTACACCCAGCTAATTTTTGTAATTTTAGTAGAGACAGGGTTTCACCACATTGGCCAGGCTGGTCTTGAACCCCTGACCTCAGGTGATCCGCCCACCTCTGCCTCCCAAAGTGCTGGGATTACAGGTGTGAGCCACTGCGCCCAGCCAAAAAAAAAATTTTTTTTTTTTTGAGATGGAGTTTTACTCTTGTTGCCCAGGCTGGAGCGCAGTGGTGCGATCTCGGCTCACTGCAACCTCCACCTCCCAGGTCCAAGTGATTCTCCTGTCTCAGCCTCCGGAGCAGCTGGGACTATAGGCATGCGCCACCATGCCCCACTAATTTTTTATTTTCAGTAGAGACGGAGTTTCTCTGTGTTAGGCTGAACTCCCAAACTCCCGACCACAGGTGATCCACCTGCCTTGGCCTCCCAAAGGGCTGGGATTACAGTTGTGAGCCACTGCACGTGGCCCAAAAGAATTTTTTTAATCAATAGCAGACATTATTGGGATGACTGACCAAATTTGAATATGGACTTTGGATTAAATAATACTAATGTATCAATGTTAAACTTCCCGATTTTGATCACTGTACTGTAGTTATGAAAAAGAATGTTTTTGTTCTTGCAAAATGCATGCTGAAGTATTTATAGATAAAGGAAGCATGTCCACAACTGGTTTCAAATCGTTCAGGAAAAAAAAATCATACACATTTGGAGAAAGAGAGAAGGAAAAATAAAACAACCAAAATGTAAATGATTGGTGAAATTGGGTAAAGGATACATGGGACTTCTCTGTACTATTCCAACTCTTCTATAAAGTTGTAATCATATAAAAAAGCATAATCATAAAAAATTTAAGTTTCACATATATACCCCCCATCCACTATGTATGTTGAAAAAGCTTGATCACCCAATTCCTAATGGGGTGTGTCAGAGATATAAGGCTTAGAGCATGATTTAAACCGAAACATACATGACAGAAACACGAGAAGGTGAGTTGGCTGGAAGCAACTTGCAGGAGGGAGATCAAGTTTGAGACTCTATACATTCAGAGTGTAGGTTTCTGAACACATGCAGGCAGAGAGATCGATTAGGCAGTTGGATATACAGATCAGGAGCTCAGAATAGGGCTAGAACAGAAATGGGAACTTGCCAGTTGTCAGACTATTACTGCTGCTGAAGACACAGGGAGAAATGTTACCGTGGGCTGGACGCAGTGGCTCATGCCACTAATCCCAGCACTTTGGGAAGCTGAGGTGGGCAGGATCACTTGAGCTCAGAAGTTCAAGACCAGCCTAGGCAACATGGCAAGACCCCATCTCTGCAAAAAATTCAAATCCAAAAATTAGCAGGGTGTGGGGTGGTACATGCCTGTAGTCCCAGCTACTTGGGAGCCTGAAGCAGGAGGACTGCTTAAGCCTGGGAGGTGGACGTTGCAGTGAGCCGTGATCATGCCACTGTGCTCCAGCCTGGGTGACAAAGCAAGACCCTGTCTCAAAAAAAAAAAAAAAAAAAAAAAAAAGAATCACAAAGCAGGGGCAGGGCTTGGTGGCTCATGCCTGTAATCCCAGCACTTTGAGACACTGAGGTGGGTAGACTGCTTGAGCCCAGGAGTTCAAGACCAGCGTGCTTAGCACTAAAAAAAAATACAAAAAAACTAGCCAGGTATGGTGGTATGCACCTGTAGTCCCAGCTACTTGACAGGCTGAGACAAAAGGACTGCTTGAGCCTAGGAGGTTGAGGTTGCAGTGAGCCAGAAAAAAAAAAGTAAGAATCACAAAGCAGATGAAAACTGAAACATAACAAAATGAACTTAAGACACAAAACTTTTAAGAAGGAAGCAAAGCTATAAATAGACCACAAAAGATAAACAGAGGAAATGAGTAAAGAAACAGTCACCCAAAAGAAGGGAATCGACAGAAAACAGAAGAATAGGAATAGACATCTTATTTTTGTCCCATTTGATTTTTTGTTTAAGGATGCAATAACGAAATTTTGAGGGATTGTTGTTTCCTCAATCAACAGATTTTCCCTGGTTGTTGCACCTTGGCTATTAGCAGTGTCCTCAGTCTTTCTGCTCACACTCCCACTGACCCAGGCAGCATGGGTAATCTATATTTATATAATCATAATCTGTATCTGACCACAAAAGCCAGTATCTTATCTAATGTAAAAACACTGAAAAGCAAATCATGATAATAAAAGTAATAGAAAAACACTGAAGGCATTTCTATTAGATTCTAAACAGACAAGGATGCCTACTGCCTCAATTATATAATCTAATTACAAATAACTAAGGAAAGCAGGGAATAATATTAGTATGTAGAAATCAACAGCTTCATATATGCCAACAATGACTCCATTCATAGCAACATAAAACAAAACATCCAGAAATAAACTTAGTAAGAAGTGTCCAAACCTGTATGAAAAAAATTTTAAAACACCCTAGAGGACCCAAAAAGAAACGAGAATACGTATCACGTACATAAAGAGGAATATTTAATGTCATAAAAATGTCCCTATTCCCAAGTTATTTTATAAATTTAATGCAATCCCAATAAAAGTAACAAACTAGTTCTACCTTTTCCCCCTCTGGAACGAGACAAGCTAATCCTAAAATTTACAAAGAAAAATAAACAGGCAAGAATAGCCAGGAAACACTGAAAAGGACGAGCAATTAAGAGACTAGCTATACCACAAAGTAAAACACAATGATAAAGCCTCAATAGTAAAAAGATAAATATTTTCCCTGGTTGTTACACCTGGGCTATAGCAGTGTCCTCAGTCTTTCTGCTCACACCCAGAAACAGACCAAATAAATGTGAGAATTTAGTATATAATCAAAGTGGCATCCTAAAAATAGTAAACATAAGACCTTTTTTTAATGTGTGTGAGATGGAGTTTGGCTCTTGTTGCCCAGGCTGCAGTGCAGTGGCACAATCTCAGCTCACTGCAACCTCCGCCCTCCTATGTTCAAGCGATTCTCCTGTCTCAGCCTCCGAATAGCTGGGATTCAGGCATGTGCCACCACACCCAGCTAATGTTTTGTATTTTTAGTAGAGACAGGGTTTCTCCATATTGGCCAGGCTGGTCTCGAACTCCTGACCTCAAGTGATCCACCCACCTTGGCCTTGCAAAGTGCTGGGATTGCAGGCGTGAGCCACCGTGCCCAGCCAGGTAAGACCTTTTAATAAATGATGTCAAAGAACGTGGTAGCCAATTGGAAAAAGGTAAAGCTGGATGCATATCTGATAGCATACACCAGGATAAAATCTAAATGGATTATAAATTAAAATAAAAACAAAATCTTAAAAAAACTATTGCTCTGACTTGGGAAGCCAAGGTAGCAGGATCACTTGGGCCCAGGAGTTTGAGACCAGCCTGGGCAACACAGGGAGATCTTATCTCTACAATTTTTTTTTTTTTAAATTAGCGAGGATATGAAGGCTGCAGTCAGCTGTGATCACGCCACTGCACCCCAGCCTGGGTGACAGATCAAGATCCAACTCTAAAACAATCAAACAACAAAAAACTGTAACTTTATAAGAATTTGAAAATATCGGTGAAACTTAAGAGTGGAAAAGTCTGATAACCATAAAAGACTGATGAATCAGCCACGCGCGGTGGCTCACGCCTGTAATCCCAGCACTTTGGAGGGCCGAGGCGGGCGGATCACGAGGTCAGGAGATCGAGACCATCCTGGCTAACATGGTGAAACCCCGTCTCTACTAAAAATACGAAAAAATTAACCAGGCGTGGTGGCATGCGCCTGTAGTCCCAGCTACTTGGGAGGCTGAGGCAGGAGAATGGCGTGAACCCGGGAGGCGGAGCTTGCAGTGAGCCGAAATCGCACCACTGCATTCCAGCCTGGGGGACGGAGAGATACTCCATCTCAAAAAGAAAAAAATGTAACTAGATTTTTTTTTTTTTTTGAGACGGAGTCTCACTCTGTTGCCCAGGCTAAAGTGCAGTGGTGTGATCTCGTGCACCACAATGACTGGCTAAATTTTTTGTATTTTTAGTAGAGACGGGGTTTCACCATGTTGACCGGGCTAGTCTCAAACTCCTGACCTCAAGTGATCTACCCGCCTCAGCCTCCCAAAGTGCTGGGATTACAGGCGTGAGCCATCGCGCCCAGCCAAAAGTTTTGAAAATAAAAAGAAAACCATAGCAGCATGGTGGTGCACTGCCTGTAGTCCCCGCTACTTGGGAGTCTGAGACTTGCTTGGGCCCAGGGGTTCAAGGCCAGCCTGTGCAACACAGTGAGACTGTGCCTCTAAAAAATACATGAATAAAAAGGTCTTTGGTGTGGTGCGGGGATGTCTCTGTGCTCACCAACCACAGGGGGCTCATTCTAAGCACGGCTATGTAAAAAAAGAAACTATTATTACTAAATTAAAACAAAACCTCTTATTTCTGCAAGATTAAAAAAAAAAGAAACCACTGTGAACAATGTCCAAATGCAAATGAAAACTTCAAAAAAAAAAAAAAAAAAAGCCACCACTCATTTCATACAGGGCTAACCTTTCTAATTTATAAACAGCTCCTCTAAGGAGAAGACACCCCATAGAAAAATGGTGAAAAGGATATGAATAGACAGTTCCTAGATTAATACATACAGGCCTTTAAACATATAAAAAAAAATTCTCATTCATAAGAAGGGATGTAAATGAAACCTACACTGAAGTTCAGATTGTCTCTTATGTCCCTAGCGAAATACCAAATATTCGACACTACACTCATGGTGAGTTTAAGGGGAAGACGCTCTCGCACATGGCTTGTGGGAGTGTAAGTACTTACCCACTGGGCAGCGCCATTTGTATTAATAGCAGTCTAGTTTAGAGCTACTCCTGTGTCAGTATAAAATGGCGCACATAAAAAAATTATTCATTACTGCATTGTTAGCAACAGCAGAAGACTGGAAACAATCCAAATGCTCAACAACGGGATTAACTGAATCAACCATGGTGCATCCAAATAATGACATCTTATTTATACAGCAGCTGAAAAAAAAATTTCTTTTAAAGATTATGATTAAGAAGGAACACCTTGGCTGGGTGCAGTGGCTCACACTTGTAATCCCAACACTTTGGGAAGCCAAGAGAGGAGGACTGCTTGAGCTCAGGAGTTCGAGACCAATCTGGGAAACAGTGAGACCTCATCTCTACAAAAAGTAAAAAAGCCAGGTGTGGTGGAGTGTGCCTGTGGTCCCAGCTACACAGGCGGCTGAGGCAGGAAGATCACTTCAGCCCAGCAGTTGGAGGCTGCAGTATGCCATGTTAACACCATTGCACACCAGCTTGGGTGACAGAGCGAGACTATTTCAAAAAAAAAAAAAAAAAAAAAAGAAAGAAAAAAGGAAGGGCTATCTCTAGGACATACTGTTATTAAAGAAAGTGAGATATAGGGAGGTGCATGTGGTATGCTATCTTTTATGTAAGGTGGAGGGAAACAGGAGTGAAGAGAAATATATAATAGTGACAGAACAAAAAACAAAAAACCCACTTGAAGGATAAACAAGAAGCAAACAAAAAAAAACAAGACATGTTTACATAAGACAAAGAAGAATGTGACTGGGGGAAGGGAGCAGAATGAGATATCTCTGTGAGATAGATCTTTGTTGAATCACAGAAATGCATTACTTACTTCAATAGTAATCAAATTCATTTTTTAAAAAGTAGTGCCTTGGCCAGGCACGGTGGCTCAAGCCTGTAATCCCAGTACTTTGGGAGGCTGATGCGGGTGGATCACGAGGTCAGGAGATCAAGATCATCCTGGCTAACATGGTGAAACCTCGTCTCTACTAAAAATACAAAAAATTAGCCGGGCGTGGTGGCTGACACCTATAGTCCCAGCTACTCGGGAGGCTGAGGCAGAAGAATGGCGTGAACCCGGGAGGCGGAGCTTGCAGTGAGCCGAGATTGCGCCACTGCACTCCAGCCTAGGGGACAGAGTGAGACTCCGTCTCAAAAAAAAAAAAAAAAAAAAAAGCAGTCCCTTAACCTGAAAACAACAAATGAACCCAACTGTATGTTAATTTAGTAACATAATTCCTCAGAAAAACGATTTCAAATGACTTTAGAACAGAGTTCTTTGACTACATACATCTTTAGTGAGATGCATTTTAAAAGCTGGGCTCAGTGGCTCATGCCTGAAATCCCAGCACTTTGGGAGGCCAAGACGAGTAGGAAGTCAGGAGTTCGAGACCAGCCTGGCCAACATGGTGAAACGCTGTCTCTACTAGAAATACAAAAATTAGCTAGGCGTCATGGTGGGCACCTGTAATCCCAGCTACTCAGGAGGCTGAGGCAGGAGAATCGCTGGAACTGGGGAGGCAGATGTTGCAAGTGAGCCAAGATCACACCACTGCACTCTGCCCTGGGCAAAAGAGTAAGACAACATCTCAAAAAAAAAAAAAAGATGCATTTTAAGAACAAAAATAGTTACATATATTAAAGAAAGAATTTTTTAACATGATACAGTATGTTTATGGTTACTACTAGTATCAGCATTGTTACTGAAACCATTTTCTTTATATTGCAGGATAAAGCAAACAAAATAAGTACTTATAACTTGTTTCATATTTTTTACTATAAAATACAACTAGGAGGCCGGGCGCCGTGGCTCACGCCTGTAATCCCAGCGCTTTGGGAGGCCAAGGTGGGCAGATCACCTGAGGTTAGGAGATCGAGACCATCCTGGCTAACACGGTGAAACCCCATCTCTACTAAAAATACAAAAACTTAGCTGGGCGTGGTGGCATGCACCTGTAGTCCCAGCTACTCGGGAGGCTGAAGCAGGAGAATCACTTGAACCCAGGAGGCGGAGATTGCAGTGAGCTGAGATCGTGCCACTGCACTCCAGCCTGGGCGACAGAGCAAGACTCCGTCTCAAAAATAAAATAAAATTAAATTAAAAAAAAGAACTAGGAGCTAAGAAATTAGGTAAAAATACTATACCATTTAAAGTGAATTAGAAATACGAATATGGACTCATGATTTTTAAAAATACATTAAAAATGTATTTTTTAAATGCTCTGCAATTTAAAATGGCCTTAAAACAATGTTACCCCTGGGCAATGAGCACACCCTTGATCTTGTCTCTAATACCATTCTCCAATAAAAGGAACCAGAGCTCCTTGGAGAAATGGTCAATTCCAAGTCTGGGAGGAAGATACAAGCCTGCAGTGCAGGAAAACTTTCCAAGATCAATGATGTCAGCCAAAATGAGACAAGAATGACCTGAAGGGGTATCCACTGGCATCAAAAAGTGCAGCTGATTCTAGAACACGCTAAATATACACAACTTTAGGATGATGTTTAAGAAAGAAAAAGCCAGGGGGAAAAAAAGATACAATTTGATGTAACAATGAAACAAATGTAAAAGGAATGAAAAGACAAGAGAAATTAAGACTATACTTCCAGGGATCATTTCTAGTTTGTTCCCAGAAGTTTCTCTTAACGTATAGACTACTACATTTTTACACAAAACAAACAAACAACAACAACAAAAAAAACAGAAAATCATCACTTTACAATACCTGTAGAAATTTACTCATCCAGCCAAGAATTATGTATTGGTTTTAAAACCATCCACTAAATGACTGATGGAGAATGAACCAAAGTAAACATAACATTTTGGTCAAAGGGAAGTAACAATCACCAGCCATCTGGTATATCTCTCCTAATGGTATGCAATTTGAAGTATGTAAGATCACCTCTGATGTATTCTGGCCAAAAATCAATCACAATTAGAATTAAAAAAAAAATCATCAGAGATTCTGAATTAGAACCATGCAAAAGTAATCATAGAAATCAAAGAACAAATCTTCCAAAGGAGCGGATAATGATGACTTTCTAAAGATAAACATAACTCAAACACAGAAATCTAACTTCCAGCCTGGGCAACATAGTAAGACTCCATCTCTACAAAAAAAGGTTTAAAAATTAGCAGGTCGTGGTGGCACACACCTGTAGTCCCAACCACTGCGGGGGTGGGGCTGAGGTGGGAGGATCTCTTCAGCCCAGGAGGTGGAGGCTGCAATGAGATGTGATCGCACCAGTGCACCCAGCCTGAGCCAGAGTGAGACCCCATCTCAAAAATCAAAAAACAAACCTAACTTCCTGATTCCAGTTAAAAAAGGAAATATCCACAGAAAATTTTAAGTGGCCAGGCGCAGTGGCTCACGCCTGTAATCCCAGCACTTTGGGAGGCCGAGGTGGGCGGATCACGAGGTCAGGAGATGGAGACCATCCTGGCTAACACGGTGAAATCCCGTCTCTACTAAAAATACAAAAAATTAGCCGGACGTGGTGGTGGGCGCCCGTAGTCCCAGCTACTTGGGAGGCTAAGGCTGGAGAATGGCGTGAACCTGGGAGGTGAAGCTTGCAGTGAGCCAAGATAGCACCACTGCACTCCAGCCTGGGCGACAAACCGAGACTCTGTCCCCCCCTCCACCAAAAAAAAAGAAAATTTTAAGTAAAAAAATTAAAATATAGAAATATTAGGCCGGGCGCAGTGGCTCACGCCTGTAATGCCAGGACTTTGGGAGGCTGAGGCAGGTGGATCACAAGGTCAGGAGATCCAGACCATCCTGGCTAACGCGGTGAAACCCCATCTCTACTAAAAATACAAAAACAAAATTAGCCAGGCGTGGTGGCTGGCACCTGTAGTCCCAGCTACTCAGGAGGCTGAGGCGGGAGAATGGCATGAACCAGGGAGGCAGAGCCTGCAGTGAGCCGAGATCAGGCCACTGCACTGCAGCCTGGGCGACAGTGAGACTCCATCAAAAAAAAAAAAGAAATATTAATAACAAAAGTGCATCTACATATCTTATTCTTTCAGAAATTCCTACCAGACACAGGACTATAATATTTTCTGAGGAAGCATTTTTTTTGCAGCTAGTAATAAAAAGTACTAGTATTTAACATTAATCAAGTACTTACTACACACTGGGGACTATTCTTAGAACTTTACATGTATTAACTTCTGGAGCTACACAACCACCCTTTGAATCAAATATTGCTATTATTTCTATACTATGAAATGAGCAACTGAGGCCCAAGGTTTAAGTACCTACCTGAGGTCCCCAAGGTAAAAAGTGGCAGAGGAAGGAGTTAACACAGGAAGTCTGGCTCCTTGGCCTATGTCTTCCTTTAATTTAAAAAAAAAAAAAAAAAAATTAGCTCATGCCTGTAATCCCAGTACTTTGGGAGGCTGAGGCAGGCAGATCACATGAGGTCAGGAGTTCGAGACCAGCCTGGTCACCATGGTGAAACCCCGTCTCTACTAAAAATACAAAGCCTTTGCCCTGTCTATTCCAGTACCCCCACCCCAACAGCCAGTTTTATTATTTCGTATGTATCTTTTGAATTTTTTTTTTTTTTTTTGAGATGGAGTTTCACTCTCGTTGCCCAGGTTGGAGTGCAATGGCGCAATCTCTGTTCACTGCAACCTCCGCCTCCCGGGTTCAAGCAATTATCTTGCCTCAGCCTCCCAAGTAGCTGGGATTAACAGGCATGTGCCGCCACGCCTGGCTAATTTTGTATTTTTAGTAGAGACGGGGTTTCTCCATGTTGGTCACGCTGGTCTCAAACTCCTGACCTCAGGTGATCCGCCTGCGTTGGCCTCCCAAAGTGCTGGGATTATAAATACATATTCTTATTACCCCTTTTCTTATTCCAAATGCATCGTGTATCATACTCTACATTCTGCACCTTGCTTTCTCTCAGTTAACAATACATTTTGAAGTTATTTCTGTCTCAGTATATAAAGAGCTTCCTCCTCATTCTTTTGTACAGCTATGTATTATTTTGTTGTATCGATGTACACCAATCTCCCACTGATGGGCATGAACTGTTTTTCTTTTCTTTCTTCTCTCTCTCTCCTTTCTTTCTTTCTTAAGACAGGGTCGGCCAGGCACCGTGGTTCATGCCTGTAATCCTAGCACTTTGGGAAGCCGAGGCGGGCCGATCACTTGAGGTCAAGAGTTCAAGACCAGCCTGGCCAACATGGTAAAACCCTGTCTCTACTAAAAATACAAAAAAAGTAGCCGGGTGTGGTGGCAGGCAACTAATCCCAGCTACTCGGGAGGCTGAGCCAAGAGAATCGCTTGAACCTGGGGGGCAGAGGTTGCAGGGAGCAGAGATTGGGCCACTGCACTCTAGACTGGGCAAGAGAGAGAGACTCCATCTCAAAAAAAAAAAAAAAAAAAAAAAAAGACAGGGACTGGCTGTCCACCAAGCTGGAATGCTGTCGCCAGGATCTCTGCTCACTGCAGCCTTGACCTCCTAGGCTCAAGTGATCCTCCCACCTCAGCCTCCCAAGCAGCTAGGACTACGGGAGATCTCACTATGTCGCCCAAGCTGGTCTCTAACTCCTGGACTCTAGCCATCCTCCTGCCTTGGCTCACAGGTGTGAGCCACCAAGCCCGGCCTGAGGCTTTATATTTAAAATGTGTTGGGTCCCCATCTCCCCACACCTCAACGCCTTTTCTTTCTCAGTCTGTACTGGCTCTTGCAGCTTGTCTCTTTCCATAGTAAGTCTAGGATCAGTTCCCCTAGTTCCAAAAGAGAAAAGCCTGTCCATACTTTTATTAGGATCACATTATTACTATTATTGAGACGGAATCTCGCTCTTGTCCAGGCTGGAGTGCAGTGGCGAGATCTGGGCTCACTGCAACCTCCGCCTCCCAGGTTCAAGCGATTTTCCTGCCTCAGCCTCCGCGGTAGCTCAGATTACAGGCGCCCGCCACCACGCCCGGCTAATTTTTGTATTTTTTTATTTTATTTTTTTTTAGTAGAGACAGGGTTTCACCATGTTGGCCAGGCTCCTCTCGAACTCCTGATCTCAGGTAATCCACCCATCTCGGCCTCCCAAAGTGCTAGGATTACAGGCATGAGCCACCGCACCCGACCAAGATCACAGTAAATTAATACATTCACTTAAGTTTGCGCACACTTCTTAATGTCACATGGTATATTTATTTGTTCACATTTGTTATGCCCCTTAGTAGTATTTTAAAGTTCTTTCCTAATAGTTCTGAACCTTTAAGTTTCTTCCACAATACTTTATCTTTTTACTGCTATTGTAAATATTAGTTTTCTTCAACTATGTATTCTAACTGATATTTGTAAATTAGAAGGCTATTTATTTATAGATATTAACTTGGTACCCAATTACTTTATTTAACTTTTTGTAATTTAAAACTATGTCAATGACGACAGCGGGGGCGGGGTGATTTCCTTAGAAAACGCATCTTTGGAGACGTCAGTAGCATTCTCCATTACTTCACAAAATCCATACAACCTGAGAACGCCTCGACTCATTAAGGAATTAAGACACCTAGGATTTAGTCCAGACTCATAGATAAACACTGCAACAATTAAGCTTTCTTCAAAAAATGAGGATAACTGTGCCTAACCTAAAACCGTTGACTCCCTCATCCTGGGCGCCGTTATATGGGATTGCTTCTCAAAGCGTACAATGCTGTTTAGTCTAGGGCTTTGCTTAACAGCCCTATTTAAGTACCCCAAAGATGGGGATTTGAATAGTCTGAAGTAGGCACCCCGAAACTAAAGTTCCTTCGAAACACTCTCGTTTAATTAAAAAAAAAAGTCACGGTGATTTGCATGCCACTCCAATTAAAAAGAAATGCTTTTATATAAAAACTCGTTTTAAAATTATTCACCACTTAGCTTTTCCACCCCTTCAATTTTCAAGTAAAAAAGACGCTCCAGGAAGATGGCACCGTTATAATTATCAGCACTTTCGACAAGGGAAGTGCAGCTCAAACGTTATACCTCAATGCTGGTCTCCTACATCTCCCTCTTAGGCACAATCACACACAATCCCGCACCCAGTTTCACATTCACTCAACAATCCCAAACATCAGGTCAAACTTTGAGGACAAACTCGGTCACACTCGCTCAAACCCGCCTCAGAGGCCCCCATCTCCGCCCCGCACGTAGGCCAGAAGCTCTTACACCCACTCCCTGCCCTCGCGCCGCGCCCCTAAAGATCAGGAATCCTCCCCTTTAACCTCCCCGGTCCGACCGACCCGAGACGCCCAGATCCCACCTCCTACTTTCGCGCCACGTGGACCCAGGGGCCGTACTGACCCGCGGACAAAGACCAAAATGTCCACTCGGTGCGCTGCGCTTGCGCACTCGGAGAGCGAGGAAGCACTCCCAGAAGTCTCCGCGACGCGGCCCGCCTCGGTCACCGCGGCCAGGCCCAGGCTGGTACTGAATTACCTTCTATTACCAGCAACGTCGCTTCTCAGGCCTTGGACTACATTTCCCTTGAGGCTTTACTGGTCGACTCTCTGTCTCCTCCCCTCCCCCCGCGAACTTGGCCGCCTCCTTCTGTGACGATGGAGCTCTTGAGGTAAGTAGTCCTTTAGCGTCAGATGACTTCAAGCTTGCTGGAAGGTCTGGAGTGGCGACGCCCTCTCCGAAGACTCGTGGGCGCAAAAATGTCAAAACGAGCCAGGCCCCGACTCAGAGATAAGAGAACGCCATTCTGTCCGTGGCCGATCTAGCTCTGGACTACAATTCCCAGAGCCCACAGCGGCCTGACGTTACGTCGTTCTTGACGTCGTGGCGAGCTAGTTAGCTCCGCAAGGACCCGGACGCGACCAGGGGAGGCAGAAGGTGAGGGGTCTGGGAGTCCTGGGCGGGGCCGGGGCGTGTCCGGAGCCTCGAATCTGT
Organism: Homo sapiens; assembly: GCF_000001405.40. Taxonomy (NCBI): domain Eukaryota; kingdom Metazoa; phylum Chordata; class Mammalia; order Primates; family Hominidae; genus Homo; species Homo sapiens. The sequence goes on along the minus strand of NC_000019.10, from coordinate 36,214,564 downwards.
GCGCGCAGGCGGGAGCTGGCTGCGGATGCGCCGTTCTGAATGTGTCTTTGTGGCTGTGTGGCTGGGTGTGGGTGTCTGCAACTGTGCACGTGTAACCGCCTGTCTCCAGGGTGTCTGGTGGTTTTTGTGTAACCATGTGTGATAGAGAGTATCGGGGTGCAGGGTCCTTGTGACCGGGGGTGATACTGCGTGTGTCCCCGTTGTATATGTGGCCTGTTCGCCCTGTTCCTGGGGTGTGAGTACAGTTGTGACTGTGTGACCACTGCGGGTGTGCGGTTGTGATTCATGTCTCCAAGGTGTGTGCGTGGTTTTGGTTGTGTGACACTGTGGCCGTGTGCAATTGCCTGTGCCTGTGACTGTGTGGTGACGCCGCTTGTGTATTCCTGTATCCCTTGGTGTGTGTGTTTGTGTGTATGTGTGTGGTGCTGTGTATGCGGGAGTGGGGTGCCACTGCTTGTGTGGGTTGCTTGTGTGAGTGTGACTGTGTGTATGTCCACAGTGAAAGTTCAGTTGTGACTGGGTGCCGTAAAGTACCAGTGATGGCGTGTGTCCCCTGAGTGGGTGTGTGACTGTGACTATATGAGGCATTTGTGGGTGTTGGTGTGTGGGGCTTGTGACTATACGGGAGTAACTGTATCACAGTGGAGAGTAGATTGTGTGACTGGGTGTGTCTTAGCGGGTGTGTGATTGTGACTGGAAAGATATTGTGACTGGAAAGGTATAGAGGTGTCTGTGATTGTGTCCTGTGTCTCAGGAGTGGATGTAGGGCCGGGTGTGGTGGCTCACATCAGCCCTTTGGGAGGCCGAGGTGGGAGGATCACTTGAGCCCAGGAGTTCGAGACCAGCCTGGCCTGTACAAAAAAAAAAAAAAAAAATTAATGGCTGGCACGGTGGCTCACACCTGTAATCCCAGCACTTTGGGAGGCCGAGGCGGGTGGATCACCTGAGGTCAGGAGTTCTAGACCAGCCTGGCCAACACGATAAAACCCTGTCTCTACTAAAAATACAAAAATTAGCTGGGCGTGGTGGCAGGTGCCTGTAATCCCAGCTGCTCAGGGGGCTGAGGCAGGAGAATCGCTTGAACCCAGGAGGCAGAGGTTGCAGTGAGCCGAGATCGCGCCATCGCACTCCAGCCTGGGGGACAAGAGCGAGACTTCGTCTCAAAAACAAACAAACAAAAAATTAAAAATTATCTGAGTGTGGTGGCCCACACCTGTGGTCCCAGCTACCCGGGAAGCTGAGGTGGGAGGATCTCGAGCTTGAGAGGTCAAGGCTGCAGTGAGCCGTGTTTGAACCACTGCATTCCAGTCTAGGTGACAGAGCGAGACCCTGTCTCAAAAAAATAAAAGAGTGGATGTGTGGTTATGTTTGTGTGACACTGACTGTATGTGCAGCACCAAGTGTGCCAGTGACTCTAGTGCTTGACCCATGCAGAACCTTTGAAGTTAGGACAGATTCTGGCCCTGGACAGGAGTGACCTCAGCCTTCTGAGTGACACTGGATTTAGGCAGATGCCTGGTGTTCTGTGACCACACTTCCCTATATGGTAGGTAAGGAGGATGGTGGTTCAAAAATGACCTGGTTGTTCATGATTCCTTGCTCTTAACCCTTCTCCAAGAAAGGTGCCAAGTTCAAGTACATCAGGTTTTATTCTTATTTCTCTGAAATCCTTCTTGTTTTTCAGGACATGCTTTTCTTTCCTTCTTCTGAAACTTCAGAACCACCCCACCACCACCCTCACCCCTACCAAAGTAACCTGGTCTCCAGTATTTGCCATAGGAGTAATTTACTGCGTGCCTTGGAGATGGACTGAAAGGCCTATATCCTCCCTGCTCCCTGCATACCTAATGTTCTTTTAAATTTTTTTCTTTACTTTTCATTTTGAATTTAAGACTTTAAAATGTAGCAACAATAGAATTCCCATTTGCTCTTTTTTTTTTTTTGAGACGGAGTCCTGCTCTGTCACCCATGCTGGAGTGCAGTGCTGTGATCTCAGCTCACTGCAACCTCCACCTCGCAGGCTCAAGCGATTCTCCTGCGTCAGCCTCCTGAGAAGCTGAGATTACAGACAAATGCCATCGTGCCCAGCTGATTTTTTGTAATTTTAGTAGAGACGGGGGGAGGGGGGTTTCACCATGTTGGCCAGACTGGTCTCGAACTCCTGGCCTCAAGTGATCCTCCTCCCTCAGCATCCCAAAGTGCTGGGTTAGAGATGTGAACCACCATGTCTGGTCTCCATTTTCCTTTTTGTAACTCCTTTGACACGCCTAGCCAATTTTTTGTATTTTTAGTAGAGACAGGGTTTCACCATGTTGGCCATTTGTTTTGTAGAGTCTGCAGTGTAGAATGTTCCTCTCTTTGGAATTGTCTGATATTTCCTGTTGATTAAATTCAGATTCTGCCTTTGGGGCAAGAATACTCCGAAAGCGATGTACCCTTCTCGGCGCATCATGCCAGGGACCCACGAGGTCAATTCGTTACACTATGAGTGGTATTAATTTTAACCGCTTGGTTAAGACGGTGATTGCCAGATTTCTCTGCTGCAAAGTCACTGTTTTTCCCATTATAATTGATACATGTCTTGTGAAGAAATACTTTAAGCCTATGTGAATATCCCGTTTCTTATCCTCCTTTCATCTATTAGTCTTATCCGTTGATGACGCTTGCCTGAAAAAGTTGTTACCAGCTATTTGTCAAATGGTGGGGTTTTGGGGTTTGTTTCCATCATCACTTCTATGTTTATTTTTTCTTCTTTTTTTTTTTGTTTTTTTTGAGACAGAGTCTTGCTCTGTCACCCAGGCTGGAGTGCAGTGGCGCGAGCTCGGCTCACTGCAAGCTCCGCCTCCCTGGTTCATGCGATTCTCCTGCCTCAGCCTCCCGAGTAGTTGGGACTACAGGTGCCTGCCACCGCGCCTGGCTAATTTTTTGTATTTTTAGTAGAGATGGGGTTTCACCGTGTTAGCCAGGATGGTCTCGATCTCCTAACCTCGTGATCCACCCACCTTGGCCTCCCAAAGTACTGGGATTACAGGCGTGAGCCACCGCGCCCGGCCACTTCTATGTTTATTAATTAGAATTGTGTGTGTGTGTGTGTGTGTGTGTGTGTGTGTGTGTGAGAGAGAGTTGGAGTTTGGCTCTTGTTGCCCAGGCTGGGAATGCAGTGACATGATCTCAGCTCACTGCAGCCTCTGCCTCCTGGATTCAAGCGATTCTCCTGCCTCAGCCTCCCAAGTTTCTGGGATTACAGGCACACACCACCACGCCCGGCTAATAATTGTATTTTTAGTAGAGATGGGATTTCACCATGTTGGACAGGCTGGTCTCGAACTCCTGATCTCAGGTGATCTGCCCACCTTGGCCTCCCAAAATGCTGGGATTATAGGCGTGAGCCACCTCGCCTGGCCTTATTAATTAGAATCTTACTGTTAGAAAGATATTTTTCTTCTTTCCCATTTTTTTATTTACTAAATTATTTCTATAAGTATAGACTGGAATTTCTTCTATAGGTTATAATCTCTTTTATTCTATAGGTTATATATTCATTGCTATCATTTTTTTTTTTTGCTCAAATTATCACACATTTGGCCACTGGGAGCCCCTTCAAGTCGATTCCTGTGTCCTTTCAATGTGGCCTCTTTATTTACTATTTTTATTATTTATTTTCTGGCACCACAAGGTGTTCCACGTTGATGTGGTACTTTCCCTGCCCCAGTCCTGGAATCTACAAATTTCCCGGGGACCATTGGTTCCTTTTATTAGAAAATGATTTTTTTTCAGCCAGGTGTGGTGGCGAGTACCTGTAGTCCCAGCTACTCGGGAGGTTGAGGCGGGAGGATTGCTTGAGCCCGGGAGGCGGAGGTTGCAGCGAGCCAAGATTACACCACTGCATTCCAGCCTGGGTGATGAAACAAGAGCCTGTCTCAGGAAAAAAAAAAAAATGATTTTTTGAAACCAAGGTTAGATATCTTCATTGCTTCTGAGATGTCATTGCTTCTAGGTCCTCTCAGCTATGAAATGTGTTTATATGTATGTATATACAAATAATTCATGAGTTCATATAGTATCTCCAATTTCAGTGCAACACTACAGGGTTCATTCTAGCCTTCTCTCCATTTCCAGATTTTTTTTTTTTTTTTTTTTTTTTTGAGACAGAATTTTACTTGCCCAGGCTGGAGTGCAATGGTGCCATCTCGGCTCACTGCAACCTCCACCTCCCAGGTTCAAGCAATTCTCCTGCCTCAGCCTCCCGAGTAGCTGGGATTACAGGCGCCCACCACCTCGCCCAGCTAATTTTTTTTGTATTTTTAGTAAAGACGGGTTTTCGTCATGATAGTCAGGCTGGTCTCAAACTCCTGACCTCAGGTGATCCTCCTGCCTCTGCCTCCCAAAGTGCTGTGATTACGGGCATAAGCCACCACACCTGGCCTCCATTTCCTTTTTTTTAAATATAATTTTAAGATTTTTTGTAGAGACAAGGGCCTCACTATTTGCCCAGGCTGGTCTTGAGCTCTTGGCCTCAGGTGATTCTCCTTCCTCGGCATCCCAAAGTTCTGGGATTATAGATGTGAACCACCATGTCTTGCCTCCATTTCCCTTTTTGTAACTCCTTTCTTTGACATTGAAAAATGTGGCTCACATTAACCATAATATAATTTATTTATTAACCATTATATGTATTAATATATATAAATATATTTGCTCAGTCCTGTGTAAAAAGTAATTTAAGAATTGCTGACTTCCATGTACCATACAGTTCTTTTTGTCTTTAGTCTTACAGTATATAGTGAAAATACAGTTTTCTAAAACTACTTTCTTCCCTAAACCCTTTGTATTCATAATATTTATGTGTAATATAGATTGTTCATTTATTACTGTTTGTATTTTATTTTGGGTTCCCCTCACATCCTGGTTGAATTTAATGATTTTTCTGAGTATGTGAAACAATCACATTGTTCTAAAAGTCAGAATCAGACAAAAGGATTTACTGAGTCATCATTTCTTCTCTCCCAATCCCATTGCCCATTGTTTTTTGTTGGTTTGTTTTTTGTTTTTTGTTTTTGTTTTTGTTTTGAGACGGAGTCCCGCTCTGTCACCCAGGCTAGCGTGCAATGGCGCAATCTCGGCTCACAGCAACCTCCACCTCTCGGGTTCAAGCAATTTTCCCACGTCAGCCTCCTGAGTAGCTGGGATTACAGGCATCCACCATCATGCCCAGCTAATTTTTGTGTTTTTGTAGAAATGGGCTTTCACTAAGTTGCCAACCGCCTCGGCCTCCCAAAGTGCTGGGATTGTAGGTGTGAGCCACTGCGCCCAGCCCCGGTTCTTTGTTCTTTCTACCCAGTTCCCACTTACCTATTTCAGTAACCAATAATGTTACTTTCTTGGTTTTATGGTTAAATAAACATAACAAAGAATTTACCATTTTAGGGTAAATTACAGGCGTAAATGATTACGCCTGTAATCCCAGCACTTTGGGAGGTCGAGGTGGGAAAATTGTTTGAGCCCAGGAGTTTGAGACCAGCCTGGGCAATATGACGAAACCCCATCTCTACAAAAAATTAAAAACTAGCCAGACGTGGTGATGCACACCTGTAGTCCCAGCTATTTGGGAGGCTGAGGTAGGAGAATCTCTTGAGTCTGGGAGGTCAAGGTTGCAATGAGCTGTGATCATGCCACTGCACTGCAGCCTGAGTGACAGAATTAGACCCTACCTCAAAAAAATAAATAATAAAAACATTGGGAAAAAGGCTTTTGTTAGAGTTTTTACTCAGAGTGATTGCTTTTTCAGGAAGAGATTACTAAGGTTAAGATGGAGATTCCTGTACCTGTCTAGCTCCCATAACTTGGCCAACTTATCTCAGCCCCTGAGCCTAGGCCCTTGTGATGTGGGATCCCAGGCCCTAAAGAATGTCTGTGAATTGCAGAGATGGGGAACATTTAGGCACGTAGCTTCAAGTTTTACTAGGTGGTGTAGAGATAGCTCAACTTTCCAGAAGGATTTGTACAAAGTTTTGATGTTGGAGCTCTAAAACAGCATGGTTTTGCTGGGTCAGAATCAACTTGTTGGCTGGGCACAGTGGCTCACACCTGCAATCCCAGCATTTTAGGAGGCTGAAGTGGGAGGATCATTTAAGGCCAGGAGTTCAAGACCAGACTGGGCAACATATTGAGACCCTGTCTTTACAAAAAATTTTAAAATTAGCCAGGTGTAGTGGCATGCCTGTGGTCTCAGCTACTTGGGAGGCTGAAGTGGGAGAATCACCTTAGCCCAGGAGGCTGAAGCTGTGATTGCGCCACTGCCCTCCAGCCTGGGTGAGAGTGAGATCCTGTCCCTGCCCTGCCAAAAAAAAAAAAAAAAATTGTCCTGTAACTCATAATTCACATTTTGTTTCACATTATGGGTTTGTGAAAAATCCCTTTGAGACATATAGAGCTGGAATCGGACAGCTCTGCTCTTATTTCTGAAGCTTCCTCTTTTTAAAAATTGCTCTTTCTCATATTGACCAAGCGTCTGAGTCTGAATTTTTATCTAGTCAAAGTATGGCCTAATTTGTGTACTGGTTAGGACAGGCTAAGTTATGCTGTGGTGGCAAACAACCCCTGAATCTCAGTGGCTTACAGAGTCACATTTTATTTCTGCTCATGTACATGTCCAGTGTGGATCAGCAGAGACAGGGTTCCACACCAAAGAAGGCCCGCCACCTTTAGCTGCATCATTTGAAAAACAGATGGTCACCACATGCATGAAGAGAAAAATTGGAGAATTGTGCAGTCTTTCTGGTGTCTGTCTCTAACTGAAGTGACAGTCATCACCTCAGCTGAGATTTCATTGGCTAGAGCAGTGCATGGCCCTACCTAAGTGCAAGGGGCTGGAAAATGTCATTTTCTGTGTGCCCCAAACTGGATAATGGTGAAACATAGTAATGTCTTCCACACTGGCTAAGACCCATTTCTTTTCTTTTCTTTTCTTTTTGTTGTTGTTTGTTTGTTTTGTTGTTTGTTTGTTATGTATTTTTTTTTTTGTTTGAGATGGAGTCTCACTCTGTCACCCAGGCTGGTGTCAGTGGCACAATCTTGGCTCACCGCAACCTCCGCCTCCTGGCTTCAAACAATTCTCATGCCTCAGCCTCCCGAGTAAATAGGATTACAGGTGCTCACCACCATACGCAGCTAACTTTTGTATTTTTAGTAGAAACAGGGCTTCTGTTGACCAGGCTGGTCTCTAACTCCTGGCCTCAGGTGATCCGCCCACCTTGATCTTCCAAAGTGCCAGGATTACAGGCGTGAGCCACTGTGCCCCGCCCCTTTTAAATATAAATCAGATTATGCCATTCCTTGGCTTTAAAAGTTTCGTACCTTCCTGTTTTCCTTAAGAATAAAATCCAAAGTTCTTACAGTGGCTTACAAGCTCCTTGTGATCTGGCTTCTAGCTCTCTCTCTGACCCTCTTCGTCTCGCATGTTCCATCCCAGCTGCCCTTGTCTCCTTCCTCTTGTTGATCGAGGAAAGCCTGCTCCTGCCTTCAGACCCTTGCAATTGCCGCTCCTGGTGCAAGGCGTGCACTTCCCCAGATACCTGCATTTCTCACTCATCCATTCAGGCTGTGCTTACCTGTCACCTTCTCAGACCACCCTCTCTTCCTCCAAAACTCCCTCTCCCCTTAATCTTCTTTGTTTTTATCTGTAGGACATTTGCCACCTGACATCTATATATACATATGTTGTTATTGTTGTTGTTTGTGACAGAGTCTTTGTTGCCCAGGCTGGAGTGCAGTGGCACAATATCAACTCACTACAACCTCTTCCTCCTGGGTTCAAGTGATTCTCTCACCTCAGCCTCCTGAGTAGCTGGGATTACAGGCATGCGCCACCACACCCAGCTAATTTTTTGTATTTTTAGTAGAGACGGCATTTCACCATGTTGGCCAGGCTGGTCTAGAACTTCTGACCTCAAGTGATCCGCGTGCCTCGCCCTCCCAAAGTGCTGGGATCACAGGCATGAGCCACTGTGCCTGGCCCCACCTGACATATAATTAGGAATATCAATATCATGTCTATGGCCATACCACCCTAAATACTCACATCTCATCTTTTTTCTTTTTTTTTTCTTCAAATTTTTTGTAGAGATGGGGGTCTTACTTTGCTGCCCAGGCTGGTCTTGAGCTGCTGACCTCAAGTTATCCTCCTGCCTTGGTCCCTCAAAGTGCTGAGATGACAGGAGTGAGCTACTGTGCCCAGCCCTCAATCCCATCTATCTCCGTATGTCAGTGTTTGTTGGTTGTCTCTTCCCATAGGATGTGAGGTCCAGCCAGACACAATGGCCCACACCTGTAATCCCAGCACTTTGGGAGGCTGAAGTGGGGATATCACTTGAGGCAGGAGTTGAAGACCAGCCTGGCCAACATGACGAGTCCCCGTCTCTACAAAAGTTACAAACATTAGCAGAGCATGATGGTGCACGCTTGTAATTCCAGCTACTTGGGAGGCTGAGGCAAAATAATTGCTTGAACCCAGGAGGTGGAAGTTGCAGTGAGCCGAGAGCTCGTCAGTGCACTCCAGCCTCGGTGACAGAGCAAGATTTTGTCTCAAAAAAAAGAAAAAAAAAAAAACAGAATGTGAGATCAACTGGGACAGGGACTTGAATTATTTTCTTTCCTCGTTCCTAGAACAGTGCCAGTTGACACAGGAGCCCAGTAAATATGAAAGAATTCTGACTTCCTTTTCTCTGCCTCCATATGTGTCAGATGCCAGAGCCTGTTGATTTAATCTCATCTACATTTTGAATTCATCTCTCTCCTCCTCTTTTCTGCTGCCAATGTCCTGGGTCAGGCCCTCTTCGTGCCTGAAAAAGTGTAGGGGCAACCCACCCCTACATCTGAAAAGTACAAGTACCTCTCAGTCAATCTTTCTGACTCCAAGGTTACACCTCTCCAAAATAACCTGGCCATATTGGTCCTGTCACTTCTGTCTTTAAATTCTTAGGTTTCCTTCCATTTCATTAATAAGTGAAAACCTACTTTTTCTTTCTTTTTTGTTTTGGAGAGAGAGTCTCACTCTGTTCCCCAGGCTGGAGTGCAATGGTGCCATCTCGGCTCACCGCAACCTCTGCCTCCTGAGTTCAAGCAATTCTCCCTGCCTCAACCTCCTGAGTAGCTGGGATTATAAGCGCCCCCCACCATGCCAGCTAATTTTTGTATTTTTAGTAGAGATGCAGTTTCACCATGTTGGCCAGGCTGGTCTCAAACTCCTGATTTCAGGTAATCCGCCTGCCTCGGCCTCCCAAAGTGCTGGGATTACAGGCGTGGGCACCGTGCCCGGCTGAAAACCTACCTTTTTTAAAAAATAGAGATGAGGGCTCACTATGTTACCCAGGGTGGTTTCAAATTCCTGAGCTTAAGCGAACGACACACCTCAGCTTCCCAAAGAACCTAACTTTTATGCATCAGCCTGTATTTATTGGTCACCTATGTCCTCCAGACACTGTGGCAAGAGTGATGGTTAGAGTGATGATCAGACCCACTGGTCCTTGCCCTCATGGTTTTTTCATTCATACATCTTCATTTTCTTTTCTGTTTTTTTGAGACAGAATCTCACTCTGTGGCCCAGGCTGGAGTGGAGTGGTGTGATCTTGGCTCACTGCAACCTCCGCCTCCCAGGTTCAAGCAGTTCTCCCATCTCAGCCTCCCAAGTAGCTGGATACCGGCACGCACCACCGTGCCTGGCTAATTTTTGTATTTTTAGTAGAGACAGGGTTTCACCATGTTGGCCAGGCTGGTCTCAAACTCCTGACCTCAGGTGATCAGCCCACCTCGGCCTCCCAAAGTGGTGGGATGACAGGCGTGAGCCACCACACCTGGCCTATACACCTTCATTTTCTAACCCCTGATGTCATCTCCAGCATTATCTGCCTCTAGATTCTAGAGCTAATTAAATTTAAATTAAATTAATTAAAATAAAATAAAAACTTTAGTTTCTCAGACATACTAGCCACATTTCATATGCTCAATAGCCATCTATGACTACAATATTTATAGCACAGATTTGAAGATTTCCATCATCACAGAACATTATTTGGACAGCACTGGTCTAGACCTTTCTTCAAACTACACAACTCATTCCAAATCATTCTTAGTCTCCCAAATACACCATTTGCTTTCAGTCCAGTGTTTTTGCCACTGCATTTCACTCTGCTCACAATATTCTCTGTCCCTTTTCTGCCTATTAAACTTCCCTGAGGTTTCAGAACCCAATTCCTATTCTACATTTTACAGAAAAGTTTTCTTGACACCATTCCCATTCATTAAGTTAGTCTTCCTTAGCTGGGCTCGGTGGCTCACACCTGTAATCCCAGCACTTTCGGAGGCCGAGGTGGGCAGATCAGTTGAGCTCAGGAGTTCAAGACCAGCCTGGCCAACATGGCAAAACCCAATCTGTACCAAAAATGCAAAAATTAGCCAGGCGTGGTGGTGCATGCCTATGGTCCTAGCTACTTGGGAGGCCGAGGTGGAAGGATCGCTTGAGTATGGGAGGCAGAGGTTGCAGTGATCCGAGATTGTGCCACTGCACTCCAGCCTTGGTGACAGAGTGAAACCCCATTTCAAAAAAAAAAAAAAAAGTATTTCTTTTGACACACCCCCTACAGGAAGCTTCTTGGACCTCTAATTAGATCAGATTTAATACCCTTGTTAGGCCAGGCACAGTAGCTCATACCCTGCTAACCCCAACACTTTGGGAGGCCAAGGTGGGCGGATCACCTGAGGTGAGGAGCTCAAGACCAGCCTGGCCAACATGGTGAAACCGCGTCTCTACTAAAAATACAAAAAATCAGCCAGGCGTAGTGGTGTGCGCCTGTACTCCTAGCTACTTGTGAGGTTGAGGCGGGAGAATCACTTGAACCTGGGAGACAGAGGTTGCGGTGAGCTGAGATCACACCTCTGCACTCCAGCCTGGGCAACAGAGTGAGACCCTGTCTCAAAAGGAAAAAAAGAACCCTCCTTAAAACTCTGATTTCTCATTCCCTTGAGATGTATGCCATTCACAGGACTTCGGACTCAGCAACTGCCAGCCTCACAGTCAATGGGGAAGTGATGTTCTGCAGAAAAGCAGTAGATGGTCGGAAGGTAGTGAGTTATCTCCATTGATTGTTCACAGTCAGTTATGAATTGAACTCCTTGTTCTATTCTTCCCCCTCTTCTCACTACTGTACTTGTCTTTTTTTTTTTTTTTTTTTGAGACAGAGTTTTGTTTTTATTGCCCAGGCTGGAGTGCAATGGTGCGATCTCGGCTCACCACAACCTCTGCCTCCCGGGTTCAAGCGATTCTCCTGCCTCAGCCTCCCGAGTAGCTGGGATTACAGGAATGCGCCACCACGCCCCGCTAATTTTTTGTACTTTTAGTTGAGACGGGGTTTCTCCATGTTGATTAGGCTGGTCTCGAACTCCCGACCTCAGGTGATCCACCTGCCTTGGCCTCCCAAAGTGCTGGGATTACAGGTGTGAGCCACCGTGCCCAGCTGTCTAGTTTTAAAAAAGAATGAAAGCAGTAGGGAGGGCTCAGATGAGAAATAAAGAGTGCTGGGCCAAGAGACTTCTAGAAATTGAGTTCCCATGGAGGGCAGTACTCTGGATGTGCGGGTATGCAAGCAAGATGCCTGTATTACTGAGGCTTTCTTGCTCCTGTCTGGTGAGTATAGCTGGGGCTGGAGACATTGACAGAGCCTATGGTATGCATGGTGTAGTCCCATTTTGGACTTGGAAGGAGGAAGTGGAGCCAGTGAGATGCCCAGGAGGTTTTGCCTGTTGAGCCCAGAGAAGCTAGAAGACTTCGTTTAGGGATGTCTTTTACTCAAGATTTGGCCTGCATAGATGGTCTGTGTTCCTAGCCTGATGGTGCTGTCCTCATCCTTAGGGGTCAAGTGAGTGAGTCTGAGTCGTAAGATCCTTGCTGTAATTTGGAGCAGGTGGGAGCCTTCTAGGCCCCATCTAGGGCCAAGTTTAGCATCACTAAGATGGGGGACTGTGTCAGCTGTAATCCCTCCCTTGGTGGTGCCTGGGTTCTGTGTCAGTGCTGGAGCACATCTGCCTTGAAACCATCTTTCTGCTTTTGGGTTCCTTACTTTTTAGGAAGGGACTGGGTTTTCTTAACTCTGCAGTTTTTTTTTGTTGTTGTTGTTGTTGTTTTGTTTTTTGTTTGTGTGTTTTGAGATCGAGTCTCGCTCTGTCGCCCAGGCTGGAGGGCAGTGGTGCAGTCTCGGCTCACTGCAACCTCTACCTTTCAGGTTTAAGCAATTCTTGTGCCTCAGCCTCCCAAGGTGCTGGGTTTACAGGCGTGAGCCACCATGCCTGGCCAACTCTGTAGTTCTTAATGTTAGTTCTTGTGTGGTAGGACATGGAGAGGTGGGAGAAGCAGATCCGAGACATTGGAAGTACAATTCTTTTAAGCTCATCTATTTGGGAGTGCTGAGGCAAGCTCAGTTTATCAGAGGTTACCCCATCTCCCCCCATTTTGCTTTTTCAGGACTCTGCACTTGTCCAAGAGAAGAATCCAGAGAAATCAGAGCAGGTCAAATAGTTCTAAAAGCCATGGCCCAGGTATGTTGAAATTCCTTCTATCCTTAGAATGATCTGTCTTCCCGCCAGATTATATGGACACTGTGTTCTTTATCCTGGAACTTCCCTGTATCCTTCTCACAGTTGGTCCATTCCAGGAGATGAGTAATGGTGCCCAAGTCCCTCGGTGGCCCTCTCCTCTCCAGCACTGTCCACGTGTCTGTAGTCCTCTTAGCAGAGCATAGGCTAGGCGTAGTGGCACATGCCTGTAATCTCAGCACTTTAGGAGGCTGAGGTGGGCCGATTGCTTGAGGCCAGGAGTTCGAGACCAGCCTGGACAACATGGTGAAACCCCGTCTCTACTAAAAATACAAAAATTAGCCGGGCATGGTACCACACACCTGTAGTCCCAGCTACTCAGGAGGCTGAGGCAGGAGAATCGTTTGAACCCAGGAGATGGAGGTTGTAGGAAGCCAAGATTTCCCCACTGCACTCCACCCTGGGAGACAGAGCGAGACTCTGTCTAAATAAATAAATAAATAAATGCTCTTAGCAGAGCACCAGTACAGTAGAAATACCTTCTCTTGAGAGAAATATGAGAGTCTCCCTTATCATAACTGTGGTTGAATGGGGCCAAACATGAAATAAAGTAGTTTCATCTTTTCCATTGTCTTGGGTGGTTTCTTTCTTCTGTGTTTTTGTTTTGTTTCGTTTTTTGAGACAGGGTCTCGCTCTGTCACCCAGACTGGAGCACAGTGGTGCAGTCATGGCTCACTGCAGCCTCAACCTCCTGGGCTTAAGCAATCCTCCCACCTCAGCCTCCCAAGTAGCTAGGACCAGAGCCACATGCCACCACTACCAGCTAATTTTTTAAGTTTTTGTAGAGACCAGGTCTCACTGTGTTGCCCAGACTGGTCTCAAACTCCGGGGCTCAATTGGTTAGCCTCCTAGTACTGGGATTACAGGCATGAGCCACTGCTTTATTCTTTATTCTATTTTTAAATGTCACCCCCTCTTTAAAAAGTCACAAGACACTTAATACCGTCAAATATATATATATTTATATGGCTGGGTGCAGTGGTGGTGGGTGCCTATAATCGCAGCTACTTGAGAGGCTGAGGTAGGAGAATCACTTTAACCTAGGAGGCCGAGGTTGTCATAAGCAGAGATCACGCCACTGCACTCCGGCTTGGGCGACACAGCGAGACTCTGTCTCAGAAAATATATATATATGCTGGGTGTGGTGGCTCCTGCCTGTAATCCCAGCACTTTGGGAGGCTGAGGCGGGTGGATCACGAGGTCAAGAGATCAAAACCATCCTGGCCAACATGGTGAAACCCCGTCTCTACTAAAAATACAGAAATTAGCTGGGTGCAGTGGCAGGTGTCTATAGTCCCAGCTACTCGGGAGGCTGAGGCAGGAGAATCGCTTGAACCTAGGAGGCAGAGGTTGCAGTGAGCCGAGATTACGCCACTGCACTCCAGCCTGGGTGACAGAGTGAGACTCCATCTCAAAAAAAAAAAAAATCCAACTTTCTTTTAGTTGGCCAGTCATTAAAGATATTTACAAAAATGTAAAACAATGCCACTAAATTTTTTGATTTTGACAATAGAGTTATGTTTCATAAAATGTATGTTACTGATATTAACAGGTAACAGGTTTATTTGTTGTTAAAATATTTTTAAAATTTCTCGGCTGGATGCATTGTCTGATACCTGTAATCCCAGCACTTTGGGAGGCTGAGGCAGACAGATCACCTGAGGTCAGGAGTTCGAGACCAGCCTGACCAACATGATGAAACTCTGTCTGTACTGAAAATACAAAAATTAGCCGGGCATGATGGCGCATGTCTATAATTCCAGCTGCTCAGGAGACTGAGGCACGAGAATCGCTTGAACCTGGGAGGCAGAGGTTGCAGTGAGCCAAGATTGCATCACTGTACTCCAGACTGGCTGATAGAATGAGACTCTGTCTCAAAAAAAAAAAAATTATATTTCTTTCTTTTAATTTCTAAGGTGGGAAAATGTTGATAGATATAACCATCATTAAGAAAAGTTCTGGCCAGGCCCAGTGGCTCACCCTGTAATTTCAGCACTTTGGGAGGCTGAGGTAGGAGGATCGCTTGAGACCAGGAGTTCAAGACCAGCTGGGGTGAGACCCCGTCTCTACAAACAAAAATTTAAATTTAAATTTTAAAACACAAAGTTAGGCATGGTGGCTCACACCTGTAATCCCAGCACTTTGGGAGGCCAAGGCAGGTGAATTACCTGAGCTCAGGAGTACAAGACCAGCCTGCACAACATGGGAAAACCCTCTCTCTACAAAAGATATGTATATACGAAAGTTAGCCAGGTGCAGTGGCATGCCACCTGTAGTCCCAGCTACTCAGGAGGCTCAGACAGGAGAATCTCTTGAGCCTGGGAGGCAGAAGTGCAGTGAGCCGAGATCATGCCACTGCACTGCAGCCTGGGCGACAGACTTAGACCCTGTCTCAAAAAAAAAAAAAAAAAAAGAGAAAGAAAGAAATTCATTTAAAAGGGTGTTATGTTTTACCCATTATCAGGGTGTTTGCAATAGAAGCCCACAGCCTTCTCTCTCCACATAGACATGGTAGGAGTTGTAGTGATTGGTGTTGGTCTCTGTATGTGGTAACATCTGTTTTGTGAGACCTTTAGGAAGGGGGCTGTGATTGGGAACTTCAGTGACGGAACACTCTTCAGTCTTGCAAGGATATGTATGAGATGAATAACCATAAAATGGTCCATTTTGAGGTTGAACATATGTGTTGGTTGTGGGCCACATTTATGTAACTCAGGTATACCCTCCATCAGCTTTCTGGTTTCAGGAGCAAGGAAAAGTGGACAGTGAAGGAATGTGAATATTAGCAAGCGTATAATAAACCCTGAAGATTTTACACATCTTGTGTTTTTAAATTTTTTTAATTTTTAATTTTTGTCAGTACATGGTATATATATTTATGGAGTACATGAGATGTTGTGATACAGGCATGCAGTGTGAAATAAGCACATCATGAAGAATGGGGTATCCAACCCCTCAAGCATTTATCCTTTGAGTTATAAACAATCCAGTTACACTCTTTATTTTAAAATGTACATTTAGGCTGGGCATGGTGGCTCACGCCTGTAATCCCAGCACTTTGGGAGGCCAAGGCAGGTGGATCACTTGAGATCAGGAGTTCAAGACCAGCCTGGCCAACATGAGGAAACCCCATCTCTACTAAAAAATACAAAAATTAGCTGGGCGTGGTGGTGGGCACCTATAATCCCAGCTACTCTGGAGACTGAGGCAGGAGAATGACTTGAATCCCAGAGCAGAGGTTGCAGTGAGCCGAGATCATGCCACTGCACTCCAGCCTGGATGACAAAGCAAAACTCCATCTCAAAAAAAAAAAATGTACAATTAAGTTCTTATTGACTATAGTCACCCTGTTGTGCTATCAAATAGTAGGTCTTATTCTTTCTATTTTTTGTACCCATTAACCATCCCCACCTCCCACTCAGCCTCCCTCTACCCTTCCCAGCCTTCAGTAATCATCCTTCTACTCTCTATGACCATGAGTTGAATTGTTTTGATTTTTAGATCCACAAATAAGTGAGAACATGCAGTTTGTCTCTCTGTGCCTGGCTTACTTCATGCAGCATAATAACCTCCAGTTCCATTCATGTTGCAGATGACCAGATCTCATTCTTTTTGTGGCTAAATAGTACTCTATTGTGTATATGTACCACATTTTCTTTATCCATTCATCTGTTGACAGACACTTGGGTTGATTCCAAATCTTGGCTATTGTGGACAGTGCTGCAGCAAACATGGAGTGCAGATATCTCTTCGATATACTGATTTCCTTTCTTTCTTTCTTTTTTTTTTTTAAACGGAATTTCATTCTTGTTGCCCATGCCGGCAGTGGTGCAACCTCTGCCTCCTGGGTTCAAGCGATTCTCCTGCCTCAGCCTCCCAAGTAGCTGGGATTACAGGCGCACGCTACCATGCCCAGCTAATTTTTTGTATTTTTAGTAGAAGTGGGGTTTCACCATGTTGGCCAGGCTGGTCTCGAACTCTTGACCTCAGGTGATCTGCCTGCCTTGGCCTCCCAAAGTGCTGAGATTACAGGCGTGAGCCACCACGCCTGGCCTACTGATTTCCTTTCTTTTGGGTAGATACCCAGCAGTGGTATCGCTGGTCCACAAGGTAGCTCCATTTTTAGTTTTTTGAGGAACCTCCAAGTTGTTCTGCATAGTGATTTTACTGATTTACATTCCCAACAAAGTGTACAAGGGTTCCCTTCTGTTCACGTCTTCACTAGCATTTGTTATTGCCTCTCTTTTAGATATAAGCCACTTTAACATACACATCTTAATTAAGCTAAGTGCACGAAAATAATGGAATCGACGTATCTTACAAGACATAACATACGATATTATGCAACCAATAACAGTCTCTGTCTTTCTGCCTGCCTGCCTGCCCTCCTTTCTAACTTCCTTCTCTCTTCCTTCTTTCATTCTTATTTATTTATTTATATTGTTTTTGAGATGGGGTCTTGCTCTGTCGCCCAGGCTGGAGTGCAGTGGCGCAATCTCAGCTCACTGCAACCTCCACCTCGCGGGTTCAAGCGATTCTCCTGCCTCAGCCTCCCTAGTAGCTGGGACTACAGGCACGCACCATCATGCCCAGCTAATTTCTTTTTTGGGGGTTTTGTTGTTGTTGTTGTTGTTTGTTTGTTTTTTTTGAGACAGAGTCTCGCTCTGTCACCCAGGCTGGAGTGCAGTAGCACAATCTCAGCTCACTGCAACCTCTGCCTCCGGGGATCAAGTTATTATCTTGCCTCAGCCTCCCAAGTAGCTGGGATTACAGGTGTGCACTACCACGCCTGGCTAATTTTTTGTAGTTTTAGTAGAGACAGGGTTTTGCCATGTTGACCAGGCTGGACTTCTTTTTTTTTTTTTAAACAGAGTTTCACTCTTGTTGCCCAGGCTAGAGTGTGGTGGCACAAATCAGCACACTGCAACCTCTGCCTCCCAGGTTCAAGCAATTCTCCTGCCTCAGCCCCTCAAGTACCTGGATTACAGGCACCTGCCACCACGCGCAGCTAATTTTTTGTATTTAGTAGAGACAGGATTTCGCCATGTTGGCCAGGCTGTTCTCGAACTCCTGACCTCAGGTGATTCACCCACCTCAGCCTCCCAAAGTGCTGGAATTACCACCGTGCCCAGCTGGCAGGCTGGTCTTGAACTCCTGGCCTCAAGTGATCAACCCGTCTCAGCCTCCCAAAGTGCTGGGATTACAGGCATAAGCCACCACGCCCAGCCTGGACTCATTTTTGAAAGACATTAGATTTGCCAGGCCCAGGTTTGCTGTGTGTTTTGTGTATTTCACTATTTCGCTTATTTATGGGACCCCACTTAGCTCTTTCCTGATCATTCCCAGACCATGGAAGATAGAAGTGTCCTGCTGTCTGCAGATAGTTTATGTGTAGCCACAGGAATGCTCAAGAATATATAGACCTCTAGTCATATAACTGTGCTTATTATACTTCCTTCATGCCACAGGCCTGCAGCTGTAGATTCTGTCATGCTTCATTACCTCCTTCCTCCAGTACCCTTCTTCATCTCCTCCAATGTCCTTGGCCGAGTGCAGTGGCTCAGGCCTGTAATCCCAGTGCTTTGGGAGGCTGAGGCAGGAGGATCACTTAAGACCAGGAGTTTGAGGCCAGCCTGGGTAACATAGTGAGATTCTGTCTCTACCAAACAAAATATTAAAAATCAAAATTAGGCTGGGTGCAGTGACTCACGCCTGTCATCCCAACACTTTGGGAGGCCAAGGCGGGCGTATCATGAGGTCAGGAGTTCAAGATTGACTAACATGGTGAAACCCCATCTCTACTAAAAATATAAAAATTAGCCAAGTGTGGCGGCGCACACCTGTAATCCCAGCTACTCAGGAGGCTGAAGCAGAAGAATTGCTTGAACCCAGGAGGAAGAGGTTGCAGTGAGCCAAGATCGTGCCACTGCACTCCAACCTGGGTGACAGAGCGAGACTCTGTCTCAAAAAAAAAAAAAAATTCTTCATCTTCTCATTAAGATATTTCCTGGATAAATTAGCTTGTCAAAACCTGACCCTACTCATCAATTTTAACCTCATTTAAAATGGGTCAGGTGGGCTGGGCACGGGGCTCACGCATGTAATCCCAGCACTTTGGGAGGCTGAGGCGTGCAGATCATGAGGTCAGGAGATCGAGACCAGCCTGACCAACATGATGAAACCCCTTCTCTACTAAAAATACAAAAAATTAGCCGGGCACAGTGGCACGCGCCTATGGTCCCAGCTATTCGGGAGGCTGAGGCAGGAGAATCACTTGAACCCAGGAGGCGGAGGTTGTGGTGAGCTGAGATCGTGCCATTGCACTCTAGCCTGGGCAACAAGAGCAAAACTCTGTCTCAAAAAAAAAAAGAGAAAAGAAAAAAAATTGAGAACACTGGGGCAATTAGAATTTAATCTGTTGACTGGGAAATTATTGATACTTTTATTAAGTATGATAATGATATTCTGATTATTATGTGTTTTTCTAAGAGAAGTTGTTGATAATCTGTTGGATACTAAAGTATCTGTGGGTGAAGTATTATGATGTTTGGCATGTGGGATTTGCCTCACAGTACATGGGGAATAAAAGATAGAAGGGAAGAGATAAAACAGGGTACACCTTGTTAACTGTTGAAGCAGACTGGTGCATATCGGGGGGCCATTACTGTCAACTATTCTCTGTACTTTTGTGCATCTTGAAAATTTTCATAATAAATGAAAAAAGTTTCTTAATGTACACTAATGCGTGGGTTTATTGTTTCAGGGACTGGTGACATTCAGGGACGTGGCCATAGAGTTCTCTCTGGAAGAATGGAAGTGCCTGGAACCTGCTCAGAGGGACTTGTACAGGGAGGTGACTCTGGAGAACTTTGGTCACTTGGCCTCACTAGGTAAGGAGATTGTATCACACGGGCCAGACGGAAAGCAAGGCAACAGGGACTACAACCATGGGGTGCAGTTTCCATCTCTGCCTAAATGGGTGAGGAGAGGAAACTGTCACAGGAGACGCTACAAACTACAGCCATAGAGAGAGGCCCGGCCAGCAATAGCTGTAGCTACTTCCAGAGCTCCTGGGTCAAAGGAGGGAGAGAGGAGGGTAAGAAATGCCTGGTGCTCTCTCTCCTCCTGTCCACTGATCTCCAGCTGATGCTTTCTGTCTGCCAAAGCCAATGAGAAGCCATAGGGCATGGGTAATGCAGTCCTTACGGTGAGCTGTCGGGATCCCAGAGCTGGGCACAGAACAAGGCCAGGAGCATCAAGGAATAGATTGGAGGGGAAGGAGGGGTTCATGGAGAGTGATCACCACACATTTACTCCACATAATTCAGGACTACCCTTCTGGAATTTCTGGTTTCTTCATTATGAATTTCTAGGGCAACTTACAAGTTTCTGACTGAATTTCTGGTGACTGAAAAATTGTTTTGTGCTTTGTGGAACTAGAAACAAGTCATTCTGCTGGGCAGCTCGGTCTTCCTATCCTTTGGACAACCTTCCACCTACCTTGTAATTGCGTCTTTTCCATGGTGACCAGGGAACTGGGTTTGGATTTTGGAGCGGTCTGATCACACCCCATTTCTTTTCCTGTAAACAGGACTCTCCATTTCTAAGCCTGATGTCGTCTCCTTATTGGAGCAAGGGAAAGAGCCCTGGATGATTGCAAATGATGTGACAGGACCATGGTGCCCAGGTAAGCGAGGGCCGATTTCGACAGGGGAAGGTCCCTGGATGAGTCGACTGACAGGAGTAACTTGAGTTACTGTGGGAAGTTCCCTCAAAGCCCTACTGTGGAAGAAAGGCCTGAAACGTGAAGATGTGGCGAGTAAAGACTTTATTAGCGTCAGCTTCCAAGAGAACCTTGGCCTACTCCCATTAATTCCTCTCTGGTCTCTGTTCTCTCACATTTTCCTTTCTTTTTAAAAAGAGATGTACCTATTTCTTCCCCAGTGGCCAACTTTTTACCTGTACTTTGTATCCTTTTTCTTTAAGAGACAGGATCTCACTCTGTCACCCATGCTGGAGTGCAGTGGCGTGATCATAGCTCACTGCAGCCTCCATCTCTTGGGCTTAAGCGATCCTCCCACTTTGGGAGGCCAAAGTGAGATTACAGGTGTGAACCATGGTACCTAGCCAGATCCTTTTTTCTACAAGTGTCTTCATCCCTTAGAAAAACTTATTTTTGGCCGGGCGCAGTGGCTCTACGCCTGTAATCCCAGGACTTTGGAAGGCCAAGGCGGGCGGATCACGAGGTGAGGAGATCGAGACCATCCTGGCTAACATGGTGAAACCACATCTCTACTAAAAATACAAAAAAATTAGCCGGGTGTGGTGGTAGGCGCCTGTAGTTCCAGCTACTCGGGAGGCTGAGGCAGGAGTATGGCGTGAACCCGGGAGGCGGAGCTTGCAGTGAGCCGAGATCGCGCCACTGCACTCCAGCCTGGGCAACAGAGCGAGACTCTGTCTCAAAAAAAAAAAAAAAAAGAAAAAAGAAAAACTTATTTTCTTGGCCAGGTATGGTGGCTCATGCCTGTAATCCCAGCACTTTGGCAGGCTGAGGTGGGTGGATCACCTGAGGTCAGGAGTTCAAGACCACCCTGGCCAACACGGTGAAGCCCCGTCTCTACTAAAAATACAAAAATTGGCCAGACGTGGTGGCTCACACCTGTAATCCCTGCACTTTGGGAGGCTGAGGCGGGCGGATCACGAGGTCAGGAGATCGAGACCATGGTGAAACCCTGTCTCTACTAAAAATACAAAAAATTAGCTGGGTGCGGTGGCAGACGCCTATAGTCCCAGCTACTCAGGAGGCTGAGGCAGGAGAATGGCGTGAACCCAGGAGGCAGAGCTTGCAGTGAGCCAAGATCACACCACTGCACTCCAGCCTGGGCGACAGAGCGAGACTCCATCTCAAAAAACAAACAAACAAACAAACAAAAAACTTAGCTGAGCATGGTTGTGGGTGCCTGTAATTCCAGCCACTCGGGAGGCTGAGGCAGGAGAATCTCTTGAACCCATGAGGTGGAGATTGCAGTAAACCGAGATCATGCCATTGCACTCCAGCCTGAGCGACAAAAGTGAACGTCTATCTCAAAAAACAAACCAAAAAAAAAACCATTTTATTGGCTGGGCACAGTGGCCCATGCCTGTAATCTCAGCACTTTGGGAGGCCAAGGTGGGAAGATCACTTGAAGCCAGGAGTTCAAGACCAGCCTGGCCAACATGGTAAAACCCCATCTCTACTAAAACCTCCGCCTCCCAGATTCAAGTAATTCTCCTGTCTCAGCCTCCTGAGTAGCTAGGATTACAGGTGCACGCTACCACACCTGGATAATTTTTGTATTTTCAGTAGATACAGGGTTTCACTATGTTGGCCAGGCTGGTCTCAAACTCCTGAGCTCAAGTGACCTGCCCACCTCAACCTTCCAAAGTGCTGGGATTACAGGCATGAGCCACTGCACCCAGCCAGCTGATCCTCTTAATGAGTATTTTTTTGTAGATTGTCTCTCACTTTACGTTTGTCTAATGTTTTCTCACAGTGAGATTCTGCATTTTAGCAAGAATATCACAGAAGTGATGTTATGTTCTTCTCTGTATATCACATATCAGACATCAACATGGCTTATTACTGGTGCTGTTCAGTTTGATCACTTGGTAAGATAGGTGCTGTTCACACTTTGGGAGGCCAAGGCGGGCGAATCACAAGGTCAGCAGTTCGAGACCAGCCTGGCCAATATGGTGAAACCCCGTCTCTACTGAAAATATAAAAATTAGCTGGGCGTGGTGGCGGGTGCCTGTAGTCCCAGCTACTCAGGAGGCTGAGACAGGAGAATCGCTTGAACCCGGGAGGCGGAGGTTGCAGGGAGCCAAGATCACGCCACTGCACTCCAGCCTGGGCAACAGAAAAAAAAAAAAAAAAGATAGGTGCTGTTCAGTTTGATCACTTGGTAAGATAGGGCCTGTCTTGTTTCTCCCCTGTGAAGTTTCCATCCGTAATTGATAAATATCTTATGGCGAAATACTTTCACACTAGGCAAATGTGCTGCTTTTCCTCCTCCCACTCCGATTTTGGCATCCATCACTGGACCTTGTCTGCACCAGTTATTACTCTGTCACTTGTCTAATGTTGATTTTCTGTGTCCCTTATTCCTTCACCATTTATTAATTGGAATTCTTCAATAAGGAAGAACTGTCCCTAGCCCTCTTCCATTCACTTGTTCATTCAATGATTTCTTTATATCACGATGAGTTCGTGGGTATTTATTTTATTCTATGGGCTGTAGTCACTACTTTCATTGTTTATTTCATTGCTCGAATCGTTCAGGCTTTGGCCCTTGAAAACTCGTTAAGCTTGGCTCCTGGGTTCTCTCAACACACCCACATTCTCTTTTATATACTTCCACATTTTCTGGTACCACAGCATGTTCCATGGTTATTTCAGATTTTTCCTGCCTCAGCCCTGAAATCAGCCAGTTCTCAAAAGAATGCTGGTTCCTTTTATTGAAAAATGGTTCAGGAGGCAGAGGTAGCTGAGAGCCGAGATTGCCCCACTGCACTCCAGCCTGGGCAACAGGAGTGAGACTCCATCTCGGGAAAAAAAAAAAAAAAAAAGAAAGAAAAATGGTAGGAAATCGATCATATCTTTGAACTTTTTCTGAGCAAAGCAAGACCTTAACATCTTTACCATACCATCTTTTACTTCCCTGTGCCCTAGACCAGGGGTCGGCAAACTGCAATCTGTGGGTCAAATGCAGTCCATAACCAGTTTTTCATACAGCCCTAGAGCCAAGAACAGTTTTGATATTTTGAAAGTGTTAAAAAAAAAAAAAGAATATGCTGTAGAGACTTTATGTGTTCAACAAACCCTAAAACATTTACCATTGGGCCCTTCACAGAAAAAGTTTGTTTTTATGTGTTTTTTTTTTTTTTTTTTTGAGACAGAGTCTCACTCTGTCACCCAGGCTGGAGTGCAGTGGCACGATCTCAGCTCATTGCAACCTCAGCCTCCCAGGTTCAAGCAATTCTCCTGCCTCAGCTTCCCAAGTAGTTGGGAATACAGGAGTGCGCCACCACGCCCAGCTAATTTTTGTATTTTTAGTAGAGACAGGATTTCGCCATGTTGGCCAGGCTGGTCTCAAACTCCTGACCTCAAGTGATCCACCCACCTAGGCCTCCCAAAACTCCCAAAGTGCTGGGATTACAGGCATGAGCCACCGCACCTGGCCTTCCCACTTTCACTTCCAAGGACCCTTGTGAATACATTGTGTCCACCCAGATAAACTGGGATAATCTCGCCATCTTGTGGTGGTCAACTGATTAGCCTTTTTTTTTTTTTAATTTTTTTTTTTTGAGATGGAGTTTCGCCCTTGTTGTCCAGACTGGAGTGCAATGGCGAGATCTCCGCTCATCGCAACTTCCGCCTCCCTGGTTCAAGTGATTCTCCTGCCTCAGCCTCCCGAGTAGCTGGGATTACAGGCGCCCACCACCACGCCCGGCTAATTTTGTATTTTTAGTAGAGGCGGGGTTTCTCCATGTTGGTCAGACTGGTCTCAAACTCCCGACCTCAGGTGATCCACCCTCCTCGGCCTCACAAAGTGCTGGGATTACAGGCGTGAGCCACTGTGCCCTGCCCTGATTAGCAATCTGAATTCCAACTCCCCTTGCTGTGTGACAACATTCATAGGTTCCAGGAATAAAGACACAGACATCTTTGAGTGCCGTTATCCCACCTACCACATTCTGTATGTATTTTTTTTAGCAAAGTTAATTGAATATGCATAAATTAACAATGTATGGACGGGCGCGGTGGCACACACCTGTAATCCCAGCACTTTGGGAGACCAGTAGGTGGATCACTTGAGGTCAGGAGTTCGAAACCAGTCTGGCCAACATGGTGAAACCCCATCTCTACTAAAAATACAAAAATTAGCCATGTGTGGTGGCAGGTGCCTGTAATCCCAGCTACTCGGGAGGCTGAGACAAGAGAATCGCTTGAACCCGGGAGGCGGAGGTTGCAAGGAACCAAGATCGATCGCGCATCTTTATTCCAGCCTTGGCAACAGAACAAGACTCCATCTCAAAAACAAAACAAAACAAAATAAAACAAAAACAACTTTATGGGTACGACTCTACTGTAATTCCGTATTAAAATATTAAGCCTATTGCTGTTGATTCCATAAAAGTGTTCTTGTCTTTCACAGAATATTTGGTTGGTGTGTTTTCTAATTTCTTGCAGTTCTGAAAAATAATAATCTTTTATTTATTAGATTTTTAAAAATTGTGATAAAATATACATTACATAAGGGGCCGGGTACAGTGGCTCATGCCTGTAATCCCAGCACTTTGGGAGGCTGAGGTGGGCAGATCACCTGAGATCAGGAGTTCCAGGCCAGCCTGGCCAACATGGTGAAACCCCATCTCTATGAAAAGTACAAAAAAAAAAAATTAGCCGGGCATGGTGGCACATGCCTGTAATCCCAGCTACTTGGGAGGCTGAGGCAGGAAAATTGTTTGAACCCGGGAGGCGGAGGTTGCAGTGAGCCAAGATCACACCACTGCGCTCCCAGCCTGGGCGACAGAGCGAGACTCTGTCTCAAAAAAAAAAAAAATTACATAATATTTATTTATTTATTTTTGTGAGACAGGTTCTGGCTCTGTTGCCCAGGCTGGAGTGTAGTAGCACGATCTCGGCTCACTGCAACCTCTGCCTCCCAGTTTCAAGCCATCCTCCCACCTCAGGTTCCCAAGTGGCTGGTGCTACAGGCACATGCCACCATGCCTGGCTAAGTAGATAATTCAGTGGCATTTAGTTCATTCACAGCATTATACACTCTGCTTCCAGAGCTTATGCATCATCCCAAACAGAAACTCTGTACCCATTAAACAATAACTCTATTTTCCTTCCTCCAGTCCCTGGTCACCTCTGTTCTACTTTTTGTCTGTATGAATTTGCCTATTCTAGGTATCTCATGTAAATCATCCAGTATGTGGCCTTTTGTATCTGGCTTATTTCACTAAGGATAATGTTTTATCCAAGTTGTAGAATGTCTCTGAATTTTATTCTTTTTATGGCTGAATAATATTCCATTGTATGTGTGTATGTAGATGTATACATGTATAAATACTAATATACATGTGTACATATTATATACACACTTTGTTTATTCACTCATCTGTTTTTTGTTGTTGTTGTTGTTTTGTTTTTTTTTTTTTTTGAGACGGAGTCTCACTCTGTTGCCCAGGCTGGAATGTAGTGGCATGATCTCAGCTCACTGCAACCTCCACCTCCCAGATGCAAGAGATTCTCCTGCCTCAGCCTCTTGAGTAGCTGGGACTACAGGCACCCGCCACCATGCCTGGCTGATTTTAGCATTTTTAGTAGAGACGGGGTTTCGCCACATTGGCCAGGCTGGTCTCGAACTCCTGACCTCAACTGACCTGCACGCCTCAGCCTCCCAAAGTGCTGGGGTTACAGGCATGACCTACCACATGCGGCCCCCTCATCTGTTCTTGGAGTTGTTTGTTTTTTGTTTTTAATTTTTTTTTCTCTCTCTCTTTTATTTTTCCTTGAAGCCCTTGAGTCTCACTTTGTCGCCCAGGCTGGAGTGCAGTGGCGGGATCTTGGCTCACTGCAACCTCCGCCTCCCAGGTTCAAGTGATTCTCCTGTCTCAGCCTCCTGAGTAGCTGGGACTACAGGTGCACAACACCATGCCAGGCTAATTTTTTGTATTTTTAGTAGAGACGGGTTTCACCGTGTTAGCCAGGCTGGGCTCGAACTCCTGACCTCATGATCCATCTGTCTTGGCTTCCCAAAGTGCTGGGATTACAGGCGTGAGCCACTACGCCTGGCCCCTAAATTTATATTCTTTATAAATTTTTATCATCTTGGCCTATTTCTGAGAAAGGTGAATTGAAATCTCCAAGATGACGATTTTGTTAATTTCTTCTTGTGTGTCTTTTGAATTTTGCATTATATGTTTGGAGGCTGGGCCAGGCGCGGTGGCTCACGCCTGTAATCCCAGCACTTTGGGAGGCCGAGGTGGGCAGATCATGAGGTCAGGAGATCAAGAAAATCCTGGCTAACACAGTGAAACCCCTTCTCTACTAAAAGATACAAAAAATCAGCCAGGCGTGGTGGCACACGGCTGTAGCCCCAGCTACTCGGGAGGCTGAGGCAGGAGAATCACTTGAACCTGGGAGCCAGAGGTTGCAGTGAGCCAAGATTATGCCACTGCACTCCAGCCTAGGCGACAGAGCAAGACTCTGTCTCGGCCGGGCACCATGGCTCATGCCTGTAATCCCAGCACTTTGGGAGGCCGAGGTGGGCGGAGCACAAGGTCAGGAGATCGAGACCATCCTGGTCAGTGAAACCCCATCTCTACCAAAAATACAAAAAATTAGCCAGGCGTGGTGACGGGCGCCTGTGGTCCCAGCTACTCGGGAAGCTGAGGCAGGAGAATGGCGTGAATCCGGGAGGCAGAGCTTGCAATGAGCCGAGATCGCGCCACTGCACTCCAGCCTGGGCGACAGAGCGAGACTCCGTCTCAGAAAAAAAAAAGAGACTCTGTCTCAAAAAATAAATAAAAATAAATATATATATTAGGAGGCTATTAGGTGTATATAACTTTAGAAACATAAATCTTCCTGCTGAATGGAATTACTTTCTTGATTATAGAGCTACCCTGCTTAACCCAAAATGATGATTTCTGTTTTTAAAGTCTATTTTTTTTTTTTTGAGATGGAGTTTCGCTCCTGTTTCCCAGGCCGGAGTGTAATAGCACGATATTGGCTCACCGCAACCTCCGCCCCCTGGGTTCAAGCAATTCTCTTGCCTCAGCCTCCCGAGTAGCTGGAATTACAGGCATGTGCCACCATGCCCAGATAATTTTGTATTTTTAATAGAGACAGGGTTTCTCCATGTTGGTCAGGCTGATCTCAAACTCCCAACCTCAGGTGATCCACCCATCTCAGCCTCCCAAAGTGCTGGGGTTGCAGGCATGAGTCACCGCACCCGGCCACACCTTTTATTTTCAAACACCTTAGGTCTTCATGTCTTAAAGTGTGTTACTTGTTACTACTGTGCACCTAGATTTTGGTATTTTATCCAATCTGACAAATGCCGTCTTGTCTTTTTTTTTTAAACAAGTTCTTGCTCTGTTGCCCAGGCTGGAGTGCAGTGGCACTATTCTCGGCTCACTGAACCTCTGTCCCTGGGCTCAAGCCATCCTCCCACCTCAGCCTTCTGAATACCTGGAAACACAGGTGCCTGCCACCATGCCCAGCTAATTTTTTGTGTTTTTGGTAGAGATGGGGTTGCACCATGTTGCCCAGTCTGGTTTCGAACTCCTGAGCTCAAGTGACCCACCTGCCTCAGCCTCCTAAAGTGCTGGGATTACAGGCATGAGCCACCACGCCCAGCTGGGTTGGTTTCAATGGTTAGTGAAAAAGGCAGTATTTCCATCTTTGGGGAAGATTCAGGAACAAGAAAACAAACAGAACAGCAGATGAATATGTAAATGAAAATCTAATTACAACAAAAGTGTTACAGAGTACAAGAAATGGGAGAAAGGATAAAGGCGTGTGTTTAGGGCTGTCAGGCTGAGAGCTTTCTTGAAAGTGTGAGTTTTTGCCGGGCATGGTGGCTGACGCCTGTAATCCCAATACTTTTAGAAGCCAAGGCGGCTGGATCACGTGACGTCAGGAGTTCAGGAGACCAGCCTAGCTAACATGGTGAAACCTTGTCTCTAATAAAAATACAAAAATTGGCCGGGCGTGGCAGCACATGCCTGTAATCTCAGCTACTCGGGAGGCTGAGGCAGGAGAATCGCTTGAACCCCAGAGGCAGAGGTTGTGGTGAGCTGAGATCGCACCACTGTACTCCAGCCTGGGAGACAGAGCAAGACCCCATGTCAAATATTAAAAAAAAAAGACAAGCCAGGCACAGTGGCAAACGCCCGTAATCCCAGCACTTTGAGAGGCCGAGGTGGGCGGATTACCTGAGGTCAGGAGTTTGAGACCAGCCTGGCCAACATGGTGAAACTCCATCTCTACTAAAAAAGCAAAAATTACCCAGGCATGGTGGCAGGCACCTATAATCCCAGCTACTCGGGAGGCTGAGGCAGGAGAATCACTTGAACCTGGGAGGCAGAGGTTGCAGTGAGCGCCTGGGGGACAGAGTAAGACTCTGTCTCAAAAAAAAAAAAAAAAAATAGAGAGTGAGTTTTCATCTGAGACCTTAAGGATGAGAAAAGCAGCAAAAAGCCCAGGACAGGATTCTTGATAGATGGAAGAACCTGATGAGAGATCTGAGATGGAAAAGGCCTAGATTTATTTTACATGCTCATAGATGGCTGGTGGTTTTGTACACTGGGAGGAAAGGGGAGAATGTTCAATGTGAAGAGGCCCTGCTCTTGCTGAGACACAGTGGTGACAAAAACAAGCAGGGATCTGCTTTGCCAAGAGCCCTGTGAGCCATGGCAGTGAGTTTGTAATTCTTTTTTTTTTTTTTTTTTGAGACAGAGTTTCGCTCTGTCACCCAGGCTGGAGTGCAGTGGTGCGATCTCAGCTCACCACAACCTCTGCCTCCCGGATTCAAGTGATTCTCCTGCCTCAGCCTCCCAGGTAGTTAGGATTACAGGCATGTGCCACCACGGCCGGCTAATTTTGTATTTTTAGTAGAGACAGGGTTTCTTCATGTTGGTCAGGCTGATCTCGAACACCCGACCTCAGGTGATCCACCCACCTCAGTCTCCCAAAGTGCTGTGATTACAGACATGAGCCACTGCACCCAGCCCTTTTTTTTTTTTCTGAGATGGACTCTCACTCTGTCTTCCAGGCTGGAGTGCAGTAGTGCCATCTTGGCTCACTGCAACCTCTGCCTCCTAGGTTCAAGTGATTCTTGTGTCTCGGTCTCCCAAGCAGCTGGGATTATAGGCGCCTGCCACCATGCCTGCTAATTTTTGTATTTTTTAGTAGAGACAGGGTTTCTCCATGTTGGCCAGGCTGGTCTTGAACTCCTGACCTCAAGCGATCCATTTGCCTTGGACTCCCAAAGTGCTGGGATTAAGGCATAAGCCACCTCGCCTGGCCTTTGGAATTAATTCTTAATGCACCGAAATGGGAAGGCAGTGAAATGTTTAAGCAGAGATTTTCATTTTGATGGACATCAACTTTATGTGGTGGGAAGTGTTGAAAATATAGATGCCTTATTTACATGAAATGTCCAGAATAGGCAAATTTATAGAGACAGAATTAGTAGCTCTGTGCCAGTAATGGTTGCCAGGGGCTGGAGGGAATAGGGAATGGGGAGTGACTGCTTAATGGGTGGGGGGGTTTCTATTTGGAGTGATAAAAATGTTCTCAGCCAGGCGAGGTGGCTCACGCCTGTAATCCCAGCACTTTGGGAGGCCAGGGCGGGTGGATTGTTTGAGGTCAGGAGTTCAAGACCAGCCTGGCCAATATGGTGAAACCCCATCTTTACTAAAAATACAAAAATTAGCTGGGTGTGGTAGCAGTGCCTGTAATCCCAGCTACTCGGGAGGCTGAGGCAGGAGAATCACTTGAACCCAAGAGGCGGAGGTTGCGTGAGCCAAGATTGTACCACTGCATTCCAGCCTGGGCGACAGAGCAAGACTCCGTCTCAAAGCAAAAAACAAATTTAGAACCCCTGGCTTAATTTGTCTTCTTGCTCCCTTCTGGCACCATGTGAGCTCTTCACATGGTGTGCTTTCATCTGCTTTTTTGAAATTGCATAATATTTGAGATGTATATAAGGCATTCACTTTTTATGGTTATTTATTTTTGTCTCCCTGTTCTACTATAGTTTTTTTTTTTTTTTTTTTTTTTTATGAGACAGAGTCTTGCTCTGTCGCCCAGGCTGGAGTGCAGTGGCGCAATCTCGGCTCACTGCGACCTCTGCCTCCCAGGTTCAAGCGATTCTCCTGCCTCAACCTCCCTAGTAGCTGGGATTACAGGTGCCTGCCACCAAGTGTGGCTAATTTTTGTATTTTTAATAGAGACAGGGTTTCACCATCTTGGCCAGGTGAACTCCCGACCTTGTGATCCACCCGCCTCAGCCTCCCAAAGTGCTGGGATTACAGATGTGAGCCACCGTGCCTGGCCTCTACTATAGAATTTTTTATTTCTCATAGAGAAGGATCACAGCTTGTATTTATCTTTTTCTTATTTTTCAGACTTGGAGTCCAGGTGTGAGAAATTTCTACAAAAAGACATTTTTGAAATCGGGGCATTCAACTGGGAGATAATGGAAAGCCTTAAATGCAGTGACCTGGAGGGCTCCGATTTTAGAGCTGACTGGGAATGCGAAGGCCAGTTTGAGAGACAAGTCAATGAAGAGTGCTATTTTAAGCAAGTGAACGTCACCTATGGACATATGCCCGTGTTCCAGCATCACACGTCTCACACTGTACGTCAGAGCAGGGAGACTGGTGAGAAACTGATGGAATGTCATGAATGTGGGAAAGCATTTAGCCGTGGCTCACACCTTATTCAACATCAGAAAATTCACACTGGTGAAAAACCCTTTGGATGTAAGGAATGTGGGAAGGCCTTCAGCCGTGCCTCACACCTTGTTCAGCATCAGAGAATTCACACGGGTGAGAAACCTTATGACTGTAAGGACTGTGGGAAGGCCTTTGGTCGTACATCAGAACTTATTCTACATCAGAGACTTCATACTGGTGTCAAACCTTATGAATGTAAAGAATGTGGGAAGACCTTTAGGCAGCATTCACAGCTGATTCTGCATCAAAGAACTCACACAGGCGAGAAACCCTACGTATGTAAAGACTGTGGCAAGGCTTTCATTCGTGGCTCCCAACTCACTGTGCATCGGAGAATCCACACAGGGGCCAGACCCTATGAGTGTAAAGAATGCGGGAAAGCCTTTAGACAGCACTCACAGCTGACTGTACACCAGCGAATCCACACTGGTGAGAAACCCTACGAGTGTAAGGAATGCGGAAAGGGCTTTATTCACAGCTCAGAAGTTACTCGACATCAAAGAATTCATTCTGGGGAGAAACCCTATGAGTGTAAGGAATGTGGGAAGGCCTTCAGACAGCACGCACAGCTCACACGACATCAGAGAGTCCATACTGGCGACAGACCCTATGAATGTAAGGACTGCGGGAAGGCATTTAGTCGTAGCTCATACCTCATTCAACATCAAAGAATTCATACAGGTGACAAACCCTACGAATGTAAGGAATGTGGGAAGGCCTTTATTCGTGTTTCACAACTGACTCATCATCAGCGAATTCACACTTGTGAGAAACCCTATGAATGCAGGGAGTGTGGAATGGCCTTTATTCGTAGTTCACAACTTACCGAACATCAGAGAATTCATCCTGGTATCAAACCTTACGAATGTAGAGAGTGTGGGCAGGCATTTATTCTTGGCTCACAACTCATTGAACACTACAGAATTCATACTGGTTAGAAAGCCTTGAGTGTAAGGGATAAAGATAAGCCTTTATGTGGAGTTCACATCTGGCTCAGTACTAGGTAATTTTTAATGTAGTGTAATTAATGTCAGAAAACACCTGTCACTTCCATCATAGAACATCAGAAAACTCACACCCAAAGAAAATTAAATAAATGTGGGAATTCTTTTTGCCTCACTCACTGTTTCCTAAGCATCAGATAATCTATGCTAAAAAAAAATGAATATAGAAAAGCTGCTTCTTGCCATTCAAAATATGTTAAATTTCTGACAATTCCTAATACAAAAATGACCCGATTAAAAGATTCTGTGGCCAGGCGTGGTGGCTCATGCCTGTAATCCCAGCACTTTGGGAGGCCAAGGCCGGCAGATCATTTGAGGTCAGGAGTTTGAGACCAGCCTGGCCAATGTGGCGAAACCCCATCACTACTAAAAATACAAAAATTAGCCAGGCATGGTGGCGGGTGCCTGTAATCCCAGCTACTCAGGAGGCTGAGGCAGGAAAACCGTTTGACCCCAGGAGGCAGAGGTTGCAGCAAGCCGAGATCCCACCATTGCATTCCAGCCTCGTTGACAAGGACAAAACTCTGTCTCAAAAAAAAAAAAAAAAAAAAAGGTTCTGGCTGGGCATAGTGGCTCACGCCTGTAATCCCAGCACTCTGGGAGGCCGAGGCGGGCGGATCACAAGGTCAGGAGATCGAGACCATCCTGGCTAACACAGTGAAACCTGTCTCAACTAAAAACTATGAAAAAATTAGCTGGGCCTAGTGGCGGGCACCTGTAGTCTCAGCTACTCGGGAGGCTGAGGCAGGAGAATGGCGTGAACCCAGGAGGCGGAGCTTGCAGTGAGCCAAGATCGCACCACTGCACTCCAGCCTCGGCGACAGAGCAAGACTCCATCTCAGAAAAAAAAAAAAAAAAGATTCTATGACTGTGCCTTTCATCATGGCGTATACTTTACTTAGCAGTGCTCACTTCCCCCGATTATAGACTACATAGCATTGGGCAAGTTATGCAAACTCTCTGTCCCTCAGTTTACTTTTTTTTTTTGAGACAAAGTCTAGCTCCGTCACCAGGCTGGAGTGCAGTGGTGCGATCTCAGCTCACTGCAACCTCCGCCTTCCAGGTTCAAGGGATTCTTCTGCCTCAGCCTCCTGAGTAGCTGGGATTACAGGCACATGCCGCCATGCCTAGCTAATTTTTGTATTTTTAGTAGAGACGGGGTTTCACCATGTTGGCCAGGATGGTCTTGATCTGACCTCGTGATCTGCCCACATCGGCCTCCCAGAGTGCTGGGATTACCGGCGTGAGCCACCATGCCCAACCCAGTTTACTTATTTTTAAGTGGTGATTATTATGTCTAACTAATAGAACTTTTATGAGGACTAAATGAGGTATTTTATGTAAAGCCTTAGAAGTAATACCTATCACACACAAGTGCTCAGTAAATACTAGCTATTGTCATTAATTTTATTATTAGTATCACTGATAAGGAGTTCATGTGAGAGGAGAGCCTTATGAATACATCACATATCCAAAAGTCTTCATAACCAGTTGTTATGATCATTTATTCTGAAAAATAGTGGGAAAGCATAATTATTATGAGGCCTTCAATCAAAAGGTTAGAAATTCAGAAGATTAGAAATTAACAGAAGAGTGGCCGGGTAAGGTGGCTCACACCTGTAATCCCAGCACTTTGGGAGGCCGAGGCAGGCGGATCACTTCAGGTCAGGAGTTTGAGACCAGCCTGGCCAACATGGTGAAACCCCGTCTCTACTAAAATACAAAAATTAGCCAGGTGGAGTGGTGCATGCCTGTAATCCCAGCTACTCAGGAGGCTGAGGCAGGAGAATTGCTTGAGCATGGGAGGCGGAGGTTGCAGTGAGCTGAGATTGTGCCACTGCACTCCAGCCTGGGTGCAGACCCTGTCTCAAAAAAGAAAAAAAAAAAAAAAAAGAACTAGTTTAGCATAGCCAAAGCTGTACTCCCATCAGAACCTGAGAATTGAAGCTAGTGGCTTTGTGCTCCATGTGTAGATCCCCAGCACCTCATCACTGCCAGTCACATACTAAACATGTTGAATGAATGAGTAGTCAACTCTCAAAGTTAGGAAAAAATTACAATATAAACCAAAGTCAGCAGTAAGATTAATTATTAAAAATGAAAACAGAATGGAAAAACAGATTTCATCTGAAGGTTGTTTGTTTAACAATACAATAAGACTATTTACAAGTGTGATCTAAGGAAAAAATATTATGAATGAGAAAGGGGGTAAAGATTTTTTAAAAATAGCTTACTATGCATGACTTTTTTCTGTTTTAAAATCTGGAGAGAATGGATTTTTATAAAAATATCAAAATTGATTCGTAGGATTCCTGTAATCCTAGCACTTTGGGAGGCCGAGGTGGGCAGATCACCTGAGGTTAGAAGTTCGAGACCAGCCTGGCCAACATGGTGAAACCCCGTCTCTACTAAAAATACAAAAATTAGCTAGCCATGGTAGTGCGTGTCTGTAATCCCAGCTACCTGGGAGGCTCAGACAGGAGAATCACTGGAACCTGGGAGGCGGAGGCCACAGTGAGCCGGGATCGTGCCACTGCACAACAGTCTGGGCGACAGAGTGAGACCCTGTCTCAAAAAAAAAAAATTTGTCACTCTGAATAGTTAAAGCACAGTCATAGGATAAAATTGTTAAAGTTACAATTTGTTGTTGTTGGGTTTTTTTGTTTTGTTTGTTTTTTGAGACCGAGTCTCACCCAGGCTGGAGTACAGTGGTTTGATCTCAGCTCACTGCAACCTCCGCCTCCCGGATTCAAGTGATTCTCCTGCCTCAGCCTCCCGAGTAGCTGGGATTACAGACGCCCACCATCACGCCCAGCTAATTTTTGTATTTTTAGTAGAGCCGGGGTTTCACCATGTTGCCCACACTGGTCTCAAACTCCTTGACCTCAAGTGATCTGCCCACCTCAGCCTCCCAAAGTGCTGGGATTAAGGTGTGAGCCACTTCCTGGCCTAAAGTTACAACATGGTATGCAGACATAAGTGAATCTTCATAAAATAGCTCTATGCCTTTCCCACCCCATTACCTTTTATGGAACAATCACTAACACCAAGTTCTTGTATATAGTTGGTGATTTTTAATTTGCATACATTACCTTTTATGGAACAATCACTAACACCAAGTTCTTGTATATAGTTGGTGATTTTTAATTTGCATAAGCATGTAATCCCAGCACTTTGGGAGGCCAGGGAAAACAGATCACGTGAGGTCAGGGAGACCAGCCTGGCCAACATGGTGAAACCTTGTCTCAACTAAAAAATACAAAAATTAGCCGGGTGTGGTGGCTCATGTCTGTAGTCCTAGCTACTTGGAGGCTGAGGCACAAGAATCACTTGAACCCAGGAGGCAGAGGCTGCAGTGAGCCGATATCCTGCCACTGCACTCCAGTCTGGGTGACAGAGTGGAGACTCCATCTGAATAATAATTATTAATATTTGCATAAGCATAATGTACTCTTTATAAAAATATTTTACACAAGTGATAGCAAATTTCAACACATTGGTATTTTTGCTTATGCATACATCTTGAAGATTAGACCATATTGGTACATATATAGCTGCCTTATTTTTTTTTAACAACTCCTGAGGATTCCATCATCTGTGTGTTTCATAATTTATTTAACATTATCAATTTTTTTTTGAGACGGAGTCTCGCTCTGTCACCCAGGTTGGAGTGCAGTGTTGTGATCTCAGCTTACTGCAACCTCCACCTCCCAGGTTCAAGCGATTGTCCTGCCTCAGCCTCCCAAGTAGCTGGGACTACAGGTGTGTGCCACGACGCCCAGCTAATTTTTGTCTTTTTAGTAGAGACAGGGTTTCACCATGTTGGCCAGGCTGGTCTCAAACTCCTGACCTCAGGTAATCCGCCCACCTCGGCCTCCCAAAGTGCTGAGATTACAGGCGTGAGCCACCTCACACGGCCATTTTTTTGTTTTGTTTTTGAGACAGAGTCTCGCTCTGTTGCCCATGCTGGAGTGCAGTGGCATGACCTTGGCTCACTGCAACTTCTGCCTCCTGGATTCAAGAAATTCTGCTGCCTCAGCCTCCTGAGTAGCTGGAATTACAGGCACCTGCTACCACGCCCGGCTAATTTTTGTATTTTTAGTAGCTACAGGGTTTCACCATGTTGGCCAGGCTGGTCTCAAACTCCTGACCTCAAGTGACCCACCCACCTTGGCCTCTCAAAAGTGCTGGGATTACAGGCATGAGCCACCGTGCCTGGACTTTCCATTATTTTTTGTTCTTTCAAACAATCCCATAATATTTCCCTTGCACGTAAATTATTTTGTACATGTGTAATATATCTTTAAGGTAAATTCCTAGAAGTGGAAATGCTAGATAAAAATGTAAATTTTTGGCTGGGCGCAGCGGCTCACACCTGTAATCCCTAATCCCAGCACTTTGGGAGGCTGAGGCAGGGGGATCACGAGGTCAAGAGATAAAGACCATCCTGGCCAACATGGTGAAACCTCATCTCTACTAAAAATACAAAAAATTAGCAACAGAGCGCGATTCCGTCTCAAAAAAAAAGTAACTTTTTAAAACTTTCTATCATGAAAAAATTTGAACATATACAAAAATACACAGAATCTTATATTGAACTCCAGCGGCCTCATCACCAGCTTCAAGAATTATCAGCTCATGGCCAATCTTGCTTTGTCTGTGTACCCACTTCTCTCATCTCTGTTATTTTTGAAGTAAATACCAGATATATTATTTCATCCACAGACATTTCATACATATCTTTAAAGCACATGACAACATTAGAAAATATTTTCACTCCTTAAAAAAAAAAAAAAACAGGCCTGGTGCAGTAGCTCATGCCTGTAATCCCAGCACTTTGGGAGGCCGAGGTGGATGGATCATCTGAGGGCAGGAGCTCGAGACCAGCCTGGCCAACGTGAAACCCCAACTCTACTAAAAATACAAAAATTAGCCAGCCATGGTGGTGGGCACCTGTAATCCCAGCTACCTGGGAGGCCGAGGCAGGAGAATCCCTTGAACACAGAAGGCAGAGGTTGCTGTGAGCTGAGATTGCGCCATTGCACTCCAGCCTGGGCGACAAGAGTGAAACTGCGTCTCAAAAGAAAAAAAAGATGTTACCACCTTAATGCCATTACATGTATGATAGTGTTCAAATTTTTGTTTCATAAATGTCAGTTTTATAAAAAATTCCCAGGATCCAAATGATGTCCTCAAATTGCAGTTGATATGTCTTGTATTTCTCTATTATTCTCAATCTATTCTCCTTTACTGGCTTTTTTTTTGCAACTTCTTGTTTTTTGAAGAAACTAGATAATTTGCCTTGTAGACTTGCCTTCTCCAAGTCTAGTTTTTGCCGGCTGCATCTGCATGGTGTAGTTTAACATGCTCCTCTATCCCTAGTATTTCCTGTAAATTAGTTGAGATTGAGAGGACTGGTCAAATTGAGGTTCTTTTTTTGTTAAGATTATTTATCAGTGGTTAATATTGGAAGCCATAATATTTAGGTGTTGCTCTTTTTGTGATGTTGGCAACCATTGATGTTTCATTCATAAATCTGTTCATTAGAGGTTGCAAAATGGCGATATCTTATTATTCATTCCTTATTAGCTAGAATATTCTTATGAAGAAAAACTTTCTGGCCTGGTGTGGTGGCTCACACCTGTGATCCCAGCACTTTGGGAGGCTGAGGCAGGTGGATCACTTTAGGTCAGGAGTTCGAGACCAGCCTGATCAACATGGTGAAACCCCATCTCTACTAAAAATACAAAATTAGCTGGGCATGGTGGCACATGCCTGTAATCCCAGCTACTTGGGAGGCTGAGGCAGGAGAATCGCTTGAACCTGGGAGGCAGAGGTTGCAGTGAGCCAAGATCGTGCCATTGCACTCTAGCCTGGGCAACAAGAGTGAAACTCCATCTCAAAAAAAAAAAAAAAAGAAAAAAAGAAAAAACTTTCCTTCAGCTACTATTTAGTACCCAATGATATAGTAAAGAAACACAGGAGGCTGGGTGTTTTGGCTCACCCCTGTAATCCTAGCACTTAGGGAGGCCAAGGCGGGTGGATTGCGTGAGCTCAGGAGTTTAAGACCAGCCTGGGCAACACGGCCATCTCAACTAAAATACAAAAACTTAGCCAGGCTTGGCGGTGTGTGCCTGTAGTCCCAGCTACTCAGGAGGCTGAGTCAGGAGAATTACTTGAACCTGGGAGGCGGAGGTTGCAGTGAGCCGAAATCGCACCACTGCACTCCAGCCTGGGCGACAGAGTGAGACTCCGTCTCAAAAAAAAAAAAAAAAAAAAAAAGGAAAAAGGAAAAGAAAAGAATTGCAGGATAAATGCTTCTTTCTCTTTACTGGTTTTCATAATAATGAGTTGAGGTCAGGCAGGGTGGCTCATGCCTGTAATCTCAGCACTTTGAGAGGCCGAGGCAGGCAGATTACTTGAGGTCAGGAGTTCGAGACCAGCCTGGCCAAAATGGTGAAATACTATCTCTAGTAAAAATACAAAAATTAGCCAGGCGTGGTGGCGCGTGCCTGTAATCCTAGCTACTTGGGAGGCTGAGGCAGGAGAATTGCCTGAACCCAGGAGGCGGAGGTTGCAGTGAGCCGAGATCGCGCCACTGCGCTCCAGCCTGGGTGACAAGAGCGAAACTGTCTCAGAAATAATAATAATGAATTGGCTCCCCCAGCATTCTGCCATGGTAGCTGATGCATTTAGATGCAGGTGTG
Organism: Homo sapiens; assembly: GCF_000001405.40. Taxonomy (NCBI): domain Eukaryota; kingdom Metazoa; phylum Chordata; class Mammalia; order Primates; family Hominidae; genus Homo; species Homo sapiens. Next base: position 36,175,692 of record NC_000019.10, on the reverse strand, counting down.
TGTGTGTGTGTGTGTGTGTGTGTGTGTGTGTGTGTGTGTGATGTTTAATGTGTTTCAATCCATTTAAATTGCACCCTCAGTGATGCTCAAATGCCTCCATGTTGGGTGTGGAAGAGCCTCTTCCAGTTGGCTCCTGTGTCCTTTTGCTATGACCCAGTCCTCTTTGATTATTTGCCCCGTCTGCCACCACAAGATGTTCCAAGTTCATCTTGTTCATTTCCTGTCTCTCACCTTTAAGTCGCCATTTTCCAAGGAGCCCTCTTCTTTCCTTTAGGTATTTTGGTACTTTCCCAAATGGCATTTGGAAACCACAATCAGGTTGTTAGGAGTGCTTCCTGCTCCTGGTTGGCCATTTTTAAGATATGTATGCATTTTAAGCCATTCTATAGACATTGCTCAAGTGCCTTCAGGAAGATTATGCAGCTGTACATCTACCTACAGTAGAAGAGATCCCAAAGCCACGCTCATCCAATCCTGGAGAATCATTTATTTTGAATATAGACCATTGAATAGGTGAAAAATGGAAAAGTCACTTTTTGTACATTTGCATTCCTTCAATAATGATTACCATTTGTTCACATATTTGTTGACCATTGGAATTGATTTTAGCACAGTGCCTAAAATATAGTAGGTGCTCAATAAATATTTGTTAATTGAATAAATTACTTGTATGTTCATATCCCTTGTTCATTTAATATGGGGAGGGGTCATATTTTTCTTACTTAAAAGAGCTATTTTTGAAAGGATTACATGTGTATAAAGTTCCTAGCACCATGCCTGATGCATGCATTGCCATTTATGTCTCTGGTGGGTGGCTTTTTTTTTTCTACTTTAAAAGAGAAGGGGCCGGGTGCGGTGACTCACACCTGTAATCCCAGCACTTTGGGAGGCCAAGGTGGGCAGATCACCTGAGGTCAGGAGTTCAAGATCAGCCTGGCCAACATGGTAAAACCCTGTCTCTACTAAAAATTCAAAATTAGCCAGGCGTGGTGGCGTGCACCTGTAATCCTAGCTTCTCGGGAGGCTGAGACAAGAGAATCGCTTGAACCTGGGAGGCAGAGGTTACAGTGAGCCGAGATCGCAGCACTGCACTCCAGCCTGGGTGACAGAGCGAGACTCCGTCTAAAAAAAAAGAGAATAATAAGGAGGTCAGGTGCAGTGTCTCATTCCTATAATCCCAACACTTTGGGAGGGGCCAGTGAAAGGATCGCTTGAGGCCAGGAGTTAAAACCAACCTGGGCAACACAGCAAGACACTATCTCCAAAAAATTTAAAAATTGGCCAGGTGTAGTGGCACACCTATAGTCCCAGCTACTCAGGATGCTGAGGAGGGAGGATCACTTGAGCCCAGGAGTTCGAAGCTGCTGTGAGCTGTGATCCTGCCTCTTGTACTCCAACCTGGGCAACAGAGTGAAACCCTGTCTTAACAAACAAAAAAGAAAAAAAGAAAAAGAAAAAGAGAGAGAAAGAGATAAGGATAAGGAATTTGGCCGGGCATGATGGCTTACGTCTGTAATCCCAGCACTTTGGGAGGCTGAGGCAGGCAGATAGCTTGAGCCCAGGAGTTCAAGACCAGCATACGCAACACGGCAAAACCTCATCTCTACAAAAAATACAAAAATTAGCCAGACGTGCTGGCATGCACCCGTAGTCCCAGCTACTCAGGAGGCTGAGGCGGGAGGACTGCTTGAAACCAGAAGGCTGAGATTGCACCACTGCACTCCAGCCTGGGCAACAGACCAAGACCGTGTCTTAAAAAAAAAAAAAAAAAAAAAGATGTGTATGTGCAGCTCTGCTTCTGCAAGAAGGGCCTAGACTCACCACCTCTTGAGAAGAGAATGGCCACCTCCTCGGGTGTAACTTTTTCGTGCTGGAAGTAACCTGTGTTTGCAGCAGGCTGGGTTTAAGAGTATCTTCCTGTCTTCCATGCATTCCATCGAGGTCAGAGCCAGGGCCTTCTATGGAATTCTGTTGGATGCAGAAAGCACTGGAACTTGAATCTATGTTTACACTTTTGTGCAGAAAACACCAGAACAGCTTCCAATTCTGGAAGGGACATTTTTGGTTCAGTGAAGCCAGGACTTGCTGCTTTGATCATTCAACCTAAGCAGCTGGCTGAGACTGTTCAAGGACTCTGAGAGGTGGCCAAAGACTCAATCCCCTAAAGTGACTGCAACAGACCCCAGTGGTCCTGAAGGCAACTGAAGGCAATGATAGACCTGTGCTTACTGTCAGAATGGAAGAGCCAGACTCTGTTCTTTGAGGTAAGGGAGAGCTTCAAGAAATCGCATTTGGGCCAGATGCGGTGGCTCACACCACTAATCCCAGCACTTTGGGAGGCTGAGCCAGGCAGATCACCTGAGGTCAGGAGTTCGAGACCAGCCAGCCAACATGGCGAAACCCTGTCTCTACTAAAAATCCAAAAATTAGCCGAGTGTGGTGACACACACCTGTAATTCCAGCTACTCAGGATGCTAAAGCACAAGAATTGCTTGACCCAGGAGGCAGAGATTGCAGTGAGCCAAGATCGAAACACTGTGCTCCAGCCTGGGTAATGGAGTGAGACTGTCTAAAAAAAAAAAAAAAAAAAAAAGTAGTAGTCACATTTGACCAGGCACAGTGGCTCACGCCTGTAATCTCAGCACTTCGGGAGGCCGAGACAGGAGGATCACTGGAGCCTGGGAGTTTAAGACCAGCTTGGGCAACATAGTGAGACCCCCATCTCTACAAAAATAAAAATAAAAAAATTAGCTAGGTATGGTGATGTGCACCTGTGGTCCAAGTTACTAGGGAGGCCGAGGTGGGAAGATCACTTGAGCCTGGACATCAAGGCTACAGTGAGCTATGATCACACCACTGAACTCCAGCCTGGGGAACAGAGCAAAACCCTGTCTCAAAAAAAAAAGAAGTCCTCCTGCCTCAGCCTCCTGAGTGGCTGGGACTATCGTGATGTGCCACTATGCCTGGAACAGTATTTATTGATACTGATTTGAACAAGTAATCAAATAATATATTTATGTTTTGAACAAACAAAAAATATTATATGACCCAATGGAAAAAAATGGGTATTGAACCCTGACTGGATATTTAGTTGTATTAAGGAATTCATGTTAATTGTTTAGGTGTGATATGGAGTTGTCTCTTAGAGATAGAATTTGAAGTATTCATGGATGAAAGGATATGATGATGCCTTGGCTTTGATTTAAAAATCCATTGAGGGGAAAAGGTGGGTGGGGTATAGATGAGGCAAGTTTGCTGAGGCTCGGTGATAGGTACAGGGGGTTCATTATTCTACTTGCTGTGTTTTTGTGTGTTTGACATTTCCCATCATTACGAACTGAAATATATTTCCTGAGCACCTACTGTGTGTCAGGCACTGTTCCAGACACTGGAGATCAGCAGGGAACAATACTGAAAAACTCCACGCATTCATGTAGCTGAGATGCTGGCAGGATCATAATAACTAACCTTTTTTTATTTTTTATTATTTATTTATTTATTTTGAGATGGAGTCTGGCTCTTTCACCCAGGCCCAAGTGCAGTGGCGCAATCTCGGCTCACTGCAAGCTCCGCCTCCCGGGTTCACGCCATTCTCCTGCCTCAGCCCCCCAAGTAGCTGGGACTACAGGCACCCGCCACCATGCCTGGCTAATTTTTTGTATTTTTAGTAGAGACAGGGTTTCACCGCATTAGCCAGGATGGTCTCGATCTCTTGACCTCGTGATCCGCCTGCCTCGGCCTCCCAAAGTGCTGGGAGTACAGGCGTGAGCCACCGCACCCGGCCTTATTTTTTATTTTTGAGACAGGGTCACATTCTGTCACCCAGGGTGGAGTGCAGTGGTGCAATCCTGGCTCACTGCAACCTCTGCCTCTCAGGCCCAAGTGATTCCCTCACCTCAGCCTTTCCCAGTAGCTGGGACCACAGGCATGGGCCACCACGCCCAGCTAATTTTTTTATTTTTATTTTTGTTGAGAAGGGATCTCACTGTGTTTCCTAGGCTGGTCTCCAATTCCTGGGCTTCAGTGGTCCTCTTGTCTCAGCCTCCCAAAATGTTGGGATTTCAGGTGTGAGCCACCACACCTGGCCAGGAACAAATTATCCTTTTATTACTGGGAAAGGCTGGGCATGTTTTGGGGGGTGCTCTTGTTGTTGTTGGTCGTGTATGTGTGTGTTGTTTGCTTTTGTATATACATGAACTTTTCCCAGAAAGATACACAAGAAACAAGTAAGTGGCTGGGCGCGGTGGCTCATGCCTGTAATCCCAGCACTTTGGAAGGCCGAGGCGGGCGGATAACCTGCGGTCAGGAGTTTGAGACCAGCCTGACTAACATGGTAAAACTTCCTTCTCTACTAAAAATACAAAAAAAAAAAAAAAAAAAAAGCCGGGTGTGGTGGTGCACGCCTGTAATCCCAGCTGCTCAGGAGGCTGAGGCAGAAGAATCGCTTCAACCCAGGAGGCGGAGGTTGCAGTGAGCCGAGTTCGCACCACTGCACTCCAGCCTGGGCAACAGAGCGAGACTCCATCTCAAAAAAGAAAAAGAAAAAGAAAAAAAGAAAAGAAAAAAAGAAATAACATAGAATAGTTCCCCTGGAAAGAAACCTAGAGTCCCCAGGGAGAGGAAGACCCTGTTTATCCTCATGAATTTTAAACCATGTGACTTTATCATCTGTTCAGCAACTGGGAGAATAAAAACTAAAAATTTTGAATAGCAAGTTCTAAAATACCAAGAATGGTTAGAGTATGGGAAGGACCAGGTGGAAAGGGCAGTTGTTTCTGTGCCCGCCACAAGATGGCAGCAGAGCGGCACCAAAGTCCGCCCGAGGGCAGGTCCCCTTCCCACCTACAACCCGCAACTCCTGTGGTCTTCCCACCCGCTGTGTGATTGTGGCAGGGCTGAACCATCCACACATTCTACACTCGCAGAAACTGAGATAATAAATAAGTATTGTTCTGAACTGCGTGGCCGGGCACCGTGGCTCATGCCTGTAATCACAGCACTTTGAGAAGGTGAGGCTGGCGGATCACCTGAATTTAGGAGTTCGAGACCAGCCTGGCCAACATGGCGAAATCCCATCTCTACTAAAAATACAAAAATTAGCAGGGCGTGGTGGCGGGCGCCTGTAATCCCAGCTAGTCGGGAGTCTGAAGCAGGAGAATCGCTTGAATCCGGGAGGCGGAGGTTGCAGTGAGCCAAGATCGTGCCACTGCACTCCAGCCTGGGCGACAGAATGAGACTCCCTCTCAAGAGAAAGTCAACTGAACTGCTACATTTGGGGGTAAAATTTGTTACTTAGCAATAGATAGCTAATACACTATACATCACACCATGCCACCAAAAAAAAAAAATGAGTATGTGTTTATGTGTTTCTAAGATATAAGGACTCTTTTTTTTTTTTTTTTTTGAGACATAGTTTCACTCTGTCACCTCACCCAGGCTGGAGTGAGACCTTGTCTAAAAAAAAAAAAAAAAAAAAAAGTCATAAATTTTAAAATATTTGTTTATATCAAGATCCAAATAAGACCCCTATATTGAGATCCGTTGGTATGTAAATTCTGTTTTTATTTATTTATTTATTTATTTATTTTGAGACGGAGTCTTGCCCAGGCTGGAGTGCAGTGGCTCGATCTCACCTCACTGCAACCACCACCTCCCAGGTTCAAGCAATTCTCCTGCCTCAGCCTCCTGAGTAGCTAGGGTTATAGGCACCCGCCACCATGCCCGGCTAATATTTTTGTATTTTTAGTAGAGACGAGATTTCACCATGTTGGCCAGGCTGATTTTGAACTCCTGACCTCAAGTGATCCATCCGCCTTAGCTTCCCAAAGTGCTGGGATTACAGGCGTGAGCCACCATGCCTGGCAATTCTGTGTTCTTTAAACCACATATGTTGGTGCTTTTTTGTTCTAGCAGCTAAGTCCTCATGTAAACCGATACAGAGCAGCAGAGATGGCATCCCCCAGCTGGCCATTTATACTGAGTTTGAGCTCATTTGTCCCGCAAGTTGACAAAACCATTCCTAAATGAGACCTGTGCTATGGCAGCAGCAGTTTTTGTTTTGTTTTGTTTAGAGACAAGGACTCGCTCTGTCGCCCAGGCTGGGATTACAGGCGTGAGCCCCTGTGCCAGCTGCTTCATTGTTTTTGATATGGAGATATTGTTCCAGACTTCCTGGCACCTTGGAGCTTAATCCAGGAAACTTGTCCAGGCTGTAACCAAAGACTTTGTGTTGAGATAAGAGAAATTTTATTACTCTCTCAGAGTCGGAGCAATTAACTAGATAATGATTACAGCTGTATACACGGAGAACAGAGAAGAGATGGGTGCAGTGAGCCAGAAGCGAGAAGATGATGGTGGGCAGGAACTGGGGAAGGTGCTGGGGAGGAGAAATGGGTGGAATGAGACCCGGGATTCCCTCCCAGGAACTGGGATTGGAGGGTGATGGTAGGGAGCAGTGCGGAAGGTCCAGGCAGTTTGCCATGCCAGGCCCTATCCATGAGTGGCAAACTCAAATGCCTACAAGGACCATGCCAGAAATAGGAGTAAGTGAAATAGATGGAAGACAATAGGGGTTGGTGGGGACTTTGGTGAAGCAGAAATGCATGTCCCTATGTCAATTAGCTTTTGTTATATTAAAAAACACCCAAGGCCAGGTGCGGTGCCTCACCCCTGTAATTCCCAGCACTTTGGGAGGCCAAGGCCGGTGGATCACTGGAGGCCAGGAATTTGAGACTAGCATGGCCAACATAGTGAAACCCCATCTCTATTAAAAATACAAAAATTAGCTGGGCATGGTGGCACATGCCTGTAATCCCAGCTGCTCGGGAGGCTGAGGCAGGAGAATTGCTTGAACCTGGGAGGTGGAGGTTGCAGTGAGCCAAGACCGCACCACTGCACTCAAGCCTGGGAGACAGAATGAAACTGTTTCAAAAAACAAACAAAAACAGGCCTGGCACGGTGGCTCACGCCTGTAATCCCCGCACTGTGGGAGGCCGAGGCAGGTGGATCACCCGAGGTCTGGAGTTCGAGACCAATCTGGCCAACATGAGGAAACCCTGTCTCTATTAGAAATACAAAAAATTAGCCGGGCGTGGTGGCAGGCACCTGTAATCCCAGCTACTGGAGAGGCCTGAGGCAGGAGAATCACTTGAATCCAGGAGGTGGATGTTGCAGTGAGCTGAGATCGCACCACTGCGCTCCAGCCTGGGCAACAAGAGCGAAACTCTGTCTCAAAAACACCGCCACCCAAAACAGTGGTTTAAAATAATAAGCATCACGGCCAGGCAAGGTGGCTCTCTCCTGTAATCCCAGCACTTTGGGAGGCTGAGGTAGGCAGATCACTTTAGCTCAAGAGTTCGAGATCAGCCTGGGCAACATGGCGAAATCCCATCTCTTTAAAAATACAAAAGTTAGCCAGGTGTGGTGGCCCATGCCTGTGATCCCAGCTACTCGGGAGGCTGAGGTGGAAGGGTCATTTGAACCCAGGAGGTGGAGGTTGCAGTGAGCCAAGATTGCACCACTGCACTCCAGCCTGGACGGCAGGGCAAGACCGTGTCTTGAAAAAATGAATAAATAAATAAATAAGCGTGTCAAAAAAGAATAACTTGAGGAATGACTGTGGGCTATTGTAAACATAATCAGATAGTTATTCTAATTGTAGCTGCTGTACCAGATGTAATATGCTTGCTGGAACAAATCAACAGAATCTGGTATTGGTATGCAGCTATTAACCTGCCTAATGCCTTTTTCTCCATATCAATTTTCAAGGACCACCAGAAGCAGTTTGCTTTTAATTGGCAGACCCAACAGTATACCTTGAGAGTGGTATTTCCAGGCTACAGCAGTTCTCCTGCTCTTTGCCCCAATATTGTCCACTAAATCTTGATCATTTTGACATTTCACAAGCCATCACATCGGTCTGCTACAAGAATGACATTATGCTGATTGGTCCTGACGAGCAACAAATAGCAAGTACTTTAAATGCTTTAGTAAGGTATGTACGAATGAGAAAATTGGAGAAAGTCACCATCAAAATTCAGCGACCCCCTCCCACCTCAGTGAAGTTTTGGGGGGTTACAGGGGAAGAAAAATATATATATTTTTGAGACAGAGTCTCACTCTGTCGCCCAGGCTGGAGTACAGTGGCACAATCTCGGCTCACTGCAACCTCTGCCTCCCGGGTTCAAGCAAGTCTCCTGCCTCAGTCTCCCGAGTAGCTCAGATTACAGGCGCGTGCCACCATGCCCATCTAATTTTTTGTAGTTTTAGTAGAGATGGGGTTTCACCATGCTGGCTAGGCGGGTCTCGAAATCCTGAGCTTGTAATATGCCCGCCTCGGCCTCCCAAAGTGCTGGGATTACAGGTGTAAGCCACCATGCCTGGCTTTTTTTTTTTTTTTTTTTTTGAGATAGAGTCTCACTCTGTTGCCCAGGCTGGAGTGAAGTGGCGCGATCTCGGCTCACTGCAACCTCCGTCTCCTGGGTTCAAGTGATTCTCCTGCCTCAGCCTCCCAAGTAGTGGGACTACAGGTGTATGCCACCACACCCAGCTAATTTTTGTATTTTTAGTAGAGACGGGATTTCGCCATGTTATCCAGGCTGGTCTTGAACTCCTGACCCCAGGTAATCCACCTGCCTCGGCCTCCCAAAGTGCTGGGATTACAGGCATGAGCCATGGTGCCTGGCCTGAAAAATATTTTTTCTTTAATCCTCATAAGTTCCTAGTTGGAATGTACCCCTGTAACAAAAGATAATAAGAGAAAAACAAACAGAAGCTTATTAACATGTATATTTCTTATACACATGGGAGACACCCAGGGAATGAGTAGTTCTCAAAGAGGTGGCTTCGAATTCCAGCTTATACAGCGTCTTCAACAAAAAGCATAAAATTTTTAGAGAAATTATAGAACAAAGGAAAAGGGGTAGTAACTTGTGAGAAGCCAAATAAAAGCAGAGGAAGCCTAGTTTGAAAACTTGTTGGCCCGGCATGGCGGCTCACGCCTGTAATCCCAGCACTTTGGGAGGCCGAGGCAGGCAAATCATCTGTGGTCAGGAGTTCAAGACCAGCCTGGCCAACATGGTGAAACCCGTCCCTACTAAAAATACAAAAAAAACAAAGCAAAACAAAAAAAGCTGAGCACGGTGGTGGCGCCTGTAATCCCAGCTACTCACGAGGCTGAAGGAGGAGAATCGCTTGAACCCGGGAGGCGAAGGTTGCAGTGAGCCGAGATTACACCACTGCACTCCAGCCTGGGCAACGGAGTGAGACTCTGTCTCAACAAAAAAAAAAGAAAACTCGTTAATGTAGATTCCTCTGGTACCATCTCCAGTCTGATAAGGATCTAAAATTATCTTCAGGCCAGGCACAGTGGCTCATGCCTATAATCTCAGCCCTTCAGAGGCTCAGGCGGGAGGATTGTTTGAGCCCAGGAGTTAGAGACCAGCCTGGACAATAGAGTAGGACCTCATCTCTATAAAATTAGCCGGGCATGGTGGTCCACAACTGTTGTCCCAGCTATTCAGGAGGTTGAGATTGGAGGATCACTTGAGCCCAGGATGTTGAAGCTGCTGAGCTGTGATTTTATCACTGCGCTTCAGTCTGGGTGACAAAGTGAGACCCTGTCTCAAAAAGGAAGGAAAGAGGGAAAGGAGGGAGGGAGGGAAATAAAGATATCTTTTCTACTTTTTTTTTTTTTTTTTTTTTGGAGATGGAGTGTCGCTCTGTCACCCAGGCTAGAGTGCAGTGGCATGATCTCGGCTTACTGCAACCTCCATCTCTGGGGTTCAAGCAATTCTGCCTCAGCCTCCCAAGTAGCTGGGACTACAGGCGCACAGCAGCACACCCAGCTAATTTTTTGTATTTTAGTAGAGAAGGGGTTTCACTTTGTTGCCCAGGCTGGTCTCGAACTCCTGAGCTCAGGCAATCCGCCTGCCTGGGCATCCCAAAGTGCTGGGATTTCGGGCATGAGCCACCACACCCAGCAAGAAAGAAAGATATTTTTTCTTTTCTTCTTCTTTTTTTTTTGAGACGGAATTTCACTCTTGTTGCCCAGGCTGGAATGCAATGGCACCATCTCGGCTCACCGCAACCTCCACCTCCCAGGTTCAAGCGATTCTCCTGCCTCAGCCGGCTGAGTAGCTGGGATTCCAGGCATGCGCCACCACGCCTTGCTAATTTTGTATTTTTAGTAGAGACTGGGGTTTCTCCATGTTGGTCAGGCTGGTCTCGAACTCCCGACCTCAGGTGATCCGCCGCCTCGGCCTCCCAAAGTGCTGGGATTACAGGCGTGAGCCACTGCGCCCGGCCAAGAAAGATATCTTTTCTAAGGTGAAAGACAAGTTGCTGCAAGTTGCAGTACCTACCACAAAGAAAGAAGTACAATGGTCGGTAGGTTTTTTTATTTGGGAGGCAACATTGAGTATGCTGTTTTGACCCATCTGCAAAATCACCCAGAAGGCTGCATGCTTTGAGTGGAGACCAGAGCAAGAGAAGGCAATAGGGTAAGAGGAGGCTGCAGTAGAAGCTGCTCTTTTTTAAAATTTTTTTTTTTGAGACGAAGTCTCACTCTGTCGCCCAGGCTGGAGTGCAGGGGCACGATCTCAGCTCACTGCAACCTCCCAGGCTGGAGTGCAGTGGTGTGATATCAGCTCACTGCAACCTCCGCTTCCCGGTTTCAAGAGATTCTCCTGCCTCAGCTTCCCAAGTAGCTGGGACTACAGGCATGCGCCACCACACCCAGCTAATTTTTTATTTTTAGTAGAGACGGGGTTTCACCATGTTGGTCAGGCTGGTCTTGAACTGCTGACCTCAGGTGATCTGCCCGCCTCAGCCTCCCAAAGTGCTGGGATTACAGGAGTGAGCCACCACACCCAGCCAAAAATTTTTTTTTTTTTGAGTCGGAGTCTCACTCTGTCCCCTAGGCTGGAGTGCAGTGGCGCGATCTCGGCTCACTGCAAGCTGCGCCTCCCGGGTTCACACCATTCTCCTGCCTCAGCCTCCCGAGTAGCTGGGACTACAGGTGCCCACCACCACGCCCGGCTAATTTTTTGTATTTTTAGTAGAGACGGGGTTTCACCGTGTTAGCCAGGATGGGCTCGATTTCCTGACCTCGTGATCTGCCCATCTCGGCCTCCCAAAGTGCTGGGATTACAGGCGTTGAGCCACCGTGCCGGCTTTTGAAGCTGCTTTACCATTAACAAGGTCAGAGTCCTTCAACACTAACCTCTGTTGCATTGGTTCCTAGACTTCAAGCCAAACTTTTCCTCTGGCATGTTCCTTATGCCCAGTGAAATGAGGAAGAAACTTGGCTGGGCGTGGTGGCTCACGCCTGTAATCTCAACACTTTGGGAGGCTGAGGCAGGTGGATCACGAGGTCAGGAGTTTGAGACCATCCTGGCCAACATGGTGAAACCCCGTCTCTACTAAAAATACAAAAATTAGCTGGGCATGGTGGCAGGCACCTATAGTACCAGCTACTCGGGAGGCTGAGGCAGGAGAATCTCTTGAACCCAGAAGGTGGAGGGTGCAGTGAGCTGAGATCGCACCACTGCACTCCAGCCTGGCAACAAAGCGAGACTCCGTTTCAAAAAAAATAATTATAAACTTGAGCCTGGCTTACAGCTAGTCTGTACATCATGCTGGTACCGCTCGAAAGTGGACAATGGCAGCATTACAACCTCCCTTAGGGATGAACCTACAGGGCAGTGGTCAGAACTTCATGTAGGTCGGGTGTGGTGGTACACACCTGTAGTCCCAGCTACTGCGGAGGCTGAGGCGGGAGAATTGCTTCAACCTGGGAGGTGGAGGTTGCAGCGAGCTGAGATTGTGCCACCGCAACCTGCCTAAGCGACAGAGCGAGACTCTGTTTCAAAAAGAAAAAAGAGAATTTCATGCTGCACATTTAGTTGTCCAGTATGCCTGGAGGGAGAAGTGGCCAGAAGTATAGATCTATACTAATTTATGGGCAGTTGCTAATGGTTTGGGTGGATGGTCAAGTACGTGGAAGGAAGAAGATTGAAAGATTAATGACAAGGAAGCTTGGAGAGGCATATGGATGGGCCTCTCAGTCTCTGCACAGACTGTGAAGATATTTGTGTCCCATAGGAGTGCCCACCCAAGGGCAGCCACTGAAGTGAAAATTCCTTTTTTTTTTTTTTTTTTTGAGATGGAATCTCGCTCTGTTTCCCAGGTTGGAGTACAATGGCACGATCTCGGCTCACTGCAACCTCTGCCTCCCGGGTTGAAGTGATTCTCCCGCCTCAACCTCCCAAGTAGCTGGGATTACAGGCACCCGCCACCACACCCGACTAATTTTTGTATTTTTAGTAGAGACGGGGTTTCACCATGTTGGCCAGGCTGGTCTTGAACTCCTGACTTCAGGCAATCCACCTGCCTCAGCCTCCCAAAGTGCTGGGATTATAGGTGTGAGCCACTGCACCCAGCCACAGATTTTTCTTTTTTTTTTTTTTTTTTTTTTTTTTTGAGACAGAGTCTGGCTCTGTCACCCAGGCTGGAGTGCAGTGGTGCAATCTCGGCTCACTGCAAGCTCCGCCTCCCGGGTTCACGCCATTCTCCTGCCTCAGCCTCCCGAGTAGCTGGGACTACAGGCACCCGCCACTATGCCCGGCTAAATTTTTGTATTTTTAGTAGAGACGGGGTTTCACTGTGTTAGCCAGGATGGTCTCGATCTCCTGACCTCGTGATCCACCCGCCTCAGCCTCCCAAAGTGCTGGGATTACAGGCTTGAGCCACCGCGCCCGGCCCAGATTTTTCTTTTTTTCTTTTTTTTTTTTTTTGAGAAGGAGTCTAGCTCTGTTGCCCAGGCTGGAGTGCAGTGGCGCCATCTCGGCTCACTGCAAGCTCCACCTCCCAGGGTTCACGCCATTCTCCTGCCTCAGCCTCCTGAGTAGGTGGGACTACAGGCGCCCGCCACCACGCCCAGCTAATTTTTTGTATTTTCAGTAGAGGTGGGGTTTCACTGTGTTAGCCAGGATAGTCTCCATCTCCTGACCTCATGATCTACCTGCCTCGGCCTCCCAAAGTGCTGGGATTACAGGTGTGAGCCACCATGCCCAGCCGAAAAATTCTTTTTTTTTTTTTTTTTTTTTTTTAAGACGGAGTCTTGCTCTGTCACCCAGGCCGGATGGAGTGCAGTGGCGCAATCTCGGCTCACTGCAAGCTCTGCCTCCTGGGTTCACGCCATTCTCCTGCCTCAGCCTCCCGAGTAGCTGGGACTACAGGCGCCCACCACCACGCCCGGCTAATTTTTTGTATTTTTAATAGAGACAGGGTTTCACCGTGTTAACCAGGATGGTCTCGATCTCCTGACCTCATGATCTGCCCGCCTCGGCCCCCCAAAGTGCTGGGATTACAGGCGTGAGCCACCGCGTCCGGTCCTGGCCCAAAAATTCTTAATGATCAGGCAGACAAGATGACACTTGTGTGCATGAGAGTCAGGCTCTTTTCCCAGCCACCCTAATGCTTGCTCAATGGGTCCATGAAAAAAGTGGCCATGGTGGCAGAGATGGAGGCTATGCATGGGTTCAGCAACGTCAGCTTCCCCTTGCCATGGCTGACCTGGCTACTGTTACTGCTGAGCGCCTAATCTGCCAATAGCAGAGACCAACACTGAGCCCCAATATGGCACCATTCCCTGGGGATCAGCCTGCTACCCGGTGGCAAGTTGATTACCTTGGACCTCTTCCGTCATGAAGAGGGCAAAGATTTGTCCTCACTGGAATAGACAGATATCCCAGACACGAACGTGCTTCCCTGCCTTTAATGCGTTTGCTGTCACTACCATCTGCAGACTCAAAGCATGCTCACCCACCATCATGGCATTCCACACAGCATCGCGTCAGAACAAGAAATCCATCTGAGGCTGGCTGCGGTGGCTCACGCCTGTAATCCCAGCACTTTGGGAGGCTGAGGTGGGAGCATGACTTGAGACCATGAGTTTGAGACCAGCTTGGGCAACACAGTGAGACCCTGTCTCTACTAAGAACACCAAAAAAATTAGCCAAGCATACTGGGACCCACCTGTAGTTCCAGTTGCTTAAGAAGCTGAGGTAAGAGGATCACTTTGGCCCAGGAGATCAAGGCTTCAGTGAGCTATGATGGTGCCACTGCACCCCAGCCTGAGTGACAGACCAAGTACTTTATCTCTAAAAAAAAAAAAAAAAAAAATTTCATTTGAAAGCGAAGGAAGTGCAGCAATGGGCTCCTGCCCATGGAATCTTATAGAATCTTACTATCTTCCCCATCACCCAGAAGCAACTGGCCTAACTGAAAGGTAGAATGAGTCAGCAATGACTCCATTAAAGTACCAACTGGGAAACAATACCCTGAAAAAATGGGATTGTCTTACAGGACATGGCCTGTGCTTTGAATGAGAGACCACTCTACCATGTTTCCCCATAGTGAGAATTTATGGGACTGGGAGTCAGGGGGAAAGTGAGTAGAAATGGTTCCTCTCTCTGTTACACACAGTAACTTGAATAATTGCTTCTCTCCTCAACAGCTTTGAGCTCTGCTAGTTTAGAGATTTTGGTCCTCATGGAGAGGAATGCTTCCACTGGGCACACAACAATGGATCCAACAACTGGGAGATAAGACTTCCACCTGAACATTTTGAGGTCCTTGTGTCGCTGAACCAAGAGGCAAAAATAAACTGTCAGGCCTCTGAGCCCAAGCCAAGCCATCGCAACCCCTGTGACTTGCTCGTATATGCCCAGACGGCCTGAAGTAACTGACGAATCACAAAAGAAGTGAAAAGGCCCTGCCCCGCATTAACTGATGACATTCCACCATTGTGATTTGTTCCTGCCCCACCTTAACTGAGTGATTAACCCTGTGAATTTCCTTCTCCTGGCTCAGAAGCTCCCCCACTGAGCACTTTGTGACCCCCTGCCCCTGCCCACCAGAGAACCCCCTTTGACTGTAATTTTCCATTACCTTCCCAAATCCTATAAAACGGCCCCACCCCTATCTCCCTTCGCTGACTCTCTTTTCCGACTCAGCCCGCCTGCACCCAGGTGAAATAAACAGCCATGTTGCTCACACAAAGCCTGTTTGGTGGTCTCTTCACATGGACGCGCATGAAATGTGGCGCATGAAATTTGGTGCCGTGACTCTGATCGGGGGACCTCCCTTGGGAGATCAATCCCCCGTCCTCCTGCTCTTTGCTCCGTGAGAAAGATCCACCTATGACCTCAGGTCCTCAGACTGACCAGCCCAAGAAACATCTCACCAATTTCAAATCCGGTAAGCGGCCTCTTTTTACTCTCTTCTCCAACCTCCCTATCCCTCAACCTCTTTCTCCTTTCAATCTTGGCGCCACACTTCAATCTCTCCATTCTCTTAATTTCAATTCCTTTCATTTTCTGGTAGAGACAAAGGAGACACGTTTTATCCGTGGACCCAAAACTCCGGCGCCGGTCACGGACTGGGAAGGCAGCCTTCCCTTGGTGTTTAATCATTGCAGGGCCACCTCTCTGATTATTCCCCCACGTTTCAAAGGTGTCAAACCACGCAGGGACACCTGCCTTGGTCCTTCACCCTTAGTGGCAAGTCCCGCTTTTCTCGGGGAGGGGCAAGTACCCCAACCCCTTCTCTCCGTGTCTCTACCCCTTCTCTGCTCTTCTGGGGCAGGAGCAAGAACCCCTCAACCCCTTCTTCACCGTTAGTGGTAAGTCCCACTTTTCTAGGGGGCAAGAACCCCCAATCCCTTATTTCCATGCCCCAACCCTTTCTCTGCTTTTCTGAAGGGCAAGAAACCCCCGCCCCTTCTCCGTGTCTCTACTCTTTTCTCTGGGCTTGCCTCCTTCACTATGGGCAAGTTTCCACCCTCCATTCCTCCTCCTTCTCCCTTAGCCTGTATTCTTAAGAACTTATAAACCTCTTCAACTCTCACCTGACCTAAAATCTAAGCGTCTTATTTTCTTCTGCAATGCCGCTTGACCCCAATACAAACTCCACAGTAGTTCCAAATAGCTGGAAAACGGCACTTTCAATGTTTCCATCCTACAAGATCTAAATAATTCTAGTCGTAAAATGGGCAAATGGTCTGAGGTGCCTGATGTCCAGGCATTCTTTTACACATCAGTCCTTTCCTAGTCTCTGTGCCCAGTGCAACTCGTCCCAAATCTTCCTTCTTTCCCTCCCACCTGTCCCCTCACTCCCAACCCCAAGCATTGCTGAGTCTTTCTAATCTTCCTTTTCTACAGACCCATCTGACCTCTCCCCTCCTCGCCGGGCCGAGCTAGGTCCCAATTCTTCCTCAGCCTCCGCTCCTCCACCCTATAATCCTTTTATCACCTCCCCTCCTCACACCTGGTCCAGCTTACAGTTTCGTTCTGTGACTAGCCCTCCCCCACCTGCCCAGCAATTTACTCTTAAAAAGGTGGCTGGAGCCAAAGGCATAGTCAAGGTTAATGCTTTTTCTTTATCCCAAATCAGAAGCGTTTAGGCTCTTTTTCATCAAATATAAAAACACAGCCCAGTTCATGGCTTGTTCGGCAGCAACCCTGAGATGCTTTACAGCCCTAGACCCTAAAAGGTCAAAAGGCCATCTTATTCTCAATATACATTTTATTATCCAATCTGCTCCCGACATTAAATAAAACTCCAAAAATTGGAATCTGGCCCTCAAACCCCAAAACAGGACTTAATTAAGGTGTACAATAATAAAAAAAAGTTGCAATTCCTTGCCTCCACTGTGAGACAAACCCCAGCCACATCTCCAGCACACAAGAACTTCCAAACGCCTGAACCGCAGCGGCCAGGCGTTCCTCCAGAACCTCCTCCCCCAGGAGCTTGCTACAAGTGCCAGAAATCTGACCACCAGGCCAAGGAATGCCTGCAGTCCAGGATTCCTCCTAAGCCGTGTCCCATCTGTGCAGGACCCCACTGGAAATCGGACTGTTCAACTCACCTGGCAGCCACTCCCAGAGCCCCTGGAACTCTTGCCCAAGGCTCTCTGACTGACTCCTTCTTGGCTTAGCGGCTGAAGACTGACGCTGCCCGATTGCCTCGGAAGCCCCGTAGACCATCACAGATGCCGAGCTTTAGGTAACTCTCACAGTGGAGGGTAAGTCCGTCCCCTTCTCAATCAATACGGAGGCTACCCACTCCACATTACCTTCTTTTCAAGGGCCTGTTTCCTTTGCCTCCATAACTGTTGTAGGTATTGACAGCCAGGCTTCTAAACCTCTTAAAACTCCCCAACTCTGGTGCCAACTTAGACAATACTCTTTTATGCACTCATTTTTAGTTATCCCCACCTGCCCAGTTCCCTTATTAGGCCGAGATATTTTAACCAAATTATCTGCTTCCCTGACTATTCCTGGACTACAGCTGCATCTCATTGCCGCCCTTCTTCCCAATCCAAAGCCTCCTTTGCATCCTCCTCTTGTATCCCCCCACCTTAACCCACAAGTATAAGATACCTCTACTCCCTCCTTGGTGACCGATCATGCACCCCTTACCATCTCATTAAAAGCTAATCACCCTTACCCGGCTCAGTGCCAACATCCCATCCCACAGCATGCTTTGAAAGGATTAAAGCCTGTTATCACTCGCCTGCTACAGCATGGCCTTTTAAAGCCTATAAACTCTCCTTACAATTCCCCCATTTTACCTGTCCAAAAACTGGAAAAGCCTTACAGGTTAGTTCAGGATCTATGCCTTATTAACCAAATTGTTTTGCCTATCCACCCCATGGTGCCAAACCCATATACTCTCCTATCCTCAATACCTCCCTCCACAATCCATTATTCTGTTCTGGATCTCAAACATGCTTTCTTTCCTATTCCTTTGCACCCATCTTCCCAGCCTCTCTTCCCTTTCACTTGGACTGACCCTGACACCCATCAGGCTCAGCAAATTACCTGGGCTGTACTGCCGCAAGGCTTCACAGACAGACCCCATTACTTCAGTCAAGCCCAAATTTCATCCTCATCTGTTACCTATCTCGGCATAATTCTCGTAAAAACACATGTGCTCTCCCTGCTGTTCGTGTCCGATTAATCTCCCAAACCTCGATCCCTTACAAAACAACAACTCCTTCCCTTCCTAGGCATGGTTAGTGCGGTCAGAATTCTTACACAAGAGCCAGGACCGCACCCTGTAGCCTTTCTGTGCAAACAACTTGACCTTACTGTTTTAGCCTAGCCCTCATGTCTGCGTGTAGCGGCTGCCACTGCTTTAATACTATTAGAGGCCCTCAAAATCACAAACTATGCTCAACTCACTCTCTACATTTCTCATAACTTCCAAAATCTATTTTCTTCCTCACACCTGACGCATATACTTTCTGCTCCCTGACTCCTTCAGCTGTTCTCACTTTTTGTTAAGTCCCACAATTACCATTGTTCCTGGCCCGGACTTCAATCCAGCCTCCCACATTATTCCGGATACCACACCTGACCCCCATGACTGCATCTCTGTGATCCACCTGATGTTCATCCCATTTCCCCACATTTCCTTCTTCCCTGTTCCTCACCCTGATCACGCTTGATTTATTGATGGCAGTTCCACCAGGCCTAATCGCCACACACCAGCAAAGGCAGGCTATGCTATAGTACAAGCCACTAGCCCGCCTCTTAGAACCTTTCATTTCCTTTCCATTGTAGAAATCTATCCTCAAGGAAATAACTTCTCAGTGTTCCATCTGTTATTCTACTACTCCTCAAGGATTATTCAGGCCCCCTCCCTTCCCTACACATCAAGCTTGAGCATTTGCCCCAGCCCAGGACTGGCAAATTAGCTTTACTCAACATGCCCCGAGTCACAAAAACTAAAATACCTCTTAGTCTAAGTAGACACTTTCACTAGATAGGGAGAGGCCTTTCCTACAGGGTCTGAGAAGGCCACCACAGTCATTTCTTCCCTTCTGTCAGACATAATTCCTCAGTTTAGCCTTCCCACCTCTATACAGTCTGGTAACAGACTAGCCTTTATTAGTCAAATCAGCCAAGCATTTTTTCCAGCTCTTAGTATTCAGTGACAGACTAATGGTCTATTAAAAACACACCTCACCAAGCTCAGCCACCAACTTAAAAAGGACTGGACAATACTTTTACCACTTTCCCTTCTCAGAAGTCAGACCTGTCCTCAGAATGCTACAAGCTACAGCCCATTTAAGCTCCTGTATAGACGCTCCTTTTTATTAGGCCCCAGTCTCATTCCAGACACCAGACCAACTTAGACTGTGCCCCCGAATAACTTGTCATCCCTACTATCTTCTGTCTAGTCATACTCCTATTCACCGTTCTCAACTACTCATACATGCCCTGCTCTTGTTTACACTGCCAGTTTACACAGTTTCTCCAAGCCATCACAGCTGATATCTCCTCATGCTATCCCCAAACTGCCACTCTTAACTCTTGAAGTAAATAAATAATCTTTGCTGGCAGGACTATGCTGAATCTCCTTAGGCACTCTCTAATCAGATGTCCTAGGTCCTCCCAATTCTTAGTCCTTTTATACCTGTTTTGCTCCTTTTCTTATTCCATTTAGTTTTTCAATTCATACAAAACCGTATCCAGGCGATCACCAATCATTCTATACGACAAATGTTTCTTCTAACATCCCCACAATATCACCCCTTTCCACAAGATCTCCCTTCAGCTTAATCTCTCCCACTCTAGGTTCCCACGCCGCCCCTAATCCCGCTTGAAGCAGCCCTGAGAAACATCGCCCATTCTCTCTTCATACCACCCCCCAAAAATTTTCGCCACCCCAACACTTCGACACTATTTTATTTTTCTTATTAACATAAGGCAGGAATGTCAGGCCTCTGAGCCCAAGCCAAGCCATCGCATCTCCTGTGACTTGCACGTATACACCCAGATGGCCTGAAGTAACTGAAGAATCACAAAAGTGAAAAGGCCCTGCCCCGCATTAACTGATGACATTCCACCATTGTGATTTGTTCCTGCCCCACCTTAACTGAGTGATTAACCCTGTGAATTTCCTTCTCCTGGCTCAGAAGCTCCCCCACTGAGCACTTTGTGACCCCTTCGCCCCTGCCCACCAGAGCACAACCCCCTTTGACAGTAATTTTCCATTACCTTCCCAAATCCTATAAAATGGCCCCATCCCTATCTCCCTTCGCTGACTCTCTTTTCTGACTCAGCCCGCCTGCACCCAGGTGAAATAAACAGCCATGTTGCTCACACAAAGCCTGTTTGGTGGTCTCTTCACACGGACGCGCATGAAATAAACAAATAAAGAAAATGAAAGAAAAACAGGACAGGCACAGTGGGTCACGCCTGTAATCCCAGCACTTTGGGAGGCCGAGACAGATGGATCACCTGAGGTCAGGAGTTCGTGACCATCCTGGCCAACATGGTGAAACCTCGTCTCTACTAAAATACAAAAAATTAGCCAGGCGTGGTGTCGTGCACCTAGTCCCAGCTACTTGGGAGGCTGAGGCAGGGGAATCACTTGAACCCGGGAGGCGGAGACTGCAGTGAGCAGAGATTGCGCCATTGCACTCCAGCCTGGGTGACAGAGCGAGACTTCATCTCAAATAGAAAAAAAAGAGGCTGGGCGTGGTGGCTCACGCCTGTAATCCCAGCACTTTGGGAGGCCGAGGCGGGTGGATCACGAGGTCAGGAGATTGAGACCATCCTGGCTAACACGGTGAAACCCTGTCTCTACTAAAAATACAAAAAAAAAACTTAGCTGGACGTGGTGGCGGGCGCCTGTAGTCCCAGCTACTGGGGAGCCTGAGGCAGGAGAATGGCGTGAACCTGGGAGGCGGAGCTTGCAGTGAGCCGAGATGGCGCCACTGCACTCCAGCCTGGGTGACTGAGCAAGACTCCGTCTCAAAAAAGAAAAAAGAAAATTAAGACAGTCAAAACCATAGTATTAACTTGTTTGTTTTGTTTTGTTTTGAGATGGAGTCTCGCTCTCTTGCCCGGGCTGGAGTGTAATGGCGTAATCTCTGCTCAGTGCAACCTCCGCCTCCCAGGTTCAAGTGATTCTCCTGCCTCAGCCTCCGGAGTATCTGGGATTACAGGCACCCACCACCACGCCTGGCTAATTTTTGTATTTTTAGTAGAGACGGGGTTTCACCATGCTGGCCAGGCTGGTCTCGAACTCCTGACCCAGGTGATCCACCCACCTCGGCCTCCCAAAGTGTTGGAATTACTGGCGTGAGCCACAGTGCCTGGCCCCCATGGTATTAACTTTGTGTTAGAGAATCTGTGAATACTTGGTATTTTAAGAATTTGTAATATTTAAGGTAAACTGGCCTATTCAAATAACAGGTCAATCTTGTAATTCCATTGTAAAATGTGGAATTCAGCTGGTGACTAAGACTTACTTGAAATCTGTTTATGTACAGTTTATGAATTTTTTATTCATAAAAGTTATTTAAGAATTGAAGAAAGAGTCATCTGTTTATCTGGTAAGTCAGCTTTTTTTTTTTTTTTTTTCTGAGACAGAATCTCGTTCTGTCACCCAAGCTGGAGTGCAGTGGTGCAATCTTGGCTCACTGCAGCCTCCGTGCCTCTTGGGTTCAAACGATTTTTGTGCCTCAGCCTCACAAGCAGCTGGGATTGTAGGCGCCCATGACCACACCTGGTTAATTTTAGTATTTTTAGTAGAGACAGGGTTTTGTCATGTTGACCAGGCTGGTCTCAAACTCCCAGCCTCAAGTGATCCACCTGCCTTGGCCTCCCAAAGTGCCGGGATTACAGGTGTGAGCCACCACGCCCAGCCCTACTTGTGGCTCTTAAATGGAAAAACCTAACATTAAATTTACAAGCATAGTTTGAAAGTGTTAGGGGAATTTAATAATCATAAAAGCCCTCTTTAAAAGAGACCGTGGCTGGAAGCGGTGGCTCAGGCCTGTAATTCCAGCACTTTGGAAGGCCAAAGTGGGCGGATCACCTGAGGTTGGGAGCTTGAGACCAGCCTGGCCAACATGGTGTAACCCCATCTCTACTAAAAAATACAAAAATGAGCTGGGTGTGGTGGCGGGTGCCTGTAATCCCAGCTGCTCAGGAGGCTGAGGTACAAGAATTGCCTAAACCCAGGAGGCAGAAGGTTTCAGTGAGCCGAGATCACACCACTGCACTCCAACGTGTACAACAGAGCAAGACTCTGTCTAAAAATATAAATTAAATAAATAAATAAAAGAGATTGTTAAAACCTTTTACAAGCTGGGTATAGTGGCTCATGCCTCTAATTCTAGCACTTTGGGTGATAGAGGTAGGAACATTACTTGGAGGAGTTGGAGACCACCCTGGGCAACATAGCAAGACACTGCCTCAAAAACAAACAAACAAACATTGTCTGCTGGCTGGGTGCGTGGCTCACGATGAGGCCGGCAAATTTCTTGAGCTCAGGAGTTCGACACCAGCCTGGGCAACATGGTGAAACCCAGCCTCTACAAAAAATACGAAAATTAGTTCGAGCATGGTGGTGGGCGCCTGTAGTCCCAGCCACTCAGGAGGCTGAGGCAGGAGGATCGCTGAACCCAGGAGGTCGAGGCTGCAGTGAGCTATGACCGCACCACTGCACTCCAGCCTGTGCAACAGAGCAAAACCCTGTCTAAAAAAAAAAGAAAAAAAAGAAAAGAAAAAGAAAACCTTGTAGACTAGGCCAGGATCTTTCCTGGTTGCTAAAACCATTAGGACAACTGTGCTGCACCCCGTTGACTGCCAGAATTAGAGAGCTATAAATAGATATGATGTGTTTCTTAGGGTAACATAAAATACCGTTTTACTCCCAAAGACTTTAGCTTGTGTTTCCTAAAAACAAGGTCATTTAATGTCTCAACAAATCTCTGAGAAAGATCCTGCCTTAGCCCTCACGTTACAGATACGGAAACAGGCTCGGAGGTGCAATCTCTGGCTGTGTAGACAGAACAGGGAGTTGGAACACGGCCTTATGCGTTTCCTCACTCTCACATACCAGCGGGCAGGGAGAGATCCGGGGAGGAGTTGCACTTGCCCCCGGCGGAAATCTCCAAAAATCTGCAAAAATGTATTCCCTGGTACCGCTTTGGGCTCCGGTGGGACCAAGCGAAATTCCGAGACCGAAACGGATGCGCGCTGCGGCCCAGGGTGCGGGTCTGGACCGCCTCCTCCGTGGTGGACGAATCCGAGGAGCAGGACTCCCCGCAACCCAGCCCCAGCCCCAGCCCCAGCCCCGCCGCGTCCCCAGCTGTCACGCTGCGCGCAGCGGGTGGGGCCTGGGGTTCCTGGACAGAGGAGGACTACGCGTGTCCTTGGGCGGAGAAGGGAGGTGACTCCGGCGGAAGAGGACAAGGCAGAATGCAGGCCCTTCGGGTGAGGCCCCCATGGGCTGGGCCGGAGCCCCCCACCCAGAAAACCCCGCCCTAATACGCGACTCTCCAAGTGCCCCCGCATCTAGGGCCTTGGAACGTGAGCCACCTTCAGGGCCTGGGACTCCCCGCTAAACAGCCTGGGTCCCTTCCCCCACAATCCACTCTTCGGAGACAACTGGGGACCCCCACCCCGGCCCAAAGCCCCGGGTTTGAACTTGACATCTCGGGAACCCTTAACACTGGCCTCACCCGGGCCTTCTCAGGCAGCCTGGACGCTCCCGGGGACCTCCATTCCGGTCCCCACGTTCCCGGGACCTGGTTTCCTCCCTTTAATCCAGGAAACCCTCCCCCAACAAAAATCTCAGGACTTAGGCCCCCCAGAACAAAGTCCTTCTGGGTCCTCTCCCTTCCAGGACCCTCTAGGCAGCCCGGTCACCCCCAGGCCAGACTCCAGGGCGAGTCCCCTCCCAACCCAGCTGGCAGTTCGCGGGTAACAGAATCCAAGCTATTACCCTCCTCGCCTTTGGGACGCTCGCTAGGGATGGGGCTGTCCCCACGTCCAGGCCTCAGAGAGCGGGGTCCCACTTCAGGACACCCCTCCAGGTGCCTCCAATACCCGCCCACCTCCCACCCCGCAGGTGTCCCAGGCGCTGATCCGCTCCTTCAGCTCCACCGCCCGGAACCGCTTTCAGAACCGAGTGCGCGAGAAACAGAAGCTCTTCCAGGTGGGGGGTCGGGGGGGGTGGGGATCCGACGCGCCAGCCGGGAGCGCGCCGAGCCGGGGCAGGCGGGGCGCGCTCTAAGGAGCAGCCAGCACCCCTTTCTCATCAGACACCCCCACATCCAGGAGGACAATGACATCCCGTTGTACCTGAAGGGCGGCATCGTTGACAACATCCTGTACCGAGTGACAATGACGCTGTGTCTGGGCGGTGAGCGCAGGGCCCGTCTGGGCTGCGGGGGAGGCGGGGCTGGACCCAGAGTAAGAGGTGGCTGGTTTCTGGGCAGGACTGACCAGGATCTGGGTTGGGGGTTGGCGTTTAGGAAGGGGGTCGAGTACTGAGCTGGAGTCAGGCCTGCAGGGAGGGGAGTAACTAGGGTTTGGGCTCTTGTCCCAGGACGGGGGCTGGGTTAGTGGTGGGGCTGAGGCCCAGGGAGGAGTCGGGGAGAAAGCTCCCAGCCCGGTCTAGATCAAAGCCAGGGGGCTTTACAATAGGAGTCCAATCTGGGAAGGGAGCTGGAGTCCGAACTAGAGCTGGGGTCCAGGCTGGGAACCAGGGAGCCTGAAGGCCTTAAAAGCCTGGGATGTCCAGGGAGGGGATTAGGTCTCATTCTGTCTCCAACGCTTCCCCTTTCTAGGCACTGTCTACAGCTTGTACTCCCTTGGCTGGGCCTCCTTCCCCAGGAATTAAGACCAAGAAGCCTGGGGGGCCTGAGAGACTTGAACAAGTGTCAATAAACGCTGGCCTCTGTGTGTGTCTGTGTTTGTGTCCACCCCTCCCCACCAAGCCCATCCTCCCACCAGCCAGGGATCTCTGCCCTGTGGACTGCCCACTGCCCCCAGCCCTCGGTGCCTCATGCTGGACCAGGGATACTCCTAGGATGTTGCTACCTCTCAGCCCTCTGCTGAGTACCCCAAACAGCACCCATAGGCTCCCCCTCGGGACCCGGGGACGTGGGGTGGTGTCCTCAAGTGGGAAGGAAGACACTGAGCATGGTCCATGACACAACAGAGGCAGAGGCCAAGTGTGGATGGAGAAGCTGCAAGAGGGGCAAACATGGCCTTGGGGGACAGGGCCAGGAGTGGCATTGAGACCTCCCTCCAGCCCAGACTCTGGAAGCAGAAGCAGAGATCACTGGGGCTTCTGGGTCCTGTCTCAGCCTCCACAGCTCAGGATGAGACAAAAAATGCCGACGAGAAAAAGACGAGGAAATCCACGGATCCAGCCCTGGGGACGAATCTACTACCTCCCCTGCTCCCCAGGACCCAGAGCCCGAGCCACCCCTCCTCTCTCGGGTCAGATCAGGAGGCAGATCCCATAGAGATCAGCAACTGGGGCATGTTTATTTCCTCCTGGGCCTGGCAGGCTGGGAGCAGAATATAGACAAAGGCACTGGGGCACCTGGGTCTGGCACGGTCTGGAGCTTGGCCGCCTGGGTAGCAACCGTGAAGGGTGTGCCAGGGCGTGCAGGGACTGGAGTCATCCTCCCAGAACTGAGAGAGGGCCCTCGGGGCATGGAGGCATCACAAGTGCTAGGCTTGGCACAGGTACAGGGGAGAGGTTACGGAGTGGGTGTGTGCAGGGCCTGGTGGGAATGGGGAGACCCGTGGACAGAGCTTGTTAGAGTGTCCTAGAGCCAGGGGGAACTCCAGGCAGGGCAAATTGGGCCCTGGATGTTGAGAAGCTGGGTAACAAGTACTGAGAGAACAAAAGCTTGTGGGTCAGCAGGCCCCACAAAGATGTGACTGCAGACAGGATCGGCCCTGGGAGAGACCGAGGCTCCAGGTGACTCCTATAGCAAGGCAGTGAGGGGGCGGGTCTGGGGCTCCAGTTCAGGAATACATAGTCAGCTGCAGCCACTGGGGAGAGGAGGGTGGAGAGTGAGGACAGGGAACCCCAAGAGCACCAGCCCCTTTGCCCTCACCCAGGGACGGCTGGCAAAATAGGAGGAAGGGGACTGCAGCTCAGAGCTGGTATGAAGGGCTGAGGGGTGGGGTCCTCCCAGGCACCCATACCCCAATATGGGGGTCCTTACCTCCTGGATGTTCACCTGGATTTGTCCAGTGCCATCTTTGTCAAGAGATTTGAAGGCACCTGGAGGAGGAGATGCAGAGGTTTGGCGGCAGGGAAGGAAGGAGACTGGTTTTTGGCATAATAACATTACACAAATACATGGGATGACAATCATAGCAGCTGGCACTTCACTGAGTATTTACTGTGTGCCAAGCATGGGGTAAAGTGCTTTCCAGGTATTGGCTGATTTAATCCAACTCTGTGAGATAAGTGTCATTTTAAAATGAGGCACAGGCTGGGCGTGGTGGCTCACACCTATAATCCCAACACTTTGGAAGGCCAAGATGGGAGGATCACTTGAGCCGCCCAGGAGTTCGAGACCAACCTGGGCAACAGAGACCTCATCTCTGCTTTTTAAAAAAACTAAAAATTAAAAACAGGAAAAAAAGAAATGAGGCAGGAAGGGAGGGGCCATGCCCCAGGTCACATAGCAAGAAAGTGAAGAAATCAGGATTG
Source organism: Homo sapiens (assembly GCF_000001405.40). Taxonomy (NCBI): domain Eukaryota; kingdom Metazoa; phylum Chordata; class Mammalia; order Primates; family Hominidae; genus Homo; species Homo sapiens. The sequence goes on along the minus strand of NC_000019.10, from coordinate 36,149,142 downwards.
GAATCCAATCTGTTACCCTCCTCAATAATGGCCTCTGTGTACTGATATCACCTCTGCCCAGCCCCAGCCTCCTACTGACATCTATGCTCCATCCTCTCCAGTTCTAAGCCTAACAGGCTACTAGAGGGAGGCTCTGCACACTCTACTTCCTGCCCCTAGAGTCTTACAGGTAGGTCCCCACGCCTGCCCTGAAACTTGACTCCATGTTCCCCACCCACAGGGAATCTAGACATGATGACTACACTATCTCCGCTCAGTTACCACCACCCTCAGGTGTCCATACCCACAGCGTCCTGCACACCCTGGCTGCCTTTCTTTCTTTTTTTTTTTGAGACAGAGTCCCACTCTGTTGCCCAGGCTGGAGTGCAGTGGCACGATCTTGGCTCACTGCAACCTTTGCCTCCCAGGTTCAAGTGATTCTCCTGCCTCAGCCTCCTGAGTAGCTGGGACTACAGGCGTGCACCACCACGCCTGGCTAATTTTTTTGTATTTTTAGTAGAGACGGGGTTTCACTATGTTGGCCAGGCTGGTCTCAAACTCCTGACATCAGGTGATCCGCCCACCTCGGCCTCCCAAAGTGCTGGGATTACAGGAGTGAGCCACCATGCCCAGCCCTTTTTTTTTTTTTTTTAGACGGTGTCTCTGTGGCCCAGGCTGGAGTCCAGTGGCAAGATCATAGCTCACTGCAGCCTCACCCTCCCGGGCTCAAGTGATTCTCCTACCTCAGCCTCCCGAGCAACTGAGACCACAGGCATGTGCCACCATGCCCGGCTATGTCTATATACATATATTTTTTTTTTTTTGTAGAGATGGAGTCCTACTACATTGCCCAGGCTGGTCTCAAACTCCTGGACTCAAATGATCCTCCCGACTATCAGCCTTCTTGCTGGTAGATCCAGTGGCTATTTCCTGGCCCCTCTTATGTGACTTGTGGCATCAACCTTGTCTGTCCACTCCCTTCACCTCCCTGCTATCTCACATACCTGCTTCTTTTCCTCTGTTACTTTTCATGCATTGTGGGCTCTCTGGAGGCCAAGGGATCTTTTTTTCTTTTTTTTTTTTTGAGATGGAATCTCGCTCTTGTCACCCAGGTTGGAGGCTGGAGTGCAATGGCATGACCTCTGCTCACTGCAACCTCCGCTTCCTGGGTTCAAGCAATTCTCCCTCCCTAAACCTCCTGAGTAGCTGGGACTACAGACACGCCCCCACGCCTGGCTAACTTTTGTATCGTTAGTAGATGCGGGGTTTCGCCATGTTGGCCAGGCTGGTCTTGAACTCCTGACCTCAGGTTTTACGCCCACCTCAGCCTCCCAGAGTGCTGGGATTACAGGCATAAGCCACTGCACCCGGCCTGGAGGCCAAGGGATTTTTTTTTTTTAAGACGGAGTCTCGATCTGTCACCCAGGCTGGAGTGCAGTGGCAGATCTCAGCTCACTGCAAGCTCCGCCTCCTGGGTTCATGCCATTCTCCCGCCTCAGCCTCCCAAGTAGCTGGGACTACAGGCGCCCGCCACCACACCTGGCTAATTTTTTGTATTTTTAGTAGAGATGGGGTTTCACTGTGTTAGCCAGGATGGTCTCGAACTCCTGACCTCGTGATCCGCCCTCCTCGGCCTCCCAAAGTGCTGGGATTACAGGCGTGAGCCACCGTGCCCAGCCGAGGCCAAGGGATCTTTCTAAAGCCAAACCTGACCCTGTCCTCCCTCTGCCTAGAACCTGCCATGGCTCCCCAATGTCTCTGGTAGAGTTTGAGCACCCCCAAACTTGGCACCCACAATCCTGCATGACCTAATCATGCTCACTGCTCCTACCTTCTCTTACTTAGCTCAGATCTCAGATAGATCCAAGTTCAAATTCTGGCTTTACAACTTCCTAGCTGGGTGACTATGAGCATGAAAATTTGCCTCCTTGAATCCTAAGTTCCTCCTTCACAAAATAAGGACAGTAATCCCCACTTCCCAGCCATGTCTTCAGCATTCAGTACACTAACACTCAGAAGGCCACATGCAATGGCTCATGCCTGTAACACCAAAGCTTTGGGAGGCTGAGGTAGGAGGATTGCTGGAGCCCAGGAGTTCAAGACCAGCCTGGGCAACATAGCAAGACCCTGTCTCTACAAAAAATTTTAAAAATTAGCCAGGCATGGCGGTGTGTGCCTGTACTCCCAGGTATTCGGTAAGCTGAGGCAGGAGGACTGCTGGAGCCTAGGAGTTGAGGCTGCAGTCAGCCATGATCATGCCACTGCACTCCAGCCTGGGCAACAAGAGCAGCAGACTCTGTCTCAAAAAAATAGAAAGAAAGAAATCTAACAAAAAGCATCAGAAGCCCCATCTTCTTTCCCTTCTAGGCCTTTGCACAGGCTGTTCCCTCAGCCTGCAACAGTATTCCCTACCTTCTCACTAAGTTCTCTCCTCATCCCCTCAGGTCTCAATGTTCCCTCTCCAGTGAGCCCTCCCTGACCCCTTGGGCTGCATCAGGTTCCTCCTGGATTGGATTTGCCCTCTAGGCTTCCCCAAGCACAATCTGAGCACGCTCTGCTCACTCTTCCCCTCACCAGAGCCCTAGACCCTCGGCCTGTGCTGCCCCCATCACAACCCATCACTCTGCCCTGAGCTTCCCCTCTCCCAGCCATCACCAGTCTGAACTGTCACTGTCTGGGGACTTGTGTCTCCTCCACCAGACTGTGAGCTCCATGAGGGCAGAAACTGGAACTGATTCAATCACCACTGTGCCCCTAGCATCGCCCACCTCAAAGTCAGGCTTAGAGGAGACCTTGGTCCATAGAGGTCATAGGAATCCCCACCCAGGAAGACAGCTGGGTTGTCACTCACGGAACATGGCGTCCAGCCTGACCAAGCAGCTGATGAAGTTGTCAAAATCCATGTTCCCACTTTCATCTGAGTAGCGTCGGATGATCATGTTATAGAGATGCTCATTCAGGTGGAACCCTAAGATGGATGTAGTCCTTCAGGTGCGGGGGCCACATGGCCCAACCCACTCCCATGCCCAGGAGTCAGGCCCAGACCAGCTGAGTAGAGGTTTTCTCACCCATCCCACTCCCAGCCCCAGCATGTCCCTGCCAGCCATACCTGCTGCCTCAAAGGCACCTGGGAGTTCACTACTGCAAATGGTCCCTGATCGGTCAGTGTCGAACTGTTTGTATATGGCCTGTGAGGACAGAGACATTGGGTCCAAGTGAGCATTGTGGGGCATAGTGTCTCCATGGCTTGGGGGTCTGGGTGCCAGGGATTTCAGAGGTTTCTACACACCTGCCACCTTTTGATGTTGTTCCACAAGTACTTGAATTCCTCAAAGCCCAGCTTGCCTGTGGTGTCGCTCTGGTGGGAGGGTGTTAAGAAGAGTGACAGCTACACCCAGATGCATGCATCACATGCACTGTGGACACGATGGTGATACAGCAAGCAGGGCAGCCAGGGCTGAAACTCCAGCTCCCGCTTGGTCCTAGTCATATCACCTGGTGTGCGGTTTTATTTTTCATTTTATCCATACATATTGTCACTTACATTTCTAAATAGGGATTCTCTTTAAACATAACCATGAGGAATTATATTCAACTACTCTAAAGTACAAATTCCTTGCCTGAAGAGTTGTTAATTGCTCATTCAGAAAATTCTTAATAGGCCACGCACGGTGGCTCCCGCCTGCAATCCAGCACTTTGGGAGGCCGAAGCAGGCGGTTCACTTGAGGTCAGGAGTTCGAGACCAGCCTGGCCAACATGATGAAATCCCGTCTCTACTAAAAATACAAAAATTGGCCAGCTGTAGTAGCGCACACCTGTAATCCCAGCTATTCAGGAGGCTGAGGGAGGAGAACTGCTTGAACCTAGGAGGTGGAGTTAGCAGTGAGCCAAGATGGCACCACCGCACTTCAGCCTGGGAAACAGAGTGAGACTCTGTCTCAAAAAAAAAAAAAAAAAAAGAGAAAGAAAAGAAAATTCTTGACAGTAACTCAATTTCATAAAAATGTTAGGATATGTGAAAAACAAGTGTGTGACCAGGCATGGTGGTTCATGCCTGTAATCCCAGCACTTTGGGAAGCCAAGGCAGGTGGATCGCTTGAACTCAGGATCCACCTGATGTCCACTCAGGAACATCACTTTCTCACTAAATCCTTGGGACACCAGTTCTACCAGGACTATTTCCAGAGAAGAAAACATTCAAAGCTGAAAACTCTACCCAAGATCATAGTTAAGAGCTAATGTGTACAGACCACATACTATGCGCTATACACTGTGCTAAACCTTTTGGATGTAGTTCCGATTCGGTATCACCATTATCACTCACCCATTTTACAGAGAGAGAAACTGAGGCACAGAGCGGTTCAATAACCTGGTTAAGAGGTAGAGTTGGGATTGCTTTGCTCTATGCAATATGTCTGTGATTACATGACATGTATATTATGTATGTGTCTGTTTGCCCTATGTGTTAAATGTGCATGAGGCCAGGCGCAGTGTCTCAAGCTTGTAATCCCAACACTTTGGGAGGCCAAGGCGGAAGGATTGCTTAAGGTCTGGAGTTTGAGACTTGCCAGGTCAATATAGTGAAAGCTTTTCTCTATAAAATATTTTTTAAAACAAAAATAAATAAAAATATGCATGTATCCAAGATCAGCTAATGGCTGGCCCATGTACAGATAACACGTGTGTCCCTGTGCACACTGCCTCATACACCTTCACGTATGTGGGTGTGCTCTTAGGTGTGTGTGTGTGTATATGCGCATGTGGCTGTTATAAACGTGGGTTCTCAAGCCCAAAAGACCTGAGTCCACAGACTGGAGTGCAGTGACGAAACCTCTGCTCACTGCAACCTCCGCCTCCCGGGTTCAAGCAATTCTCCTGCTTGAGTAGCTGGGACTCCCGAGTAGCTGGGACTACAGGCGTGCACCACCACGCCCAGCTAATTTTTGTTATTGTTATTTTTCTTTTTTTTTCTTTTTTTTTTTTTTTGAGACGGAGTCTCTCTCTGTCGCCTAGGCTGGAGTGCAGTGGCGCGATCTCGGCTCACTGCAAAGCTCCGCCTCCCAGGTTCACGCCATTCTCCTGCCTCAGCCTCCCGAGTAGCTGGGACTACAGGCGCTCACCACTGCACCCGGCTAATTTTTTTGTATTTTTAGTAGAGACAGGGTTTCACCGTGTTAGCCAGGATGGTCTCGATCTCCTGACCTCGTGATCCGCCCGCCTCGGCCTCCCAAAGTGCTGGGATTACAGGCGTGAGCCACGGCGCCCGGCCTATTTTTATTTTTATTTTTATTTTATTTTTTGAGACAGAGTCTGGCTCTGTCGCCCAGGCTGGAGTGCAGTGGCGCGATCTCGGCTCACTGCAAGCTCCTCCTCTCGGGTTCACGCCATTCTCCTGCTTCAGCCTCCCGAATAGCTGGGACTACAGGCGCCCGCCACTACGCCCGGCTAATTTTTTTTTTTTTTTTGGTAGAGACAGGGTTTCACTGTGTTAGCCAGGATGGTCTCAATCTCCTGATCTCGTGATCCGCCCGCCTCGGCCTCCCAAAGTGCTGGGATTACAGGTGTGAGCCACCGTGCCTGGCCAATTTTTGTATTTTTAATAGAGATGGGGTTTCACCATGTTGGCCAGGCTGGTCTCAAACTCCTGACCTCAGGTGATCTGCCCACCTTAGCCTCCCAAAGTGTTGGGATTACAGGCATGAGCCACCATGCCTGACCTTTATCTATAACTTGAGACAAATGACTGCTTCTTTCAGGAAACTGAGCCTCAGTTTCCTCTTCTGTAAAATGGAATATAATAATTGTGCCTGTCCAACAGGGTGGTTATGACGGTTCGGTCACTTTATATAATTAAAGTGCCAGCTGTGACAGCTGGCATTGTTATGATTTACCGCCACATGTCTGCAGGTGACTGTGTTCTGATGAATGCATTTCCACATCTGTGGATATGAAAGCTACATGTTGGCTTCCCAAACATACTCTCAAAAAACTCTCTGTCCACCCAGGGCCTCTCCCACACTGCCCCCAAGGATACATCCATCACGGCCACCATGCTGCGACATGTGTCAATGCCAAAACCATCAGTCTTCAGATCAGGGTCTGTGGGTAACAGGTTGAAAGTCAGAGGCCAGAGGTCAAATCCTCTCTGACCCCTCTGCCTCTGAATCTACCCTATTCCTTAACCCCGGTCACTTACGTCGTGTCACAACCTTATTGAGAATGTTCATGAGTTCTGTGGCGCTGACCTCCATGTCCTGCGGGCGGAAGTTAGGGGCAGGTCAGGGGTGACTGAAAGGGGTCTGAGAATGTCATGGAGAATGGGAACACTGGGATTGTCATGGTCAAGGGTGTGTGTGCAAGGGCAGCCACAAGGGAAGGGATGGAACGGTTAGGACGGGGCCAGGGACCCCAGGTTACTTACATCTCCAGCCAGCTGGGCAAAGAGTCTCCGGAACTGCCGGACCTCCTCACTCTCGTTGGCCTCAATGTTGGAGTAATGTGTGCGTGGGGGCTGCAAAGGGAGGAGAGCTCAGAGCAGGGGGAGGGGAACCCGGCCAGGACGGCTCCCCAAACCCAGGTACCCTGGGTGGGGAAGTCAGAGTGGGCTGGGCAGCTTGATGAGGAAAAGAATGAGGGGTGGTAGTGAATGGGGTGCACGTATGTGGGGCATGGCTAAGACCCATGGCGAAGCTGCAGACACGGCATGGGAGGAACTGGCAGAGGAATTTCACAAGAAGGGGAGGAAGGTGGGGCTTCTCTACAGGAACAGGGATGGGACCTCGAAGAGGCCTTGGCAGGAGAAGGGGGTCTGGTTGCAGAGGGGGCTTACCGGGGGCTCCGGGTTGTACTGCGCAGCCGCCTCGCTGCGAAGAGATAAGGGGGAGGGGTTAGTGCCAGGGGCGGGGCCTCCAACGGGCAGCACTACAGAACCATCAGCCCCAACGCTCCAGACCCCAGCCGTTATCTTCCTTACTTGGTTGCTGTGCCTTTCATTTGTTCTTGTCCTCATCTGTCCCAATCCACACTGCCCTGGTCGTGCCCCTCTTCTCCCTTCCTCAGGCCAACCCCACCCTCGAGGAAACCCAGAGACCGGTCCCCTGGGAGGCTCCCCTCCTGCCAGGCACACCTACCCAGTGGCAGATTTCAGTCATCTTGGCCACCCTAAACCTAAAAAATCCCACGTAGAATCAAAAGACCCCGCCCCTTGGAGGGCTCACTTCATAGAGGCTCTGCCCCAGCTTCCCAAGGCCTTATCCTCCTCAGGTGCCATCTGCCCAAGACCCTACTCCATGGCCCGCTTCCTAAATGCCCGTCTTCCCAACATCCTACCCCAGCCATTGGTCCCCGCCCCTTCAAGGGATCACTGCTAAGTGGCCGTGGCTAATTAAGCCAACCTGCCCTATCCCTACCAGGGCATTTTTCTCCATTAATCCAGCCAGTTCCCAGCAAGCCCAGCCCATTCTGGGCCATTTACCCTACCCCATTAGGTCTTGCTTCCTCCTGGGCTCACCTCCTCATTAACCCACCTAAAACCTCTGACCACACTCATAAGTCAAGCCCCTTCCGTAAAATGTCACTCAGACGCATTGGCTCCGCACCTTTAACGTTCATCTCCAGGTTAGCCAATGCAGGCTGAGCCCAGACCCATAAGCCCCACCCGCCAAAACTCCACATCAGTCCCCTCAGGACCACATTGTCCTGGTCCCACACAATCAGACTACTCCCATATCAAGCACCGCCCCCAATGACTGATATCCGCCTCACTGGGGTCCACCCCCTTACAGCAGAACTCTCAAACCAGGCCTCCCCGGCCTAATTCATGTACCCAGGTTAGCCTCCAGGTTAATCCTATTCTATTTTTAGACCACGCCCCTCCCAGACCACGCCTCACTGAGGCTCCTCCCATTCCCAGGCCCCGCCCCTCTGATAGTCTCCGCCTTACCTGATGGCGCTGATGACTCCGCCTAGGATGCGCATGGCCGTTCCACCGCCACCGCCGCCTCCACCACCGCCGCCGCCGCCGCCGCCGCCGCCGCCGCCCCCGGCCCCGCTGATCAGGCCTCCAAGCACATTTCCCAGGCCCCCACCCAGGCCCCCGCCTCCCCCGCCGCCGCCGCCGCCGCCCTTCAAGAACGAGTTAACCAGGAACATGGCTGCGACTCACTGCTGGGGGGAAAAAAGGGGACCAGTGGGTGCTTCGCCCCTGAGCCCACACCCTCCCTTCAAACACGCATTTCCGGCAGCTGGACCTGGGAGGAATCTGAAGCCTCCGGGTGGGGGTCTGAGTTTGCGAGGGCGGGTTGTCCGCGGATGGGTGGGGCAGGTATGGGGGATCAGGTTTGCAACCTCCTCAGGTCTAAAAGGCACCCGTGGGGCTTGAGGGAGCCTGGACTGGGTGCACGCGTGAAGGGGAGGGTGCAGATCTGGTGGGGGTTCTCTTGGTGGGGACCCCAAGTTGGCGTAAGGCGTTCCCGACATGTCTGGGCGCTAGAATGTGAGATCCAGAGCCCAGCCTGAATGTAGAGGTCCTTGGCAGGTCATGGGCGCGGAGCAAACATCCACGGCCTAAAGGGCCCCAGGGCGGGGTTTAGGAAATCCCAAATGTGGGCTTGAGAATTTAGGTATTCCCAGCGGCAGGATTCCAGTGTCACCTCTGGCTCTGTGGGCTCGGGTCTAAGATCGTGGCTGTGAGCTCTGGGTTCCCGGACAATGGGGTTCCCCGCTGGAACTGGGGGCACAGATCTACGATCGCGGTTCAGGACACCCCAAGGAAGAATTCACAGGGTATCTCTGAAACCTATGGGCCTGTATTTTGGATCATGAGACAGAGGGTGGAGAAGGGTCCCCGGGACGGCATAAAAGGAGATCGAACAGGTCTGAGGGTTCGAATCTGAGACCATGGATCTGGGGGGCTCCTGAGGCCGAGACTTCACGGTTTCGCCGGGTCTGGGGGCCGCCAAAGTCGGAGTTGCGGGGTGCGGAGGGGGTACGGGCCGGGCGCTTACCGCCGCACACGTCCGGAGTTCTGGGAGTCGGTTCCACTGCCGCTCCCGGGCCTCCCGCAGCGTCCGGCTCCGGAGGGCGGGGCCGGTGACTCAGGCCGCAACTCTCGGGTCGGACACTGCACCGCGGCCCTGCTGTCGCCCGCGCGGTCCTAGAGCCGAAGCGGACATTGCGCATGCGCACCCCACACCGCCCGGCTAGCTGGATCCAGGTCTGGGCCCCGCCCTACGCGTTTCCAGCGCCGGAGGTCTTAATCCCGCCCTGACTCGGTAGGCGGGGGTCTTCCCGACACCCCTCAGGTCTGGGTGGAGGCACCCGCGGACGAGAACTCGGAGGGGACCCACCCCCCGAGTGTCGTAGTGTGAATTTTCACCCTAGGGCATGCCAATATCCTTCCAGGGTGGCGGTTTTCGGTCCGCTCACTAAGGGACTCCGCACGGGCCCTCTGCAGGTGTTGTCGCGACAAACACCTCCTGGAGGCCTGGAGTATGGTTTGACTCACACGCTGGGGGACAGTCGCCCGTGTCTGTGGCGAGGATTGAGGCTGGATTGCCTTTCCCAGTGCCTGCAGCAGCCCGGATGGCAGTCAAACCGCAGGCAGCGCCTGCGCCGCCTCCCAGGCGAACCTTACCACGCCCCCGCCCCAGTCAGGGGCCACCAGAATCATTCCTTCCTGGACTGGCCCAAAGAGTGTCCTCAGTATGCTAGCCTCTAAAGAAGGCCCCAGACACAGGAAGATTCCTTTGGCCACGGCCTGGTTTCTTTATTTACTTAAAAAATATTATTGTTTTTACATAATAGAGACGGAGGTCTCGCTATGTTGCCCAGGCTGCTCTTGAACTCCGGGCCTCAAGCCGTCCTCCTGCCTCAGCCTCCCAAAGTACTGTGAGGTACTGGGATTACAGGTATGGGCTACCGGCCTTTTTTTGATTTAATTTAATTTTTTACAATAATATTTTTACATAGCCTGGTTTCTTTTCTTTTCTTTTCTTTTTTTTTTTTTTTGTTTTGAGACAGCGTCTTGCTCTGTTGCCCAGGCTGGGGTGCAGTGGCGCCATCTCAGCTCACTGCAGTCTCTGCCTCCCAGGTTCAAGCGATTCTCCTGCCTCAGCCTCCCGAGTAGCTGGGATTACAGGCATGCACCACCACACCCAGCTAATTTTTGTATTTTTAGTAGAGACGGGGTTTCACCATGTTGGCCAGGCTGGTCTCAAACTCCTGATCTTAGGTGATCCACCTGCCTCGGCCTGCCAAAGTGCTAGGATTACAGGCATGAGCCACGGGAGTCCAGTACTTTTTCAGGACTCATCGGGGGGAGCTAAATCTGGCCCCCAGGCAGGCTGGCTGGCTCTTATCCCCTACCCTGCAGGCTGGCTAGGCTTGAGTTGAATCCTGGCTGTGCCCTGTAATAACTGCACAACCCCAAAAGAGTGGCTTGATATTCCTGAGCAGCGATTTTCTCATCTGTAAAATGGGAACATGGGTTGCTCCATACCACTAGGCCCCCTATCAAAATTAAATGATATCTGCAGCAATACTGATTATTAAAAAAAAAACTTAAGTGGTGGCTGGGTGAAGTGGTTCATGCCTGTATTCCCTGCATTTTGGGAGGCTGAGGCAGGAGGATCTCTTGAGCCCAGGAGTTTGACTCCAGCCTGGGCAATATAGTGAGACCTTGTCTCTACAAATAATACAGAAATTAGCTGAATGTGGTGGCATGCGCCTAGTCCCAGCTACTCTAGAGACTGAGGTGGGGGGATCACCAGAGCCCAGGAGGCGGGGGTTGCAGTGAGCCGAGATCATGCCACTGCACTACAATCTGGGTGACAGAGCGAGACTCTGTCTCAAATAAATACTGGGCACAGTGGCTCATGCCAATAACCCCAGGACTTTGGGATGCTGAGGCGGGCAGATCACCTGAGGTCGGGAGTTCGAGACCAGTCTGACTAACATGGAGAAACCCTGTCTCTACTAAAAAATACAAAATTAGCCGGATGTGGTGGTGCATACCTGTAATCCCAGCTACTCGGGAGGCTGAGACAGGAGAATCGCTTGAACCCAGTAGGCAGAGGTTTCAGTGAGCCAAGATTGCACCATTGCACTCCAGCCTGGGCAACAAGAGTGAAACTCCGTCTCCAATAAATAAATAAATAAATTGGTGATAAATGCTTTGTAAATGCCCCCATTAGCTCTGTGTCTGTGCTCATGCTGTTCCCTCAGCCTCGAGGCCAGCTGTATTCCTCAGCTGGTAGACTCTTAGTCTTCCTTAAATAGTACAAAAACAGGCCAGGTGTGGTGGCTCACGCCTGTAATCCCAGCACTTTGGGAGGCCGAGGTGGGCAGATCACTGAGGTCAGGAGTTTGGGACCACCCTGACTAACATGGTGAAATCCTGTTTCTACTAAAAATACAAAAAATCAGCCAGGCGTGGTGGCGTGTGCCTGTAATCCCAGCTACTCGGGAGGCTGAGGCAGGAGAATCGCTTGAACCCGGGAGGCAGAGGTTGCAGTGACTCGAGATCGTGCCATTGCACTCTAGCTTGGGCAACAAGAGCGAAACTGTCTCAAAAAAAAAAAAAAGATACAAAAACAAGTAACCATCAACCACTCCTCCAAGTGCTTGACGTCCATCAGTTCCCTTGTTCTCCTAACAGCCCTGTGACATAGATGCTATTTATTATCCCCATTTTACAGATAAGTAAACCGACTCTGAGGTTAAACCCAAGCAGTCACTCTCCCTAGCCTGTATCCTTAACCACTACCCTTATGCGTTAATAATATAATTAATATAATAGGTCAAATAACAACATCACAACAGACAAAACTAGTTGCAGCTGATGTTTCCTGAGGCCTTGCTGGGGCCAGGCCAAGGTAACTGCTACACAAGCCTTGTCTGCAGGGCAGGAGAGAGAATGGAGATTCTGAAAGGCAGGGTCACGGAGGGTGGCAGAACCAGATCTGAACCCGGGCTTGGCACAGATCTTTTGGTGATGACTAATCCAGATTCCCTTCTCACCACACCCCTCCCTGCCAGACTGACTGCTCCAGCTCTCTGCCCTCTCCCGAGGCTCACTTGCTGCCAGCCCTCATGCCCTCGGCCAGGAACTCCCCTGCTGCCTTTTTTTTTCTGGCCTGATTGTGTAGCTACTCAGGCTGCAGGTGTCACCTCAGGAGTCATCTCTTCCAGAAAGACCTCCCTGTCTCCACCCAACCTGAGACTAGGTGAGGCTTCCAGTTATATGCTTTCAAAATGACTTGTACTTTCTCATGGCACTCACTGCCAATCGTAACCATATTGTCATCTAGTTCTGGCCCCCAACCCCTTATTCCCGGCAGCCCCAGGTGTTAGGTCTCTATCCTCCTCTCTGTACCACTCATGCCATGGGGTGCCTCCCCTACATGCACAGCTTAAATCCTGTCTCTAGGCTATCAACGCCCAGTTTTTTGTTTTGTTTTGCTTTCGAGATGGAGTCTCACTCTGTCGCCCAGGCTGGAGTGCAGTGGCGCGATCTCTGCTCGCTGCAAGCTCCGCCTCCCGGGTTCACGCCATTCTCCTGCCTCAGCCTCCAGAGTAGCTGGGACTACAGGCACCTGCCACCACGCTGGCTAATTTTTTGTATTTTTAGTAGAGACGGGGTTTCACCGTGTTAACCAGGATGTTCTCGATCTCCTGACCTTGTGATCCACCCGCCTTGGCCTCCCAAAGTGCTGGGATTACAGGCATGAGCCACAGCACCCGGCCAACGCCCAGTTTTTTGTGTTGTTCTTAGAGACAGGGGTTCTGTCACCCAGACTGGAATGCAGTGATGTGATGTAGCTCACTGCAGCCTGTAACTCCCGGCCTCAAGGAATCCTCCTCCTGCCTCAACCTCCTGAATAGCTACTGCTACAGGCACAAGCTACCACGCCCGGCAAACATCCAAATTTCCTTTATCTTTTTTCTTTTTTAATTATTTGTAGAGATGAGGTCTTACTGTGTTGCCCAGGCTGGTCTTGAACTCTGAGCTCAAGTGATCCTCCCACCTCAGCCTCCCAAAGTGCTAGGATTACAGGCGTGAGCCACTGCACCTGGCCCTAACCCTAACCCCCAAATTTCTATCTCCAGCCCAGACACCTCCTGCGAACTCCAGGCTCCTACATCCTGCATCATATTCACCATTTCCATGGGAAAGGATGGAAGATCTCAGAGGCTTTTTTTTTCCTTTTTCTTTTTCTTTTCTTTTTTTGAGACGGAGTCTTGCTCTGTCACCAGGCTGGAGTGCAGTGGCGCGATCTCGGCTCACTGCATCCTCCACCTCTGAGGTTCAAGCAGTTCTCCTGCCTCAGCCTCCCGAGTAGCTGGGACTACAGGCATGCGCAACCATGCCCAGCTAATTTTTGTATTTTTTAGTAGAGACGGGGTTTCACCATGTTGGCCAGGATGGTCCCAATCCCTTGACCTCGTGATCCACCCGCCTCAGCCTCCCAAAGTGCTGGGATTGCAGGTGTGAGCCAATGCACCTGGCCCTTAGAGGCATTTTAAGCTTTACATATCCTAAACTGAGCTTCTGACCTTCCTCCAGAACCTGCTCCCTCACTACCTTCCCCACCTAGGTCAGTGGCAGCTCTGTCCTTCCAGTGACTGAGGCCAAACACTCCGGGGTGGTCCTTCACCTCTCTCCTTCACACCCACTCCAACCTGTCAGCAGATATTATTGGCTCCACCTACAGAAACTAAACTCTTCCCCTCCACTGTCCCCACCCTGCCACAGCCTCCATCCTTTCCCACCTGGACACCCCACAGCCTGCTCCCTTCTGTCTGCTCCCTGCTGTCTGCTCCTCTTGTGGAGCCAGAGGAAGCCTGAGACCACCTGAGTCAGGTCAGGGCCCTGTAGGCTCAGAGCCCTGCCCTGGCTGCACCCCACTCCAGGAAAGAGTCAGAAGTTCTCACAACAGGGCCAGGTGCGGTGGCTCATGCCTGGAATCCCAGCACTTTGGGAGACTGAGGCAGGAGGATCGCTTGAACCTAGGAGTTTGAGACCAGCCTGGGCAACATGGCAAGACCCCATCTCTACAAAAAATACCAAAAACTAGCCAGGCATGGTGGCATGTGCCTGTAGTCCCAGCTACTCGGGAGGCTGAGGTGGGAGGATCACTTGAGCCCAGGAGGTAGAGGCTGCAGTGAGCCTTGATTGCACCACTGCACTCCAGCCTAAAGTTCTCATGACAGCCACCCCTAGTGATCTGTCCTGTCACCTCCCTGCCCTCATCTCTTCGCCCTGGAGAAAGTGAGAAGATGCCTGCCTGGCAAGGTCACCTGCATGTTCCCAGCTGAACAGAGACAAAACTCAGCATGGAGGCCCTGCAAGCACAGCAACATCCAAACAGCCTCTCTCAGGGCAGACATGAAGACATGAGGCCACCACTCCCTTACCAAGACCTTCTCCAGCCCCAGGTCTGGGAAGCAGATCTTTCATGTCTACACATCTAGTGATCACGGGAAGGTCCTGTCTTTTATCACCCGCTCACGTACTGTGTACTTTTTTTTTTGTTTTATTATTATTATTATTATTATTGAGATGGAGTTTCATTTTTGTTGCTCAGGCTGGAGGGCAATGGCACGGTCTTAGCTCACTACAACCTCCACCTCCTGGGTTCAAGCGATTCTCCTGCCTCAGCCTCCCAAGTAGCTGGGATGACAGGTGTCCACCACCACACCCGGCTAATTTGTTTGTATTTTTAGTAGAGACAAGGTTTCATCATGTTGGCCAGGCTGGTCTCGAACTCCTGACCTCAGGTGATCCACCCACCTCAGCCTCCCAAAGTGCTTAGATTACAGGCATGAGCCACCACGCCCAGCCCTGTGTACTTTACATATTGATCCAGATTTCTGTCTCCTCCGCTAGTATGTGAGCTTGCCACGGACTGGGACTTCTATTTTTTTTTTTTTTTGAGACGGAGTCTCACTCTGTTGCCTAGGCTGGAGTGCAGTGGCTCGATCTCGGCTCACTGCAACCTCCACCTCCTGGGTTCAAGCAATTCTCTGCCTCAGCCTCTCGAGTAGCTGGGATTACAGGCACCCGCCACCACGCCCAGCTAATTTTTGTATTTTTAGTAGAGATGGTGTTTCACCATCTTGGCCAAGCTTGTCTTGAACTCCTGACCTCAGGTGATCCATCCGCTTGGCCTCCCAAAGTGCTGGGATTACATGTGTGAGCCACTGCACCCGGCTGGACTGGGATTTCTATATGTCTTGTTCACTGCTATGTACTCACTCAGAGGTATGTATCCAGTTCCTAGAACAGTGGTTGGCACATCATAGGTGCCCAGTAAACATTTGTTGAATGAATGAATATGTTTTGTGTGTATTTTCTCATTGGATTTTCAGCACCAGCAGTGAGACAGTAGGGCAAGCATTACTAATGCCCTCCGCCATCTCCCAGGATCTGCTGAACTCAGGAGTTATCTGACTTACTTTGGCCAATAAAATGTAAGTAGAAGTGTTGGATGTAGAACACTTTAAATGCTCCTTGTAGAAGCATTTAAAAACCAGTGCAACCATTGCACTCCAGCCCAGTGGACAGAGCAAGACCTTGTGTTTATGGCGGGCGCAGGGGAAGGCAGTGCAGAATGCTCCATGCTCTGTTTTCTCCTGCCCGGGTCACACTAGGAGCTGAGCAAACCTGGAGGTGCCACATGAAGGAAGAGGGCCGAGCCCTGGCATCGAGCACTTCTGCTCTTGATAGTCACCCAGACCCACAGCTGACTTTGTATAAGCAAGAAATTTTTTTCTTGGCCAGGTGCAGTGGCTCACACCTGTAATTCCAGCACTTTGGGAGGCCAAGGCGGGTGGATCACTAGGTCAGGAGATGGAGACCAGCCTGGCCAATATGGTGAAACCCCGTCTCTACTAAAAATACAAAAATTAGCTGGGTGTGGTGGTGAGTGCCTGTAATCCCAGCTACTCGGGAGACTGTGGCACGAGAATCACTTGAACCCGGGAGGCAGAGGTTGCAGTGAGCCAAGATCGTACCACTGGACTCCAGCCTGGTGACAGAGCAAGACTCCATGTCAAAAAAAAAAAAAAAAAAAAGTGAGACAGGGTCTCACTTCATTACCCAGGCTGGAGGGCAGTGGCACAATTATAGCTCACTGCAACCTCAAAATCCTAGGCTCAAGGGATCCTCCCACCTTAGCCTCCAGAGTAGCTGGGACTACAGGTGTGCACCACCACACCTGAATCATTTTTTTATTTTTTGTAAGGACCAGGTCTCACTATGTTGCCCAGGCTGGTCTTGAACTCCTGGCCTCAAGTGATCCTCCCACCTCGGTGCCCCAAAAGTGCTGGGATTACAGGCGTGAGGGACCATGCCCAGCCAGTGATTGCTTTATGGCCATGGCTTGCCAAGGCCTCTCACAAGCCTCTGAGAAAGAAACCAACATGAGAGGAAGTGGATGTTCAGAGAGAGTGAGTCACTTGCCTGAGGCCACACAGTAGATGGCAGAGCATGGCTGATGCCAAGTTGTTATGTGATGACTAATCCGGGTACCTGTCCGACCTCTGCCTTCCCTTCAGCAGGTCAGCACCGCTCTGTTCCCTCTCCTCTTACCAGGCTTCCTTGCGGCCAGACTCTTGTATGGGCTGTGACCCTGCAGGACCTCCTCTCCTATTGTTTTTCTTTGGAGTCAATTCCCTGATAAAAATTATTTGCTTGGGCCGGGCGAGGTGGCTCAACACCTGTAATCCCAGCACTTTGGGAGGCTGAGGTGGGTGGATCTCTTGAGGTCAGGAGTTCGAGACCAGCCTGGCCAACATGGCAAAACCCCATCTCTACTAAAAATACACACACCCACACACAAACCGGGTGTGGTGGCAGGCACCTGTAATTCCAGCTACTCCACAGGCTGAGGGAAGAGAATCGCTTGAACCCAGGAGGTGGAGGTTGCAGTGAGCCGAACAAAACAAACAGAAAAAAACAAAACAAAAAAGAAATTCTTGCATGGCCAAACTAGTCAAGTCTCTGAATCTTCTGCTAGGCTCATCTGTGTACTCCCTTGTCAAATCCAGTTTTAGCAAAGAACCCTGCTAAGTCAGTTTATCGAGAACCCTCTCCCATCTTCAACATCTGATTAGGTTCCTCATCCTCCACCAGCCCCTATGTGATGTCTGATCACCTGGGCCTGTCTTCAGCAAGAATCCTGTTAGGCTGGTTTAGCCAGAATCCCCCCTTACCCCTGATGTTTCCTCTTAGTAACTTTCAATCCACTGCGCCCCACCCGATCCTGGGCTATGAATTCCCACTTCCCCATGCAGTATTTGGAGTTGAGCCCAACCTGTCTCCCTCACTGCAAGGCCCTGCCACTGTGGCCCCTCTCTCTATCGTAATGGCTCTGAATAAAGCCTTCCTTTCCTGTGCCTTATTCTATTTTTAATTTTTTTAATTTTTTGAGATGGAGTCTCGTTCTGTTGCCTAGGCTGGAGTGCAGTGGCGTGATCTTGGCTCACTGCAACCTCTGCC
Source organism: Homo sapiens (assembly GCF_000001405.40). Taxonomy (NCBI): domain Eukaryota; kingdom Metazoa; phylum Chordata; class Mammalia; order Primates; family Hominidae; genus Homo; species Homo sapiens. The sequence continues at coordinate 36,131,662 of NC_000019.10, read as the reverse complement.
TCTCGAGTTCAAGAGATTCTCATGCTTCAGCCTCTCCAGTGGCTAGGATTACAGGTGTGGGCCACCACGCCCAGCTAATTTTTGTGTTTTTAGTAGAGACGGGGTTTCACCATTTTGGCCAGGCTGGTCTTGAACTCCTGACCTCATGTGATCTGCCTGCCTCAGCCACCCAAAGTGCTGGGATTACAGGCGGAAGCCACCGTGCCCAGCCCTTCCTGTGCTTTAACAACTGTTGTTGAATAATTTTTTTTCCTTTTTTTTTTTTTTTTGAGACAGGGTCATGCTCTGTCACCCAGCCAGACTGGAGTGCAGTGGTGCAATCACAGCTCACTGCAGCTCAACTTCTCAGGCTCAAGCGATTCTCATGCCTCAGCCTCCCGAGTAATGGCTAATTTTTTGATTATTTGTAAAGATGGGGTTTTCCTGTGTTGTCCAGGCTGGTCTCAAACTCCTAGGCTCAAGCGATGCCCCTGCCTCAGCCTCTTAAGTAGCTAGGACTACAGGTGTGCATTACTAAGCACAGCTCACAAAATGTATTTTAAAATAAAAAATTCAGGCCAAGCACAGTGGCACACACGTTATCTCAGTGCTTTGGGAGGCTGAGAGGGGAGGATTTCTTGAGCCCAGGAATAGAGACCACTCTAGGCAACATAATGAGACCTCATCTGTACAAAAATAAGTTTTTTAATTAGCTGGGCATGGTGGCACACACCTGCAGTCCTAGCTACTCAGGAGGTTCAGGCTGGAAGATAGCTTGAGCCCAGAAATTCGAGGCTGCAGTGAGATATGATATATGATCACACCATGACACTCCAGCCTGGATGACAGAGCAAGACCCTGTTTCTGAAAACAAACAAAAAACCCAGAAAGTAATGCCCAAGAGGATCCTTTTATACAGGTTATCATGGACTAGCATATTAATGAAAATTCCTGCAACAAAGCAGCTAATTTAACTTAGTTCAAGGCAGCAAATTCCACATTTCTTTTGTCAAGGAACTCCTTTTTTTTTTTTTTTTTTTTTGAGAGGGGTCTCTCGCTCTGTAGGCTGGAGTGCATTGCTGTGATCTCAGCTCACTGCAACATCTACCTCCCAAGTTCAAGCGATTCTCCTGCCTCAGCCTCCTGAGTAGCTGGGATTACAGGTGCCCGCCACTATGCCAGGCTAATTTTTGTATTTTTAGTAAAACAGGGTTTCACTATATTGGCCAGGCTGGTCTTGAACTCCTGACCTTGTGATCCACTGCCTTGGCCTCCCAAAGTGGTGGGATTACAGGCATGAGCCACCTTAACTGGCCTCAAGGAACTCTTTTATCTTTAGGTATTTCATTCATGTCCCCTGGAATCTTGTCAAATGCTGGCTGAAATTTTCTTGTAAAATTTTGTGGCATGGCGGCTTATGCCTATAATCCCAGCACTTTGGGAGGCTGAAGTGGGAGAATCACTTGAGCTCAGGAGTTTGAGACCAGTTTGGGCAACATAGCAAGACTCCATCTCTACAAAAAAGTGTTTTGAAAAAATTAGCCAGGCATAGTGGTGTGCCCGTGCTCCTAGCTACTTGGGAGGCTGGGGTGGGAGGATCGCTGGAGCCCAGGAGTTTGAGGTTGCAATGAGACGAAATTGTGCCCCATACTCCAGCCTGGATGACAGAGAGACCCTGTCTCAAAAATAAAAAATAAAAATAAACATCTTTCCTGATTTGACAGGCAAAAGGTGGTGTCTCAATATTTTATGTAACATTCTTCAAATATGAATGGGGGTGAACTTGGCTTTCATGGTTTTTTGGCTATTGGTGTTTCTTTTATGTATTGTCTTTTCAAATATTTGCCCAGTTTCCTTATTGGCTTTTCATGTTAATTTCACATTACTTTATTAAAATCTTTATTCTTGGCCGTGCGCAGTGGCTCACACCTGGAATCCCAGCACTTTGGGAGACTGAGGTGGGAGGATTGCTTGAGCCCAGGAGCCTGAGGCTGCAGTGAGCCGAGATTGTGCCACTGCACTCCAGCCTGAGCAACATGGCGAAACCCCACCTCTACAAATAATACAGAAATTAGCTGGGTGTGGTGGCATGTGCCTGTAGTCTCAGCTATTCATGGGGCCTACTGAGGTGGGAGGAGCACTTGAGCCCGGGAAGTTGAGGCTACAGTGAGCTCAGATCACACCGCCGGGATCACACACAGGCTGGATAACAGAGCAAGACGCTGTCTAAAAAACAAACAAAAAAATCAGCTCTTTTTTTTTGAAATGGAGTTTCGCTTTTGTTGCCCAGGCTGGAGTGCAATGGTGTGATCTTGGCTTGCCACAACCTCCGCCTCCTGGGTTCAAGCGATTCTCCTATCTCAGCCTCCCAAGTAGCTGGGATTATAGGTATGGGCCACCATGCCCGCCTAATTTTGTATTTTTAGTAGTTTCTCCATGTTGGTCAGGCTGGTCTTGAACTCCCAACCTCAGGTGATTCGCCTGCCTCGGCCTCCCAAAGTGCTGGGATTACAGGTGTGAGCCACCCTGCCTGGCCTGCAGCATTCTTTCCTTCATTTTTTTTTTTTTTTTTTTTTTTTGAGATGGAGTCTCATTCTGTCACCCAAGCTGGAATGCAGTGGCATGATGTCAGCTCACTGCAACCTCCACCTCCTGGGTTCAAGCAATTCTCCTGCCTCAGCCTCCCAAGTAGCTGGGACTACAGGCACATGCTGGCATGCCCAGTTAGTTTTTTGTATTTTAGTAGAGATGGGGTTTCACTGTATTGCCCAGGTTGGTCTCGAACTCCTGAGCTCAGGCAATCCACCTGCCTCGGCCTCCCAAAGTGCTGGGATTACAGGCGTGAGTGCCCGGCAGCATTCTTTCTAGTAAAACTTTTCTTTTTCAAGCCTACGCTGTCCTCAGTAAATTCTTCTTACTGTTAGAAATAAGTTCTTGGTGCCACAGAGAGAGACCAGCACTCGGAGAAAAGTTTCTTAGCAAGGCAAAGTTTACTTCTGCAGAAGCGTGCTGCCCAGACCTGTACCAAAAGCACACCTAATAAAGGAGAGCAGGGGTTTTTAACCCCCGTTGGCTAGGGTTGGACCTCACAATCTAAGCTGATTCCGATTGCCTATTTCTAATAGAGGCGGGGTATGGGTTGCAGCGGCGGGGAGGGGCAGTTTCCCCGGTAAGGGCAGTTTCTGCAGGAAGGACAGTTCATAGAGCAAAGGACAAGGAAGTTAGATTTTTGAAGAGGAACTCATTCTGTCTAACATTACCAACACTTTCGCTCCCGGGGCTCTGACATCTCGCCCGGCAAAAGAGATTTCTTTTCTTTTTTTAGATGGAAACGCCTCGTGCTTGAACAGGCTTGGGAGCGGACCAGGAGCCCGGGGAAAGGGACAAGTAGAGATGCAGGAAAGCAGGAGGACAGGAAGGAGGCCCAGCCGGCTCCAGCCACTAAGGGAGCTCGCTCGCCTCACTTCCACTGCGGCCAGAAAGTCAGCTTCGGCGCCTCCCCCGGGACGCTGGTTCCCCGCCTCAGATTAAGCTCGGCTGTCTGTACCGGATGCCCGCGCCTGCGCTGCACCGCCCTTCGCGGAGCGCGGAGCCAAATGCCTACATCCCACAATCCCCCGCAACGCCGGCAGGGGCGAGACCTCAGCTTCCAGCTCTGGGCAAGACCAGGCTCAGATTGTCGCGTAGTTTTCTGGGAAATGCCGTTTGCGTTCCAGGATGCTTATGCCACCTTTGAGACTACGCGACCCATAATGCACCAGGGGCGCAGCGTCTGAACGGTGCGCTGCCGCCCCCTCGTGGCAGATGGGCGGTCATTGCCGAGGCTAGGCACGCAAAGGTTGCGGGATCTGGGAGGCGAGCCCAAGTCCTGGGAACCCCTGGGAATTCCCTCCCAACCCCAAACTTTGGGCAGGAAAGGTGGAGTGTTGACGGGAAACGGTGAAAGACTTGCGGACAGGGCCTGCTGTGAGGATTAAAGGAAACCAGCCCAGTAACTGTTGGCTGTATAATCCTTAATAATGTGACACGCCACGTGCTGGTGTCACGGCATGGAGTCTCGCTGTGTCACCCAGGCTGGAGTGCAGTGGTGTGAACACAGCTCACTGCAGCTTCTACCTCCCAAGGCTCAAGTGATCCTACCACCTAGCCTTCCAAGTAGCTGGGACTACAGGTGCGTGCCACCACACCCGGCTAATTTTTGTTGTTGTTGTATTTTTTGTAGAGACAGGGTTTTTGCCATGTTGCCCAGGCTGGTCTTGAACTCCTGAACTCAAGTGGTCTGCCCTCCTCGGCCTCCCGGAGTGCTGGGATTATGGGCATAAGCCACCATGCCTGGCTTTTTTTCTTTTTTTTGAGACGGAGTCTCACTCTTGTCCCCAGGCTGGAGTGAAGTGGCACGATCTCAGCTCACTGCAATCTCCACCTCCTGGGTTCAAGCCATTCTCCTGCCTCAGCCTCCTGAGTAGCTGGGATTACAGGCACGCGCCACCACACCCAGCTAATTTTTGTATTTTTAGTAGAGTCAGGGTTTCACCATGTTGGCCAGGATGATCTCGATCTCCCGCCTCGGCCTCCCAAAATGCTGGGATTACAGGCGTGGGCCACCGTGCTTGGCCTCTTTTCTTTTTTTTTGGTTTTGAGACAGGGTCTTGCTCTGTCATCCAGGCTGGAATGCAGTGGTGCCATAACTCGCTGTAGCCTTGACCTTCTGGGCTTAAGTGATTCTCCCACCTCAGCCTCCCAAGTAGCTGGGGCTACAGGCATGCGCCACCATACCTGACTCATTTTTTGCATTTTTGTAGAGATGAAGTTTTACCATGTTGTCCAGGCTGATCTCAAACTCCTGGGCTTAAGCGACCTGCCAGCTCGGCCTCCCAAAGTGCTGGGATTACAGGCATGAGCCACTGTGCCTGGCTGAGTTGTACATCTTTTTTTTTTTTTTTTTTTTTTTTTTTTGAGACGGAGTCTCGCTCTGTTGCCCAGGCTGGAGTACAGTGGCGTGATCTCAGCTCACTGCAAGCTCTGCCTCCCGGGTTCACGCCATTCTCCTGCCTCAGCCTCCTGAGTAGCTGGGACTACAGGCGCCCGCCACCATGCTTGGCTAATTTTTTTATTTTTATTTTTTGTAGAGATGGGGTTTCACCATGTTAGCCAGGATGGTCTCGATCTCCTGACCTCATGATCCGCCTGCCTCGGCCTCCCAAAGTGCTGGGATTATAGGTGTGAGCCACCACATCCAGCCAGAGTTGTACATCTTTTTTTTTGAGACAGTCTCGCTCTGTCGCCCAGGCTGGAGTGCAGTGGCATGATCTTGGCTCACTGCAAGCTCCGCCTCCCAGGTTCTCGCCATTCTCCTGCCTCAGCCTCCCCAGCAGCTGGGACTACAGCACCCACCACCATGCCCGGCTAATTTTTTTGTATTTTTAGTAGAGAAAGGGTTTCACCGTGTTAGCCAGGATGGTCTCGATCTCCTGACCTCGTGATCCACCCGCCCTGGCCTCCCAAAGTGTGGGATTACAGGCGTGAGCCACCGTGCCCAGCTGGCTGTACATCATTTTTAAAGGCAAAGGATATCCCCTCCCTTCCCTTCCCTTTCTTCCTGGTAGCTACAGCAGATGAGGTGGGAATGATGAGAAGATGGGGGAACAGCAAGATATGAGGAGACAGAGGCTGGCCCCTGATACCGAAGGGCCACTATTTACCCAGTGGGTCCCCAAATCATGAAGTCCTCTAAATACTTTCTGGGTTTCTAGTGAATTTAATGCATGAGTCTCAAAAATCAATGGCAAAGGAAAAAATGAATAAAATTAAAATGGGGTCAGGAGAAAAGGGCCATGGGCACACACAGGAGGGGCAGTCAGTGGCTGAGCTAGGAGCTGAAGCAGGGGAATTCCTTAGGTGTCATATCTCGTCCAACCCGTAGTCCTCCTCCGGGAAGTCCCCCACCGTCACGACTGCTGGCTTGACAAAGGCGCCATACTTGGCCTGGCATTCGAAGTAGCGTTTCCCATTCACACTGCAGGAAAGGATAGGGGTGGGTGTGGTCAGAGGACCCTCACATGGCTCCACTCTAGAAGCTGGCATGGGCAGCTCAGCAAGCAGCACGCATGGACTTACACACAAATGCACACACAGACACCTGAGTGGGAATTCTTGTTACCTGCCATCATTTTTCCCCAGTGGCTCATCATAGCGGACACCAATCCAGTAGCCAGGCTTGAAATCTGTGAGACCTGCCAACAGAAGAGAAATCCCTGTGAAGCTTCTGGACATAGAAGAAATCCCCATGAAATTTCAGGATCACCCTGGATCCATGCCTACCCATTGAGTAGAAGCCTGTCTTGGTGAAAACCATTTCTTGCTACCTCTATTGCTACCACTAGGACCACCTCCAGCTCCTGCCGGGACTAATATGGTAGCCACTTCACTGGTGTCCCTGCTTCCACCCCTGTCCCCCATTCACTGGGTGAAGACACCAGCCAGTGAGGGCTTTGTAAAAACCTAAGGGGGATGGCACTACTGCCTTGCCAGAGAGAGAGGCTTCAGAATAAATCCAACCTGCTGACAGCTTGATCTTGAACTTCTAGCCTCCATTACTGTGAGAAATAACTTTAAGTTGCTCAGTGAGTGGTACTTTGTTAGCAAACTAATACACAACTCAGCGACAAAAGACAGCATCCCAATGAAAAACTGAGCAGAAGAATATACAAGGAACTCAAAGAACACCCACTTTGCAAAAAAAAAATCCCATTACAAAGTGGGCAACAGGAAGTTGAGGCTGCAGTGAGCCACGATCATGGCCAAAGGACATGAACACACACTTCTCAAAAGATGACATACTGGCCGGGTGCGGTGGCTCACGCCTGTAATCCCAGCACTTTAGTAGGCTGAGGAGGGTGGATCACGAGGTCAGGAGATCGAGACCATCCTGGCTAACACGGTGAAGCCCCGTCTCTACTAAAAATACAAAAAATTAGCCGGGTGTGGTGGCGGGCGCCTGTAGTTCCAGCTACTCGGGAGGCTGAGGCAGGAGAACCGTTTGAACCCGGGAGGCGGAGGTTGGAACGAGCGAGCTGAGATCATGCCACTGTATTCCAGCCTGGGCACAAAGCGAGATTACGTCTCAAAAGAAAAAAAACAAAACCAAACCCCGACATACCGATGGGCGCAGTGGCTCATGTTTGTAATCCTAGCACTTTGGGAGATCCACCAGCTCAGGTGGATCACTTGAGGCCAGGAGTTTGAGACCAGCCTGGCCAACATGGCAAAACCCTGTCTCTACTAAAAATACAGAAATTAGCCAGGTGTTGTAGCGCTCACCTATAATCCCAGCTACTCGGGAGGCTGAGGCATGAGAATTGCTTGAACCCGGGAGGCAGAGGATGCAGTGAGCTGAGAGCACCACTGCACTCCAGCCTGGGTGACGGAGTGAGACTGTGTGTCAAAAAACAAAAGGCAAAGGATCTGAATAGACATTTCTCCAAAGAAGATACACAAATGGCCATGCAAAGATGCTCAACATCATTAGCTGCCAAAGAAGTGCAAATCAAAACCATGATGATGTTCCACTTCACACCCAGTGGATGACTGTAAGCAAAAGACAGACTAAAGTGCTGGTGAGGATGAGGACAAAATGGGACCCTTCTGCACTGCTGGCGGGAATGAAAACTGCTGCAGCGGCTGTGGGAAGCAGTGTGGCAGGTCCTCAAAAAAGTCAAGCACAGTGTTACCATGTGGCCCAGGGATTCCACTCCTAGGCACAGAGAAATGAAAACAAATGTCCACATAAAAATGTATTTTTTATTTTTTGAGATGGAGTCTTGCATGGTTGCCCAGGCTGGAGTGCAGTGGTGTGATCTTGGCTCACTGCAACCTCCGCCTCCCAGGCTCAAGCGATTCTCCTGCCTCAGCCTTCCGGGTAGCTGCGATCACAGGCACCCGCCACCACGCCCAGTTAATTTTTGAATTTTTAGTAGAGATGGGGTTTCACCATGTTGGCCAGGCTGGTCTCAAAATTCCTGATCTCAGGTGATCTGCCCACCTTGGCCTCCCAAAGTGCTGGAATTACAGGCATGAGCCACCATGCCCAGCCACACAGAAATTTATAAAAGAATGTTCAGGCCTAGCATGGTGGCTCACACCTGTAATCCCAGCACTTTGGGAGGCTGAAGCAGGACGATCACTTGAGCGGGAAGAGTTTGAGACCAGCCTGGGCCACATGGCGAAATCCCATCCTACAAAAAAAACCACAAAACTTTAGCCGGGGGTGGTGATGAGTACCTGTATTCCCAGCTACTCAGGAGGCCGAGGTGGGAGGATGGCTTGAGCCCAAGAGGTTAAGGCTGAAATGGCCGAGATTGTGCCACTGCATTCCAGCCTGGGCAATAGCCAGATGCTGTCTCAAATTAGAAAAAAAAAAAAAAAAAAAAGAAGAAGGTTCATAGCAGCATTATTCATAATAGCCAAAAAGTGGAAATGACCCTAATGTCCACTAACTGGTGACTGGATACACTGTGGTCTAGGCGCTCAATGCAGGACTATTTGGCAACAGTGTGGCACTGACACAGGCATGCCACGGATGAAACTTGAAAGCATTCTGCTCAGTGGAAGGCGCCAGTTACAAAAGGCCACAGACTGCATGATCCTATTCCTATGAAACATCCAGAATCGGCAAATTAGAGACAGACGTAAATTAGTGGCTGAAGACGACTGGGGGATGGGTACACACAGGCATAAAGACGGAAATACCAGACAGTGGGGATGCCAGAAACAGGAGGGTGGTGAGGGTTGAAAAATTATCTGTTGGGTACGATGTTCACAATTTGGGTCATGGGTACACTAGAAGCCCGGTCCCCACCCACTAGCAGGCAACACACCCATGTAACAATACATATATGTACCCCGTGTATCTTTTTTTTTTTTTTTTTTTGGAGACAGGGTCTCCCTCTGTCACCCAGGCTGCAGTGCAGTGGTGCGATCATAGCTCACTGCAGCCTCAACTCCCGGGCTCAAGCCATCCTCCCACCTCAGCCTCCCAAGTAGCTGGGGCACCTATAGGTGCTCACCACCACAACTGACAAAAGTTTTGTGGGATTTTTTTTTTTTTTTTTTTGTAGAGACAGGGTCTCATTATGTTGCCCAGGCTGGTCTCAAATTCCTGGGTTCAAGTGATCCTCCTGTCTCAGCCTCCCAAAGTGCTGGGATTACAGGTGTGAGCCACTGCACCCAGCCTTTTTTTTGAGACTGGGTCTTTCTCTGCTGCCCAGGCTAGGGTGCAATGACACAATCATAGCTCACTGTAACCTCCAACTCCGGGGCTCAAGCAAGCCTCCCACCTTGTTCTCCCAAAGTGCTGAGTTTACAGGCGTGAGCCATCATGCCTAGCCTGTTCTTTTTAAAAAAATCCACACTGCTCTCCACTGTGACGCCGCCCTGCCCATGCCCCTGACTACACTTCTCCCCTCTCCTCCCGCTCCCCTTCCCCAGGTGGACCTCCTGCGCTCTGCTCACCTGCACCCGCTACTCCTTCTGGCGGGAACTCTTCCTCCCTTTTCACCTGGCTGCTGCCTCCTTTCCTTCAGATGCTCCCAGCCTCCAGGTGCTTCCTCTGGGCTCACACAGCCCCCTGTGTTCCCTCACTCCTGCCTTGGTCACGCCGCCCGTTTCCCCACCGCGACTGACACTGCCCCACGCTTCGAAGCGCACAGGCCGCGTGCCTCTGGCTTCTGCTTCCTCCCTCGCTGGACAGATCACTCCGCCTGCGCCTCCCACTTCCCTCCACAAACACTCTGGGCCGTCAGTGTCGGCAGATGGTTCCGTCACCTCCAGGGACTGAGATCGTTTCGAGTCCCCCCCAACCCCGCGCCCCTAGGCAGAGCGTGGTCTCCGAGGCTCCACTGTGCCCCCAACATTTCCTCCCGGCCTTGGAGCCCTGGAGCCCGGGACCGGGCCCGCGAGCCACGCACCTACATACATGACGGTGCCCCGGCGAGGGGATTGTCCCGCCGCCCGCACCTCACAGCGGCTGCCCACGGGGATGGAGCTGGCCTGGGCCTTCTCCTCGGCCAGGCGCTGGGCGGCCTCGGCCTCCTGCTGAGCCCGCTCCTCCTCGTTGTACCGGCCGAGCTTGCTGCGCTTCAGGAAAGAGCGGACCGTGTCTGTGGGCAGAGGGGGCTGGGGTCAGTTGGGGTGTCGGCCGGGCCTAACAGGATGACGCTCCACCCACGAGGGGCCCACGTTCACGGAGGAACTCTCTCTTCCAGGTGACAAAGGGCTGTCACCCAAGCCCCAGGTCTCCCACCACAGCCTTAGCCTCTCCCAGGACTCCTAGGCCCCCCAACTCCACAATCGTAAATGGAAGGGGTGCCGCCTGCACCCCTCACTACAGGACCCATGGTCTCTCACCCCTTCAGCGCACATCTGCCTTCATCATCCGCCTTCCTCCTCCGCCCTCCTCCGGCCCTGAGGCCCCCGGTCTCCCCCAACACTCGATCCGTCCCAGGCGCCCTCACTGACCGCCACCCTGTCCACTCGCATTCCACCTGTCCTGCCCTCCACACCCCGTCCGACCGCCCCATGCCCCCATCTGACCCTGACAACACCCAGCCCCCACACCTACCCCTCAACTCCCTCCACTTTCCCAGCCCTCCCCCGACCACGTCTGACTGCCCATACCCCTGACACCTCCCGGCCCTCATTCCCACCCCAGGCCTCCGTCTGTCCCCACTCCCAGCCTCACCCCTATATCCTCCCAAGCTCTCGGCCCCCCGTCTACACCACTGGCCTCCCTGCAGGGGCCCTGTCTAACCTGCCCGCCCTCATACCTGCACATACTCCCTCTGGCCCCCACGCACCCCTCGACGCCCACCTGCCCGTACCTTGCCTCTGGTCGTAGGCTTCTTGTGAGATCGTGTACTTCTCCACCCGGGACACGTCCTCATACTCACCAAGGCGGGCGCCACTGTGGTCAATGACCTGTGTGAGGGGAGGGGCTCCGTGGGGATCAGGGTCTGGCCAGGGAGGCCTGGGTGCTGGGTGCAGGGACTTCAGTGTCTCCATCTGGGAAAAACGCATCTCCCTCCCTCGCCTGTACTGCAGCCTTCTCTTCTCTCCTGAGCCCAGCGGAAGGGAGAAGTAGCTACGTACACTGGCCACCTCCCCTTCCTCACCCCCATCCAAGCTCCCAGAGGCTGCCTCTGTCCCCAGAAGTTCCCCGCTTGCTGGCATCAACATCGCCAAGGGCCCCAAAGTCACAGAGTCCAACCGGCAGAGCTCAGGCCTTGCCCACAGCCCTGTGCACAGCGCATCTCCTCGATGGGCCTCTGGGACTCTCCTAAGCTGGCCCCAACCTCAGGCCCCAGAGCATCTCTTCCTGTTCTGCCCCCACTATTCATTCATTCATTGGTTTCCGAGCTCCCAGGGGCCCAGCTGGGCCTCATGCTGGGGACTCAGTGTAAACACAGACGCACTCTGCCCTCAGGCTGTGCTCATTGTGCAGGGAGAAGGCCAACCACAAACAAAGGAACAGGTACCTATGAAACACTGGAGGATGGCTATGGAGAAAAATATGACAGGGAAGAGGCTTAAGGAGCATGGGAGGGTAGGCTTCCCAAAAGAGGGGATGTTTCAGCCAAGGCTGGAAAGATGAGCAAGAACGGCAGGTGCAGACGGCCAGAGGTAGAAATGTCCTTCACGCTCTAGAGTGGGTGGTGCGGGTGGGGTGGAGCGAGCCAGAGGGAGAGTGGAAGACACAAGGGACTGCTGGAGACTTTGGGTTTTTTTTTTTTTTTTGACGGAGTCTCGCTCTGTCACCCAGGCTGGAGTGTGGTGGTGTGATCTCAGCTCACGGAAACCTCTGCCTCACTGCAAATTCAAGTGATTCTCCTGCCTCAGCCTCCCGGGCAGCTGAAACTATAGGCACACACCACCACACCCGGCTAATTTTTGTATTTTTAAGTAGAGACGACATTTTGCCATGCTGGTCAGGCTGGTCTAGAACTCCTGACCTCAAGTGATCTTCCCACCTCAGCCTCCCAATGTACTGGGTGGGATTACAGGCACGATCCACCGCACCTGGCCTAGACTTTGGTTTTTATCTGGAGCGAAGTGCCACCAGGGCAGGGCTCTGAGCTAGGAGGGCCCTGGCCTGACTCAGGTGGTCCCAGGCTCCCTCTGGCTGAGATGGGGAGCGGGGAGGCCAGGGAGGAAGCTGCCGGGATGGCGAGGTTGGGGGAAGGATGGAGGCTGGACCAGGGTCAGGGAAGTTTTTGTAGGTGGAGCCGAGAGGATTTGATGAGAGTGGATGTGGGGGTGAGGGAGAGAGCGGGCCCAAGGAACACCCTGAGGTGTCTGGCCTAAGCCACTGGGCTAACATGGCAAAATAGGAATGGCCTTTACCTCCGGATGAAGCGTCACTGAGAATTTCTGTTGAGAATTTTCACAAATTTGAAGTTCTGTTATTTTAAACAATGAATATGGGTGATATTTATAAAGAGAAAAAGAATTTTAGAAAATGTAAAAATTCCCCAGTGGCTCCACTCTGGAACACCTTCCTTGAGTGGCCTGGGAGGTCTGTGTGTACCTGAACCGCCTGTTATGAAACCTGCTCAAAGATGCCACTGCCTATGAGGTGCCTATGAACACCCGCACCCCTTAGCTTCAGCTGCCCAGGGTGGCCCAAAGGCTCAGTCCTGTGCACCCAGCAGAGGCCTGACCCACAGCTCCAGACCTCGTCCCCTCATCAGGACTCTCACAGCAGCCCCTTCCTGGTCTCCCTACTCTTCCTGTCCTCCACCACCTGTTCCCCACACACAGCCAGAGGGGGCCTGTGAACACCTGAGCCAGGTCAGGGTCCTCCCCAGCTTCCACAGTGTTTGGCCACAGAAGTGGCCTGTCTTAATCCCCACCGCGCTCCCTCCCACCTTGGAGTGTTTGCTGGGTTGTGCCCCACTCCTAGGGCACCCCTTCCCCATCTTCAGTTAACCTTTTTTTTTTTTTTTTTTTTAAAGATAGGATCTCACTCTATCATCCAAACTGGAGTGCAGTGGTGTGATCTCAGCTCACTGCAACTTCCAGCTCCTGGGTTCAAGTGATCCTCCTGCCTCAGCCTCCTGAGTAGCTAGGATTACAGGCATCTGCCACCACGCCCAGCTAATTTCTGTATTTTTAGGAGAGACGGGGTTTCACCGTCTCGAACTCCTGACCTTAAGTGATCTGTCCACCTCAGCCTCCCAAGGCACTGGGATTACAGGCGTGAACCACCATGCCCGACCAATTCTTTTTATTCTTCTCGTCTCTGCTCCAGCAGCACCACCTCCAGGATGTCCTCCCAGACGTCACTGATGCATCAGGTACCCCAGGATAGGGTCTCCCAGCTTCATGATCTCCTACACAACCCTTGTCTCCCCTGACCCTTCACATTCAGTCCTCTGGCCATTTAGCCAACATCTGCCTCATACACTAGAACTTCTCAGATGCAGTCATAATGAAACCCCTGGCACAACACAGATGGGGAATGAACAGTTAATCAACGAGAGAAAAAAGAAGCAGTTCTCTCTAGAGTCATGTAGACTGGGGCCAAAATGCTACTGACAGTTCATCCTTAAGAAAGTAGATTCTGGGCCGGGTGCGGTGGCTCATGCCTGTAATCCCAGCACTTTGGGAGGCCGAGGTGGGCGGATTACCTGAGGTCAGGAGTTCGAGACCAGTCTGACTAACATGGTGAAACCCCGTCTCTACTAAAAATACAAAAATTACCCTGGTGTAGTGGCGGGCATCTGTAATCCCACCTACTCGGGAGGCTGAGGCAGGAGAATCGCTTGAACCGGGGAGGCGGAGGTTGCAGTGAGCCGAGATCATGCCACTGCACGCCAGCCTGGGAGACAGAGCAAGACTCTGTCTCAAAAAAAATAAAAAATAAATAAATAAACTCCACCCTGAAGCTAAATTTTCTCTTCTGCAAAATGGGGATAATTACATTATCCTTGTGGTCTTACTTTATGGATTCAATTCATCATTCAACAATGATTCACAGGGCTGGGCGTGGTGGCTCATGCCTGTAATCCCAGCACTTTGCGAGGCTGAGGTGGGCAGATCACTTGAGGTCAGGAGTTCAAGACCAGCCTGGCCAACATGGTGAAACCCCAACTCTACTTAAAATACAAAATTACAAAATTAGCCAGGCGTGGTGGTGCACACCTGTAATCCCAGCTACTTGGGAGGCTGAGGCAGGAGAATAGCTTGAACCCAGGAGACAGAGGTTGCAGTGAGCTGAGATCACACCACTGCATTCCGGCCTGGGGAACAAGGGCAAAACTCTGTCTCGAACAAAACAAAACAAAAAACGATTCACGGACTATCCTCCCTGTCCCAGGCACTATTCCAAGTACTGGGGACACAGTAGTGAATTATAGTGATCAAAATTTCCACCCTCAGGGCACTCGAATCCAGGGAGACAGAGAGTAAATAAACCAGATGAGAGAAATCCAGAGTGTGTCAGAGGAGAATTACTTGTAAACACAAAAATCTAAAATAAAGCAAAGAAGGGGAAAGGAATGAGGTAAACGTTAACACTGAGGCCGGTGAAGACTTCACTAGAATACTGACACTTTAAATTAAGACAGGAAGGAAGGGTGAGGCACGCAGGCATATGACAAAAGAACCATTCAGGCCCAGGATCCAGAGGCCGAGCTCACCTGGACTGTGCAAGGAGCAATGTGGCTGCTACAGACTGAGTGAGGTCGGGAGGGAATAAGGACAGAAAGGGGCTGGGCTTGGTGGCTCACGCCTGTAATCCCAGCACTTTAGTAGGCCAAGGTGAGCTGATCACTTGAGGTCAGGAGTTCCAGACCAGCCTGGCCAACATGGCAAAAACCCATCTCTACTAAAAATACAAAAATTAGCTGGGTGGGCACCTGTAATCCCAGCTACTCGGGAGGCTGGGGCACAAGGATCACTTGAACCCAGGAGGTGAAGGCTGCAGTGAGCCCGATAGTGCCACTGCACTCCATTCCAGGTTGGGTGACAGAGTGAGACTCTGTCTCAAAAAAAGACAGAAAGGATGTACTGAGTGGATGCACAAAGAGATCCTGTGTTCTGGTTTCTCCCAAGCTGTCCAGCCTGGTCGCTCACTGTGACCTACCTCACATTCTAGGCCTCTGTACACCCTGCTCCCTCCTTTCCACCTCTTTCTCTTAAGTCACCCTTTCCTCATCCCTCAGCTCAGACATCCCTTCCTCCAGGAAGCCCTCTCTGATTCTCCCAGGTGGAGTCAGGCACCTCTTCTTGGTGGCTCCAGTCCCCTGGGATTTCCTGATCCCAGCCCAGACCACTCTAGGCTGTCCCTGTCTAATGATGGGTCTGTCTCTCGTCAGGCTGCACTGGAGGCTCCACGAAGGCAGGACCTATCTCGGGTATGACTGAGGGCAAAGCCCAGCAAGTGTCTGTTGAATAACCAAATGAAAGGTGGGGTGGGGGAGTGTCCCAGATAGAGAGTCCTCACGTGGATGCGGCAGCCGTCATCTACAGGGTAGGAGCCCAGGAGCGCATCCTCTTGATCCAGCTTGCTGTAGAACTTGTCGTCAACTCCATACAGCTCCAGTTCCATGCAGGAAGCAGGGCTGCCCACCAGCAACTCCAGTTTACACTGTGAGGAGGAGGCAGGGTGAGAAGAAGGAGGCCACGGAGGCCCCGCCCCTTGCATCAATGACCATCGCCACGTCCCTTTTCCTCCAAAAGACCCCCCAGTCAGGACGCACGGGGCCGCAATCCAGCCCCTCGCCTCTTGCCCCCGCCCTCTGGACCGTCGGATTTTTCGCTGGACCCGGCCCTCATCTCTGCACTCTCGAGTTCTCTCCGGACCCGCCCCGCCGCGACCGGGTCCCCAGCCTCCGCAGCCTGGGATCACCTCCGGGCCCGCCCAGTCACTCCCCGGCCCCTCCCAGCCTCCCCCTTCCGGGAACCCCCCAATTTCTTCGCCCCGCCCCTCCGGACCCCGCCCCCATGGCCACACCTTGAACTCAGCGATGGTGAGGCTGCGGCTGTATCGCTTCTCGGAGCGGAAGGTGTTGAGGGAGCTGCTGATGAAAACGGTCACCGTGGGTGCCGACACCCCCGTCACCTCCATCTTGCCGCGCCCTGCGGATGCCTGCAGCGCGGTCCAGCCGCCTCACACCCGCTCCGCAGCCGCCGCCGCCGCTGCTGCTGCTGGGCTATCAGCCCCGCCTCCTGCTCCGTGCCTGACCAATCCGCGCTCTCCTGCCAGGAGCGTCCGCCAATCGCCGCCGTCCCTTCCCCACCGCCAGGAAGAGGGCTCTCCTTACTCTTGGGCCAGCCCAGCCAATCCAGAGGGGCCTTCCATAGTTCACGGTTCTTCCAATAGCGGCCCGGGAAAGGACCAGAACAGGCGGCGAAGACTGAAGCCCGGAGGTAGGAGTGGCAAGAGCTCGCCCAGTCCGCGAAGGGTAAACTCGCGCATGCGCACTGGCCTTCAACCAAGCCAAGCGCCTTGGCTTCTGTCCTGGATGCTCAGTGTTTTGCGGTTTACGATGCGCATCGTTTTCCCGGCTCTGGCACCAGATCCATACTATTCTGTAAACTGAGGCGGCGATGCCCAAAAATTGGAAGCAATTACTCTAAGATATCAAAAGATTGAAGCAAGCCATGAAACCTCTGCGCGGAGAGAGCCGAGCCCGAGGCGGCGGGGAGCCAGCACGTGTGCGCAGCTCCGCCCTCTTTTGGCGAAGCACCTAGGCCTGGCCCCTCCCGCGACCTGTAGCGCGGCGGAGCAAGCGCGGAAGGCTGGGAGGGCTGCGCGGGCTGCGCGTCGCCATGGAGCCCGACGGGACTTACGAGCCGGGCTTCGTGGGTATTCGCTTCTGCCAGGAATGGTGAGGCGGAGGGAGCGGGTGATGTTAGAAGGCGGGCGAGGAATGGCTCCAGAACTAACCCCTGGCACCTCCCCCTCCCCACAGTAACAACATGCTGTACCCCAAGGAAGACAAGGAGAACCGCATTCTGCTCTACGCGGTGAGCGCCGGGGTCTTCCCCGGCAGGTCCACCTGTTCCCAGCGTGGCCCCGCCCTGCCCCCTGCCTCTGTGATCGGACTCCCTGTTCGCCCTCCGCTGCACCTCAAGTGATCCTGACTCTCATGTCCTGCCCATCCCCAAAGAGAGTCCTGTCGTCATATCCTCCGGGATCACCCTGCCCTCTCCTCCCAATCTTGTCTGGAATCCTTCCGTGACCCCCTTTCCCCCACACTCGCCCTCTCGTAGTGCCGGAACTGTGATTACCAGCAGGAGGCCGACAACAGCTGCATCTATGTCAACAAGATCACGCACGAAGTGGAGTGAGTGGCGGGCCCTGAGCTGGGGGCGGGGGTGTTGGCTCTGGAGGCTGGGTCTGAGCGTAATTTTGCACCCCCGCGTCCCTGCAGCGAACTGACCCAGATTATCGCCGACGTGTCCCAGGACCCCACGTTGCCGCGGACCGAGGACCACCCGTGCCAAAAGTGAGCGTTCAGCTGGTACTGGGGAGGTAAAGTGAGGCTCGTCTCCTCACTGGGCGAAGGGAGGAGGGAAGGGTGTGAAGCCTCCGGTGACCGAGCCCCTACCCTCTCAGGTGCGGCCACAAGGAGGCTGTGTTCTTCCAGTCACACAGTGCGCGGGCCGAGGTAAGTGGCGCGAGGGCTTTCTAAGTATCTGGGGCTTGTTTGGTCCTTTCTGGGGGCGGGGATATCAATGTGGGTGACCCTGCGCTTCTTGGAACTCTGCCGGGCCCTTACCTATTGGTGAAGTTCTCTTGCCTGTTCTTTTGGGGTAAGGCGCTGCTGGGTCCAAATCCTTCCTAACCATGCATCATTTCTGCCAGGACGCCATGCGCCTTTACTACGTGTGCACAGCCCCACACTGCGGCCACCGCTGGACCGAGTGACCTCCTCTCTCCCCCGAGTGTAATAAACACCAGATTCCATGCGTGAGTTTTCTGTGTTTATTTGCCTCGTGGGGAGGACGCTGGCACACCGTATCAGGCTGCGCGGTGCAGGGCGCGGTGCTGTGCGTAGGTGTCGGGCCGGGAGCTGGTGAAGCCGCAGTCCTCGCACACGTGCAGCTTCTCGCGGCGCTCACGGTAAGCGTAGCTGGCCGGCTGTCCATGCACCTTAGCAAGGTGAGCTTCCAGGGAGCAGCGCTGCGTAAACGCTTTCCCGCAAGCACTGCAGCGGAAGGGCCGGATCCCTGCACAGATGGGCGCAGAGGGGAGGGCTGGACAGAGAGGGCAATGGGCTCTGGACTAAAGCGCCCCCACCCTGCTTTCCAGTGTTGAGCATTTCTGGTACCTATTCCAAGCTCTTCAGACTCTTCCGCCCATGACCCACCATCTGCTACCGTCACCCAGTGCAGACATGGGCCAGACACCTGTGTCTCCACTCTCCCTCACCAGGATGCTCCCTCCCCTGGGGGATGGAGAGGGAGGCCTTCCCTTGCCTTTCGATCTGGAGCCTGAATCGTATAACCGGCATCCGTCTGCACTCTGCATTCCGTGACAGGCCCCTATTTTGGTGCCACCTTACACCCACCCACTGGGGTCCGAGAGACATCATGTCTTGATTCTCCATACCCCACATACACAAACCATGGACACTCCACAGCCCAGCACCTCTCTCCATTTCCTTCCATCCCCACCTGGGGCCCAGCAACTTTTCCCTGTCCCTGCCACTGCTCACCAGTGTGAGTCCTCATGTGGCGCTTGAGATCGAAGGCGTCATGAAAGCCCTTGCCACAACAGCGGCACAGGTGGCGGCGCACGGGGCTGTGGCACTTGAGGTGCCTTGTCAGCATGCGCTGCAGAGGGAAGGCCTTAGGGCAGAGCGGGCAGCCCAGCGTCCCAGGGCCCCTGGGAGCAGAGGTCAGGTTGCCCTGTGTGGGCTGCTGGAGGGATGCAGGAGTTATTAGCCTCTCTGGCTGGACCCCATCCACCCTTTGTTACTCTGCAAATGAGTATTTACAGAGTGTCCTGAGCCACCACGGAGGATTAGGAAGGCAGGTGGGAGACAGTGATTAGTGTGTGTGCCTGTCACTCTCCAGGGCCTTCCCTCACTATCCCATGGTCCTTACTTTCTCTATGCCAAGTCCCATCTTCTGATGTGACATACACATTTTTTTTTTTTAAAGACAGAGTCTTGCTCTGTCGCCCAGGCAGGAGTGAAGTGGTATGATGTCAGGTCACTGCAACCTCCGCCTCCCGGGTTCAAGCGATTCTAGTGCCTCAGCCTCCCCACGATTACACGATTGTAGGCATGCGCCACATGCCCAGTTAATTTTTTTATTTTTTGTAGAGATGGGGTTTCACCATGTTGGCCAGGCTGGTCTTGAATTCCTGACCTCAAGCAATCCACCCACCTTGGCCTCACAAAGTGCTGGGATTACAGGCATGAGCCACTATGCCCGGTCTATTTTTCTAATTTTATTGTTTTTTTTGAGGGGGGATGGAGTCTAGATCTGTTTCCCAGGCTGGAGTGCAGTGGCGCAGACTCGGCTCACTGCATCCTCTGCCCTGCCTCCTAGGTTCAACTGATTCTCCTGCCTCAGCCTCCTGAGGAGCTGGGATTACAGGCACGTGCCACCATGTCTGGCTAATGTTTGTAATTTTAGTAGAGACAAGGTTTCAACATGTTGGCCAGCCTGGTCTCGAACTCATGACCTCAAGTGATTCACCCGCCTCGGCCTCCCAAAGTGCTGGAATTACAGGCTGACTAATTTTATTGTCTATACATGCAGCCCCAACCAGAATATAAGCTCCATAAAATTGTGGATTTTTGTCTTATTCCCGCTGAATATAACAGCCCATGCCTAGAACAGTGCCTTGCTTTCATGAATATATTACATTCCGGCTGGCGCTTTCCTTCCTCCAATGCATGCACAGCTGAAAAAGCCCTTATCTCCCATCGCACTCCTGTTGCCTTGTCCCATGTTCTGACATAAAGCGGATCATCCACATGTGGGGATGAATCTTGTGCCCCGCTGGAAGAGATCCCTGTGGCTGCCGGCCCTGGTGCCTGGGGTGAGACCTAACAGTAGAGAGCTCACTACTAGGAAAGGAGAGGCATTCCCAACACAGAGAAGTAGGGGCGGACAGGTCCCGAGGCTGGAGGGCGTGTGCAGATGGGTCGGGGGAGCAAGGGGCTGTCAGCTTCATTAAGGCTGAGAGCAGGCAGGAGCGAAACAGCTGGCTTTGCTAGCCAGTTACACACTCACCGCTGTCCACGGATCCCTGACACTGGACGACTGTTGTGCCGGTGGCCCCCCCAGGCTGCTGCAGTCTGAGGAGAAAAGCCAGATGGTGACACTGCGTCTCTCCTGCCCCTTACCTCCAGGCACAGTGAGGGGCCCACCTGGGATATAGGCATCTCCCCGGAGCTGGTCAGGCAGATGGCCCCAGTTGGGGGGCTGTGGACGCCGACTCCTGACCAGGAAGGCGCGGGGCATGCCCTCCGGAAGGCTCTCCACACACAGGGGCTGCTTCCACCTGCTGTCAGACCTCAGCCCCAGGATGACTATCCCTGGTGGGAAAGGAGGGGAAGCCTCTGAGGAACCTCATTCTCTTCATGCAAATTTCCTGGCTGGCCCTGGGAGTGGACTAAGCTGGCTCAGGTTACCCCTGCCTGGGGACCTGCCCATCTTCTCCCAGGTTTTGGAGGGAACCATCCAGCCTCCAGGGGTGGACAAGCACTAGGACCACCAAGCAGAGCCAGGCAAGGGGAGATGGGCCTGGGGAGCTTTTGAGGATAGGAAGAAGAAACAAGGCCCCAGGGGGACTGTCTCCCAGGGGTTGAGGGTCTGTTTGCCAGGCAAATCAGTCACCAGGGGACATCCAGCAGCCTGCCTGGTTATTCAAATCACAGCAGCTGTCTGAGGACACTGAAGGGGCCCCCTGCTGTGATTGCCCTGCTCTGTAGGGTGCAGGGAGGACAGCAGATCTGGATAAATCAGGGCAAAATGAGGATCCAGGCTGTGCATCCTCAGGTAGGATGCCCCACCTCTCTGATCTTCAGATTCCCAGGGCTAACATTCAGCCAGAAGCACTGTTCAGGTGTAGCAGGCACTAAAATACTAGTTTGTTAATAATCTAGCCCCTAGTTACTGCCTGGGACAACACTCTTCCTCCCTCCCACAGTCTGGAAAGTAAAAGGGGGTCTCCTATTTTTTTTTCTTTTTTTGAGACGGAGTTTCACTCTTGTTGCCCAGGCTGGAGTGCAGTGGCACCATCTTGGCTCACTGGAACCTCCACCTCCCGGGTTCAAACGATTCTCCTGCCTCAGCCTCCTGAGTAGCTGGGACTACAGGCATGCACCACCACACCGGGCTAATTTTTGTATTTTTGGTAGAGACAGAGTTTCACCATGTTGGCCAGGCTAGTCTTGAACTCCTGACGTCAAGTGATCCGCCTGCCTTGGCCTCCCAAAGTGCTGGGATTACAGGCATGAGCCACCGCACCTGGCCCAAAGGGGGTCTCTTGACACAGCCAGGGGCTCCCAGGACCCTACCCCGGCACACTGGCCAAGCTGTTTTACACTTGATTCTTAGCCAGAAGACTAAGAAGCAATCCAAGCTCTGTTTTTTAATTTTTTTTTTTTGAGGCGGAGTTTTGCTCGTTGCCCAGGCTGGAGTGCAATGGCGTGATCTTGGCTCCTCTATGACCTCCGCCTCCTGGGTTCAAGTGAGTCTCCTGCCTCAGCCTTCCAAGTAGCTGGGATTACAGGGGCACACCACTGCACCCAGCTGATTTTTTGTGTTTTTTGTAGAGATGGGGTTTCACCATGTTGGCCAGGCTGGTCTCAAACTCCTAAATGCAGGTGATCCGCCCGGCTCAGCCTCCCAAAGTGCTGGGATTACAGGCGTGAGCCACCGCGCCCAACCTGTTTTTATTTTTTTTGTTTTGTTTTGTTTTGTTTTTTGAGACAGATTCTCACTCTGTTGCCCAGGCTGGAGTGCAGTGGTACGATCTCCACACACTGCAGCCTCCGTCTCCTGGGTTCAAGCGATTCTGCTGCCTCAGTCCCCCAAGTAGCTGGGACTACAGGTGCGCACCACCACACCCGGCTAATTTTTGTATTTTTAGTAGAGATAGGGTTTCACCATGTTGGGCAGGCTGGTCTCAAACTCCTGACCTCGAGTGATCCACCTGCCTCAACCTCCCAAAGTGCTGGGATTACAGGCGTGAGCCATTGCGCCTGGCAACTAAACAATTTTCTAAGCTCCAGACCTAGCTTACTGAAAATGATCGCGTAAGTCCATGAAGGAGGCACACCAGTGACAGCCCAGAATGACCAAGACAGTGAGAGGCAAGTGAGGCAGAGACCCAGCCATGATGGGGAAAAGAGGGGTACCTGGGGACCCGAACAGGCTCCTGATCCAGGCTACGGGTACAGGGATGGCTTCCTGGATAAGCGCTGAAAGGTTTCAGATGAAAGGGGAGGGTGTTCTAGTCAGAGGGGGACATCTGTACAAGGCTTGCTGGTGAGAGGAGTATTTCTTCATTTCTTTACATTGCCCGAGAGTCAGTTGTGCCAATTCATTTGGGGAAGCAAGGGTGGCAGTGCTGAGGGTCTGCTGGCCATGCATTTCCGCTTGCTCTCTGCAGGACCCAGAGCAAGTCATTTCTCATTGGGCCTCGGTTTCTTCACCTGGAAAATGAGACTAAGGAATCTCCCTCTTCCCAGTTTGTATTGAAGATCCATGTAGCTCACATGGAGAGAATGCTTAGCATGGGGCCTGGCATGTGGCAGACATATAAGCAGGGATTGGTTAGGAAGGTTTTTTTTTTTTTTTTTTTTTGAGACAGGGCCTTGCTTTGTCACCTAGGCTGGAGTGCAGTGGAGTGAACACAGCTCACTGTAGCCTCAAGCTCCTGGGCTCAAGTGATCCTCCCACATCAACCTCCCAAGTAGCTGGGACTACAGGCGTGCACCACCACACCTAGCTAATTTTAAAATTTTTTGTAGAGGTGGAGTCTTGCTATGTTGCCTAGGGCTGGTTTTGAACTCCTGAGCTCAAACCGTCTGCCTGCCTTGGCCTCCCAAAGTGTTGGGATTACAGGAATGAGCCACTGCATCCTGCCGAGGAATCCCTCCTCTGGGCAAACATCCAGGCCTCAGGTGGGTCATCTGCAAAATGGGGTTTCAGGTGGTGTCTCCATTTTGCAATTGTTGGCTTTCCTGCAGCCCTGACTGGGATGCCTGGCACGGGCCTGGCAGCTCAGGACCCAGGAGCTGTCCTGATGGTACTGCTATGGGGAGGCCAAGGGTAGATGTGGGGGTAGAAGCAGGGGGGGAGTTGCAGTGAAAGATGAACTGTTTTCCTTCCAGGGACCCAGTTCCCCAGGAACCCTCTCAGTCCTGTTCTGCCCTGCTCCATGGCCTAGGAGGTTGACTGGAGGCGGGGTCACCTGGGCTTCTATGCACTCTGGCTTCCAGTAGGATTTGGACAATGGGGTGCCCTGCAGGAGGGGAGTAAGGTCAGGGTGTTGATTCTCACTCCGTCCTGTGTGGGAGTCAGGGCTGCAGCTCCCTCAGCACTACCCTCTCCCTGGGATTTGCTCTTTTGGGTTCTTGTTCCTTCTCTTTGTGCCTTGTGGCCTGGGGGTGGTAACAGCTCCCAGGGTGCCAGTCCTGGGGTTCTGCACCAGCCTCGGTGGTTTCCCAGTCCCTGCTGCTCCTTTGCAAATGATCCCTTGGTTAAACTCTTTGGAATATCCCATCTAAGCATGCTGTCATCTTTCTGCTGGGACCCTGTCAGCTCACAAACCACATGCACACATGCTGCACCACCAGCAGTGGCTTCTTAACCAGGTGGTTTATCCTGGTTAAGAAGTATGGAGAAAGTATGGTCCTTCCAGGACAGAGCCTGGCATTTGGAAGAGGGAAGTGGCAGACATGCTGGATCCTCTCTGATTACCAGCCCACTTGCCTTTCTTATTGAGAGAACCTCTTTGTTTGAGCTGCAACATGCCCAGGACAGGAGAGATGGTCCAAGCACATCAAAGCAATCTCCATTCCTGTTGCCTGGGACTCATCTGACCCCAGATGAGTCTCCCAGGGAGACCCCTGGGAGAGATCTGCATCTTTTCTGCTGCCCTAGAGGGTGCCCTGCTCTGTGCCTTTGCTCCTGGTTGGACCAGGCCACCCAGCAGCTGGGACCAATAACTTGGGCCTCTGACCCTCATGTCATTGTGCACCTGGCCTCTTCCTCTCCTGCTGTCACCCTCTGTGAGCCCCCTGCACTCCACATCTAACCTCAGCCTCCCCATAGCAGTACTATCGGGGCAGCTTCTAGCTCCTGCGCTTCCAGGCTTATGCCAGGCACTTCAGTCAGGGCTGCAGGAAAGCCAACAATTGCAAAATGGAGACACCACCTGAGGGTGTGCTGCTGGGTGCCACAGCAGCCGTGTTGCAACCATGAGGCCATAAGCTGGAGACTGAAGCTTGCTCACAGAGGATAACAGAGCAGGAGAGGAAGAGGCCAGGTGCATGATGACATCAAGGGTAACCAACGTCCCTCCATCTTGGGCCCTGAAAGCCAGGTGTTTACTCCTTGGAGCAGAAGACTTTACTATGATACAGGTTGGAAGGAAGGGTAATTCCATGCATGACAGAGGCCCAAGGTGGTCTCCTGGGTGTCCGAGGCCTGGGGGGCTGAACACCAAGCTTTGCCCAGGGATGTTGGGCAAGGTTTTGGGCAATGGTGGCCGAACTAGGCAGATGGGCCTAGGCCTAGGCAGGTGGTTCAAGTTCTGGACCACCTGGACTCCCTGAGGCAGAGTCGTGAGAAATAAGCAACACTGGATATCCCCCAAACATTAAGAGCAGAGATTTAGAAACAAACCCAAAAACAAAAAACTGTTCTGGATATTCCTTGGACTTAAATGTTATGAAGCAACAAGGCCCTGCTCCTCCTTGCACCTCAGCTCCTGCCCTCCCCTTGCTCACTCCATTCCAGCCGTCCGGGCTTCGCTCCTCTTGCTTCCACACAGATCACGTGTGGCTGCCCCAGGCCTGTGCACTGGCTGTGCTGTCGGCCTGGATGTGTTCCTGAGATGTCCTCTATCAAGCTTCAGCCCAAATGTCACCTCGAAAGGCCTTCCCTGACCCTTCACCAGCAATGGATCTCCCCAACCTATCTAGAATTATACAGAGCTCTAATTCCTGCATCTGTTTGACTGTATAGAAGGTGAGTGGCCATGAGGGCAGGTGCGTTGCCTGATGTTCCTTCTGCTACAGTGCCCGGCACCTGGGTGGGAACTGGCAGGATTTTTTTTTTTTTTTTTTTTGAGACTTGCTGTGTCACCCAGGCTGAAGTACAATGATGGTGTGATCTCAGCTCACTGAAACCTCTGCCTCCTGGGTTTGAGCGATTCTCCTGCCTCAACCTCCTGAGTAGCTGGGACTACAGGTGTGCACCACCACACCCCAGCCAAGAGTGGCTTTTTTAGCAGACACCCCATGTGGCCAGATGCCTGCTGTCTGGGGGAGCTGGTAGCAGTGCTGGGAGCTCGTGGAATGTAGAACTTCTGAAGGGGAAGCAGTTATTGGTCCCAGCTGCTCGTGGCCTGGGCCTGCTGCCAGGATCATACAGTGGGCAAGCCTGCCTGGGTTTCTTGTTTTATTTTGTTTTATTTAAAGAGACGGGGTTTTGGCCAGGTGCGGTGGCTCATGCCTGTAATCCCAGCACTTTGGGAGGCCGAGGTGGGCGGATCTCCCAAGGTCAGGAGTTTGAGACCAGCCTGG
The DNA here is from genome assembly GCF_000001405.40 of Homo sapiens. Classification (NCBI taxonomy): domain Eukaryota; kingdom Metazoa; phylum Chordata; class Mammalia; order Primates; family Hominidae; genus Homo; species Homo sapiens. The sequence goes on along the minus strand of NC_000019.10, from coordinate 36,105,905 downwards.
CCAACATGGCAAAACCCCGTCTCTACTAAAAATACAAAAATCAGCTGAGTATGGTGGTGGGTGCCTGTAATCCCAGCTACTCGGGAGGCTGAGGCAGGAGAATCGCTTGAACCCGGGAGGCGGAGGTTGCAGTGAGCCAAGATCGCACCACTGCACTCTAGCCTGGATGACACAGCAAGATTCCATCTCAAAAACAAAAATAAATAAATAAATACATGAAATAAAGAGATGGGGTTTCACCAAGTTGCCCAGGCTGGTCTCAAACTCCTGGCCTCAAGCGATCCTCCCACCTCAGCCTCCTGAGTAGCCGGGATTATAGGTGCAGGCCACCATACCCAGCTTGGGCAAGCCTGTTCATGGGTCCTCAGTTTCCCCTGTTGCAGATGGGGACACCACCACCGTGGACTTTGTGGGATCTAGTGTGGCCTTGGCCCAGAGGCCCTGAGCCATGATATGGCAAAGCGTGGACTGCTGGGCAAGGTAGGCACATGGTGATCACAGCAGCCCCAGTGAGTTCTCAGGCACTGGCAGGGGGCAGGTAAGAGGGTCTGGCTCCTCCCTGGGGCACAAATGGGCCCCACTGGGTAAGCACCTCACACTGGTCTGTGGCAGCTCTGTGGGCAGTGTGGGAGGACTGGCCCTGAGGTCATGGCTGCAGTTCCTGAACTTCTTGGGAGCGCTGGTCCCATGCTCTCCACTGACAGACACGAGTCCTCTGGGCATCACCTTCTACCCTCCCTCCCCACTTCCACTTGAAGAGGGCTTTGTGGATAGGCCCAAACAGACACCAGGAACCATTCCTCAAAGCTGTCAGTTTATTCGCTTAAAATACCTAAGTCCTCAGAAGCAGCAGGGCTGCGGTGGAGGGGCTGCGCCCTCAGTGCCCCCGTGCCTTCCTCCGCACGGCCTGCACCAGCAGCTCCGAGTAGTGTTCCAGCAGGGCCTGCAGGTCTGGGCTGGCCAGGGGGTACAGCGTCGGTGGGGACGGGGGTCCTGGGCTGGGCAGAGCCTGGGCTGGGGCCACACTAGTCCCCACCAGGCATTCAGCCTCCAGCTGGCTGTGGATCCACAGGAAGGTGGAGACCAGCTCAGTCCGTGCCTGCTGCTGCCCGGTGTCCACCTGGCCACTGGAGACCAACTGCAAGGGATGCCAGCCTTGTCAGGGGCCACCAAGGCCGGGCGGTCTCAAGAGACCCCTCAACCCTTTCCCAACTCTGGGGCTTAGCTCACCACACGGTAAAGGTCGAGGGCTTCTTGGAAGGTGGTCTGCAGCCTGTGCAAGATGTTCCCCACCCTGCTCAGCTCAAGGGGAGATGGGGGCAGGGCTTCAACCGGCACCCAGGGCTCACTCCAGCGGGCAGGGCTGCCCTGTAACAGACCAAGTGCACCTGGGGTAGAGAGAAGGGAATGAGCAAGATGAGCTGCATTCCATTGGTGTGAGCGGCCAGAGCGACTGGGTGGACTCCATGCTGTACTTCTGTCTGGAACACTTCTCTGGGTCCCCAAGGCTCCCTCCCCTTCACTCCTACAGGTCTCTGCTCCAATGCAGCCTCCTCCCTGAAGCCTCTTCTTATCTTCTGGTTTGTAATCCCAACCCCTGTCCCCACCCTGCACTCCCTCGCCCTCCTCTGTCCCTCCTAAGCATGTGTCACTTCGTGATACATATGACGGGTTCCTTAAAGGTTTAGTCTGGGCATTGTCCCCATTGAAGCTGTCAGTTCTCTGTGTTGTTTACCACCATGTCCCATGTCCCAGGGTTTAGCACAAAGCCCAACATGTAATGCTCATTAAATATTTAAGTTAATGCACGAATGAATGAATGGCACAGTCCCTGTGGCCAGGTCAAGTATCCATCTTTGGAGCTGAGCCAACTAGCACACAGGATGAGCTTAGGGGACAGTCCTTGCTCCAGGGCTGTACTCACCGGAGGTGGGCTCCAGGAGGGAGGCAGTGCCGCCAGGGATGCCAGGCCGGGCCTCTGGAAGCTGGGGGTTACTGGGGTGGGCAGGAAGGCCAGGGGACTCAGGAGCTGGGAGACTTGGGCGAAAGGCAGAGCCGTGGAGCCTCAGGGCGCTCTCTTCCACAGGGCTAGGGGCTGGGAAGCTCACTGCAGGGACGGTGACGCCAGGCTGGGTATCCACGGGGGGCTGCAGGAGCCCATCACAGGCACTTGACAGGGTCAGTCTCAGGTTGGCCCGGGCCTCGTGGTTGCCCCAGGAACGCAGGGCAGGCTCTTGGCCCTCACTGTCCAAACTGGGTGTTGTCGCGGTGGTGATGGCCTGAAGCTCCTGGCCCAAGGAGGCCAGCTCCCCAACGGACGATGGCCTACGGAGGGGCTGGGCCAGTGTGGCCACGATAGGGCCCTCACTGTCACCGAGGGAGATGCTGCGTGATATCCTGGCACGGGAGCTGGCAGTGGCCTCCATGTAGGAACAGGTGGAGGGGGCATGGACACCCTGAGCCAGGCCTGGGGTGGGTGCAGATGTGGGCGTTGGGAGATTCCTGTCTGTGGGCAGCACGGAGGAAGCAGGGACACAGGACGCCAGGCTCGTAAGGCAGGGAGCTGTAACGGAAGCAGATGGCACTGACTCCACCACACAGAACTGATGGCTAGGGCCCCCACGCCCCACAGCTAGGCTGGACATCCGGCCACTCGCCGAGAAACCCAGGACTGTCCGTCTGGGACTGGGGCACTCACGTGGTGGGCGCCAGGCCTCCAGGGTCTCTTCAGCCTTCCCTGCAGCGAGGACCTGCAGGCACAGCTCTGAGGTGAGGACAAGGCCTCAGGGTTCCCAGCCCCGTGCCCTGACGGAGGTGGGCCCAATACTCACGTGGGTCCTGTCTGGGGAGGCGTAGCCAGTACCTGCTCTGGGCTGGCTTCCGCCTCGGTCCATGAGCTTGACCTCTGGAGACTTCACAAGGCACTGGGTTGCCCGGGGAGGGAAGGTATGGGTGAACCTGTGGGGAGGAGAGCAGGGGGGATGATTCTCATTCAGCCTGCCCTGGGGCACTGTTGAGGAGCCAGAGGGTGGGCAGTGCTTGGCCAGCTTCTACCTGGATGCCTTCTGGAGGCTTGAGAGGAACTGCGTGGAGATACTCAGGCGTGGGTTGAAGAAGTGGTCTTCAGCTTCAGAGGCCTCCACGTCTCCCAGAGCTGCGGGGAAGAGCTCTAGGGGAAGATCCCGAGGGGACCCTCATAACCCTTCCCGCCGAGCAGCCCTGGCCCTAGGCCAGCCCACAGCCCAGCGGGGCACTCCCCAGAAACCCTTATGTACAGACACAGGGTACGAGCAGGGGCAGTGGGTGAGGAGGCATCGTGAGGCTCAGGTCAAGAGTGAAGCAGTGGGCCGGGCACGGTGGCTCACGCCTGTAATCCCAGCACTTTGGGAGGCCAAGGCGGGCAGATCATCTGAGGCAGGAGTTTGAGACCAGTCTGGCCAACATGGTGAAACCTCATCTCTACTAAAAATACAAAAAATTAGCAGGGCGTGGTTGTGGATGCCTATAATCCCAGCTACTCAGGAGGCTGAGGCAGGAGAATTGCTTGAACCAGGGAGTCGGAGGTTGCAGTGAGCCAAGATTGGGCCACCGCACTCCAGCCTGGCAACAGAGCGAGACTCCGTCTCAAAAAAAACGAAGCAGTTGCTCTCCACTCACCCTCCTGGCCCTGCTGGGGAGCCAACTCCAGGGACGCCAATGCTGTGCCCAGGCTGCACAGACGGCCTCGGCAGGTGTGGGTGAGGCAGGGCCCTACCTCTGCAGGGGGACTCAGTCAGTGTCTCAAAGTGGTGGCGGAGGAACTTCTCCTGCTCCGGAGTCTGGGGTAGGGAGCTGCTGGGGACGCTGGGTCCCTCGGGCAGGGACAGCTCATCTTCTGTGGGACCTGCGCATCCTGACAGGGAAGGAGGGGAGGGACAAGAGGAGCCAACACCATGAGTCACAGCAGACGCCACCTGAAATGGAGAAAGCGGGCCCCACCCATCCCTGCCCTGTTGCCCGCAGGCTGAGAAGCAGGGATCCCCGTCTTCCAGGCTCAGTGGGCTCCAAGTGCAGGGCCTGTGCTTAGACATTGTGACTGGCCCTAAGCCAGGCCCGAGCAGCGAGTCCCCTGCGTGTCTGGCCCCTGCTTACCTGGGAAATGGGGCAGCGACGTGGCAAACCGAGGGGCAGGGTCAGGAGGCGGAGCTGGGGAGTGGATGGCTGCGAAGCTGCACTCCAGGTCGGCCTCTGACTCCCCCGAGTCTGAAGGACAGAGTCGGGGTCAGGAGCCCACAGCCTGACCATTCTGGTGAGCCAGGGCCAGGGCTACCCTTCCCTGGGCTCAGTTTCCCCATCTGGAGGAGGGATGGTAAGAGCAGCTGCCCCCCATTTTATGAATAAGGGAAGTTCCACATCAAGGAGGTGGCAGAGCTGGGCTCTCAGCTGTAGGCAGCTGGGCCCAGAATCCTCAGGCAGCAGCAGGGACCACATGTGTCTTCCTCGACAGACTCTGAGCTTCAGTACTGGGTCAAAGTCACCATCGGTGCCCAGAAAGGGGCTTGGCTGAACGCACAGACTGTCACAGGGTCCCTGCCTGCCCTGCACTCACCCTCAGGCGGGCTCTGGTCCTTTGGGCTGTCGGAGGACACCCTGAGGTAGGAGTCGCCCTGCTGGTCTCCAGGCCCGGCCTCCACCTCCTTCCTGCAATACTGGCTGCAGTGCCAGTGGGGGCAGAGAGGGAACAAGGACTTCAGCTGGAGACTCAACAGCTAGCCCCACCCGGAGCCCCTAGGCACCTGTACCCGCTGCTCCTGCAGGAGCACTGCGACAGCCTCCCCGCCTCCTCCAAATGCCCCCTCCTTCCCCCAGGTCAGGCCCTCCTGTACCCCACCTGGAACCAGGGAACTAAGGCTGGGCTCCTGCCCCATCCAGGCCTCAACTGTCCCCACTCCCACAAGCCCACTGGGAAGGCAGAGAGCACTTCTTCCAGGATGCAGCTATCAGCTGGGGGTTCCTCCAACTAAGGCTCCCTTGGTGGAAAGGACACCCACCTGTCTGTCCCTGTGACTGTCACTTCTGCCTCCAGAGAGTAGAGGATGAGCTCACTGGCCTCAGATGATTCCTTCTGCTGGGGCAGGAAGGAGGGGTGCCCGCGGCCAGCTTCCTGGGGACTCTCTGACTATGGGGAAGACAGCACAGCCATTCTGAGGCAGGCATGGCTGGGGCCACCAACAGTGCGCCAGGAACCATGCCAGCAGCCCCACTGCTGGAGGCTGTGAACCAGGGCCTGTGCCATGCCCTCCACTCGCAACCAGCTTGTCCTGGTCTGCCCCTGCATTATCAGTCCCTTTACAGATGAGGAAGAGGTGTGGCACCAAAAATAGGAGGCCCAACCCTCTACGTGTCTATTTATATCAAGTTCAAGAATAGGAAACCCAGTCCTTGGTGAGAGGTCAGAACACTGGTTATCCTGGTGCGGGGACCTGACTGGGAAGGGCAGAAGGGGGTTTCTATGAGGTAGAAAACACTCCAGATTTTGCCCAGGGTAGTGGACACACGTGAATTACACAGATAGTTCATCAAGCTGTATACCTAAAATCTGTGCATGTTACTGGATGTATATTATACCACAATGAAGATGACAAATTATAGGATAGGATAAAAATGAATTTTGTTTGGAAAATAGTAGAGAAAGAGCTAAAGTTGCACGGGCACCTCTAAGAGCCCAGGCCCTATACTTAAGCATGGATTCCTGTAAAAGCCCTCTGGGGCAGAAGAGATTGTTATTACCATTTAAAAACAAAACAAACAAAAAAATTTAAAAAATATTTTTGTAGAGGTGGGATCTTGCTACGTTGCCTAGGCTGGCCTTGAACTCCTCAAGTGATCGTTAAGTAATCCTCCTGCCTTGGCCTCCCCAAATGCTGGGATTACAGGTGTTAGCCACTGCCCCTGACCCCATTATGACTACTTTTTAGAAGACTGAAGCCCAAAGAGGTAAGCCTCTTACTCCAGGTCACACAACAGGAATGGGTAGGGTCAGGGCTCGATCTACCCAAATGTCCCCCACTTGGGTACAAGCCTGCTCTAGCATCCAAGCTCTTAACCCCCAAGTGACCCACTTTCCAAAGACTCCCTGTCTGCCTTGGGAAGTCTTGCTGTGCAACAGACCTGGGGCTCACCCTCCTGCCCTTCACCATCTCATGTAATCCTCCCTGCCCCCATGGAGTGGGAGTCAGCCTAAGGCGCCAGGCCCTGGGGCCGTCACGGTGCCGGGGCTATGGGCCAGGCTGCGGTGGAAGTGTGTACCTCACTCAGCAGGCTGGCCAGGCTCTGTGGCTCCAGTGAATCCAGAATGGAGTTCTCCAGACTCTCGGGCTTCATGGGGGTAAAGTAGCAATCCAGGTCCTGGGCATCCAGGATGGTCTTGAGGGGCTCTTGGCCGGCCCGCTCTGCCCAGCGGCCGTGGGGCTGGTAGCTGCGCTTGGCGTGGAAGGCCAAGCCATCTGCCACATCATCGTCCCCTAGCTTGAAGGATATCGGACAGTCAGGCAACTGGCTGAGTGCTCACTCACTGCAGGGAGCGACACGGACATTTCACACAGCCCATCTGGACTCTTGGCTTTCAATACCATTCAGAAACAACTTCCAGGTACATATCTCCAGCGTGAACCTTTCTCTGTTTTTTTTTTTTTTTTTTTTTTTGAGACGAAGTCTTGCTCTGTCTCCCAGGCTGGAGTGCAGTGGCGTGACCTTGGCTCACTGCAACCTCCACCTCTCAGTTTCAAGCAATTCTCCTGTCTCAGCCTCCAGAGTAGCTGGGATTACAGGTGCCCACCACCACACCTGGCTAATTTTTGTATTTTTAGTAGAGATGGGGTTTTGCCATGTTGGCCAGGCTGGTCTCAAACTGCTGACCTCAAGTGATCCGCCCGCCTCGGCTTCCCAAAGTACTGGGATTACAGGCATGAGCCACTGCGCCCAGCCCATTTTGTTGGTTTTTGGTAGAGGTGGACTCTCACTATGTTGCTCAGGCTGGTCTCAAACCCTTGGGCTCAAGGAATCCTGTTTCGGCCTCCCAAAGTGCTGGGAATGCCCAGCTGGGATTCATGAACTTTTCTCTGAAACTTCAGAATTGCACATGTGACTGCTCTACATTTCTGTATGGATGTCTGGTAGGTATTTCAAAGTTAACATGCTGACAACTCAACTCATTTCCTCTGCACAAACCTGCTCCTCCTAAAGATTCCCTGTTTCAGTTGTTTTTTCCAGTTACTCATGCCCCAACCTTGGGATCATCCTTCATTCACCTCTCTTATTCTGTCTCTTATAATCCACATTGTCTTTCTTTTTTTTTTTTTTTGAGAGGGAGTCTCACTCTGTCGCCAGGCTGGAGTGCAGTGGCATGATTTCGGTTCACTGTAACCTCTGCCTCCTGGGTTCAAGTGATTCTCCTGCCTCAGCCTTACCAGTAGTTGGGACTATAGGCATGCACCACCATGCCCAGCTAATTTTTGTATTTTTAGTAGAGACGGGGTTTTACCATGTTGACCGGGATGATCTTGATCTCTTGACCTTGGATTACACCCGCCTTGGCCTCCCAAAGTGCTGGGATTACAGGCGTGAGCCACCGCACCCGGTCTCTTTTTCTTTTTTTTTTTTTAAGAGACAAGGTCTCGTTCTGCCATCCAAGCTGGAGTGCAGTAGCACGATCACTGCAGCCTCCAACTCCTGGGCTGAAGTGATCCTCCTGCCTCAGGCTCCTGAGTAGCTGGGACTATGGGTGTGCACCACCATGCCTGGCTATTTTTAATCTTTTGTAGAGATGGGAGTCTCATTATGTTGCCTAAGCTGGTCTCGAGCTCCTGGCCTCGTGGCTTTTACACGTATAGGCTGTTATGACTAGAACATTCGTCCCAGTATCTGCCTGTCTCACTTGCTTCAACTCTGCTCAAACATCATTTTCCCAATGAGGCCTTTCCTGTTTACTTAAAACTGACACCCCCCAACACTCCTTATTTTCTTTTTTATTTTTATTTTTTTTATGAGACAAAGTGTTGGCTCTGTTGCTCATGCTGGAGTGCTGTGGAGTGCAGCTCCCTGCATCCTCGACCTCCCTGGCCCAAACAATCCTCCCACTTCAGCCTCCTGAGTACCTGGGACTACAGGTATGCACCACCATGCCTGGCTAATTTTTTTATTTTTTGTAGAGATGGGGTCTCACTATATTGCTCAGGCTGGTCTTGAACTCCTGGGCTCAAGTGATCAACCTGCCTTGGCCTCCCAAAGTGCTGGGATCACAGGCATGAACCACCGTGCTGGGCCCCTGTTCTTTTTCTCTTTTTTGAGACAGGATCTCACTCTGTTGCCCACGCTGGAGTGTAGTAGTGGTGCCTTCTCAGTTCCCTACAGCCTCAACCTCCTGGGCTCAAGTGATCCTCCCACTTCAGCCTCCTGAGTAGCTGGGACCACAGACACGTATCACTGCACCTGGCTGACGTATTTTCCTTCTTGATTCTTTTCCCTCCACAGCACTTATCAGCACCCAACCTACTACGTCATTTACTTATTTAATGGGGATATTGTTCCTCGCCCACACAGGCAAGTGAGCCTGTGAAGGGAGAGACTTTTGTTTCCCTTGCTCACTGTTGTGTCCCTGACATCCAGAACAATGCCTGGCAGAGAGCACTGATCATGAACAAAGGGCTGTCTCACTGAGCCTGGAAGGATGACAGGGCTTCTCCAGGGAAAAGAGGGACATGGAAAGGAAAAAGGGCTTCCAGAAGGCAGAGCTGGGGAGGCGTTTCCTCTGCCAGCCCCTGAGCAACCCTCTCCCTGAAGACTTACCAGCCGCTTTGCCCACAGTGGCAGCTTGCCGTTGGTTAGCAGGCAACGAGGATCTGGAAAGACACAGAATCCATGAAAAGAGGACAAACAACCCAACAAACAGGCCACATACATAACCGGGCAGTCCCCAAAGAGGCAACACCACAACCCAGAAGTCAGAAGGCTCAACAGCACCGGGGGTTAGGGAAATGCAAACTTAAACCGTGGGATGCGATATTTGACTCACGAGACTGACCGAGGTGAAAAAGCTTAATACTACCAAAGGATGGCAGGAAAAGTGTGGGGACAATGGAGAGCCTAATGCAATGCAGGGTGGGGCAGTAACTGGGTTTGGAGAACTCTTGGGGTTCTCTTTTTTTTTCTTTTTTTGAGACGGAGTCTCGCTCTGTTGCCCAGGCTGGAGTGCAGTGGCGCGATCTCGGCTCACTGCAACCTCCACCTCCCGGGTTCATGCCATTCTCCTGCCTCAGCCTCCCAAGTAGCTGGGACTACAGGTGCCCGCCACCATGCCCGGCTAATTTTTTTTTTTTGTATTTTTAGTAGAGACGGGGTTTCACCATGTTAGCCAGGATGGTCTCGATCTCCTGAACTCGTGATCCGCTCGCCTCGGCCTCCCAAAGTGCTGGGATTACAGGTGTGAGCCACTGCGCCCAGCCGGGGTTCTCTTTTAAAATAAAGGCCAGGCATACTGGCTCAAGCCTGTAATCCCACCACTTTGAGAGGTCGAGGTGGGAGGATACTTCAGGCCAGGGGTTTGAGACCAGCCTGGGCAACACAGTGAGACCTTGTCTCTACACACACCATCCCCTGATACACACATATTTAGCTGGGTGTGGGAGCTTGAGCCTGTGGTCCCAGCTACTCCACAGGCTAAGGAGGGAAAATTGCTTGAGCCCAGGAGGTCAAGGCTACAGTGAGCTATGATTGTGCTATTGAACTCCAGCCTGGGCAACAAAAATAGTGAAATAAAATAATAAAACAACTTTTTTAAAGTAAAATAAAATAACTCCAGGATCCAGTGGTGCTACTCCTCAGACTCTCTCCTGGAGAAGTCCTCACATTTCGAGGAGGCTTAGGAGTGGTCTCCACTCCATAGCCTCATTAACAGTGATGTGCAATCAGGAAAAACCTAAATGGCCACCTGGAGGGGAATAACTTAAAATTTCGCAGGCGTCTGCTTTGTATTCACCAACATACAGGTAGATGAGAGACTTTGCAGAGGAAAAAGATTCCGGACAATATCCGCAACATAATTCAATTTATTTTTACTTGTTCATTTATTTTTTGAGACGGAGTCTTGCTTTGTCACCCAGGCTGGAGTGCAGTGGCGCAGTCTCAGCTCACTGCAACCTCCGTCTCCCAGGTTCAAGCAATTCTCCTGTCTCAGCTTCCCAAGTAGCTGCTATTACAGGCGCACGCCATCACGCCCAGCTAATTTTTGTATTTTTAGCAGACATGGGGTTTCACCATGTTGGCCAGGCTGGTCTCGAACTCCTGACCTCAGGTGATCCACCCGCCTCGGCCTCCCTGAGTGCTGGGATTACAGGCGTGAGCTACCACACCCGGCCTCAAACACATCTTTGATGCCTGGTCAGGTGGTGTGAGTGGATGGAGCTGACTACAGTCTCTGCCCTCAGAAGTGATCACATGCTGAGATGTGGACAGCTACAACAACTGGCTCAGAAGTGGGTACAGCAGATACCAGAAACATGAGCCACACAACCCTAAGACTCTGCTTGAGCTACTATAGGAAAGAGGTGTTCTATTCTCTATGGAGTTTTATAAGCCTGTAGTTGCTGGGGGTATCTTTTCCCCTAGTAAAGGGACAGTCTGTCCATCAGCAAAGCCAACATGAAGAAAAGCAGAGCCAAAAGATACAAAAAAAAATCTTCCTTTTAACATCATCTGTCTATCTGGATCTAGCCATGCTGAAAGCTAATCCTCTCCAATTTTCAGGCACCAAAAAATCCTCTTCCTGACTTAAGCCTGGTTGCTTTTATACTGAAAGAGTCTTGACTGATATGATTATTGAGTTTCTTTCTTTTTCTACAGACAGGATCTCACTCTATTATTCAGGCTGGAGTGCAGTGGTGCAATCATAGCTCATTATAACATGGAATTCCTGGGCTCAAGCGATCTTCCTGCCTCAGCCTTTCAGGTAGCTGGGACTATAGGTGTGCACCACCAGGCCTGGCTAATTTTTTTCTTTTTGTAGGAACGGGGTCTTGGTACGTGCCAGGCTGGTCTCAAACTCCTGGCCTCAAGTGATCCTCCTGCCTCAGCCTCCCATGTAGTTGGGACTACAGATGTGTGCCACTATGCCTGGCTAATTTCTTTAAAAAATTTTTTTTTTGCATAGATGGGCTCTCGCTATGTTGCCCAGGCTGGTCTCGACCTCCTGGCCTCAAGTGACCCTCCCATTTCAGCCTCCCAAAGTGCTAAAATTCCAGGTGTGAGCCACCACGCTAAGCCTGATTACTGAATTTTATTTATTTTATTTATATTATTATTATTATTATTATTTTTGAGACGGAGTCTTGCTCTGTTGCCCAGGCTGGAGTGCAGTGGCGCGATCTCAGCTCACTGCAACCTCTGCCTCCCAGGTTCAAGCAATTTTCCTGTCTCAGCCTCCCTAGTAGCTAGGACTATAGTTGCACGCCACCACGCCCGGCTAATTTTTGTATTTTTAGTTGAGACGGGGTTTCACCATATTGGTCAGGCTGGTCTCCAACTCCTGACCTCAGGTGATCCACCCACCTCGGCCTCCCAAAGTGCTGGGATTACAGGTATCAGCCACCGCACCCTGTCGACTCCTGAGTTTTAATATGTGCCAGGCCCTGTAAACAAGGTCATGGGCAAAACCCAGCAATGATTCCCTACACTGACATAGTTCAAAATAGGGCCCCTTTTCCAACCTGGATCCAAGCTATCTTTGGATGGTGTCTTCAGCATCTCTTCTGGCTCACACTCTTCCTCCAGATCATCCTCTGTTTGCTCTCCAGGGCTCAGGGAGTGAATCTCACTAGGTGTGGACACATACGTATCCTGCCTAAAGCCAGGAATGAGGATGGTAAGGAGAGAATACAGGCAAATGGGCTGGTGGTGGGGACTTGCCTAGGGCTGGGCCCTGTGCTAAGCTCCATGTGAACATATTCTTGGCTGCTGGTCAAGATGGTGCTGGCAAGTCTCTCACTTGATGCCGTCTCCCCACTAGAAACACATCACCACAATAGATGAGATTAACAAAGGCCAGGCTACAAACGAATGCAAACTCTCAGGGCCACAGCAATGGGACAGAAAGCCAAGCAGACAGCGGGGCTGCAGTCCTGTGCTGGGCTTCCTGTAGGTGGTAGCAATGATGGTGGCTCTTCCCGAGTACGGGAAACTAAAACACCCTTGGCATGAGGCAGGCACTGAAGCCAGGGCCCTGGTTCATAGCTTGGGGGTGGAGTGGGAGCCTCAAAAGCAAGATATCTCTAACACCACCTCAGGACCTCAGGACCAGTGGCCCATGTCAAGGCCTGGTCTCCACATTGCCCTGGGAGCCACATGGAGCCAATGGCAAAAACAGACACACCCAGCAGCAGAAGAGAAGAAAACCAAAAAACCTCCCACTCAAAATGAGCAATACCCAAACCAAAACCTCAAATCAAAAACCAGAACATGAGTTCTCTGCAAATAAAATTGGCTTTGCTACATAAAGACTTGAAAGAAATATATTTAGAAGATTCAAAGAAGTAAGTGAAGCTACAGCTTTCACGTGGGAGTAAGAGGACACGTGGCCCCACTGCAGCCCTCCCCTCAGATCCCCTGTCTACCCACCCCTCCCCTTGGCTGGCCGGTCAGGGACTGCTCTGTTCCCACAGCCGCTTGGGGCATCCCCCATCACAGTGCTGAGAGGCTCGCCAAACACTTTGCTTTTCCACTTTAATACCCTTCTCATAGCCGGGTGCAGTGGCTCACACCTGTGATCCCAGCACTTTGTGAGGCCAAGGTGGGAGGATCACTTGGGCCCAGGAGTTCAAGACAAGCCTGGGCAACACAGCAAGACTCTGTCTCTATTATTTACGAAAATTAAAAAAATCCACAAAACCTTTTTGTATCTATTACTGTAACTGCATATTCAAAGTCTGTCTCCCCTACTCAGCTGTGAGTGTGCTAAGGGCAGGGCCTAGGGCTGTCTTGGCCACCACTGTGTCCCCAGCATCACTCCATGGGGCCCTGGCAGGGACTCATCCCTCTGGTGGACAGGCAGGGGCTGCCAGGACCTGGGGTGGCCACTCCGCTTCTTGTCATTTGTGTGCTGCTGCTGCTGCCGGTGGTCAATCTCCAGCAAGTGCTGCTTCATGCAGTTGGTGATCTCCGGGCCCAGGTGCCAGATGAACACGCAGCTGCGGAGGTCAAAGAGAGACACACAAGGCAGAGGAAGAGTAAGCATGGGAGCCGCTGCCGTGGCTGACCCTGAAGCCACCCACACCACAGCCTGGACCCCATTCTCCAGATGCTCCTGGAAAACACACCCCTATCCGCTTAGTGCAGGGGTGCTGGACTTGCCACATCCACACCCTGGGCCCAGGTCTGGGGCATCCCAGCAAACCAGGGCCTGTTCTGGAGGCCTCAAGACCTGAGGAAGGGGGCTGTGGGGAAGAACTGGGGTAAATCAAAGGGAGTGACAAAAGGGACTTCCTTGAGTACCACCCATGTGCTAAAGAATGTATGTATATCATCTCATTCATTTCTCACCATACAATTTTCTTTTTTTTTTTTTTTTGAGAGAGTCTTGCTCTGTCACCCAGGCTAGGGTGCAGTGACGCGATCTCAGCTCACTGCAACTTCTACCTCCCAGGTTCAGGTCATTCTCATGCCTCAGCCTCCCAAGTAGCTGGGACTACAGGCGCCTGCCACCACGCACAGCTAATTTTTGTATTTTTAGTAGAGACACAGTTTCTCCATGTTGACCAGGCTGGTCTTGAACTCCTGACCTCAGATGATCCATCCACCTAGGCCTCCCAAAGTGCTGGGATCACAGGCGTGAGCCACTGCGCCCGGCCTCATCACACCATTTTTAAGGTAAATGTAAACGGTGGTGTCTTTTACAGGGGAGCAAACTGAGGCTCAGGGGAAATAACCTGCTCAAGGTGACAAGAAAATAAATGGCAGAGCTGGGATATGTTTTTTTAGTGTTTTGTTTTTTTTTTGAGACGGGGTCTTGCTCTGTCACCAAGGCTGGAATGCACTGGCATGATCTGTGCTCCCTGCAACCTCTACCTACCAGGTTCAAGCCATCTTCCCCCTCCTGAGTAGCTGGGACTAGAGGTGTACATGACCACACCCGGCTAATTTTTTGTAGAGATAGGGTTTTGCTATGTTGCCCAGGCTGGTCTCGAACTCCTGAGCTCAAGTGATCCACCCGCCTCAGCGTCCCAAAGTGCTGGGGTTACAGGCGTGAGCCATCATGCCCAGCTTAGAGCTGGTATTTGAACTCAGGGCTGGGTGTGACACCAAGACTCCCACAATCCAAACTGGGCAGTTTAGAAATGCTCTCTACACAGGCAGGCTGAGTGCAGTGCTCATGGTATCTGAGCCACAACTCTCCCAAAGGTCCATGTCCCACCTGTCTCCAGATACTGTGATCAAGTGATGACAGTCATAGGTGAACTTCATGCTGGTAATAATTTCTGCAAACAAAGCAGAGAGGCTGCACTTGCCTTCGGAGTCAGAGGGTGTGGGCGGGTGGGGAGGCATCCCAAGCAGAGAGGCACACCCACCTGAATGGCCAAACATCTTGGCAATGCACTCGCCCGAGTAAAAGTCAATCACTGAGATGCTTTTGTCAGAGCAGCTGGTGGCCAGGAAGGTGCCTGAGGGGTCCACATGGACCTGCCAGGAAAGGGACCCACATGTCACTCCAGCTGCCTGCTTCTTCCTTATGATGAGGCCTGGGCCCCTCCCTCCCCCGTGCTGCATGCACAGCACATGGGACTCTGGCAGGGCAGGAGCTCCCGCTCCCATTCGACACGTGAAGAAATTAACAACCACCGCAGCAGTAACAACAGTAGCCAGGCCCTGTGCTAAGCACTGAACATGTGCAAACTGAACTCCTCCAGAGAACAAGTCTATGAGACAAGCTGTCTGTGTGCATTTCAAGAGATGATGCTTGCCCAAGGTCACACAGTCAGCCTGAGGCAGAACCTGAACCCATAACTGTCCTAGACCAGAGGCTCTGAGAAGGTCCCCCCTTGTCCTGAGTGACCCGTGGCTGGTGTGGGCAAACCAGGAGGGGAGTTCATGCCTCTGATTCTTCCCACCATACCCTGCTGCCACTCAAAATGGAACCCACTTAGACGCCCCACTTGGGGAAGGGCTCTGTAAATAAAGGAAACACAGCTGGGGTCACCCTCCCCACCC
This sequence comes from Homo sapiens, assembly GCF_000001405.40. Classification (NCBI taxonomy): domain Eukaryota; kingdom Metazoa; phylum Chordata; class Mammalia; order Primates; family Hominidae; genus Homo; species Homo sapiens. The sequence continues at coordinate 36,090,671 of NC_000019.10, read as the reverse complement.
TCTCGCAAGCATCCTTGTTTAACCAGGCCTGAGAAGGTGCTGGGCAGCGCGGTGCACTGAGGAAGGACCAAGGGCACAGGTCTCAGGTGTGGGCCGTCACAATAGGTGGCCCATCAGGGCAGCAGACAGACAGGGGTCTCCAACTCCTCACCTTCAGCAAGGACCCTTCGTCACCCTGGGAGCCCTTGTAGCACTTCTTCTGCTTCCCGTTCACAGTGTTGTAGACTCTGGGGAAGTAGGGGCATGTTGCGGCCAACAGGGCCCCGCCTACCCCACCACCTCATTCTCTGGCTCTTGCTGTCCTCCCCTCCCCTGGAAGCCCCCTGCTACCTCTTGTCCCCATCTGATGCCTAGACTGAAACTGAAACCCCATCTCAAGCTGAGGTTGTCCTGGGGTATCCACTGAGTTAATGTTCATCTCCCCCACACACTGCAAGCTCAGTGCTTGGCACCGCATGAGAAAGAACTGGGAAGGGGTGCAGAGCCTCTTTGCACTGCTTTGCCCTCTGCACACTCACTCTCTGCCTCCCCCTGGCTCGCTCCTCCACATCCTCCCCAGGCTAAGGTGTCTCTTCCTCCAGGAAGTCCTGCTTGATCCGCAGGTGGGGTCAGGTGTCTCCACAGGGCCCCTGGGCTCCCCCATCTCTGACCACTCTGTCACTGTCTGTGGCTGTGAGGTGGCCGTGTCCATTCTACTGGACTGTGAGCTCCATGAAGGAGGGCCTGGGGCTATCCTGGCCACTGCCATGATCCCAGCACCATCCAGCCCAGTTAGGTGCTCAGGGAATACGGGTGAATGAGGGAGTTTATGTGCCACATCAGCACCTTAGTCATCCCACACCGGCTCTAGGGAGAGCCAGAAGAAAGCCCTCTGCTGACCTGGAGGCCAGGCTTGGGAGAGCCCAGCTTCTAAGAAATACCTGCTGGTGGCCGGGCACGGTGGCTCACGCCTGTAATCCCAGCACTTTGGGAGGCTGAGGTGGGCAATATCACCTGAGGTCAGGAGTTCGAGACCAGCCTGGCCAACATGGCGAAACCTCGTCTCTACTAAAAATACAAAAAATTAGCTAGGCATGGTGGCAGGCGCCTGTAATTCCAGCTACTTGGGAGGCTGAGGCAGGAGAATCACTTGAACCCAGGAGGTGGAGGTTGCAGTGAGCTAAAATGGTGCCACTGCACTCTAGCATGGGCAACAGAGCAAGACTCTGCCTCAAAAACAAAAACAAAAAAAAACCAAGAAGGAACACCTGCTGGGTCCCTCAATTCCTTCCCAGCTTCTTGGGGACCAGAGGAACAGAGGGAGGAAAGCAGACAGCCTAGGACAAGGCAGACCAGGCCAGCTAAGGGTCCAGGGCCACCCCTTACCTCACATTGCGGTCCTGGCAGGCCACGGCCACGTACTTCTGGGTGATGTCAATGTCCATGTCATACAAGGTGGTTTTCTCTGCTACGTGGTGGGTACGGACAAAGTGTAGTCCATCCGAACCCTGGCAGGGCCGGCAGGACCTTCAGAGAATGCCCCGACAACCCCCCACCCCAGCCCCCAAGGAGGCCATGCCACCCTACCTGCTGGGCACTGCGAAAGTAGATGCTCTTGTCAGCCCCACAGCTGATCATCTGGATGTCTCTGTTGCCTAGGGGAGGAGGACGCTGTGTGTTAGGCAGGGCTGGGCCACATGGGCAGGGGACCCTAGCTGGGGAACTCCACTGCAAGAGCCATCAATCAACTGTGCTGGGATCAAGGCTTCCTAAAGGTGGTGAGGTGGGTGCTGGGTCTGGGTGGGACTCTGTAAGGTATGAGCTGTACGTGTGAGGGGGCACAGGTGGAGCTGTGGCCAAGGCAGGCTCTGCAGAGCAAGGGCATATAGAGAAACAAAGGCTGGGGACAAAGAAGGGACACCCTCTCCAGTCTGGGATTGAGATAGGTGACTTGAGTAGCGGAGTAGAGGCAGGACTGCAGCAGCGACCAGTGGAGACAGGCTGGGAGGCTCGTGCCATCAGGATCAACTGCAAGATCCACATGAGCCTTGGGCCAGGCCCCATGCATGTAGCGGGTCTTCCTGAATGCTCACCACCCATCCCACTGGACAAGCATGAACACAGAGGTTCACAGAGTCCTTGTCCCAAGGCACACAGAGAGGACAGGGGCAGGACTGAACCCAGGCATTCTCTGGTGCCAAGGTCAAAGCTGTTAAACACTGCTCTGAACCTGGGCCTCCCCTTTGAGCCTCAACTTCCGGTCCGTACAATGGGCATGGTGACAGTTCCTTCTCTGGAGAGTGATGTGAAGCCCTTGGAACAGGGACTGCCACATGGTAAGCATTAGAAACATTCTTGCTTTTATTATTCTCATTTCTTTTTTTTTGAGACAGAGTTTCGCTCTTGTTGCCCAGGCTGGAGTGCAATGGCGTGAGATGCCCCCGGCCGTCTCATTTCTTTACAGAATAACAGTTTGGTGAGGATGAAATGACAGAACAAATATAAAACTCTGAGTCTGGGCACATCACACATGCTCCTTCATGACAGGACATTTGAGAGGGTCCAGGCCTGACATACAAGTATTAGATGTTGCTCAAGGAGGAGTCATTGGCTCACAGAAGGGAGTGAGCCCCATATAAGGGAGGAAGGGTAACCTGGGAGGGACCCAGAGAAGGCCTGCAAGCCTCTGGTAATGTTCTGCTTCTTAACCTGCACGTGGTGAATCCAAGTACCGTATTTAACAATATTACGACCATGAGCAATTAGAACAGTCTCTGCTATCAACAACGTCCTAGTTCAAACCTTGCTCCTAAGAACTGTGGATACTCACTTCGGCCACCACGCCCAGCTTATTTTTTATTTTTATTTTTTTTGAGATGGAGTTTTGCTCTTGTTACCCAGACTGGAGTGCAGTGAAACAATTTTGGCTCACTGCAACCTTGGCCTCCTGGATTCAAGCTATTCTCCTGCCTCAGCCTCCCAAGTAGCTGGGATTACAGGTGTGCACCACCATGCCCGGTTACTTTTTTTGAATTTTTAGTAGAGACGGGGTTTCACTATGTTGGCCAGGCTGGTCTTAAACTCCTAGCTTCAGGTGATCTGCCTGCCTCAGCCTCCCAAAGTGCTGGGATGACAAGCATGAGCCACCACGCCCGGCCTATATTCTTCTTTTTTTTTTTTTTGAGACAAAGTCTCGCATTGTCACCCAAGCTGGAGTGGAGTCACTGGCGCAATCTTGGCTCACTGCAACCTCCGCCTCCCGGGTTCACACAATTCTCCTGCCTCAGCCTCCCGAGTAGCTGGGATTACAGGTGCACACCACCATGCCTGGCTAATTTTTTTGTATTTTTAGTAGAGATGGGGTTTCACTATGTTGGCCAGACTGGTCTCGAACTCCTGACCTCATGATCTACCTGCCTTGGCCTCCCAAAGTGCTGAGATTACAGGTGTGAGCCATGGTACCTGGCCATTATTCTTTTTTTTTTGAGACAGGGTCTCACTCTGTTGCCTAGGCTGGAGTGCAGCCTCCACCTCCCAGGTTCAAGCAATTCTCCCACCTCGGCCTCCTGAGTAGCTGGGATTACAGAAACAACACCCCGCCCAGCAAATTTTTGTATTTTTAGTAGAGACGGGGTTTCACCATGTTGTCTAGGAAGGTCCCGAACTCCTGACCTCAGGTGATCCACCCTCCTTGGCCTCCCAAAGTGTTGGGATTACAGGTGTGAGCCATTACACCCGGCCCCAGTCATTATTCTGTATACTGTACACAGATACTGTATTCACTTGTTTGGATATATATTTTACAGGAGAGTTGAAAGAATGAATCCTTTTTTAGCAGGGTAGCTAGCAAGGCGCAGGGAGCGGGAAGAAAGGGGCTCACCAGCGAACTTGATGGCGGTGATGGAGGAGGAGTGGTCATCCAGCGTCTGCTCCAGGTTGTAGTTCTTCTCCACGTTCAGCACATGGATCAGCCGGTCCCGACTGGCTGAGGCCAGCAAGGTCAGCCCTGTGAGAGGAGAGAATGAGACTGGTTCCTGAAGGCTGCGTGGGTGCCCTGGCCTCCCAGAAGGGCAGTGTGACCAAGCTGCCCAGTCCTCGGAGAAGGGGTCTTTGGTTCTTCAACTGTAGCCAACTTGGCCCAAGCCTGGCAAGGGCCACTCCCTTAGCTCTGTGTGGTCTTTCCCAGAGCCCCCACACCCTGGCATTTCACCTCCTCACCACCAGCTCAGGGAGGATGAGTCTCGATGGGCGCATGGACGCTCCTCCAGGGACATCCACAGCAGACGCCCCAGCAGAGCCCAGCGCTCTTGCCTGCTGGGTCTGTGCTGGGTAAAGCCCTGGCAACCTCTCAGCCTCTTCCAAAACCAGTGTCCTCTCACCCTCTGAGGTCTGGCTACCTGGGCCTTGTTCAGGTCCTATTGACTGCCTGTGGCCAGACTCCCATCTGCCACCAGCCTTCCCTACTCTGGTCACTTGCTATGTCTGAGGCCTAATAACATGACCTGAGGCAGAGGGGAGATCAGGAGAGGCGAACCGAGTGAAGATATGTTTCAAGACAAGTTGGTGGGGCACACAGCATGGGGGATGAGAGAACGAAAGAAGAACATGGGGAAAATCACATCAGGATATAACTCCACCAACTCTGTAACTCCCAAAGTGCTGGGATTACAGGCATGAGCCACCGTGCCCAGCCTAGAAAACATCTTGAGGAGCCGGGCATGGTGGTTCACGCTTGTAATCCCAGCATTTTGGGAGGCCAAGGCGGGTGGATCACCTGACGTCAGGAGTTTGAGACCAGCATCGTGCAATACCTTCTATGCTAAAAATAAACAAGAAAAAGGACACAAAATGCTACCATATATCATCCATATATCATCTGGGTGACAGAGCAAGACTCTGTCTTGAAACAAACGAAATCTTCACTTGGAAATCTTCTCCTATCTCATGATCTCATCTGATGGCCCAGAAGGAATTTTCTGTTGTTTTAATGAAGAGGACCATGAGGTCTGGAGACCCTACTATGGTCCTAGCCTTCAGCCTAGGCTAACATGGTGAAACCCCGTCTGTACTAAAAATACAAAAATTAGCCGGGTGTGGTGGGGGCGTGCCTGTAATCCCAGCTACTCTCGAGAGGCTGAGGCAGGAGAATCGCTTGAACGCAGGGGAATCGCTTCAACCTGGGAGGCGGAAGTTGCAGTGAACTGAGATCGCGTCATTGCCCTCCGGCCAGGGCGACAGAGTGAGACTCTTGTCTCAAAAAAAAAAAAAAAAAAAAAAAGGTCAGGTGTGGTGGCTCATGCCCTAATCCCAGCGCTTTGGGAGGCCAAGGCGGGCGGATCACCTGAGGTCAGGAGTTTGAGACCAACCTGGCCAACATGGTGAAACCCCATCTCTACTAAAAATACAAAAATTGGCCAGGCATGGCAGCAGGCACCTGTAATCCCAGCTACATGGGAGACTGAGGCACGAGAATCACTTGAACCAGAGAGGTGGAGGCTGCAGTCAGCAGAGATGGTGCCACTCCCCTCTAGCCTGGGTGACAGCAAGACTCCATCTCAAAAAAAAAATTGAGGAATTTGGGTGAAGCCTATGGGGTGTTCATTATAATATTCTCCCAATATTTCTATAGGCTTCAAACTTTTTGAAAATAATGCCTAACAATCAATCTATCTTCTCATTCACAATTCACTCATTCATACATCCACCCCTTTGGCTTGGGTGCTGGCACCAGCAGCGGGCAAGTCAAGCTGAGTCCTGCCTGCGGGTGTCTTGCTTTCTGAAGTCCCAGCCACTCTGGTCTCAGGGTCCAGCTACAGGGGCCCTTACCGAACACAAAACTCCCAGCTGTCATCCACAGTCCCACCAGACACCAACTACCCCTTTCTGTGGCCCTGCCAGGGGGGCTGCCTCCCTGCCTGACCCCCATTCCACCCCTGCTGCGGGCTCACCCGTCTCTGGCTTGGAGTACTCCAGGCACAGCACCTCAGCATCATGGGCCTCCACCTTGACCAGCTCGTCCATGAAGTGCAGCTCGTGGATCCTGGGAGACACACACCGCCCGCTGAAGCCCCACACCCCAGCCCCATGTGCTCTACCACTTCTAGAATAGGTCAGAATGGCCAGGCCACCAACAATGAGAACCCCTTATCATGGCCAAATACTCTAGACATGCACAACCACTTTTCTCATTTAGAAACCTGCCATCGTAAAGGGAGCCGTGTTGAACCAGGGAGCACCTCAGCAGGCAGCAGCCCCTTGTGGTGCCTGGGCCAGAACAGAGCCCCAGGGATCTAGGACAGTCTTCTAGGGGGGCAGGTGTTTACGTAGGGCTGCATCAGAGGTGGTCCCTGGGGTAGGACAGGGGCCAGGGGCTAGGGGCCAGAGGTCATAGTCCAGGATAGGAGCTATGGATGAGAACATTTGATTCCAGTCTCTCATTGTTAAAAGAGTCTCAAATCTAGACCTTCCTGATTCTCCCCAAATGAAATCAGTCATCGAGTCATCCCAGCTTCTTCATTCTACCCGTGTGATCTTACTCCAGACACCTTGTGCCAATAACATCACTTACATCAGGGGTCAGTGAGAGGATTAAATCAGTCAACACAGTGCTCAGGCCAGCGCCCACCAAGGGGGAAGAGCACTATCCCCATGTTGGCTCTTGGTACCGTTTTGCCACTCCAGACAGTGCCATGTCAATGTAAGCAGCTCACTGACACACTGAGCTGGTCTCATACAGTGACTGATATCAAAACAGGTGCCAATATTTAAAAATTATCGAATTTCACAGAAAAAAATCGGCACTTTCTGCTCTTCTTGACAACAGGAAAGTTTGAAAACTTGTAGCCTACTCTCCTGGGGCTGCCTGGTGGCTGCTGCCCCTTTATGTCCCCTCTAGTTTCCCCCAACTCTCCTCCATTCCCCAGTGGCTCCAATACCCAGGTGGTCACAGCTGTCATTTGTCATCTTAAACCTGGTCCCAGCAACAGGGCCTATGTCCCACTAGCACCTACTGGGTTGGTAACATCCTGCCAAACCTCAACAGGGCACATAAGCAGCCTGAACTCTCAGCTATCCCACCCTCATAGCCCCTCTCCCAGAGCCACCAGGACCCTCCTCCAGCTGGCATCTTCGGTGACAGTTCAGCACTGGTACCATGTGGCTGGTGAAAGTGTCACGCTGCCCTAGAGTCATGTGAGCTTGCCTGTACACTCTATAGGCAAAATCTGCACACCCTAGCTGCTGAGGTCCTGGTAGTTACTCTGCTCTCAGCCCTTCTGGAAGCCTCTTACGAGCTTAAGTTCCCAATGGGAGCTGTTCATGGGATTACTATTCACAGCCCCTCATTCCCAATGGGCAGCAGGAGGTGCCAAGGCCAGGGCTTCTGCCCACTGCCCTGAGAACCTGAGCTGGAGCTGGGAGGTGTACACTGGACACTGCCAGGGCCCACTTGCCTCAGATTTCCACTTCGGTCGCCTGAAGCCAAATGCTGGCCGTCAGGACTGACCTGCATGACCCGCACCCCGGCTTTCACGTCCATGGGTGTCCCATTCTCGCTCCCCCGGTCTGGGAAGTGTGACATGTCCTGCAGGTGCTGGATGTCATTCTCCACGTACACGACCTTCAGCAGGGTCTGCAGGAAGGACAGGGCTGAGGTCAGCACGAGCAGCTCAGAAGCACCTCTGAAATCGTGTCCCTCCATAGCCAGTCTCTTCTTCGTTAGTAATACAACTCTAATTTTGAGCTGGGAGTTTCACCAATCAGAATAATTATTTCCTTGCCTCCCCTGCAGCTAGATAAGAATATGTGAATAAATTCTGAACTATTAAATATAAAGCAAGCACGTATTCTTCTGCTGTCTTTTCTCCATCCTGCAGCCTGGAACTCAGATATGATAGCAGGAGCCCCCATAGCCACACTGGGTCATGAGGACATAGCCTGCTCCCTCAAATGACAGAGTAGAGAGCTGGAAGGCCCTTGGATCCCTAAGGGCTTCCTGCAGAACGGTCTAAACTGGTTACCTTCAGACTACTTTCATGAGTCAGAAACCTAACTTTTACCTCTTGTTTTGAGTTTTTCTATTGTGTGCAGCCAAAAACAGCATGTATGTCACAGGTACAGAGGAGACGATGGTAGCACTGGGTAGGGAATGAGGGGAGTAATAAAGGTGCACCTGCAGGGCACCTGCTACAGCCTCCTGCATGGAGGGTCTTTTTAGTTCCAATCACACTGGCCTCTTTCAGGTTTTCCAATTCACCCAGCTGTTTCCCACCCCAGGGCCTTCATACAGGCTATTCCCTAAGTATAGACCCTCTCCCCTTCCCTCTTTACTCTTCCCAATCTCAACTTAGCTGTCCCTTCCGCGGGAAGCTGCTCCGGATGTCCCAGATAAGTTCACATGCTGCTGCTCTATGTCCTACTAGCACCCTGCACATTTTCCTTCACAGTGCTTTTCGCACTTGTGATTGTGCATTAACATGGTCGGCTGTCAGTTCACTGTCGGCCCTCACTAGATTGTGTGTGCCACAGGACAGAAGAGTCTTAGTCACTGTTGTGTCCCTAGCATGTAGCCAAGCACCTGGCATGGACGTTAATAAGTGTCTGCAGAATAAATGAATGCATGACTCAGGTCTCAGCTCCCCAGAGACGCCCTCTCACTGGGCTTGCAATACTAACCAAAATTTCCTCAGCAAACTTTTCTTCCCAGCCTCCCATCATGGCTCTCGCCAGCATTCTGCCCATACCCCCGTGAGGCCTCACTGTGTGGCAGCTGAATGGGCTGGCTCATCAGGTGCTCTCCCAGGGAATTCCATCTCAAGACTTAGGAAGCAATTTCACCTGGGCTGGGTGTGTTGGGCTGCCGGGAGTGGCCACGTCCACACATCTGCAGAGCAGGAGCCAACTGGCAAAGAATCAGAGAGGATAGAGCGTGCCACCTCAGAGAGGGGGCAGGAGAAAGAGAAACAAGAGGCAGTGATGCAGAGAGGGACCTGCCTTGGTTGCCGGCTCTTGCCCTCATGGAACCTAACATCTAGGGTCCATCAGACTCTCTCCTGCCCCTGCATTCAAGCTTACAGTAGGTCTTTGTTCCTCCTGAAAGATGGTTCACAAAGGAAGCCACTCACATTGCTGAAGATGTTTTTCTGCCAGTGAGAATCAGGGCTGCTGTCCAAGTTCCAGAAGCGAATGGTGTTGTCTGAAGAACAAGTCAGAAAGGATCCTGATGGCAAACAAGCTCTCTGGTCTTCAAACTCAGGATACACCTACAGTTCCCAGAGGACAAGGCAAAGGATGACTCAATGACAGCACTATGACTTACTGTTGCATTTTCATGGAAAAAAAAAAAGTAAGTTAAAGATAAACAGGTATCGTGCAATACCTTCTATGCTAAAAATAAACAAGAAAAAAAAAGGACACAAAATGCTACCATATATCATCCATGTCCCACCTTCAGCCTAGGCCTTAACACATACCCTCAAATAAACTTCCAAGGGAAATGTGGAACTCAATCAAACATGACTAAGCACAAAAGAAAACGAGGTACCATCAGCAAGAAGCAGCAGAAGCAACAGAGTCTAGCAAGACTTTAAATACTGGAATTATTAAATCAGGGGAGGTGGCGCATGCCTGTAGTCCCAGCTACTTGGGAGGCTGAGGCAGGAGGACTGCTAGAGACCAGCAGTTCAAGTCTACTCTGGCCAACATATGAGACTGTGTCTCAAAACAAACAGACAGACAAACCAAAAACAAAATAAAAAAACCCAAATTGGAATTATCAGACAGAATATAAAATAACTACATTCAATATGTTTGAAGAACTAAAAGATAATTTTGACAAGATTAAAAGTGTGCAGCCAACCAGAAATTATAAAGATTAACCAAGCAGGGCTGAAAAAGACCAAAACAGAACAGCTTCTAGAAATGAATAATAAAAACATATTGGCCGGGCGCGGTGGCTCATGCCTGTAATCTCAGCACTTTGGGAGGCTGAGGTGGGCGGATCACCTGAGGTCAGGAGTTTGAGACCAGCCTCAACATGGAGAAACCCCGTCTCTACTAAAAATACACAATTAGCTGGGCGTGGTGGTGCACACCTGTAATCCCAGCTACTCGGGAGGCTGAGGCAGCAGAATTGCTTGAACCTGGGAGGCTGAGGCAGCAGAATTGCTTGAACCTGGGAGGCGGAGGTTGCAGTGAGCCAAGATCGCGCCATTGCACTCCAGTCTGGGTAACAAGAGCGAAACTCCATCTCAAAAAAATAAAAATAAAAAAATAAAAAATAGGCCGGGCATGGTGGCTCCCGCCTGTAATCCCAGCACTTCGGGAGGCCGAGGCGGGAGGATCACGAGGTCAGGAGATCGAGACCATCTTGACTAACACGGTGAAACCCCGTCTCTACTAAAAAAAAAAAATACAAAAAATTAGCCGGGCGTGGTGGCAGGCACCTGTAGTCCCAGCTACTCAGGAGGCTGAGGCAGGAGAATGGCGTGAACCTGGGAGGCGGAGCTTGCAGTGAGCCGAGATCACGCCACTGCACTCCAGCCTGGGCGGCAGAGGGAGACTCCGTCTCAAAAAAAAAATAATAAAAAAATAAAAACATTAAAAACCAAAGATTAGATATAACTGAGGAGAAAATTAAGTGAACTGAAAGACAAAACTAAAGATATTTAGAATGAAGCTGAGAAGGACAAAGAGCCACCATATAAAGAGATTTCAAAATACGGAAGATTGAGAACTGGGAAGATGATAGTAGCGGCATTAATTTTTTTAATCTCCCAAAATCTCGACATAAGAAAAACATCAACCAGATAGCAAAACCCAAACCTACAGACAACATTTATAGCAAAACTCAGTGACAAAATACTCCCATAAACCCCAAAATACAAGTGAGTGGGACAAACCACCACCAATCACAAGACCTACATATCATCAGCATGCATGTGGGAGACAGAGAAGTAATAAGGCATCTGACAGACCCAGCAACAGGATAATTCCAAAGTAGCCAAGAGGTGTTCATTGGAAAGCACACTGGGCCAAACTGAACAGCAGCTGAAAGTAGGAGGGTTTCATCCACCCCAACAGCAGTTGAGTGCAAGGGGTAAGGCCTAAAGGGACTGGAGAAGATCCTGTGAACTTTGTCCTTCCAGGACAAAGCTCCACACTGAAGAGAAACTGCTAAGAGTAGAAATGAAATTGACCAATCACAACAGGGACAGAAGAAATAAAGTAAAGAGGAGATTGAGACGAAAGAAGAGACATAACAGATAAAGAGGACCACAAAAAGGAAGTATCAGAAAGCAGGCTGCCATATTTTAACACAGTATAAAAATAACAGAAGCCTGCAATCCCAGCACTTTGGGAGGCTGAGGCAGGAGGACTGCTTGAGCCCAAGTTTGAAACAAGCCTGGGCAGTATAATGAGATCCCATCTCTACCAAAAATAAAAAATTAGCTGGGCATGGTAGTGCATGCCTGTGGTCCCAGCTACTCGGGAGGCTGAGGCAGGAGAACTGCTTGTGCCTATGAGGTTGAGGCTTCAGTGAGCTGTGATCATGCCACTGCACTCCAGCCTAGGTAACAGTGAGACTCCTTTTCAAAAACAAAACAAAACATGCCACCCCACCCCCACAAAAAAAAGAAAAGACAGAGTTCTTCTTGTGTAGTTGGAAAATCTGTCCTGAAGCACACCAACTTCTAAAATTTCAGAAAAACTGGTATCACATAAAAATGAACAACAGGAAAGGACCAAGGTCAAATCCAATAGTTACTCTTAAAAAAGAAAAAAAAAAAAAAGCACAGCAGAAACATATTTTCACAAAAAAAGATAAAAACTATAACTTACTTTGTTTTTTTTTTTTTTTTTGACAGAGTCTCGCCCTGTCGCCCAGGCTGGAGTGCAATGGCACGATCTTGGCTCACTGCAACCTCTGCCTCCCGGGTTCAAGCAATTCTCCTGCCTCAGCCCCCCAAGTAGCTGGGATTACAGGCGCCCGCCACCACGGCCAGCTAATTTTTTGTATTTTTAGCAGAGACAGGGTTTTGCCATGTTGGCCAGGCTGGTCTCAAACTCCTGACCTCAGGTGATCCACCTGCCTCGGCCTCCCAAAGTGTTGGGATTACCGACGTGAGCCACCACGCTGGGCCTACTGTTTCAAAAGAAGGTAAAAGATATTTAAAAAATGATCCAAGGTATGAAAAACAACCTACAAAAACTCAGAAACAAAGTGATGTAACTGAAAGAAAGAACTACGTCAGGCACAGTGGCTCACGCCTGTAATCCCTGCACTTTGGGAGGCCGAGGTGGGCAAATCACTTGAGGCGAGGAGTTTGAGACCAACCTGGCCAACACGGCGAAACCGTGTCTCCACTAAAAAAACAAAAATTAGCCAGGCATGGTGGTGCGTGCCTGTAATCCCAGCTACTCAGGAGTCTGAGGCAGAAGAATCGCTTGAACCTGGGAGCCTGAGGTTGCAGTGAGCGGAGATCATACCACTGCACCCCAGCCTGGGCGACAGAGTGAGACTCCGTTTCAAAAAAAAAAAAACAAAAAAACTTGTACTTACATGTTCATAGCAGTGGTATTCGCAACAGCCATAAGGTAGAAAAAAACCCAAGTGGCCGTCAACTGATAACAGAGAACAAAATGTGTTCTATCCGTACAATGAAATATTATTCCACCATAAAAAGGCATGAAGTGCTGACACATGCTACAACATGGATAAATCTTGAAAACATTATGCTAAGTGAAAGCCAGGCACAAAAGCCCACATAGTCTATGATTTCACTTATAAGGAATATTCAGGTCAGGCATGGTGGCTCACGCCTGTAATCCTAGCACTTTGGGAGGCTGAGGCGGGCAGATCACCTGAGCTCAGGAGTTTGAAACCAGCCTGGGCAACATGGTGAAACCCTGTCTCTACTAAAATACAAAAAATTCATCAGGCATGGTGGCATGTGCCTGTAATCCCAGCTACTCTAGAGACTGAAGCATGGGAATAGCTTAACTCGGGAGGTGGAGGTTGCAGTGAGCCGAGATTGTGCCTCTGTATTCCAGTCTGGGTGACAAAGCGAGACTCCATCCAAAAAAAAAAGAAAGAAAGAGGAAAAGAAAGGAAACAGCCTGGCATGGTGGCTCATGCCTGTAATCCCACCACTTTGGGAGGCTGAGGTGGGCGGATCACGAGGTCAGGAGATCGAGACCATCCTGGCTAACATGGTGAAACCTCGTCTCTACTAAAAATACAAAAAATTAGCTGGGTGTGGTGGCGTGTGCCTGTAGTCTCAGCTGCTCAGGACGCTGAGGAAGAAGAATGGCGTGAACCCGGGAGGCGGAGCTTGCAGTGAGCCGAGATCGTGCCACTGCATCACTCCAGCCTGGGCGACAGAGTGAGACTCCATCTCAAAAAAAAAAAAAAAAAAAGGAAGGAAGGAAGGAAGGAAAGAAGGAGAGAAAAGAAAAGATTCAGAACAGGCAAATCCATAAAGACAGAAGCAGATTAGTCATTTCCATGGATGGGGGGAGTGGGGAATGGGGAGGACTGCTTAACAGATACAGGATTTTTTGGGGTGGGTGGGTGATGAAAATGTTCTGAAACTAGAGAGTAATGATGGCTGCATGACACTGTAAGTGTACTAAATGCCACCAAATGGTACAATTTAAAATAGTTGAAATGGTGAACTTGATGTCATGTATATTTTATCATTTTATATATATATATACACACACACACATACATATATACACACATATATAATTCCCCATTCCAAAATAAACAGGGGTCAAAAGGGAGACACTATAGTATATAATGGCTACATATTCAGATCCTGTAAATATAGTATAACTATTTTAAAAATTGGAGAGAACAGAGAGAACATATGCATTACAATTGTTTTAACTATCTTCAGAATTGAAAAGTTGTCCATTCTCAGACTGTTGCATGTATAATGTGGGAAAAAGCAAATGAGTTACTGGGGATATTCTAATTCCACCATCCCCTGTGTCCTTAAGAACTAGGCTTCTGGAAGAACGACCCAATAGCGATGAGCATCCCTAACACCCAACCTGTGATTCTGAAGTCCCAATTTGTACTAAAAAAAAACCCTGGCCTTCTCTTTCTCTTTTTTCTTTTTTTTTTTTTTGAGATAGGATCTCCCTCTGTCACCCAGATTGGAGTGCAGTGGCTTGATCTTGGCTTACTGCAACCTCTGCCTCCCGGGTTCAAGCAATTCTCATGCCTCAGCCTCCCAAGTAGCTAGGACTACAGGCGCCTGCCACCATGCCCGGCTAATTTTTTGTATTTTAGTGGAGACAAGGTTTCACCATGTTGGCCAGGTTGGTCTCAAACTCGTGGGCTCGGGTAATTCCCCTGCCCCAGCCTTCCAAAGTGCTGGGATTACAGGCATGAGCCACTGCACCCAGCCCAAAAAAAAAAACATGGTCTTTTCGAGAAATGGTTGATTCCTGATGTGTGACAGGAAATGTACAAGATGAGACTGGAACATATTGGCATCCCAGGCAGCAAGGTGGCTATCAAGAAATACTAGGGTCATGTCCAAAGGGCTCAGGAGCCAATGTTAAGAGGCTCTCACTGGCCAAAGATGGGATGATATGAGCTCCAATAAAGTTAATAATTACAATAGATTAAAACATATCTGATATATTTAAATATATATGAGTTTATAATGATATTAAATAAAACTAGTTACCTTTAGAGGATAGGGAACCAATTCATTATCTTGAAAACTGGTAAATAAAGGGAAAGAATCAAGTATTTCTCCTGCCTTTCCTATATGAAGTATAGCACTGGGTGACCAAATGGCAGATGAGAGCAAATATCTCTTCACGTAAGTAGTCCAACTAATAAAAATAAATTATAGATTTAGAATATCACCATATTGCAACCCTCAATAAATAAAAGGGTCCAGGAACTGAGCATCAATAGCTGCTAACAGGCCAGGCACAGTGGCTCACGCCTGTAATCCCAGCACTTTGGGAGGCCGAGGCAGGCAGATCACTTGAGGTCAGGGGTTTGAAACTAGCCTGGCCAACATGGTTAAACCCCATCTCTACTAAAAACACAAAAATTAGCCAGGCGTGGTGGCGGCTGCCTGTAATCCCAGCTACTCGGGAGGCTGAGGCAGGAGAATTGTTTGAACGCAGGAGCTGGAGGTTGCAGTGAGCTTAGATTGTGCCATTGCACTCCAGACTGGGCAACACAGCCAGATTCCGTCTTGGGGGGGAAAAAAAGCTGCTAACAATAATTGATAAACTCTACATATCTTTTGTGTGATTTTTATTTTCAGAAACATGAAGAATACAGATAGAACCTTAGAGTTAGATAGAACCTTAGAAGAGAGCGAATAGGCCGGGCATGGTGGCTCATGCCTGTAATCCCAGCACTTTGGGAGGCCAAGGCAGGCGGATCACCTGAGGTCGGGAGTTCAAGACCAGCCTGACCAACAAGGAGAAACCCCGTCTCTACTAAAAATACAAAATTAGCAAGGCGTGGTGGCGCATGCCTGGAATCCCAGCTACCTGAGAGGCCGAGGCAGGAGAATCACTTGAACCCGGGAGGCGGAGGATGCAGTGAACCGAGATCACACCATTGCACTCCAGCCTGGGCAACAAGAGTGAAACTCCGTCTGAAAAAAAAAAAGAGAGAGAAGAGGGTAGAAGCAGTATTGGCTGAGAATTTTCTAGAACTGATGAAAAGATCTATCCACAGATACTGTTGTTGAACAGCTATATACATAAACAATAAGGAGATGCAAAGAAAATCAACTGAAGACACCCATAATAAAATTGATAATGGTGAGGGCGAGAGAGAGCAGAACTGGGGGCAGGGAAGTCATCAATGTGGACTGTAGCCTTATCTGTAATATTTCACCTATTATCCCAAATTTTTAAAAATTTCATACAGGAATTTTAAAAGTTATTAAAAAACATTCTTTGAGTGGAAAAAAAGTGCTGTCAACAAAAACGTCAGCCCCATGAAGGCAGACAGATTCAACCAGAGTCATAGGCTGAATGCTGCCTATTCAAAAGGACAAAGTTCTTTCTCACGATCCTGAATCTGGCCACTGAAAACCCAATTTCTCTAGGACAAACATTCCCAGTAAGAAATTTTCAGCCCCCCTGCCGCAGCCCCTGCCGAGTAGCTGCAACTATAGGCGCGCCTGGCTAATTTTTATGTATTTTTTGTAAAGCCGGGGTTTCCTCATGTTGCCCAGGCTGATCTCGAACCCCTGGACTCAAGCAATCTGCCCACTTCGATTTCCCAAAGTGCTGGGACTACAGGCATGAGCCACTGTGCCTGGTTAACTTTAGAGAATTTTTAAAAACCCACAAATTCATTCTCAGAAAATAAAAACTTCAAAACTTTTTTTTTTTTCCTAGACATGGTCTCACTGTTACCCAGGCTGGAGTGTGGGAGTGTGGTGGCACAATCACAGCTCACTGCAGCCTTGACATCCCAGGCTCAAGTGATCTTCCTGCCTCCACCTCTTGAGTAGCTGGGACCACACGTGTGTGCTACCATGCCTGGCTAATTTTTAAAAATTATTTGTAGAGACAGGGTCTTGTGTTGCCCAGGCTGGTCTCAAACTCCTGGACTCAAGTGATCCTCCCGCCTCAGATTCCCAAAGTGTTGGGATTACAGGTGTGAGCCACCATGCCCCGTCTTCAACTCCTTTTTAAAAAAAGCAGTGAAATACATAAACGACCTCCACAGCAAAGCTCTCTGTGGAGTGCATGTTCCTGCCGCAGGGCCTCTGTGCTTGTGGTTCTCCCCAGCAGTTGCAGGTCTCACTCCCCGATTTCCTGCAGGTCTCTGCTCATATGTCCTCAGGGAGGCCTTCCCTGACCCCTCTCCTCTCTAGAATACCACCTGCATTCCCCTTCCCCTTCCCCGCCTCATTTTTCTTCAGAGGGTTACTGCTGCTTGGCGTGTTATTCACTGATGATGTTTCCAGGTTTCCTTTCCCATCCAAATGTGAGCTTGTTAAGGGCAGGGATTTTGTGTCTGTGTCCTCAGCACCTAGGACAGGGCCTGATGCATAGGAGGGAGTCAATGAGTATCTTCTGAAGGAATTACTGAATGGGTTCCCAAACTGTGGGGAACTGTGCAGAGGCCAAGCAGGGGCAAGGGGGTGGGGGGGGGGCTCACCTCCACGTTCCAAACGTAGGAGCTGTGGAAGAGCTCTGACCACACCTTGCCCACTCTGTTGATGTCCTTGACATCCCAGATGTAGATGCTGTGGTCCTTATACACGCAGGACAGCCACTGGTGGATGGGGTCGAAGGTCAGTGCCACTGTATCTGGGTAGACTGCTTCCGCCTTCCTGTGGAAGAGGAAGCTAACAAGGCCACATGGGTAATCAATCACCATCAATGTCACTGAGTAGTGACAGCCACCTCTAGTGACAGTGGAGATGCCTCCCCGGCAATGCCATCCCTCATGGTATTTGTGGCCATCCATCTCTCCTGCTCCAATTCTACTTTTCCCTCTTCCCTCTTCCTCTGCTTTGCTTTTCATATAGAGGCTACAAACCGGAAATTTTTGCCTGGCCCCGAGAGCAATTGAGTTTTTGATTCCTATGAACATTTATCGCCCATCATTTCACCCAACCCAAGCTCCTGCTCTCTCTCTGAGCATAGAAAGATAATAGGCATGTATCTCAGGTCCCACCTCTTCTTGGCCTCACCAACGCATGATCAAAAAGCCTCTGTGTCCTAAGGAGGCTGGGGAGCTGTCCCTTGGCCTGGGGTCTCCCTATGAAGGCTACAGTTTACTGAGCATTTACACTGTGCCAGGCCGAGAGTTTTACCTGCAATAAATTCTCACAACCACAATAAGAGCTAGGTACTGTATTTTACACATGAGAAAACGGAAGCACAGGGAGGTATAGTCACCTTCCCAAGGTCACAGAGCACAACAGAAGACAGCAGAGCTGTGAGCCCGACTACTACAACACAACACTGCCTGTGGGTTGCTCGCCCCCTCCTTTCCTTCATGACACCCAGTTCCCCTGTTCAGGCCCTGTCGTGGAAAAGGCACCCAGGAGCTAGCATCCAGAAATCCACAAAGAGGCAGCCCTAGGCACCTGGCACCCCCTGGTTAGGTAGCCCCCAATTCCATAAAACAGACTTGCAACAAAGGAGAAGAAAGCCACAGCCTAGTGCTTCTATCCACTCTCGACACAGCAGCTGAGGGACCTAACATGTAAGGCCTGGTCATTTACCCCAACGCCCGAAACCCCAGCAACTGCCCACTGACCTGAGGATAGACTACAGGCGCCCCACACTGGCCTCATCTCCCACCATCCTCCCCGGACACACTGGGCTCTGGCCACACAGTCCCTTACTATTCCTGCAACGTAACAAGCCCAGTGTGCTGTCACCTCAACTGCTGGGACCCAGCTCTCCACACAGCAGCTCCTTCTCACCAGGCACCCAATCAGCACAGCCCACCCCAGTCACTCTCCTTCCCGAGTCCCTGCTGTGTTCCCCAAAGCACTCATGCCTATTGAAATTATCTTTTTCGTGTACTTGCTTATCATCGAGCCCCCTTGCTATACTGCAGAGAGGCAGAGATTTTGCTGCTTCATTATAATAGGCATGTCCTGCTTCCAGCCCAGGGCTGGCACTTAGCAGCCACTTAGTAGGGGTCAGCCATGTGGATGGAAACACTCCGCCACATTCACACCTGCTCTGCACTGTTCTTCACCATGCTGACCGCTATCTGAAATGATATTATTCCTTTGTTTTCTCACTGTTTCTTCCCCCTACCCAGCCTCACTTCTCACTGTGAGGCTTGCCTCGGAAGGCAAGGACTTTTCTGCTTTGTAATGCCCAGGGCTGAGAGTCATGATGGGTATTTGTGGGATGGACAGACAGATAGATGGATCTGGAAGCATGGATGAATGCCAGTGGACAGACTCTGGGTGGGCCCCTCCCATTCCCTCTCCCCACAGGGCAGTACCTGGGCTCCAGGCCCTGTGCCACGTCTACCCCAAGGTAGTGTGGCTTGGGCAGGTTGGCGAGGTAGTGCAGGCTATGGGCCTGGAAGATGCGGACTATCCCATCTGTGCAGCCACAGAAGATGAGCTCCTGGCTGACACAGAGGCAGGAAGACAGGGAGACCTGTAGGGGCAAAAGGGACCCCAGTGGATTTGGTGCTTCACGTGGCCTGGCCCGGGGATATGGGGACTGACAGAGCAGCCTTAGGCCTCCAGAGAAGACTTACAGTTCCTTGGGTCTAAGACACCCATTTTAGCATATTTTAAGATTTGTGAAATCAGGATATAGCATACTGCTGCTATTGAAAGACATGTGCCAGCAGGTAGGCAGAGGCATGAACGGAAACAGAATTGTCACTGCTGTCTACAGAGAAACGTAGCTGTGTATGGAAAATACCTGTTCAGCAGACTGCAACTTCAGGTAAGTCACTTGTAGTAACAGGGTTGAATTTTAGGCTTAAATTTTTTTTTTTTTTTGAGATAGAGTTTTTTGTTGCGCCCAGGCTGGAGTGCAATGGCACAATCTCGGCTCACTGCAACTTCCACCTCCTGGGTTCAAGTGATTCTCCTGCCTCGGCCTCCAGAGTAGCTGGGATTATAGGCGGCCGCCACCACACCCAGATAATTTTTTGTATTTTGAGATGGGGTTTCACCATGTTGGTCAGGCTGGTCTTGAACTCCTGACCTCAGGTGATCCACCTGCCTTGGCCTCCCAAAGCATTGGGATTACAGATGTGAGCCATCGCGCCCAGCCTTTAGGCTTAAATTTTATTCCCTTTTGCTTACAAACAACTTCATAAAGACTGTACTCCAAAGCGGTACAGAAAAAAGTTACAGTATCTAGAAAGGACTGTCTATCCTACTAGGAAGTGCTAGACCTCTAGATACAGTTTAAGGAGTTTTTCCAAATCTACAGGGACTTAATTTATGAGTCATTTAGTGCTTAGGAAATAAACATCTATCTATTGAAAGCTTTTCACTTGCTTGAAAAAGAGAAAATGATGTTTAACCAACTAGGACAGAGATAAAACTTGGAACTCTTCCACAAGCCATTAACCTCGAAGGTGATCTCCAGAGTGAGTCACAAAGGCAGGCCAGGAACAGGAGAGGAAACCACAACGCTCGGGCGGATAGCCAAATGGGCAACTGATTCCAGATGGGAAAACAGCTTTGACTCAAACCTTCAGATACTAAAGGAAAGAAGCTCTGCAATGTATCGATAGATCATGCTTTAGTTTAAAAGTTTATGGCCGGGCGCAGTGGGAGGCCAAGACGGATGGATCACTAAAGGTCAGGAGTTCGAGACCAGCCAGGCCAACATGGTAAAACCCTGTCTCTACTAAAAATACAAAAATTAGCTGTGCGTGGTGGCAGGCACCTGTAATCCCAGCTACTTGGGAGGCTGAGGCAGGAGAATTGCTTGAACCTGGGAGGTGGAACTTGTAGTGAGCTGAGATTGCGCCACTGCACTCCAGCCTTGGCAACAAGTGAGACGCCATCTCAAAAAAAAAAAAAAAGTAAAAATAAATAAAAATAAATAAAAGTTTATGTATTTTGTGTAGTCTTTTTTGACTGAAAAGTTATTAAATCAATGGTACCTCCAATTTTTAAAAAATGCAATCCTCCTCTCCCTCTCCTTCTCCCCACGGTCTCCCTCTCCCTCTCCCCACGGTCTCCCTCTCCCTCTCTTTCCACGGTCTCCCTCTGATGCCGAGCCAAAGCTGGACTGTACTGCTGCCCTCTCGGCTCACTGCAACCTCCCTGCCTGATTCTCCTGCCTCAGCCTGCCGAGTGCCTGCGATTGCAGGCGCGCGCCGCCACGCCTGACTGGTTTTCGTATTTTTTTGGTCTCCACCAAACACAGGGTTTCGCTGTGTTGGCCGGGCTGGTCTCCAGCTCCTAACCGCGAGTGGTCCGCCAGCCTCGGCCTCCCGAGGTGCCGGGATTGCAGACGGAGTCTCGTTTACTCAGTGCTCAATGTTTCCCAGGCTGGAGTGCAGTGGCGCGATCTTGGCTAGCTACAACCTCCACCTCCCAGCCGCCTGCCTTGGCCTCCCAAAGTGCCGAGATTGCAGCCTCTGCCCGGCCGCCACCCCGTCTGGGAAGTGAGGAGCGTCTCTGCCTGGCCGCCCATCGTCTGGGATGTGAGGAGCCCCTCTGCTCGGCTGCCCAATCTGGGAAGTGAGGAGCGCCTCTTCCCGGCTGCCATTCCGTCTAGAAAGTGAGGAGCGTCTCTGCCCGGCCGCCCATCGTCTGAGATGCGGGGAGCGCCTCTGCCCCGCCACCCCGTCTGGGATGTGAGGAGCGCCTCTACCCGGCCGCGACCCTGTCTGGGAGGTGAGGAGCGTCTCTGCCTGGCCGTCCCATCTGAGAAGTGAGGAGCCCCTCCGCCCGGCAGCCGCCCCGTCTGAGAAGTGAGGAGCCCCTCCGCCCGGCAGCTGCCCCGTCTGGGAAGTGAGGAGCGTCTCCGCCCAGCAGCCGCCCCGTCCCGGAGGGAGGTGGGGGTCAGCCCCCGCCCGGCCAGCCGCCCAGTCCGGGAGGGAGGTGGGGGGAGTCAGCCCCCGCCCGGCCAGCCGCTCCGTCCGGGAGGGAGGTGGGGGGTTAGCCCCCGCCCGGCCAGCCGCCCCGTCCAGGAGGGAGGTGGGGGTCAGCCCCTGCCCAGCCAGCCGGCCCGTCAGGGAGGGAGGTGGGGGTCCGCCTCCGCCCTGCCGCCGCCCCGTCCGGGAGATGGGGGGTGCCTCTGCCCGGCCGCCCCTTCTGGGAAGTGAGGAGCCCCTCTGCCCGGCCACCACCCCGTCTGGGAGGTGTACCCAACAGCTCATTGAGAACGGGCCATGATGACGATGGCGGTTTTGTGGAATAGAAAAGGGGGAAAGGTGGGGAAAAGATAGAGAAATCAGATTGTTGCTGTGTCTGTGTAGAAAGAAGTAGACATGGGAGACTTCATTTTGTTCTGTACTAAGAAAAATTCTTCTGCCTTGGGATGCTGTTGATCTATGACCTTACCCCCAACCCTGTGCTCTCTGAAACATGTGCTGTGTCCATTCAGGGTTAAATGCATTAAGGGCGGTGCAAGATGTGCTTTGTTAAACAGATGCTTGAAGGCAGCAGACTCGTTAAGAGTCATCACCACTCCCTAATCTCAAGTACCCAGGGACACAAACACTGCGGAAGCCCGCAGGGTCCTCTGCCTAGGAAAACCAGAGACCTTTGTTCACTTGTTTGTCTGCTGACCTTCCCTCCACTATTGTCCTAAGACCCTGCCAAACCCCCTCTGGGAGAAACACCCAAGAATGATCAATAAAAAAAAATAAATTAATTAAAAAAAAATGCAATCCTCTACCAGCCAGAGTGCTCAAAGGAGAAAAGAAATGTGAAGTAGATCAAATAGTCATGGGAAAACAACTGTCACCTTGAGCCCATTTCAGGGTACCAAGCACCGTGCTCACTGCCTTGCCTATGTTATCTCACGTGACTTCCTTATCAGCTCTGCGGGGAGGGCAGCAGTACTCCCATTTTACAGATGTGGAACCTTAAGCTCAGAGAGTGGGCGTCATTCACCACTAGTCACATAAGCAGAACCTGTGTGGTCAATGCTGATGAGCACCCCTGCAGACACATATCACGAGAAAGAGTCTGTCCAGCTGATGGCAGAGAGGGAGGTGGTACCTTCAGGTTGATCCACTTCTCCAGCACCCTCTTCTCATTGAACTGGCAGAGGAGGCCCGAGTAGGACACACAGAAGGTACTGCCCGCCATCCGGCCCCGACCGCAGGCCACACCACAGAAGATGTTGTTGTGCAGCTCGCCCAGGATGCCCGAGCGCCCTACAAGGGGCACTGTGCTCGTCACCTGGAGACACAGAGGGCGTAGTGAGATACTTGTCCACACAGCTGGGCCCTGCATGACCAGATGATAGGACACAACAAAACAGGAGAACTCTAAGAAGCTCTTCCAAATGGAGAAGGGAAGAAAACACTAGAACCCTGCCACTCTGGACAGAGGGGCTGGACAGCAGCAGTCCAAGAATGAGAGCTGGTCCCAGGGTCAGGGGGTTCCTGGCAGGGCCTGTGCATCAGCACCCTGAGAGTAGGCCCAGAAGCAGCAGCTGGGCCCCTGAGAGGCCAAATGGCCCGAGACCGCTGCCCTCAAATCTCAGGGAGAAACAGGAGACCATGCTGCCACCGATGGTGACTCCCTCAGGGCCTGGCTAAAGGGGCAGGGACAGAAACTCACCTTTGTCTCAGTGGAGACTTCCAAGAACCAGAACCTCACATGGCGGTTCCCAACAGTGACAAAATAGCTGCTGTCCTCTGAGAAGGAGAGGGCAATGACTCTACAAGATACCTTGTTGGAGGCCACTACGATGTCTTTCTGGAAGAATAAGTGCAGAGAAGCTCATGCCAGCACTCATTCCACTGGACTGTTTGTGCCTTTGCCCTCAGGCTGGAACTCCCTGCTCGTCCCCACTCCAAGTCTGTCTTCCTGGGACCCTCCAGGGAGCTGCTGTATGGGGAAACCTATGTGGGGCACCCTGCTCATTCCTCACCGACAGAGGAAGGGACAGAGGCTTGGAATGGTCCCCATGGGACAGTATGTTCCAGAGCTCTCTCCAAGGGTCTAAGCTCTGCAGCCCACACATGGTATTGGGGACAGTCACGGCTGGGATGTAAGGACAACACAACCTATGGCTGTCACAGATGGGGCTCCTGCTCTGGGCCCTGCCCTGAGCCCTTCACAGGATAACCCATGAAATTTCCTCAATCCCTCAAAAGCCCCACGAGGGAGGCGCTTCTCCCCAACCCTACCAGGCTCAGAGGGGGAGATGTCATGTGCTCAAGGTCACATAGTGGGTTATGGGCAGAGCCAGGACTTGGTACCCACTTCTGCCAGCTCCACAGCTGTTCCAAAGCCCAGCCTTCCAGTGCTTATCAACTCATTAAAGTCTCACAACTCAACAAGATAAGTACTACTATATCCATCTAACAGAGGAGGAAACAGACTCACAGAGATGTTAAGTCACTTGCCTAAGGTCACAGCTGGTCAATATAAAAATATGTATAATGCTTCTAGCTGGGAGCCTGCCTTGTGCCCTACAATAAGGGATCAGCATGTCACAGGTGCTCAATAGCTGTTATCTGTTGGGTGAGTGAGCACTTTACTGCGTCCTCTCATGTAGCTCTCCCTGTGCCCAAGACATAGGATGCTGTGGCAGCTGGCTGCCTGCCACAGGCCTGCTGGTCGGCTCTTACCTTCCAGTCCCAGACGTTGAGCACCATGTCATGTTGGTAGCCCATGGACACGATGTGCTTCATATTGGGTGAGAAGGCCACACACGCCACACCATACTTGTGGCCTAGCATCTCCGCCACCTGATTCTTCTCCTCCACATCCCAGATGCGCACAGCAGGCCTATGCCCATTCTAGGGAAGGTGGGGTCGTTACTGCTGCTGGGCTCTGTACTGGGCAGGGCTAGAGGGTTGTCAAGGCCGAAGATGGCATTGCCACAGGATGTGCCCAAAAGCCACCTCCCCCATCTGCTACAGGGCTGTTCTGGCCCAGGAAGGAGCTATTCCAGGGACTCCCAGGCCTGCCGGGAGCAGAAGGAATGGCTTCCAAGACCCCCCAGCCCCCGACTCCCACTCAGTCACGATCACGACTCACCTCCCCTGTCACTATGTACTTCCCATCAGGGGAGAAGGCCAGAGCACTGAGAGACTTCCTGGGGATAAAGAAAAGAGCTGATCACTGGTTCCGCTGAGGGTGGCCAGCCAGACCCCATCCTGGCGACTCTGATAGGACTCTGCCCTCTTCTGCCTCCCAAGCCTCGGAAGAGGCCAGCAGAGGTGAGCTCAAGCAGCTCCCACAGAGCCAGTGCCGCTGGTGTGCCCAGCAAAGCACACAGAGAAATGGGGGTAAATGCAAAGGCCCCTTCCGCCCTGAGACACCAAACCCAAATGGAGTAGACACTGTATGCGGACCCTGCTTTCTTCTCCCTCTGCCGCAGTGGGTATCCTAAGACCCTATCCACCCTGTAACACTGAGAAATAGAGATGCAGGAAATGGTACAGGCCTGGCCTAACTAAACGGGTGGTGCTGATGGGAGGATCCTGGCAGGCATCACATCAAGGTAGCCTGCAGCCTGTGCTCCACTGCTAAATACTCAAGGTGTTCTGGAAAATCCATAAAGAGCCAAAATGTTTCTGATACTCCTAGCTAGCCTGCACAAGCACTGAATGAACAGGCTAGCTCGTAGGTTTCTGGCAGCAAGATTCACTGTTCCCAGATTGTATGGTTTCCTTCTACTCCCTTCTCTCTTTTAATCTTATTTTTACCTTTGTTCCTTAACAATCTAATAATTGTCTCCCTACGTGAGATGGTAAATTGGTGTGTAGATAACTAAGTAAATGTCGCTAAGTGAGACTTTGGCAACTTCATGGAATATTCATCATCAAGTCAACCTGCTTCCCAGGCTTCCCGTGGCTCCTTACTGCAACAAACAGGGCAAGCTGCCTCCTGGATATCCACTCGCCTCTCTTTCCTTACTGACATAACCCCAGTTTTATGCTTGCAACTATGCAGGTACAGCTACATGACTTAGTCTGGCCAAGGAGAAGTAAACTGACATGCTGTGTGGGACTTCCTGAAATACTCGTCAAAGGGAACCCTTTGCCCTGCTTCCTACCAGTTCCCCTCCTGAAATACGCACACGACAG
Source organism: Homo sapiens (assembly GCF_000001405.40). NCBI lineage: Eukaryota > Metazoa > Chordata > Mammalia > Primates > Hominidae > Homo > Homo sapiens. Next base: position 36,064,963 of record NC_000019.10, on the reverse strand, counting down.
CCAGAACTCCATCTTGGGCCATGAAGTGACTTCAAGACCAGAAGCCTCACAATAAATGGGGTGGAACAGGAGAGAAGGAATGGGGGCCGGGTGCGGTGCCTCACGCCTGTAATCCCAGCACTTTGGGAGGCAGAGGGGTGGGTGGTTCACTTGAGGTCAGGAATTCGCGAACAGCCTGGCCAACACGACAAAACCCCACCTCTACTAAAAATACAAAAAATAGCCAGGTGTGGTGGCAGGAGCCTGTAATCCCGGCTACTCGGGAGGCTGAGGCAGGAGAATTGCTTGAACCCGGGAGGCAGAGGTTGCAGCAAGCCAAGATCGTGCTGCTGCACTCCAGCCTGGGCAACAGACCAAGACTCCGTCTAGAGAAAAAAAGAAGTGGGGCTGGGCGCGGTGGCTCACGCCTGTAATCCCAGCACTTTGGGAGGCTGAGGTGGGCAGATCACAAGGTCAGGAGATCGAGACCACCCTGGCTAACACGGTGAAACCCTGTCTATACTAAAAATACAAAAACAAAATTAGCCAGGCGTGGTGGTGGGCGCCTGTAGTCCCAGCTACTTGGGAGGCTGAGGCAGGAGAATGGTGTGAACCCAGGAGGCGGAGCTTGCAGTGAGCCAAGATCGCGCCACTGCACTCCAGCCTGGGCAACAGAGTGAGACTCTGTCTCAAAAAGAGAGACAGAAAAAAAAAATGTGGCGTTCAGAGACACAGCCCCTGGGCTGCCCACCTCTGGACTTATGACATGCAGGAAGAGCATGCTCTTGGGTTTTAAGCCATGCTGTGGAGGGGTTTCTGTTGCCCGTAGCCACCTCTAACCTGTCGCATGCCCTGACCTTGTGCCTGGCCCTCTGGCAAATGCTGTCTGGCCATCAGTGCACTGATTCCTCAAGCATGCTTCATGGAGTCAGGGCTCTCATGAACCAACTTGGCAGATGAGGTGACTGCAACACAAGGAAGTCCCCTGCCTGCAGTTACCTAACCAGACAGGGCAGAGCCCTGACCTCTAAGCCAGTAGTTCTCAGTCCTGGCTGTACATTAGATTTCCCTGGGGAGCATCTGAAAAGTGTCAAAGCCTAAGATTAGTTGAGTGAAAGTTTGGTGAGGAACAAGATAATATTTGCACTGTCTCAGGAAAGATGTCCCCAGGATACCTGCTAATCACAAAGGTGAAAAGAGAGGCTTTGAAGTGGAGGAATCTGGCAGGCAACACCTTGGCCAAGTGCTCCCAGTGAACACCACCAGTCATAGGAGACCTCCTGAGAGGAGGCACCAGGAAGAACACAGCACCCCTTCTGGTCTGTTCCTGCCAAAGATGCAGAACCTGAGTCTGCCCGTGAGGAGGCATTGGACAAACCCAAATGCTGGGACACTCTACAAAATACCTCGTCTACAATCCTCAGTGTCAAGATTGGCCGGGTGCAGTGGCTCAAGCCTGTAATCCCAGCACTTTGGGAGGCCGAGGCGGGTGGATCACGAGGTCAGGAGTTCGTGACCAGCCTGACCAACATAGTGAAACCCCGTCTCTACTAAAAAAAAATACAAAAATTAGCCAGGCACGGTGGCGCATGCCTGTAGTCCCAGCTACTCAGGAGGCTGAGGCAGAGAATCGCTTGAACCCAGGAGGTGGAGGCTGCAGCGAGCCAAGATCGCCCCACTGCACTCCAGCCCGGGCGACAGTGTGAGACTTCGTCTCAAAAAACAAAAAAACAAAAAAAAGTGGCCAGGTGCTGTGGCTCACGCCTGTAATCCCAGCACTTTGGGAGGCCAAGGCGGGCGGATCACAAGGTCAGGAGATCGAGACCATCCTGGCCAACATGGGGAAACCCCAGCTCTACTAAAAATACAAAAATTAGCCGGACATGGTGGCATATGCCTGTAATCCTAGCTACTCGGGAGGCTGAGGCAGGAGAATCACTTGAACTGGGGAGTCAGGTTGCAGTGAGCCAGGATCCCACCACTGCACTCCAGCCTGACGACAGAGACTCCATCTCAAAAAGAAAAAAAAAAATGTCAAGATCCTGAAAGTCAAGAAAAGACAGAGGAGCCACGTCAGCCTGAAAGAGACTGAGGGGACAACTCAATGCAATGTGTGATTCTAGACAGAATCCTTTGGCCATAAAGGACATTCATGGGACAAAGGCTGACTCCTGAATGGTGCCCTCTGGGGAGTGGATGAGAGTGATATATCAATTTTCATTTCCTGATTTTGCTGGATGTATTACAGTTTAAAAAGATTGTCATTTTTTTTTGTAGGAAATACACACTGAAGTATTTATTTGATTAAGTTTTTTTTTTTTTTTTTTTTTTTTTTGAGACGGACTCTTGCTCTGTCACCCAGGCTGGAGTGCAGTGGCATGATCTTGGCTCACTGCAACCTCTGCCTCCCGGGTTCAAGCGATTCTCCTGCCTCAGCCTCCCGAGTAGCTGGGATTACAGGCGCCTGCCACCAGGCCTGGCTAATTTTTGTATTTTTAGTAGAGACAGGGTTTTGCCATGTTCCCCAGGCTGGTCTCAAACTCCTGACCTCAAATGATCTTCCTGCCTCCAAGGCCTCCCACAGTGCTGAGATTACAGGCGTGAATCACCATGCCTGGCGTGAAGTATTTAGAGATATAGGGGCATCATGTCTACAACTGATTCTCAAATAGTTCAGAACAAATTAATATGTATATAGACAAAAAATGATAAAGCAAATGTGGTAAAATGCTAACATTTGGCCAAGTGCAGTGGCTCGCACCTGTAATCCTAGCACTTTGGGAGGCTGAGGCAGGCAGACTGTCTAAGCTCAGGAGTTCAAGACCACCTTGGGCAACATGATGAACCCCGTCTCCACTAAAACACAAAAAACTAGCTGGGCATGGTGGCACATGCCTGTGGTCCCAGCCACCTGGGGGGCTGAGGCATGAGAATCACCTGAACCCGGGAGGTGGAAGTTGCAGTGAGCTGAGACTGTGCCACTGCACTCCAGCAGCCTGGGTGACAGAGCAAGACTCTGTGTCCAAAAAAAAAAAAGAAAAAAAAGCTAACATTTGTGAAATATGTGAAAGGTACATAGGTATATAGGAGCTCTTTGTACTATTCTAAGTCTGAAATTATTTCAATATAAAAAGTCTCAAAATTGCCAATGCCCAAGTTTCATCCCAGATCAACTGATTTGGCTTTCTCTTGCGTGGCGGTGGGGGGGCGGTGAGGCACAGGGACCAGGTGATTCTGATATGCAGTTGGAGTGAAAATCCCCACACTGGCCACACCACCTCCTAATGCACACCCACTGGTGGCCAAGGGCGGACACCTGCATACCATCTACTATAGATCCAGGCCACCCACTCCACTGCCTACAGGGATTAGGGAGGCAACACAGGTGTGAGGAACTGGCCACAACGGGCCTGACAAATTTCACTAAGCTCAGCCCCTCACTGCCACAGGGGAATTTGGGCCCCAGAGGCCAGAGAATTTCTCACTTCTCCAAACAAAAGGGACATTTGGATTTTTGTGTTAAAAAACTTGAAATGTTGTCCACTTATCCAACCTTTAAAACATACTATATTGGGCAAGTGTGTGTGACTCTGGTTTGTAGCTGCTGCCTTATGAATGCTCTCCCAGTTGGAGGCAGCTATTTTATTTTCAGAGGAGACCAAGGCTCTGAAAGAAGTGTCTCACCTGAGATTCCACAGTGAATAGACGCTTGAGCCAGGAATGGAACCCAGCTCTGCCCTTATCACCAGTAACAGAACCCACAGTTAGGAGCAAAAGGTCCAAAAAGCCACTTTCAAGAGGGAATGCACTTCTGTCAGATAACAAGAACCTGCCGTAGCTTAAGGACCGTACCTTAGGGACCATAAGGGCAGGAGAAAACCCACTCCTTATCCATCCACCTGGAGAACTGGGCCAAAGGAGCTGAGCCTGAGCTATGCCAAGGAGGGACATGGTGTGCCTTCCAAAGGTCACAGCCCTATTGGGACCACATCCCCAGGGTAGCAGTGATCAGTTAGCCCCAAGGCAGAGGAGCGGGTCCTTCCCCAGTAAACTTATAGCTGAAGGGATCTTTCTAAAACCCAAATCATGTTAAGTCTTTCTCTTAGAAAATAGCCATCAATATGCCAGATACTGCTCTTTGGTGCTAGGGACACAGAAATGAACTCAGAGAAAGTCCCTGCTCTCAAGAGTGCTCACACTGAGGGAGACCCACAGTGAATACCATCAATGAGGAAACTGGACAGCATATCAGAGATGGGAGCAAATTTTGTGGAGAAAAGCAAAGCAGGGAATAGAGCTGCTGGAGGGCTGGGGGTGAAAAGCACATTCCTGGCCTGTGGTGCCCTCCTGTGGCTGCTCTCTGCACTCAGCATGCTATGCAGACCCTCTACAAGGCTGCAAGGCCTACGGGATGTGGCTTCTGCCTGGTCCAGCCTCATCTTCCCTGCTCCTTTCTCCAGGCACCCAGATCCCTGGCTGCTTCTAAAGCGCCGGAGATTCTTAACCACTGCAGGGCCTTTGCCCTTCCTGTGCCCCCTGCCTGAAGCGCTCTCCCTACAGCTTCTTATGGGTCACCCTCTCGCTTCCTTCAGGTCTCAGAGTCAAGGCAGCGTTCCCTGAGCCTTCTGATAAGGCTTTCCTCCTATTCTCTGCCCACAAACCTGCCCGAAGACATCCTCCATCATTTCCTCCATAGCACTGATCATGATCAGCCCGTAATTTGCTGACTAGTTTACAGTCTGTCTCGCTCTAGCCAGCAGAGATTCTCGTCTCCTCTGGTCACTGCTGTGTCCCCAGCACACGGAACAGCACCCAGCACAGGCGAATGCTGCTGAGCCAACATGTAAGTGAATGAGTGAGCACCTACCCATGAGTATCTCCAGGCTGTGTAGGGGAGGGGAGGCGTGCCAAGCCCCTGGTTCCACCCCTGCCCCGGGCCCAGGCCTCAGCCTACCTGGCGGTGTTAAAGATGTGCTGCTGCTTGTTCTCCTTGGGGTCCAAAATCACCACCACACAGCTGGGAAGAAAGAGGAAAATGTGCCTCAACTGTGGGGAGTGTTGGGGTCCTGGGATGATTCTATTCCCACCAGAAAAGCCCACAAATAAACAAGCTCCCTCGGTTCTCTCTGGTCTCCTCCTCCTCCCCCTCCTCCAGGTGTTTACGCTGAGAATTCTAGGGCACTTTAACATTGCTATGTTCTTAAATAGAAACCAACACTTCCTCTGAGGTAATGTCTGTCAGGCCCTAGGCTAATTAAGACCTTAAGCTGGCTATAATCCCAGCACTTTGGGAGTATGGGGCAGGAGGGATCACTTGAGCTCAGGAGTTTTAGACCAGCCTGGGCGACAGAGTGAGATCTCATCTCCACTAAAAAAAATTAGCTGGCTGTGGTGGCATGTGCCTGTAGTCCCAGCTACATGGGAGGTGAAGATGGGAGGATCGCTTGAGCACAGGAGGTTGGGGCTGTAGTGAGCTGTTATTCACACTATTGCATTCTAGCCTGGGCAACACAGCCAGACTCTGTCTCAAAAAAGCAAAACAAAACAAAAAGAGAGAAAGAGGGATGTAATTGTTTTAAATCCTCACAACTGCCAGGTCAGGTCACGACTATTTAGGCCCATTTATAGATAAGGAAACAAACCCAGAGAGGGGACGTCCTTAGCACAGTGCCAGGCTACATGAGTATTTATGGAATGAACAGCTGTAGCATCTTCTTCAGTCTTCTCAACTATGCAAGCAGAGGGGGTCACCAGCTCTGTTTTACAGAGGCAGAGGAAGAGGCTCAGAGAGCAGCATACATGGCAGAGCTGGGACACAAATCCAGGTTACCTGACACCACAGCGTGGACTTTAATCACCTGTCTTTCCCAGAATCGCTGTCACCTCCCCCCTGTAGTCATAATAAAGGCTTTCATTGCACTCACTACATGCCAGGAACTGTTCTAGACAGAGAGGGGGCTATGGAATCCTCTCCACAGCTCTCAGAGGCAGGCCCCATTCTCCACATTCTACAGGTGAAAAATATGAGGCTCAGAGCGATTTACGGATGGCTTCAGGTTCCAAGCTCCAAATTCCCTAGCAATGATTAGACGTCGAGGCCCTTATCTGCTTACCCTGCCAGGTAGGCCACATGGCCTGTGCCGGGGTCACAGGTTAGGCCACTGCTGTTCTGGGCTGTGATGCCAAGCACCTTCTCGAGTGACACCTGCAAAGAAAAAGCCCAAGTCAGAGGCACCCACCCTAGCCAGCACCACATGGTGCAGCCGCCTTGGCCACCCATTCAGGTCCTGCTACATTCAACACCCACACTGAGCTTCTGTGGCCACGCCATCCACCAGCAGCTAACACTTGTTCTCTCAACATTCCTTTGACAAATACAACGCTAGGTGAAAAGCACAGAGTGGTGAGGAAGAGACAAATCCCTGCCCTCGGGGGGCTCACATTCTACTGGTGATGGGTATGTAGAACATAGAAAAGGAGCAGAACAAATATGTGAAATAGATGCCAAGTAATGATGGGTGCAAGAGAGAAGAAAGCAGATAAGGAGGTTAGGAGCACAGGGGAAGGGGGCGAATGCCGCGGTGAGAAGGTGACCTGTGAATAAGTTTCTAAGTACTTTTTTTTGTTTGTTTTTGAGATGGAGTCTTGCTCTGTCACCCAGGCTGGAGTCAGTGGTGAGATCTTGGCTCATTGCAACCTCCGCCTTCCAGGTTCAAGCAATTCTCCTGCCTCAGCCTCCTGAGTAGCTAGGATTACAGGCACATGCCACCATGTCCGGCTAATTTTTGTATTTTTAGTAGAGATGGGGTTTCACCATGTTGGCCAGGCTGGCCTCGAACTCCTGACCTCAGGTGATACACCCGCCTCGGCCTCCCAAAGTGCTAGGATTACAGGCATGAGCCACTGTGCCCGGCCTCTTAGTACTTTTATATGTATAAAAGACTTGAATCCTCCCAACAAGCCACGAAGAAGGCTCTATTATCACCCCTGTTTTACAGGTAAGAAGTCTGAGGCCCAAGATCCTACATCTGCAAGTGGCAATGTTGATATACAAACCCAGGCAGTCTGGCTCCAAAGCTAGCACTTTGGGCTGTACAGGAGAGACACAGTAGTGACCAAAGGTAGACAGTTTCCCCACATCAGATTCACAGTCCAGAAATTTGAGCGGTTTCAACGAGTAAAAAACCACATGAACAGTAATATTTAAAATTTAAACAAGGCTGGGTGTGGTGGCTCAGTCAAGAGTTTGAGACCATCCTGGCCAAGATGGCGAAACCCTGTCTCTACTAAAAATACAAAAAAATTAGTCAGGTGTGGTGGCCCATGCCTATAATCCCAGGCACTCAGGAGGCTGAGGCAGTAAAATCGCTTGAACCCAGGAGGCGGAGGTTGCAGTGAGCTGAGATGGCACCATTGCACTCCATCCTGGGCGACAGAGTGAGACTCTGTCTCAAAAAAAAAAAGGAACAAAACAGTTGAGGAAACAGAGGCCAAGAGGGGTTACCCATCCAGGAAGGGGTAGTGCCAGGATTCCAACACAAACAACCAAGCCATGGCACTCATGTTGTCTTATCTGTCGATCAGCATTACTGGGCCCTGGTATGAATGGTCACTTTTAGACTAGGTCTTTGCAAGACAGATCAACTCTGTGCTGCCAAACAAAAAAAATAAATAAATATTACCCCAAATACACAGTCATAATATCAGTATTAGCTAACATGAATAGAGTACTTGCCATATGCCAGTGTTGTTCTAAGTGCCTAGGATATGTAACCTCATTGAATCCTCACAAATACCCTATGAGAGATTTCTACATCATTATTCTCATTTTACAGATAAGAAAACTGAGGCACAGATAAGTTCATAACTTGGCGGGGCACAGTAGCTCACGCCTGTAATCCTAGCACTTTGGGAGGCCGAGGCAGGCAGATCGCTTGAGCTCAGTAATTCAAGACCAGCCTGGCCAACACGGCGAGACCCTGTCTCTACCAGAAAACACAAAAAAATTAGTCAGGTATGGTGGCATGCGCCTGCAGTCCCAGCTACTCAGGAGGCTTGAGGCAGGAAGATCACCTGAGCCCAGGGAGGCTGAGACTGCAGTGAGCCGAGATCAACCCAGTGCACTACAGCCTGGATGACAGAGTAAGACCCCATCTCAAAAAAAAAAAAAAAGAAAAGAAAAAGCGAAGTTCATAACCTGCCAGGAAGAACAGGACTAAAGTTTAAGCTCAGGCTGCCTGGGTCCAACCATACCATCAGCAGCAGTCTGTGCTCTTAGCCACTTTGCTATAACGCCTCTCTGAATTTGCTATTGTTATATGTAGTTTAATAGCTCAAAGGGCACTTTCAGGAACATATAAGATAAAGGCTATGAAGTATAGGGTGCTGGGTGACAGATGAAGGTGGCTGTTTGCTTTAGAATGGGGTTCGAGAAGGCCTTTCAAGATAGCGACATTCAGGCTGAGACTTGAAGGATGGGAAGGAGCCAGACAGGCAGATTGCAGCAAAAAGCCCAGGCTGAGGACTCACCAATCACAAAGGCCAGGAGGCAGAAAAGAATATGGAGCCTCAGGAAAACCAAAAGCAGGCCAGTGTGACTGAACCTTGGTGACAGAGAGCACATGGGAGGTACAGCCAGAGCCCTGTAGCCAGGAGTGGGCGGTATAATCACAGTGCAGGAGAAAGTCATGGGGCAGGAACAAGCTCCACCAGCAGCTACCAGGTATCCTCCCTTTATCTGGACTCCGTGCCAAGAAGATCACAATTAAAATTTCATTTCCCTCCAATGCAATAGTATAATTTATTTATTTATTTATTTTGAGACAGAGTCTCACTCTGTCGCCCAGGCTGGAGTGCAGTGGCATGACCTCAGCTCACTGCAACCTCCGCCTCCCAGGTTCAAGCGATTTCTCCCGCCTCAGCCTCCTGAGTAGCTGGGATTACAGGCGCGCGCTAGCATGCCGGGCTAATTTTTCTACTTTTTGTAGAGACGGGTTTCACCATGTTGGCCAGGCTGGTCTTGAACTGATCTCAGGTGAACAGCCCACCTTGGCCTCCCAAAGTGCTGGGATTACAGACGTGAGCTACCGCGCCCTACCAGTAGTATGGTTCTTATCATCTCCATTTTATAAAAACAGATTTTGTGCCTACACAGCTGGAAAACAATTTTTTTAATTGCCGCTGTGCTAATGGAATTCCTTCTACCTACTGTGAAATCATTTCTTTCCATTTTTCTGTCTCAGGATTTAGGGAACTGTTCTGTACGCCCTCCTCCCCAGGCAGCACTGCAGAGATTTTATAAATAACTTCTCACGTCTTTCTCATAGTTTTGAGTGACAATATGGATTAAGAATCCCACCTTGGTGAGGAAAAAGGATAGAGATCGCAGAAGGTGAGAGAAGGCGGGGTAGAAGCGAGGAAGAGTTGGGGCAGGTAACACTCTGGACCGAACCCTCGAAGGGACCTTAATGACTCAGCGGGGGCCAGGGCAGTGAGGCTGCAGTGAGCTATGATCGTGACGTCTAAAGGCGATAGAACGGGGGTTAAAATATAGCAGGACTAGGCTGTGATTTACAGAAGCAAAATGCATTTCCACGGGTGGGAACCAGCGAGGAACCCCCGAATTGCTCCAACGCTGAGGGTGGAGCCGGGAAAGCAGCGAGGAGAAAGTGGGAGGGGCCGTGGCTAAAGGGGCGGGGGTTAGGGGACGAGGCATGGCAGGGAACAACCTGAGGGGACTGGCCGGGGGCTGATGTCGGGGCCACAGTTCTCAGGACGGGACTAGGGGAAACCTAGGAAGCCTGGAACTGGGGTAGACATGGCGAGCAGCTTCTCACCCGGTTCTGCACCGTCTCCTCGGAGGCCGTCGAGAGTCGCGTCCGCCGCCGTAGGCAGATTGGTGGGGCGGGGGGCGGGGAGGACTGGCCCCTCCGCGCCGGAACTCCCGCCATGACAGAGGGCAGCTTCTCCCCTGCATCGTTCCGCGCATAGCCTCCGGACCCTACGGCCGCCATCGTCACGCCGGAGGCGGGCGACCGTTACATCCCCTAACCGCCGCTGCCGCCACCGCCACGACCCACTGGAACAGCGAACAGCCGCGGGAAAGCCGGCGCCACCGCCTATTGGACGCGACGGGCCCGGCCTAGCCAATCGCAGGGATGCCGGGCGGCGCTTAGAACCAATGGGGGCGAAGAGGCGGAGCGAGTGCCTGGCGGGGCGGGGCCACAGCCAGTGTACTGGATGCCTGATTAAGCGTCATGGGGTCTTTCATCCAGACTGCGTTTTCATTATTCGCTGAAACATACAGGTTTTAATTTTTACGAGGCTAAGGCCACGGCCGCCTCACCTCGGTTTTTGCCGCCACCTAGAGGAACTATGTGCGCCCCAACGGTTGCCCGGATGTAGGCGTAGGGTGGAGCCGTAAGAGATTGACTAGCCAGTTGATTTGGTTGGCGCAGGCTCAGAAACGCCGTGACGCCGCCCTTCCCCCCAACACGTGATGAAAGTCGGGGTGACGAAGGGCCGGCTTTGCGCAGGTGCACAGTACTCGCTATGGCCCATTCGTCACGTGACGAGGGCGGGACTGTGGCACTGTGGAGGGGCGCCTAGTAGGCAGGCGCTCTCAGCTCTCTCCCCGGTACGTGACGAGACTCCACGGACGTCACGTGAGGCAGGCGGCGAGCGCGGGTGGGGCGGGGTTAGGCGGCGCTCCGCGAGAACCAAAGTGCAGCCGCTGACCCGGCAAAACTCAGCGGGGGCTGGATAGCCATGCCCAAGTACTGCAGGGCGCCGAACTGCTCCAACACTGCGGGCCGCCTGGGTGCAGACAACCGCCCTGTGAGCTTCTACAAGTGAGCGCAGCGCGGGGCGGGGCTTGAGGGAGGCGGGACCCTGAGAGGGGTGGGGCCCGAGCATTAGTGCTGCTGTGCGGGGCTTCTGGTCTTGCTTGAGGGTGTTAGGAAGTGGGGTTAAACCATGAGGAGATGGCCTTCCTGGCAGTGTCCATTGCACATACAAAGGTGCAGGCGTGGGAAACAGGAGTAGACGATTGACTACAGATAGCGAGCGAAGCGAGCCGAAGAGTGAAAGGGATGTAAGAAGTGAAGTCGGTGCAGGCTGTTAGAGAGCCTGCAGATGCCCACTTGCCCTCCCCACGCATTTGAGCCATCTGAAACTCAGAGCATCCGAAACTGAGCTTGCGATCGTGTCTCCCCAAAACCTTCCAGTCTGTCTTATCTTAGTAGCGTGCTTCATTCTTCTTGTTGCTTAGGTTTAAAAAATGTCATCCTTACCTCTTTCGTCATACTTGGGAAAGTCAGAATTAGCTTCGACTGTAAAAGATCTGTCTCCTTATTTATCTGGCTGACATAAGCCAGTTGGTGGAAGAATTACTAGGAAAAAACATTTCTTTGCTTTTTTTTTTTTTTTTTTTTGAGACAAGATCGCTTTGTCGCCCAGGCTGGAATGCAGTGGAACGATCACAGCTCACTGCAACCTCGACCTCCCGGGCTCAAGTGATCCTCCCACCTCACCCTACCAAGTAGCTGGGACCAGAGGCACGCGCCACCATGCCTGGATAATTTAAATTTTTTTTTTTTTTTTTTTTTTTTTTTTTTTTTGCCAGGCTTGGTGGCTCACGCCTGTAATCCCAGCACTTTGGGAGGCCGAGGCGGGCAGATCACCTGAGGTCAGGAGTTCGAGACCAGCCTGGCCAACATGGTGAAACCCCGTGTCTACTAAAAATACAAAAATTAGATGGGCGTGGTGGCTCATGCGTGTAATTCCAGCTACTCCGTGGGCTGAGGCAGGAGAATCGCATGAATCCAGAAGGCAGAGGTTGCAGTGAGCCAAGATGAGGCCACTGCAATCCAGCGTGGGCAACAAGAGTGAGACTCCGTCTCAAAAAAAAAAATTTTGTTTTTAAAGAGAGAGATGGGATCACCCTATGTTGTCCAGTCTAGTCTCAAACTCCTGGGCACAAGCAGTCCTCCTGCCTCGGCCTCCCAAAGTGCTTGGATTACAGGCGTGAGCCACTGCACCCAGCCAGGAAAAAATATTTCTCTTGGACATACTGCAGATGTAAAGTGGCAGAATTCCCATCCTTTGAGTGTCTACTGCTTTCTTAGTAGGAAACTTTGGTTGTCTAAAGTCAGAGATGATCACAAACTTTGCTGTTTGAAATCACATCAAGTAAGAATGAAACATCTCACTTTTGCTTGGAGGAGCTAAGTCACTTTGACACAGAAAAGCAGTCCCTATTTACAATCCAGGTTTGGAGCTTCAGATAAGGACACAATATTCTACATCTATGTAAACTTTATTGCATCTGAGAAGACAAACCCTGGGCCCACTTCACCATCCGGACCTGATATTGATCCCTTTACACACAGTTCTGATTTGCTTTGAGGCAATCTGAACACTGCTTAGTTTACATTTCACCTAAAAAATAACTCTGTTTGTTGAGACTCCCTCACAAAACAAAGGCCCATAGGGCCTATGGCAGTGGTCCCCAACCCTTATGGCACCAGGGACTGGTTTTGTGGAAGACAGTTTTTCCACGGATGGGATAGGGTTGGGGGAATGGTTTTGGGATGAAACGCTTCAGATCATCAGGCATTAGATTCTCATAAAAAGCGGGCAACTGGCCAGGCACAGTGGCTCATGCCTGTAATCCCAGCACTTTGGGAGGCCAAGGCGGGCAGATCACGAGGTCAGGAGATCGAGACCATCCTGGCCAACATGGCGAAACCTTGTCTCTACTAAAAATACAAAAATTAGCTAGGTGTGGTGGCACATGCCTGTAATCCCAGCTACTTGGGAGGCTGAGGCAGGAGGATCACTTGAACCCAGGAGGCAGAGGTTGCAGTGAGCCGAGATTGCGCCACTGCACTCCAGCCTGGCGACAGAGTGAGACTTCATCTAAAAAAAAAACCAAAAAACCCAAAAAACAAACAAACAAAAAAAAAATGGAGGGCAACCTAGATCTCTCACATGCACAGTTCAGAATAGGATTCACACTCTTGTGAGAATCTAATGCTGCTGCTGCTCTGACAGGAGGCGGAACTCAGGTGGTAATGCGAGCAGTGGGGAGTGGCTGTAAATACAGATGAAGCTTCTCTCACTCGCTCACCTGCCTGCCACTCACCTCCTGCTGTGTGGCCCTATTCCTAACAGGCCATAGACTGGTACCCGTCTGTAGCCTGGGAGTTGGGGACCCCTGGCCTATGGTATCTCTAGTGTGCAGACTCTCCCATTGCCATTGTAAATAAATCTGACAGTGCTGGACTACAGGTTTGTCCCTGGTGGTCTTAGCCTAAGTGGGCTAGGACACATTCCTCATCCAGTCCCTCAGCAAATCCAGTTGGCTCTCCCTTTACAAACTGTCCAGAATTTGATCACTTCTAACCCTCTCCTCTTCCTGCATCCTGCTCCTGGCAATTATCACCTCCAGACTGGACTATTTTAGCAGCCTCTTCATTGGTCTCCCTGCTCCCACCGTCACCCCCAGTCTGTTCCCTGCTTGCAGCCAGAGGGAGCCTGTGAACACCTGAGTCAGATCAGCGCCCTCCTCTGCCCAGATCCCTTCCGTGACTCCCACCTCACTATAAAAAATAAAGTGAGGCTGGAACAGGTAGAAAGCAGGCCTGCAAAGTCCTACAGAGCTGGTTCCCTGATACCAGTGTGACCTCATCTCTTTCCTCCTGCCCTTCACACCAGTGACACTGGCCTACTTCATGTTCCTGTAGTGTGGCAGGCATGTTGCTGCCCTGGGGACTTTGCCTGTGTGATTCCCTCTGATTTCAAAGTTCTTGCCTTTATGACTACCACCCTATGGAAAACTGTAACTGACACCCAAACACACACACGATTCTCTCTGTCTCCTGCTTTATTTTTCTCTTTAACACATCACTGTCTGCATATTGCGTTTTCGATGTATTCATTCATTATCTCCCCCACTAGAATATCAGTTCAATCAAGCCAGAGGTTTTGTCTTTCTTTGTCTTTCTTCTTTCCTCCTGTTTGTGTCTCCAACCTCTAGAATATTGCCTGGCACATAGTAGGTTCTTAGTAAAGATTCGTTGGGTGGATTTGGTGAATGCCTTTCAGATGGGCTCTCCAGGAAAGCCAGCAGTCCATGTGTCACGGATCCTTTGAGGGACCCTGGTGTAGGGCCAAAGGGACTTTAAGCCTGTGTATGACTCTGGCAACATTGATTAATTCAGCAACTTTTTGAGTATTTCTTGGAGAAGCAAGTAAGCCCCTGCTGGACACAAAGAATCCTGACAGATCTTGTTTCTGCCATGACAGAGCTCATGGATAGGTGAGGGATCAAACATTGAGGAACTGAGTACGTGACCTGGGAGTTACCCATGATCCTTCCTTTTCATTCACCGCTAGTCCATTAACCCACCCTTTGGCTCTACCCTCAAGACATTTCTCCATCCTGCAACAACCACAACAAAATCTCTAACACCTTGACAAGACAGTTATAAACACAAATGAGAAATTCCTAAATAAATCATTAACAAATAAGGAAAGATAGGCTGGGCGTGGTGGCTCACACCTGTAATCCCAGCACTTTGGGAAGTCGAGGCAGGAGGATCGCTTGAGCCCAGCAATTTGAGACCAGCCTGGGCAACGTGGCAAAACCCCATCTCTACAAAATGTAAAAAATTAGCTGGACGTGGTGGTACACACCTGTAGTTCCAGCTACATGAGACAGTGAGGTGAGAGAATCACTGGATCCCAGGAGCCGAGGCTGCAGTGAGCTGTGATTGTGCCACTGTACTCTAGCCTGGGCAACCGTGTGAGACCTTGTCTCAAAATAAATAAATAAGAAATAAGGAAAACACATTCCCAGACTACTTCTCATCACATCCACTGTCATCATGTAGTCCAGGCTGCCATCATCTTTTTTTTTTTTTTTTTTTTGAGACAGGGTCTTGCTCTGCCGCCCAGGCTGGAGTGCAGTGGTATGATCTCGGCTCACTGCAACCTCTGCCTCCCAGGTTCAAGTGATTCTCCTACCTCAGCCTCCTGAGTAGCTGGGACCACAGGTGCACACCACCACACCCAGCCAATTCTTTGTATTTTTAGTAGAGATGGAGTTTCACCATGTTGGCCAGGTGGGTCTTGAACTCCTGACCACAGGTGATCCACCCACCTTGGCCTCCCAAAGTACTGGGATTACAGGCGTGAGCAACCGTGCCTGGCCCGTTTCCACTCTTACCTCTCTCATAACAACAACAATAGTTACTTAGTATTTACCTTATGCCAGGCACTGTTCTAAGTGCTTTGTATGTATAATAAGGAGGAAAATGATGACGACTGTATATAGCAGCCAGATGACTGTATAAAAATCACTTCATGTCTTCATTGGCACCCGCTAGTGACTAGCCCATTTCCACCTCAGGGCCTACCCCTGAGTCAGTCTTGCAGAAGCCACTTAGTTAAGAGTTAGATGAGAAGCAGTTTCCAAAAGAGGCTTAGGAGAGGGCATGGATGCCAGGTGAGAGATAAGATGAGACACATTGAGGGAAGTGGCTGCCAGGAAATAACTTGAAATCCTGCTTGGCAGCCAATGGGAACACTCATTAGTTCACTCTCTCTTTTTTTTTTTTGAAACATGATCTTGCTTTGTCACCCAGGCTGGAGTACTGTGGTGCGATCATGGCTCAATGCAGCTTCAGCCTCCCAGGCTCAAGCAGTCCTCCCATCTCAGCCTCCTTTTTTTTTGTTTTTTTCATTTTTCTTTTTTATTTTTATGCTAGTCAAGCATGGTTGTGTGGGGAGACAATGTTAAATCAGCTTAACAATAACCCACAACACTCGGACCAGCTCCATCTCAGCCTCCTGAGTAGCTGGGACTACAGGCATGTGCCACCATGCCTGGCTAGCTTTCATTAGCTCTGTCTTAGGCCCTTTCAGGGACAGTGGCAATGGGGTCATCTCTTATGGGGGACCTATCACTTAGAATTGTATCTGCTTGGTAGTAACAAAGTCCTGCAATAAGAGTTGCTTAAACAAATTATGGGGTCTATAGGAATCAGTGTGGTTAAGTTATGCTGCACAAACAAACTTCTCAAATCTCAGTGGCTTACTACAACAAAGGTGTTTTTTGTTTTTTTGTTTTTTTTTTTTTTTAAAGAAGGGGTCTTTATCACCTGGGCTAGAGTGCAGCACCATCATGGTTCACTGCAGCCTCAAACTCCTGGGCTCAAGCAGTCCTCCCGCCTCAACCTCCTGAGTAGCTGCGACTATAGGCAGACACCACCTTGTCAGGCAAATTTTTCTAATTTTTGTAGAAATGAAGTCCCATTGGGCTGGGCGCGGTGGCTCACACCTGTAATCCCAGCACTTTGGAAGGTTGAGGCAAGTGGATCACCTGAGGTCAGGAGTTTGAGACCAGCCTGGCCAACATGGTGAAGCCCCATTTCTACTAAAAATACAAAAATTGCCAGGCGTGGTGGCACACGCCTGTAATCCCAGCTACTCAGGAGGCTGAGATGGGAGAATCGCTTGAACCTGGGAGGCGGAGGTTGCAGTCAGCCAAGATCGCGCCACTGCACTCCAGCCTAGGCAACAAGGGTGAAACTTCGTCTAAAAAAAAAAAAAAAGAAATGAAGTCCCACTATGTTGCCCAGGCTGGAACTCCTGGGCTCAATCAGTCCTCCTGCTTTAGCCTCCCAAAGTGCTGGGATTACAGGCATGAATCACCACACGTGGCCCAAAGGTGTATTTCTTGCTCACACTATGTCCTTTGCAGGTCATTTGTGGTCCTACTCTACAGTATCTTAATTGGGGTCTCAGGCTGAATAAACTATCCCTATTTGGAGTATTGCTGGTCTTGCAGGAGGAGGAAAAAAGAAAGTGGAGTGAATCACCCAGTGGCTCTTGGTCAATTTCATATTTAGAAGTGGCCTGTGTCACTTTCACTGGCATTCTTTTGGCTGGAGCAAGTATATAGCAAGCCTCAAGTCAATGGAGTGGGCATGTGTAATCCTCATGTGGAGAGAGACAGCAGACATTCTATTACAGGGTTTATTTTCCCTCATATACAGAAAGTACAGAGGTTGGCAAACCAGCACTGGGATAGTAGCTCCACAGTCATGAGAAATGAGGGGTCCTATCACTATTTTTCTTTCTTTTTTTTTTTTTTTGAAAGTCTCATTCTGTCACCCAAGCTGGAATGCAGTGGCACAGTCTCAGCTCACTGCAACTTCCACCTCCTGGGTTCTAGGGATTCTCATGCCTCAGCCACCCAAGTAGCTGGAATTATAGAATTACAGGCGCATGTCACCATACCCAGCTAATTTTTGTATTTTTAGTAGAGACAGGGTTTTGCCATGTTGGCCAGGCTAGTCTCAAACACCTGGCCTTAAATGATCCTCCCACCTTGGCCACCAAAGTGCTGGGATTACAGGTGTGAGCCACCATGCCCGGCCTCTTTCTGCTCTGTCATCCTTAGCCTGTGGCTTCCATCCTTGGCCTGTGGCTTCCATCCAAGGTGGCTGCCAGTGCCCCAGCCACCACTGCCACCATTCCTTATAGGAGGAAAAGGGAAGGGAGGAAGAGCAAAAAGCGTTCAGGTCTAAACTGAATCATCTCCCTTTATAAGGCCTTCCCAGAAACCCCGTTCAATGGCACCTTTTCATCATTGGTCACCCCAACTGGAAAAGAGGCTGGGAATTGTGGTCTTTAAAAACTGGGCATTTAATCAGCCTGAAGAAATTTTGAGTTACATTAGTAAGAAAGAAAAAAAGGACTTCTAGCAGTATATGCCACCCCATGCTCTGGACAAGATGACCAGCAAGACTAAAATAGTTTATACAAAGGGGAACATGGGGGTATAGCTCAGTGGTAGAGCATTTGACTGCATACAAAGGGGAACACTTGTTGTCTGCTTAAGGTAGTTTTTTAGAAAGCAACATTGCCCATTACAAATGCTGCTATCCAGAGGAACAAGAGAGAGTAAGACCAATTAAGGAGACCTTTCTTAGGATATTGACTTTTTTCCTTTGCTCTTTGAGCTGCTGAATCCTGTTGATCGTCCCTTCCATTTAAGGCACCATCCCAGAGATCCCACACAACACTAAAGCATTCCTTGGCCAGAAGGTAGTCACACGCCCCAGCCAGCTGCAAAGGATCCTGGGAAACATAGTCTTTTAGCAGGACACATTGTGGCCTCAAAGAAAGTTGGAGTTCTGTTAGTAAGGAAAAGGCAGAGAGTAGATACGAGTAGTCCATTGGCAGATTCTGCCTGGGAGATGGTGGCAATAAGAATGGGGAATGCTGTTGCAATAGATCTTGTGTTTGTGTCCCGGAAGAATGGGGCTGCTGAGAACATTGGGATCTTAGAGGGAGGCTGACTGCAGCAGCCAGACTCCCTGGCTGTGTGCCCTGGGGTTCTGCTCTCTGGGTGCCACTGCTGTTCTCTGAGTCAGCCTTTCTGTGCTCTTTCACCAGCTACCTGCCCCCTCCACCTCCATCTTCCTTTGTCTGAGAAGTCTTGGCTCTCCCCATCTCCGTTCATCCCATCCACCTCCTCCCCACTGGTAGCCTCTTTAGTTTCTTGTGTGTCCTTCCTATGTGTCTTAGTCTGTTCTCACACTACTATAAACAACTACCTGAGACTGAGTAATTCATAAAGGAAAGAGGTTTAATGGACTTACAATTCTGAATGGCTGGGGAGGCCTCAGGAAACTTACAATCATGGTGCAAGGCGAAGGGAAAGCAAACATCTTACATGGGGGCAGGAGAGAGAGAGAGCAAGAGGGGAACTGCCACTTTTAAACCATCAGATCTCATGAGAACTCACTCACTATCATGGGAACAGCATGGGGGAAACATCCCCCATGATCCAGTCACCTCCCATCATGTCCCTCCCTTGACACATGGGGATTACAGTTCAAGATGAGATTTGGGTGGGGACACAGAGCCAAACCACATTACCATAGTTTCTTTATATAAATACCAGCAAATGTGAAAGACATTCTTATTTCTCCCTTTATTACACTATTAGTTTCCCATGCTGCTCTAACAAACTTGGTGGCTTAAAACAAGACAAATTATTTTCTAACAGTTCTAGAGGCCAGGAGTCCAAATCGGCTTTCCTGGGCCAAAACCAAGGTGTCGGCAGGGCTGTACTCCTCTGGAGGTTCTGGGGGAGAATCTCTTCTTTGCCTGTTCCGGTTCCTGGTGGCTGCAGGCAGTGCTTGGCTTGTGGCCACATCTCTCCAGTCTCTGCCTCCATGGTTGCATTGCCCTCTCTTCTTTTCTGTGGTAATATATTCTCCTCCCTCTTATTAAAAGGATACTTGTAGTGGCATTTAGGGCCAACCCGGATGACCCAGGATAATCTCCCCATCTCAAGATCCTTAACTTAATCACATCTTTTGTCATATAAGGTAATATTCAGGCCTGGCACAGTGGTTCACGCCTGTAATTTCAGCACATTGGGAGGCCGAGGTGGGAGGATTGCTTGAGCCCAGGAGTTTGAGACCAGCCTGGGCAACAAGGCAAAACCCCATCTCTACAAGAAATATAAAAATTAGCTGGGCATGTGGCACATGCCTGTAGTCCCAGCTACTTGGGAGGCTGACGTGGGAGGATTGCCTGAGCTTGGGGAGTTTGATGCTGCAGGGAGCCGAGATCACACCACAGCACTCCAACCTGGGTGACAGAGCAAAACCCTGTCTCTAAATAAATAAATAAATAAATATACAAAAAAATTAGCCGGACGTGGTGGCGGGCGCCTGTAGTCCCAGCTACTCGGGAGGCTGAGGCAGGAGAATGGTGTGAACCTGGCAGGCGGAGCTTGCAGTGAGCCGAGATTGCGCCGCTGCACTCCAGCCTGGGTGACAGAGCGAGACTCCATCTCAAAAAAATAAATTAAATAAATAAATAAATAAATAAAGTAATAGTCACAGTTTCCAGGAATTAGGACATGGATAGCTTTTGGGGGCTACCACAATGACTAAAAGCTGAGATAGTCTATTTAGAACCTTGCTTTTTTTCACATAATGTGTGCCTGACAATAGCATGTCAGTTCACAGAGTACCTCTACATTCTGTTTTATAGCTGCATCGTATTCTTTTGTGTGGATGTGCCTATGTTTACCCTCTCTCCTGTAGGAATTTTGTCCCTAATTCTCTAGCACTCACTAGTCTATCTTTTCAACAAAGAGAGAGCAGGGGTGGGGTGTGGTGCCTCATGCCTATAATCGCAGCACTTTGGGAGGCCAACGTGGGAGATCACTTCAGCCCAGGAGTTCAAGACCAGTCTGGACAACATAGTGAGACCTCTGTCTCTACAAAAAGAAATTTTAAATTAGCCAGGTGTGGTGGCACATGCCTGTGGTCCCAGGTACTCGGGAGGCTGAGGTGGGAGGATCACTTGGGCCTAGCAGTTCAGGGCTACAGTGAGCCATGATCGTGCCTCTGCACTTTAGCCTGGGCAACAGAATGAGACCGTGTCTCAAAAAAAAAGAAAGAAAAGAAAAGAAAGAGAGCAGGCCTCAGGCTCATAACCCTCAGTAGGTAATGGCATCTGATGTTTTTATGGTTAGCTTTTGTTTATGGAATTGATACTGATTTTCCATTTTCAATTGTGATGTAAAGTTTCTCTTTTAAGTATCTTTGTTTAATAGTTAAAATTGGTTAGTTTTAAGAAAAATATGAAATAAGTAATATCACAGATATGGAAAACATTGTGAAGATGGGATATGCATGAGATGTGTCTTAGTTATCTAATGCTATATAACAAACTATCCCCAAATTTAGCAGCTTGAAATAAACATTTACAGTCTCAGTTTCTGGCAGCTGCTAAGGACAAACTGGCCAGCATTTGATCATGTGGCCACCCCTGGCTGCAAATAAGGCTGGAAAAGGAGGTCTTTATTATGGGTAGCCTTGAGCCCAGGTCTAAATAGAGAGTGGATTACCATCTAAGAGGGTAAGAGCAGATGCTGGGAATAAGTGGCACCCGGAAACCGGAGAAGTGGGGCACATTTAGAGGGTCCCTCATCAGATAATCCTCACCCACAACCACTGAGAAAGCTTTTATTTTTTAAAACTTAAAACAAAAAAAATTTTTTTTTGAGATGGAGTCTTGCTCTGTCGCCCAGGTTGTAGTGCAGTGGCGTGATCTCGACTCACTGCAACTTCCACCTCCCAGGTTCAAGTAATTCTTCTGCCTCAGCCTCCCGAGTAGCTGGGATTACAGGGACACGCCACCAGGCCTGGCTAATTTTTGTAATTTTCGTAGAGACGGGGTTTCACCATGTTGGCCAGGCTGGTCTTGAACTTGAATTCAAAATCACTTGAGGTCTGACTGCAAGTGATCCGCCCACCTCGGCCTCCCAAAGTGCTGGGATTACAGGCGTGAGCCACCGTGCCTGGCCTATTAAAATTATTTTTACCTGTGGCAAAATACACATAAAATCTACCATTTTGATCATTTTTAAGTGTACAATTTTGATCATTAAGTGTACAATTCACTAATGTTAAGTGTTGTATAACCAATCTCCAGAACTTTTTCCTCTCCTAAAACACTCTATCCCCATTGGACAATTCCCTCTTTCCCTCTCCCCCAGGCTCTTGGCAACCACCATTCCACTGTCTGTCTCTAGGAATTTGACTGTTCTACCTCATATAAGTGAAATCGTCAGTATTTGACTGGCTTATTTCACTTACCCTAATGGCCCTCAGAGTTCATCTGTGTTGTTGCATGTGTCAGATCAAGACTAAATAAAATTCCAGGCCAGATGCAGTGGCTCACACCTGTAATCCCAGCACTTTGGGAGGCCGAGGTGGGTGGATCACCTGAGGTCAGGAGTTTGACACCAGCCTGGCCAACATGGTGAAACCCCATCTCTACTAAAAATACAAAAATAGCCAGGTGCAGTGGCAGGCACCTGTAATCCCAGCTACTTGGGAAGCTGAGGCGGGAGAGTCGCTTGAACCCAGGGGGCGGAGGTTGCAGTGAGCCGAGATCACACCACTGCATTCCATCCTGGGCAACAGAGTGAGACTCCATCGCAAAAATAAATAAATAAGCCGGGCATGGTGGCGGGAGCCTGTAATCCCAGCTACCCAGGAGGCTGAGGCAGGAGAATCACTTGAACCCAGGAGGCAGAGATTGCAGTGTGCCGAGATTGCGCCATGGCACTCCAGCCTGGGTGACAGAGTGAGACTGCATCTCCTCCCTCCCCCCAAAAAAAAGACTAAATAAAATAAAATTCCATTGTATGTATATGCAGCATTTTTCTTATCCATGTATCTGTTGATAGACACTTCCACCTTTTGGCTGTTGTGATTTATGCTGCTATGTTTCTGTTGTCTGTTTGTTTGTTTTTGAGACAGCATGTCGCTCTTTTGCCCAGGCTAGAGTGCAGTAATGTGATCATGGCTCACTGTAGCCTTAACCTCCTGGGCTCAAGCAGTCCTCCCACCTCAGCCTCCTGAGTAGCTGTGCCTCTAGGCACATGCCACCATATCTGGCTAATTTTTCTATTTTTTGTAGAGACAAGATTTCACCTGTTGCTCAGGTTGGTCTTGAACACCTGGGCTCAAGTGACCCACCCACCTCAGCCTCCCAAAGTGCTGGGATTACAGGCATGAGCCACCACGCCAGGCCTGATTTATGTTGCTACGAACGCAGGTGTGCAAATATCTCTCCAAGACCCTGTTTTGTGTTCTTTTGGGTATGTAAGCAGAAGTGGATTGCTGGGTCATATGGTAATTCTATTTTTCAGTGTTTGAGGAACTGCCATATTGTTTTCCACAGTGGCAGCACCGTTTTACATTCCCAGCAGTGTACCAGAGTTCCAGCAGTTTTTCCACATCCTCACACACACTGTTCTTCTCTTCCTCTTCCTCCCCCTCTTACTCCCTCCCCCTTCCCCTTCCCCTCCTCCTCCATCACCCAGGCTGGAATGCAGTAGTGTGATCATAGCTCACTGCAGCGTTCAAATTCCTGAGCTTAAGCAATCCTCCCACATTGCCTCCTAAGTAGATAGAACTATAGATGCACATTGCCACACCCAGCTAATTTAAAAAATATTTTTTCGTAGAGACAAGGTCTTGCTACATTGCCCAGGATGGTCTTGGACTACTGCCTTCAGGAGATCCTCCTGCCTCAGCCTCCCAAAGTGCTGGGATTACAGACACAAGCCACCATGCCCGGCCTCTTTTTTGTTGTTGTTCAATAGTAGCTGTTCTGGTGTTTGTCAGATGATATTTCATCAGGGTTCTGATACTGCGTTTTCCTAATGATTGGAGATGTCAAGTATCTTTTCATGTGCTTATTGGCCATTTGTATGTCTTTGGAGAAATGTTTGTTCAAGTCCTTTGCCCATTTTTGAATCAGGTTATTTGTGTTTTATTGTTGTTGAGTTGTTTAAAGACTTGTTAGTGGGTGTTTTCAAGCATACACAAAAAGTAGAGCCCTCAGTATCCATCACTGTGTCACTAGTTATCAACACTTTGCCAATCTTCTTCCCTGCCCTGCCCACACCTCTAAGTTTTTGTCCTGCACTATTTTAAAGTAAATCCCAGACATCAGATCTTTTATCCGTAATTATTTCAGACTGATTTCTAACAGAAGACTGTTTCAGAAGTATAAACCAATACAGTTATCACACCTAGCAAAATGAATTTTTTTTTTTTTTTTTTAAAGACAGGGTCTGGCTCTGTCACCCAGGCTGGAGTACAGTTGCGCAATCTCGGCTCACTGCAACCTCTGCCTCCCAGGCTCAGGTGACCCTCCCACTTCAGCCTCCCGAGTAGCTGGGACTACAGGCATGTACCACCATACATGGCTAATTTTTTTTTTTTTTTGTAGAGTCGAGGTCTCCCTATGTTGCCCAGGCTGGTCTCGAACTCCTGGGCTCAAGCGATCCTCCCACCTTGTCGTCTTCCCAAAGTGCTAGGATTACAGGCATGAACCGCCATGCCTGACCAGTTTCTTACAATTATCTTATAACCAGTTCATGTTCAGTTTTCCCCAATTGTCTTAAAATGTCTTTTTACTGAATTGTTTGTTGTAGGCAAGGTCCACATCCTGCGTTTGTGCTGATGTTTCTTAAATCTCTCTTAATCCAGAAACCCCACACCCCCATTTATATGGTGTGGAAGAAACGTTTTCGCTTGGCTGCACGATCTCCCACATCGTAACTGTCTGATTTTATAAACTGCTCCAACAAGTTGATGTGGAAGAACAAATTGGGAGTGGAGGGGCGGGACTGTGGGCAGGAAGACCAGGAAGGAGGCTGGAAGGAGGGGCAGTGGAGGGGGCAGAGGTGGGCTGATGCTGGGTGTTTAAAAGGTGGAGCTTTCAAATTAATAATAATAAGAAGAAATGCCAGGCTTGGTGGCTCATGCCTATAATCCTAGCACTTTGGGAGGCCAAGGTGGGTGGATCACCTGAGGTCAGGAGTTCAAGACCAGCCTGGCCAACATGGTGCAACCTCGTCTCTACTAAAAATACAAAAATTAGCCGGGCGTGGTGGCGTGCGCCTGTAGTCCCAGCTACTCAGGAGGCTGAAGCAGAAGAATCGTTTGAACCCAGGAGGCGGAGGTTGTAGTGAGCCAAGATCGCGCCATTGCACTCCAGCCTGGGTGACAAGTGCGAAACCCCGTCTCACAAAATACTACTACTAAAAGATGAAGCTGAAAAAAGGGTTGTGGTTGTGTGTATGAGATAGAGAAAGCCTGGGCACAAGACAGGTCTACTTCCTAGCCCTAGGGAGGCACAGGCTTGGAGCCCAGAGACCTCCAGGGTGGGTATCCTCTGGGAGGGATAAGTCTGAACCTCGTAGCACTGACCCAGCCCCCCAACCACCCATGCAGGTTCCCACTGAAGGATGGTCCCCGGCTGCAGGCCTGGCTGCAGCACATGGGCTGTGAGCACTGGGTGCCCAGCTGCCACCAGCACTTGTGCAGCGAGCACTTCACACCCTCCTGCTTCCAGTGGCGCTGGGGTGTGCGCTACCTGCGGCCTGATGCAGTGCCCTCCATCTTCTCCCGGGGACCACCTGCCAAGGTGAGCGCTGGGAGGTCCTGCTGCTGGAATCCAACCCCCAGACCTCCCTGCCTAAGGGAAGTCCCTCCTTGAGTCTGAACTTTGGCCCTCCCCTCCTGACGACACTTCCTCCCTGAGGTCTGGCCTTACCTAGGCAAGTCCCCCTTGGAAACAGACCCTCCATCCCTTTCCTCCTGAGTCGAAGTCTGACCACGGCACCCCTGCACCCCATGCCTTGTCTTCCAGAGTCAGCGGAGGACCCGAAGCACCCAGAAGCCAGTCTCGCCGCCGCCTCCCCTACAGAAGAATACACCCCTGCCCCAGAGCCCTGCCATCCCAGTCTCTGGCCCAGTGCGCCTAGTGGTGCTGGGCCCCACATCGGGGAGCCCCAAGACTGTGGCCACCATGCTCCTGACCCCCCTGGCCCCTGCGCCAACTCCTGAGCGGTCACAACCTGAAGTCCCTGCCCAACAGGCCCAGACCGGGCTGGGCCCAGTGCTGGGAGCACTGCAACGCCGGGTGCGGAGGCTGCAACGGTGCCAGGAGCGGCACCAGGCGCAGCTGCAGGCCCTGGAACGGCTGGCACAGCAGCTACACGGGGAGAGCCTGCTGGCACGGGCACGCCGGGGTCTGCAGCGCCTGGTGAGTGGCACCCCAGCCTGGCAGCCCCATCCATGGGTGGTGGCCTGGCCTGCAGTGTGTTTTCATTTTGTCTAGGATCCCCTATTCAAAAATCAGAACATTCAGCCGTGTTTCCAAATTTCTGGCTTTCCCGGGCTCAGTGGCTCACGCCTGTAATCCCAACACTTTGGGAGGCCAAGGCAGGAGGATTGCTGGAGGCCAGGAGTTCGAGACCAGCCTGGGCAACATAGCAAGCACTGTCTCTACAGAAAATTAAAACAAATTTCTAGGTTTTCCTGAAAAACAAAATCTGGCAATGCCAAGCAACTATTGGTTGGAGCTGAGTAATGATTGCTCCATTTACTAATACTAAATACTTAATATTTGAGAAGCTCTTATTGTCTGCCAGACACAGAGTTATAACATAGTGAGCTGAAAACTCACTATGACCCTTTGAGCTGGAGCTACAGGGTTAATTTTTTTTTTTTTTTTTGAGACGGAGTCTCGCTCTGTTGCCCAGGCTGGAGTGCAGTAGTGCAATCTCGGCTCACTGCAGCCTCTGCCTCCCAGGTTCAAGCGATTGTCCTGCCTCAGCCTCCCAAGTAGCTGGGACTACAGGTGCCCGCCACCACGCTCAGCTAATTTTTTGTATTTTTAGTACAGACAGGGTTTCACCGTGTTAGCCAGGATGGTCTCGATCTCCTCACCTCGTGATCCACCTGCCTTGGCGTCCCAAAATGCTGGTATTACAGGAGTGAGCCACCATGCCTGACTGCTACAAGGTTAATTTTTAAAAAATGCAGTGGCTCACATCTGTAATCCTAGCACTTTGGGAGGCCAAGGTGGGCAGATCGCTTGAACCTAGGAGTTCAAGACCAGCCTGGACAACATGGTAAGACTGTCTCACTAAAACACAAAAATTAGCATTGTGGTGGGCACATGTGGTCCCAGCTACTTGGGAGCCTGAGGCAGGAAGATCCCTTGAGCCCAGGAAGCAGAGACTGCAGTGAGCCAAGATCGCACCACTGCACTCTAGCCCGGGTGACCAAGCAAGGTCTCAAAAAAAACCAAAAACCACAACCAAACAAAAAACTCACTATGGTCTGTGTGCGGTGGCTCATGCCCGTAATCCCAGCACTTTGGGAGACCAAGGCAGGCAGATTGCTTGAGTTCGGGAGTTTGAAACCAGCCTGGGTAACATAGAGAAACCCTGTCTCTACTAAAAATACAAAAATTAGTTGGGCATGGTGGCGCACCTGTAATCCCAGCTACTTGGGAGGCTAAGGTGTGAGAATTGCTTGAACCCTGGAGGTGGAGGTTGCAGTAAGCCGAGATGGCACCACTGCACTCAAGCCTGGGCAACAGAGCGAGACGCCATCTCAAAAACAAAAACAAAAACAAAAAAAGGCCGGGTGTGGTGGCTCATGCCTATAACCTCAGCACTTTGGGAGGCTGAGGTGGGCAGATCACGAGGTCAGGAGTTCGAGACCAGCCTGGCCAACATGGTGAAACTCCATCTCTACTAAACATACAAAAAGTAGCCGGACGTGGTGGCACACGTCTGTAATCCCAGCTACTCGGGAGGCTGAGGGAGGAAAATTGCTTGAACCTGGGAAGCAGAGGTTGCAGTGAGCCGAGATTGTGCCATTGCACTCCAGCGTAGGCGACAAGAGCAACACTCCATCTCAAAAAACAAACAAAAAAAACCTCATTATAATCTTAATACTGCTGTTGTCTCTATCTTCCAGATGAAAAAATGGAGGCACAGAGCAGTCCAGTAGTGTGCCCACAGTCAGGCAGCCAACATGTTTCAGGGCCAGGATTCAAACCCAGGTGTCTGGCTGCAGAAGAGGCCTGTGAGAGCTTCCTGCCTGGCCCCTATAGAGCTGGAGTTTGCAATCTCTGTAATAGTGTCCCCCAGGCCCTATCTGAATCCCTTTTGCCTCTATATTTTACTGCTGGGTGTGTGTGTGTGTGTGTGTGTGTGTGTGTGTGTGTGTAGGGGAGGAATTTGAGGAAGGTGTTTGTGTGTGTGTGTGTGTGTAGGGGAGGAAGCTGAGGAAGGTGTGTGTGTGTGTGTGTGTGTGTGTGTGTGTGTGTAGGGGAGGAAGTTGAGGAAGGGTGTTATGTCTCTGTGTGTGGGGTGGCGGGGGAGGAAGATGAGGAATGGTGTTATGTCTCTGAAAATCACAGTTTGACCAAGGCGAAATTTCTCCTGTCTTAAAACCCTAGGGCCAAGCTTGAGGTGCCCAGCTTAGCCCCCATGGCTTTCAGAGCCCTGCTTGTATGAGAGAGATGCCCACACAGAGCTCTGAATGCTAGACTCACTGAAGGGGCTCAGGAAGGAGCCCCCACAGTACCTCTGGAGTTAAGGAGTATCCGATTTTTTTTTTTTTTTTTTTTGAGAAGGAGTCTTGCTCTGTTGCCCAGGCTGGAGTGGAGTGGTGCGATCTCAGCTCACTGCAACCTCTGCCTCTCTGGTTCAAGCGATTCTCCTGTCTCAGCCTCCCAAGTAGCTGGGATTACAGGCACGTGCCACCATGCCCAGCTAAGTTTTGTGTTTGTAGTAGAGACGGGGTTTTGCCATGTTGGCCAGGCTGGTCTTGAGCTCCTGACCTCAGGTAATCAGCCCACCTCGGCCTCCTATAGTGCTGGGATTACAGGTATGAGCCACCATGCCCAGCCAGGAGTCTCAGATTGATAGTCAGTGGTTTGGACATGACCCACAGATACAATTTGTTTGGCCTCCGCAGTGCTTTAAAATAATTTATAATGGCCGAGTGCAGTGGCTCACACCTGTAATCCCAGCACTTTGGGAGGCTGAAGCAGGTAGATGACTTGAGCCCAGGAGTTTGAGACCAGACTGGGCAACATGGTGAAACCCTGTCTCTACAAGAAACACAAAAAATTAGCCAAGTGTTGCACCTATAGTTCTAGCTATTTGAGAGGCTGAAGTGGGAGTATTGCTTGAGTCCAGAAGGTCAAGGCTTTAATGAACTGTGATTGTGCTACTGCACTCCAGCCTGGGTGACACTGTGAGACTCTGTCTCAAAAAAAAAAAAAAAAAAAAAGTCTGGTCTTTCCTGAAGGCTCTGCATATCTAGCAGCACTGGGCTTGGATTCTCAGGTGATAGCAGTTGGCTGGAGCTACAGTGTGGCTGCCTCTGGGGCCTTGAAGTTTGAGACTGTGGCCTGGGGCACAGAGGGACAGTGGGGCAGGGACAGAGCTCAGACTCGGGCCTGGGGCTCTTTGTGGAGCCTGCCAGATCCCCTGAGCTGACTGCCTCTCTCTGCCTCCCCTCCTGTCATTCAATCTCTGTCTCCTACTCATCTATCCCTACCTCCCAATCTCCTCCCTCCCCAACATTCATTGTCTTTCTGCCCATCATCTCTGTCCGCCACCTGTTTCCCCACCTCCCTGTGTCTCTCTTTATCTGCATATTTTCTGTCTCCCCCATATCTCTGACCCTGTCTGTACGTCTGTCTGCCTGCACATCTCTTTCCCCCACGTGTCTGCGTCTGTGCCCCCGCACTTCTCTTCCCATTTCCCCACCCTTCTTTCCTTTCCCATGAATGTCTCTCTGGCCCTCACATCTGCTTTCCTGTCTCCTCATATCTCTCCCCACATCTCTCTCTGTTTCCTGACACGCCCTCCTGCCACCTTTGCCTCCCTGTTCCTCACCGTTATCTGTCTGTCTCTCCCGCAACTTGCTTCGTAATGTTCCCCATCTCTACCACTTCTTTGCCTTAGACAACAGCCCAGACCCTTGGACCTGAGGAATCCCAAACCTTCACCATCATCTGTGGAGGGCCTGACATAGCCATGGTCCTTGCCCAGGACCCTGCACCTGCCACAGTGGATGCCAAGCCGGAGCTCCTGGACACTCGGATCCCCAGTGCATAAGGATCAAGACAGACAATGTCGAGGGACAAAAGATAGAAGATGGAGGAGGAAAGACATTATACGTGGGCTTGGCCCAGCCCCACCGCCCACGCCTGGGTAGTAGCAGTGCCTCCCTCAAGGGCCTGGGTTCTACCACCCCACTCCTAGGGATCTCTTGAACCTTAGGGGTGACCTGGGCCCAAGTCTCTCATCAGCCCCCAATCCCCTGGGTACCAGGCTTCTGCCACCCCCGGCTCAGATCTTTGCAAATCAGTACGACAGCCTCAGAGCAGAGCAAGGGTTGTTTGGGAGAATCATACCTGGTTCTAAGGAGTCCCACGCTTTTTGCCAAGCCTGGTACTGAGTTCATGATACCATGGTGGACACAGCTGAGAAAATCCCTGCCCTCATGGTGCTCATTCTACTTGAGTAGACGATGAACTAGTAAACAAATAAACAAGAACACTGCAGACATGAGCGATGAGTGCTATAAAGACAACAAAAATTTGGTTTGGGCCTGGGGGAGGGCCCTCCAAGGCCATGTTTTAGCAGAAACCTGGGTGATCAGAAGGGGCTGGCCTGGAGCGCTACAGGCTCAGGTTCCAGAGGACGAACAACCCCTGCAGTGAGGGCCTGCTGTCTGGGATGTGTCAGGTCTGGGAGGCGGTGTTGCTATGGAGAAAACCATAGTAGGGAAGGGAGGAAGGGGTGCAGTTTTAGAGCAGAGAAGGTGAAAAGACACCAACAAGTAAGATCCTAAAACAGGGCAGAGAGGGAGCCACGTAGGGATTTGGAGGAAGAGCATTCCGGGCATCACAAAGAGCCGTTGCAGGCCAGGCACGGTGGCTCACGCCTGTCGTCCCAGCACTTTGGGAAGCTGAGGCAGGCAGATAACCTAAGGTCAGGAGTTTGAGACCAGCCTGGCCAACATGGCGAAACCCCGTCCCTACTAAAAATACAAAAATTAGCTGGGTGTGGTGGCACAGGCCTGTAATCCCAGCTACTCGGGAGGCTGAGGCAGGAGAATCACTTGAACCTGGAAGACAGAGGTTGCAGTGAGCAGAGATCATGCCACTCCACTCCAGCCTGGGGAACAGTGAGACTGCCATCTCAAAAAAAAAAAAAAAAAAGAGCCAGTGCAAAGGTCCTGGGGTAGGGAGAAGCAAGGAGGCCAGTGTGGCTGGGGTGGAGTGAACAAAAGAGGGTGAGAGGAGGTGAGTGCAGAGATGATGGGGCAGGTTCACATAGGCCCTTGTGGGCCATGGCTGAGAGCCTTGGCTTCTACCTGGAGTGAGGTGCAGCAGGCAGACCCCTCTGAGGGAAAGAGGGCTCCAAAGTGACAGGTGTTCATGGGTCCCTGTGGCTGCATGTTGGAGGAGGACGGGGACAGCAGGTAAGAGGCTGCTGCCGTAGTGCTGGTGGCAGAAGAAGAAGGATGGACCAAGATGAGGGCCCAGGGTAGCGGTGGGGAGAGTGAGATCCTGGAAATCTTTTGGAGATGGAGCTACTGGACCTGTGCATTAGAAGGATGAGGTGTTCAAGGCTGTCACCCAGCCCCATCCAGGCTGGGATGATTTGAGGCAGAGCAGGCTACAGCTCCAGGTGGGAAGCCAAGCCATGACAATGGAGCCAGGACCCTGGGCTGGCTTCAGGAGGCCTCCGTGGGGAAGATACAGGTTCTGAGAGAGTTGGAGGGGTCAATCGGCAGATCTGTTTCCCAGACACTGCTACAGGCATGTAGCATGGTGATTAAGAATCAAAGCTGGGCATGGTGACTCGTGCCTGTAATCTCAGCGCTTTGGGTGGCAGGGGCAGGAGGATCCCTTGAGGTCAGGAGTTCAAGACCAGCCTGGGCAACATGGCAAAACCCTGTCTCAAAAAAAATTCTCCAGACATGGTGGCATGCACGTGTGGTCTCGGCTACTCGGGAGGTTGAGGTGGGAGGATGGCTTGAGCCCAGAAGTTTGACGCTGCAGTGAGCCAAGATCACAACACTGCACAGTAGCCTGGGTGACAGAGTGAGACCCTGTCTAGGAAATAATAAAAATAAAAATCAGACTTTACAGACTGTCTGGTTTCAAATGTTCGCTCCATCACCTACTCATGTACTTTTGGGCAAGCTGCTTAACCTCTGGGCCCCAGTGTGTGAGCCTCGCATTATGATGGTAAGGATGAGATGATCATGATAGGAGTCTCTAGGAAATCACCCCTCTGAGGCACCCATTATGAATGGTGAGCTTGGAGAAGGGGTCCGGTCTAGGGTCCTAGAGAGAGGGTCCCCTAGAGGGTCCCCATCGTCACCACGCCCCAAGACCACTGCCCTCACCGGCCTGGTTTGCAGGCGTGGGGGAAGGGGATGGAGAAGATCTGTGTCCGCTCTCTCAGCCCTCTCTTTTGCCGTTGTATCTGCTCATCTCGCTCCTTTCCGTAGCCATCTCTTCCTCTCCCAGTGCCCGGAGGCTCTCCCCTTTCAGTCGCCGCCTCTGGCCCCTCCATCAATGCGAGCGCCTCCCGGTCCCTCCTCCTGGTCCCTCCTCCCCCGCCGCCGGTAGGGGGGCAGCAGGCGCATGCGCAGTCGCGCCCCTCCCTCTCCGCCCCCACCCCCTGTCGGCGTCTGGGCCTCGTCCCCTTCTCTCTGTCTCCCTTGCCTCCCCCATCACGTCCCCTGACACCGACACCCCATTGCTCCCACAGTCTCCCCAGTCTCCACTTTGGTCCCCAGCGCTGTCTGCCCGAGGTAAGATGGGGAGGGGGCGGCCCGCGGAGAAGGGGAGGGGCGAAGCATCCTGAATCCCGAGATAAACAAACCCGGGGAGGGGGCAGCCGCGACTGAGGGGCCTGACGCGGGAGGAGAAGAATGGGGGGCTGGGCCTGGGGGAGGTGGCAGGCGCTGGGCGCACACACCGGGGCCCTCTATGGGTAACGGGGGTCCCTATGGTTGCCCAAGATCCAGTTGCGCGGAGGCCACCCGGGGCCCTGGAAGCTCCTAGGGGCTTGGACCCTGGAGCCTGCCGGGCACCCTCTCCAGCTGACCTCTGCCTCCAGGATTTGCCTGAAGGCTGCCCCCAACTCTGCACCCGCCCCCCGAGGGCCACCGAGGACCATGACTAAGACAGATCCTGCCCCGATGGCCCCGCCACCCCGAGGAGAGGAGGAAGAAGAGGAGGAGGAGGATGAACCCGTCCCCGAGGCCCCCAGCCCCACCCAGGAGCGCCGGCAGAAGCCTGTTGTGCACCCCTCGGCACCTGCCCCCCTCCCTAAGGACTACGGTAACCACTGTCCCCACCCTGGAATCTGGCCTGGAGCGTTGGGTGGCCGGGGAGGGTGGGCTGTGCTCTGCTGGTGGTGATGGTGGGAGAATTCTGGGGAATTTGAAGGTGGTCCAGAGGAATCTTGGCTGCAGAGCACCCCTCGTTAATTCATTCATTCACCCATTGGAGAATGGAATTGTAATACTCCTAGTCTTTGACTCATGACACATCATTCCATCATTTAGTCATTCAACAATCATTTTTTGAAAGCGGCTGTGGACCTGGCTTTATGCTAGGGGCTGGGGCCACAGCAGGGGGCAAGAGAGACCCAGTCTTTGCCCTGAGACAACTCACAGGCCTCAGTAACAGCCACACAAATAGGTATTAAACCATAATGTAATTTTTCACATTTAGGTTTATATGCAAGAAAGAAAAATATAATGTAATATAAATATGTAATTACAAGACATTATGAAAATTGTATTTACCATAAACAAGCTGCTGCAAGAGTTTTTTAAGACATTGTTTCCCTGAGGAGGTTACAGTTGAGAAGACTGGAGGGTGAGTTGGGGTTAACTAAGAGAAGGGTCAGGGGAAAGGGCTCCCAGGAGAGGTAACCGCTGGGTAAAGGATCTGAGGTAGGAGGGTATGGAGCTGAGAGGGCGGCCTCTTGGAGAAACTGAAAGTGTCTAATCATTGACCGAGCGATATTTATCGAGTGCTGCTACTCTGTGACAAGCCTTATGCTGGGTGCCGGAGATTTAATCCTAAGTGATCCAGGCATGATCCTCCCTTGCAGGAGAGAAGGAGAGACTAAACAAGTGAACAGATAAATAAATCAGAAATCAGATAAATTCAGATTGGAGCAAGTGCTATGAAAGAAAGAAAAGGTGGGCTGGGCATGGTGTCTCACGCCTGTAATCCCAGCACTTTGGGAGGCTGAGGCCAGCGGATCACCTGAGGTCAGGAGTTTGAGACCAGCCATGGCCAACATGGTGAAACCCCATCTCTACTAAAAATACAAAAATTGGCTGGGTATAGTGGCATATGTCTGTAATCCCAGCCACTCGGGAGGCTGAGGCAGTAGAATCGCTTGAACCTGGGAGGCAGAGGTTGCCCAAGATCGAGCCACTACACTCCAGCCTGAGTGACAGAGTAAGACTGTCTCAAAAAAAAAAAAAAAAAAGAAAAAAAAAAAAAAGAAAAGAAAAAAAGAAAAAAGAAAAAGAAATTAAAGGTGGAGATACGATAATGACTAGGGGGCAGCTACCTGCAGGGGTAGTCAGGGCTGCTCTTTCTGAGTAGGTAACATTTAGTTTGGGACCCAGAGCATGGGGAGGAATCAGCCATAAGAGAGCTGGAAAAAGAGTGTTCCAGGCAGACAGCAGCAAGTGCAAAGGCCCTGAGGCAGAATTGAACTTGGAACAGAAAGATCCTGGAGCTGCATTCAGGGAATGATCGAGGTTGAGGTGAGAGGTTGGCATAGGCCAGATCTGGAAGGGCCTTCAAGGCTACAGTGAGGACTTTGGTTATATTCTAAGTGGGACAGGGGAGAAGAGTGGCAAGGGGAGGGTGTTTAAGAGCAGAGGAGTGGCAGGTCTGATTTGTAGTTTGAAAGCTCCCTCTGGGTACTGGGTAGAAGGGGATGGAGTGCAGCCAGAGTTGGATGTAGGAGGGGAATTTGGAAGATATGCAGGCTGGGAATCCCCGGCAGCTGTGAGGTTCAGAAACCAGGTTCAGAGAGTCAGCGTTGCCAGGATAGAGCAAGACAGATGGCATCCATGGACATGTCACCCACTAGAGGTAGATCAGGGAGACTACAAGTTGACTTCAGTCTAATAGAAAAATAAGAAAGTTGGCTAGGCACAGTGGTTCTGGCTTATAATCCTAGCACTCTAGGAGGCCAAGGTGGGAGGATTGCTTGAGGCCAGGAGTTCGAGATCAGCCTGGGCAATGGAGCAAGACCCCATCTGTACAGAAAATTTAGAAATTAGCCAGGCATGGTGGGTACCTGTAGTCCCAGCTACTCCAGAGGCTGAGGTGGGAGGATCACTTGAGCCTGAGAATTCGATGCTGCAGTAAGCTAGGATTGCACCACTGCACTCCAGCTTGGGTGACACAGTGAGACCCTGTCTCAAAAAAAGAAAAAAGTAAAAGGAAGTTATCTGGGGCCTGAGGTCGGGGGGGTGCTGTACCTCAGAAAACTGGAAAATCTCCTTTGGAAATGCAGCTGGAGGTGGCTGGGGCCTCTGACTCAGTGGGAGGTCGGAGGGTATAGGCTGAGCCCTCCAAGCAGTCTTGCTTGTAGAGCGGGAGAGGTTTTGTCCCAGAATGTGAAGAAATCTGGAAATGTGGTCGAGGACAGGGAGAAGGCTAAGGTGGACTCCAAGAGGAAATCATGTATCTGTTAAATTTGTACATTAATTCAACAGAGATTGACTGAGCACCTACTGTGTGCCATGTGCTGTGCCTGGCCTTGGGGATAAAGGAGTGAATGAGGCAGAATAGAATCATAGCATTTAGATCCTAGTGAGGGAAGAAGAGAGGAAATGAAGGAGGGAGAAAGAGGAGTAAACATGTCAAGTAGTGATATGAGCTATGATAAAAATAAATAAATAAATAAAGGGCTGGGCATGGTGGCTCACACCTGTAATTTCAGTGCTTTGGGAAGCCAAAGTGGGAGGATCACTTGAGCCCAGGAGTTCGAGACCAGCCTGGGCAACATAGCAAAACGTTGTCACTACAAAAAAAAAAAAAATTGCTGGGCATGGTGATGTATACTGTAGTCCTAGCTACCAGGGAGGCTGAAGCAGGAGGATCACTTGAACCCAGGAGTTCAAGGCTGTAGTGAGCTATGATCATACTATTGCATTCCAACAGACCCTATTTTTTTTTTTTTTTTTGAGACGGACTCCAGGCTGGAGTGCAATGGTGCAATCTTGGCCCACTGCAACCTCTGCCTTCCGAGTTCAAGCGATTCTCCTGCCTCAGCCTCCTGAGTAGCTGGGATTACAGGCACTCACCACCACGCCCAGTTAATTTTTGTATTTTTAGTAGAGATGGAGTTTCACCATGTTGGTCAGGCTGGTCTCGAACTGCTGACCTCATGATCTGCCAGCCTTGGCCTCCCAAAGTGCTGGGATTCCAGGCGTGAGCCACCATGCCCAGCCAAGACCCTATCTCTAAAAAAAAAAAAAAAAAAAAAAAAAAAAAGAGTAGGAGATGGAGAAGGGCGGGTGCCGATTTAGACAGTGTGGTTTGGGAAGGCCTCTCTGAGGAGATGACATTTGAGCAAAGATTTATAAAGCTTTGTGAAGATGTGTGGGAAGTCTATCCTGAGTGAGAAGAACAGCAAGTGCCAAGACCCTGAGACAAGAATTTGCTTGGCACGTGGGAGGGACAGAGGGAGCCCAGTGTGGGAAATGAGGGAAGGGGAATAAGTGAGGGGAGAGGGCTGAGAACTGAGGGGCTGGATGTGCAGAGCCCTGAGGGCCGTGGGGAAGACTTTGGTCTGTACTCTGGATGGGTTGGGAGCTGGAGGAGGGTTCTAAGCCAAGAAGGGCTATGATGTGACTGCAGTTCTAAAAGGAGCATGCCGGCTGATTCCTGGAGACACCTTCTATGTGGCACTTCCCTGGGCTGTGTATAATCTGATCATTCATGTAGTCGTTCATTCACCACGCACTGAGTTCCTGCCACGTGCCAGGGCCCTGTGCTGGGTGCTGACGTCACAGAGAGCAGTACTCCTTAGAGTCGAGTGGGAAGAGACAGAAGTGCCTCTAGGCACCACCCTGGCTGGGCACAGGTTGATTCCTGCTCATGGATACATTTTATTTTATTTTCATTTTTATTTATTTATTTACTTTTTTTGAGATGGAGTCTCACTCTCTGTCACCCAGGCTGGAGTGCAGCGGCGCCATCTCAGCTCACTGCAGCCTTTGCCTCCTGAGTTCAAGTGATTCTCCTGCCTCAGCCTCCCGAGCAGCTGGGATTACCGGCGCCCACCACCACGCCTGGCTAATTTTTGTATTTTTGGTAGAGTCAGGGTTTCACCACGTTGGACCAGGCTGGTCTCGAACTCCTGACCTGAGGTGATCCGCCCGCCCCGGCCTCCAAAAGTGCTGGGATTACAGGCGTGAGCCACCGCGCACAGCCTCTATTTTTATTTTTTATATTTCCAGAGTCAGGGTCTTGCTCTGTTGCCCAGGCTGGCGTGTAGTGGCACAATCATGGCTCACTGCAGCCTTGAACTCCTGGGCTCAAGCAATCCTCCTGTCTCAATCTCCTTGAGTAGCACCAATGCGCACCACCACACCTGGCTAATTTTAAAACTTTTTGTAAAGACAGGGGTCTTGCTATGTTGCCCAGGCTGGTCTTGAACTTATGGGCTCAAGCAATCCTCCTGCCTCAGCCTCCCAACGCATTGGGATTACAGATGTGAACCACTGTGCCCAGTCATGGATACATTTGATGTGGACTGCATGGTATTTGAAACAATTGAGAGAGTTTTATTAAAAACCAGGACTTCTGGCTTTATTTATTTTTGCTCTGGAGATTCAGCCAAACTTCACTCATACTCTCACAGGGCAACAGTGGGTGAGGTCAGTAGCAGTCCCCCTGGACATGCAGACTCCAAGGTACTGCACTCTCTGTCAGGCTTTTGTTTCAGGGGGTGGAGTTTGCTGCTATATGGGAATTGCCTGATCTTCCAACTTTTCAAGACACACTGGGCATCGAGATTTTTATGTGAACCCACCTGAGTTTGAAACCTCATGCTGGCCACACAGAAAATGCCTGTGGGTTGACTGTGGCCCATGTGCCACCAGCTTGAGACCCTGCATTAGAGGCTCTAAAAGGCAAAGACCTACAGCTCCCCTACTGAGGCTGGAAGGAGGGGGTCAGTTGCGTGGGGTGACCTTGGACCTCTTGCCACCCCAGCTTTCACCTTCTTCGATCCCAATGACCCGGCGTGCCAGGAGATCCTGTTTGACCCTCAGACCACCATCCCCGAGCTGTTTGCCATTGTGCGCCAGTGGGTGCCCCAAGTCCAGCACAAGATAGACGTCATCGGCAATGAGGTGAGAACACTGGGGAAACCAGGGGGAGAGGGGATGCGGTTCCCCACATGTGTGGGTGACCCTCCCTGCTCCCCTGGTACTCACAGATTCTGCGCCGAGGCTGCCATGTGAACGATCGTGACGGGCTGACCGACATGACACTGCTCCACTATGCGTGCAAAGCTGGGGCCCACGGAGTCGGTGAGGGCCCCCTACCCCCAAGTCATAAGCCCCAAAGCCTAGGCCCCCAGACCCAACACGCTGAAAACCACCCAGAACTCAGGCCCCATCTGGAACCCGAAGCTTCGGATCCCAAAGTATAGTCCCTGAAGCCCAGGGTCCTCCCCGTGCACTGGGCCCATGCTCTGGAATGGGGGTTCCAAGCTGACCCGGCCTATCGCGCAGGGGACCCCGCGGCAGCCGTGCGCCTCTCGCAGCAGCTGCTGGCGCTGGGCGCAGATGTGACGCTGCGCAGCCGCTGGACCAACATGAACGCGCTTCACTACGCGGCCTATTTTGATGTGCCCGACCTCGTGCGTGTGCTGCTGAAGGGTGCGAGGCCGCGAGGTGAGGAGGAGAGCCCTGGCTGGGAGGGGGCAAGGACCTGGGTGAGGGACGCGGAGACCCAGGTGAGGCCAGGCTGCGAGGGGAAGGAGGACGGTGATCTGAGGAGATAGCGGGAGGTTGGAGGCGTGGGAGAGGGGGCTCAGGGACTACCACTCTAGGGAGGGTCGGGGCTGCCAAGGGAGAGGGGGGCTCCGAGGTGGGGGCGGGGCTCTGCGTCGGAGGCTCTGGGACCTGCAAGTTAAGAGATGAGCCCCGAGGTGGGAGGAGGGCTGGGGTCCCACAGGCGCTCACCCGGAACCCCTCCTCTTGCCCACTTCCAGTGGTGAACTCCACGTGCAGTGACTTCAACCACGGCTCAGCCCTGCACATCGCTGCTTCCAGCCTGTGCCTGGGCGCCGCCAAATGTTTGCTGGAGCACGGCGCCAACCCTGCGCTGAGGGTACTGCCACCCTTGCCCAGAACCCGTTACCCTCCTGCTCCCTTCCTCCCCCACTTCCCTCCAGCAGGTCTCTGCGTTTCCCGTGACTCCCCAAATACTACAAATGCCGTCTGTACATTCAGCAAATGCAATAACAGCTGAAATATGCCTAGTGTTCATTACATGTCAGGTGAAGTCTATTATAAGCCTTGTTTTACAATGGGGAAACTGAGGCAGAGATTAAGGGATCTGCCCAGGGTCATCCAGCCTATCCCATGGCAGTGCATAACAGCATTTCAAGGTCATGAGGAAAGTTGGGCTAGGCCTTCTGTGAATGAGAGGGTTGGTCCTCTCCTAAGCCCTCAATATGATCTTTGACCTCTGACCTATGCATTACCAGGCTCCATCCACAATGCTAATTACCCTGCAGCCGTCCAGGCACATGTATGTTGGGGTAACATGGCCTGTGCCCCTGAGACCCTGCCTCTCCCCATTTTCCACTGGCCCAGAGTTTGACTCCTGACTCTATACCACAGGAGCCCACTCTCACTCTCTCTAATTTTTTTTTTTTTTTTTTGAGACAGAGACTGGCTCTGTCATCCAGGCTGGAGTGCAGTGGTGCAATCTCGGCTCACTGCAACCTCTGCCTACCAGGTTCAAACGATTCTCCTGCCTCAGCCTCCCGAGTAGGTAGAATTATAGGCATGCGCCACCACACCCGGCTAATTTTTGTATTTTTAGTAGAGATGGAGTTTCACCATGTTGGCCAGGCTGGTCTCGAGCTCCTGACCTCAGGTGATCTGCCCACCTCGGCCTCACAAATTGCTAGGATTATAAGCATAAGCCACTGCACCCAGCCCACAGGAGCCCATTCTCAATGTTCATCTCCCACATGTCCTCATTACAGGCTTGGGGTCTCCAGAGATTGCCTCCCTGAGGGCGTGACCTACAGCACTGAAGTGTGGCCCTCATCCCTACTGCCTACACCCCCAGGCCCACCCTCAATTACTTGACACACCCCCAGCCCTGGGTCTCAGGGGTGGGTTTCCCTGGGGATGTGGTCTGCACCTTTCTGCCCTGCCCCTTCTTTTTTTTTTTTTTTGAGACGGAGTCTCGCTCTGTCACCCAGGCTGGAGTGCAGTAGCATGATCTTGGCTCACTGCAACCTCTGCTTCCCGGATTCAAGCGATTCTCCTGCCTCAGCCTCCCGAGTAGCTGGGATTACAGGCACACGCCACCACACCCGGCTAATTTTTGTATTTTTAGTACAGACGAGGTTTCACCATGTTGGCCAGGCTGGTCTTGAACTCCTGACCTCAAGCATCTGCCTGCCTCGGCCTCACAACGTACTGGGATTACAGGCGTGAGCCACCTTACCCCGCCTTGCCCTGACCCTTCTTATTCCCAGGTTGGCCCAGGATATGACCTAGTCTTACCCCTGCATCACCCAGACTGGTGGTCTCTAGGGGCAGGGCCTCCATGGGGGTGTGACCTGTGCCACTGAGTCCCTGCCTTCTTTTCCCATTGGCCCCCAGAATCGAAAAGGACAGGTGCCGGCGGAGGTGGTCCCAGATCCTATGGACATGTCCCTGGACAAGGCAGAGGCGGCACTGGTGGCCAAGGAGCTGCGGACGCTTCTGGAAGAGGCAGTGCCACTATCTTGCGCCCTCCCCAAGGTCACGCTACCCAACTATGACAACGTCCCAGGCAATCTCATGCTTAGCGCACTGGGCTTGCGCCTGGGAGACCGCGTGCTGCTGGATGGCCAGAAGGTCAGGGGCTGGGATGTGTGTTTGCATGGTGGGTGGGGGTGGGACTCAGCCCCTTAATCCCTTGGAGCTGCGTCCTCGGGCAGAGTGCAGTCCCTGCCCTTTGTCTACTTGCCGCCCTAACTATCCACCCAGTACTTGATTTTATCTCAGTTGTTCCGTGGGTGTCTCCTTTGAGCCTCACCCTGTGCTGAGCTCTCCATCCAGGGTGGGAAACAACCCGTCATCTGACAGTGACGGCCGAGAGTGGTCATGGCTGCCATGGGGAGGGGTGAGCAGAGTGATCTGCGCAGCTCTGTGCACCTGTGGCTCCCCCCGGGTCTTGTGGTCCTCGATCAGGCCCCTCTGCTCTCAGAGACAAGTCTGGCTAGGCAAGTCCAGGCCAGAGTGATTGGGGTGTGATGGGGAATGTACCCAAATTGCAGATGTGGAGGAGCAAGCCAGGGAAAGAAAGGGAGAAAGGAGTCTCAGCTTGGGGGAGCGGGTATCACAGCTGAGAGGGCAGAGAGAATCTTCATTTATCCAGGGACTCCAATTTCACTCATTTCCCGGTGTCCCTTGGGCTCCATACGGGACCCAGTCTGTCCTTAGGGAGGGAGGGCTGTGTCTGCCCCCGCCCTGCTGTCATGGGGCTCCACTTGTAATGAAGGGGAGACAGTCAAGAAAGTAAACCTATGGTTGAGATGATTTCTGGGCTGGGCACGGTAGTTCACACCTCTAATCCCGGCATTTTGGGAGGCCGAGGTGGGAGGATCACTTGAGGTCAGGAGTTGTTAGAGACCAGCCTGGGCAACATAGTGAGATCCTGCCTCTATTGAAAAAAAAAAAAAAAGGTAATTTCTGGTAGCAACAAGGGCTGTCAACACCATTACA
This sequence comes from Homo sapiens, assembly GCF_000001405.40. Taxonomy (NCBI): domain Eukaryota; kingdom Metazoa; phylum Chordata; class Mammalia; order Primates; family Hominidae; genus Homo; species Homo sapiens. Next base: position 36,023,525 of record NC_000019.10, on the reverse strand, counting down.
TGTTTGGATTTAGTAAATTGTCCCTGGCTGAATGCTGGAGTGGTTTTAGCTGGGGTGTTCTGAGAAGGCTTCTCTGAGGAGGTGATGTCCAAACTGAGATAGGAAAGAACTTCCTTTGCAAAGATAAGGAAGCAGAGGATGCAGTAGGTATGGAGACCCAGAGGCAGGAAGGGGCAGTGTTGACGAGGGGAGTTATGGGAAGGGCGGTGAGGTGGAGAGGTCAGCAAGGCTGGGTCACAGCAGACCTGTAGGCTACTGGAAGGAGTTTGAATTTTGTTTTTGTGTTTTTGAGACAGGGTCTTGCTGTCACCCAGGCCAGAGTGCAGTGGCACGATCTTGGCTCACAGCAACCTCCACCTCCCAGATTCAAGCTATTCTCATGTCTTAGCCTCCCACGTAGCTGGGATTACAAGTGTGTGCCAACAAGCCTGGGTTTATTTTTATTATTATGATTATTATTATTATTATTTTGAGATGGAGTCTTGCTCTGTCGCCTAGGCTGGAGTGCGGTGGCGCGATCTCAGCTCACTGCAAGCTCTGCCTCCTGGGTTCATGCCATTCTCCTGCCTCAGCCTCCCGAGTAGCTGGGACTACAGGTGCCCACCACCATGCCTGGCTAATTATTTGTATTTTTAGTAGAGAGAGGGTGTCACTGTGTTAGCCAGGATGGTCTTGATCTCCTGACCTCGTGATCCGCCCGCCTCAGCCTCCCAAAGTGCTGGGATTACAGGCGTGAGCCACCGCGCCTGGCCTTTTATTTTTATTTTTAGTAGCAACGGGTTTCACCATATTGGCCAGGCTGGTCTCAAACTCCTGCCCTCAAGCGATTCGCCCGCCTTGGCTCCCAAAGTGCTGGGATTACAGGCATAAGCCACTGCGCCCGGCCCCATCCAGAAAGCATTCTGCTGTGCACGATCTAATCATATCCATTGCACAATTCAGAAGGAAGGTTGGGTTGACTCTTCCCATTTTACAAGCCAGACTATAAGAGGCTCCAACAGGTGAAAACCTTTATCTGAAGACACGGAATACTAATCACTGCCCCTTAGAGAAGCAGCATAGCACAGCGTCATGAACTCAGGCTCAGGGACTTGCCCAGGTAAATCTCAGCTTTGCAACTTCCCACCTGTGGACCTGGAGCCAGTGATTCTGCCTCTTTGGGTGTCAATGTCTTCATCCGTAAATGGAGATAATAATAGTAACCACCTTAGGGGGCTGGTTGAGGTTTAAATTAATTAAAATGCGTAAGGCCATTAGAACAGAGTCCAGCGCATACTAAATGCTCTTTGTGTGTGCCAGGCACTGTTCTAGTCCCTCCACCAACACTCTTAAGATCAGCACTAATTGTCGGGGCGCGGTGCCTCACGCCTGTAATCCCAGCACTTTGGGAGGCAGAGGTGGGCGGATCACGAGGTCAGGAGATCGAGACCATCCTGGCTAACCCGGTGAAACCTCGTCTCTACAAAAAAAATACAAAAAATTAGCCAGGCATGGTGGCAGGTGCCTGTAGTCCCAGCTACTCAGGAGGCTGAGGCAGGAGAATGGCATGAACCCAGGAGGCGGAGCTTGCAGTGAGCCAAGATCATGCCACTGCACTCCAGCCTGGGCCAAAGTGTGAGACTCCGTCTCCAAAAAAAAATAAATAAATAAAAATAAAAAAAGATCAGCACTAATTAATTAGCCTATTATATGGACCAGGAACTGAGGCATGGAGAGGTGAATGAGCCTCCCATAATGATAATAACCACACTCACTAAAGTCTCACTGCAGCTAAGCAAGTTTACATGTGTTAAAAATGTTTCCGCCAAATGTGGTGGCTCATGCCTGTAATCCCAGCACTTTGGGAGGCTGAGGCAGAAGGATCGCTTGAGCCCAGGAATTCGAGACCAGCCTGGGCAACATAGTGAGACCTCATCTCTACTAAAAATGAAAAAATTAACCAGGCATGGTGGCACACACCTATAGTCCTAGCTACTTGGGAGGCTGAAGTGAGAGGATCGCTTGAGCCCAGGAGTTCAAGACCAGCCTGGGCAATCAACATGGTGAGACCTCATCTCTACTAATAATGAAAAAATTAATCAGGCATGGTGGCGCACACCTGTAGTCCTAGCTACTTGGGAGGCTGAAGTGAGAGGATCACTTGTGCCCAGGAGTTTGAGGCTGCACTGTGCCAGGGTCGTGCCACTGCACCCCTGGCATGGGCAACAAAGTGAGACCCTGTCTAAAAAAAAAAAAAGTTTCCGCCAGATGATCACTCCATGAGGTGGCTTACTATCTCTATTTTACAGATGAAACTGAGGCTCAATAAGTCCCCTGACCAAAGTTACAGCATGATAATAGCTAACAGGCTGAGCACAGTGGCTTCACACCTGTAATCCCAGCACTTTGGGAGGCCAAGATGGGGAGGATCGCTTGAGGCCAGGAGTTTGAAACTAACCTGGGCAACATAGGGATACTCCATTTCTATTTTTAACAAAAGTTTGTTGTTGTTGTTGTTGTTTTAATTAGCCAGGCTTTGGTGGCGTTCACCTGTAGTCCCAGCTACTCGGGAGACTGAGGAGGGAAGATTGCTTGAACCCAGGAGTTCAAGGTTACACTGAGCTATGATTGCACCACTGCACTCCAGCCTGGGCCACAGAGTGAGACCCTGTCTCTAAAATAGAAAAAAAATTTCAATAACGAATACTTGCTGATCCTTTACTTAATACCAAGCCCTGTTCTGAGGGCTTTAATTTCTCTATAACAGCCCTGTCCAACAGAGCTTTCTGTAATGGTGGAAATATTCTGTCTGTGCTGTCCAGTAAAGTAGCTACAAGCTACATGTGACAATTGAGCACTTGAAATATGGCTAGTGTGACTGGGGAAATGCATTTTTAATTTAGTTTAAATGTATTGATTTGTATTTTTATTTATTTATATTTTTTCTTGAGACAGAGTCTTGCTCTGTTGCTCAGGCTGGAGTGCAGTGGTGCTATCTGGGCTCACTGCAACCCTCCTGGGTTCAAGCAATTCTCCTGCCTCAGCCTCCCGAGTAGCTGGGATTACAGGCGTGCACCATCATGCCTGGTTAATTTTTGTATTTTTAGTAGAGATGGGGGTTTCACCATGTTGGCCAGGCTGGTCTTGAACTCCTGACCTCAGGTGATCCTCCCACCTCGGCCTCCCAGAGTGCTAGGATTATAGGTGTGAGCCACCGCGCCCGGACTAAATTTATTTATTTTTAAATTTAAAAATCATCTGAGTCTTCTTTCTAAGGTATGTATTTATTTATTTTTGAGACAGGGTCTTGCTTGTTGCCCAGGCTGGAGTGCAGTGGCACCATCATAGCTCACTGCACCCTTGAACTCCTGGGCTCAAGCGATCCTCCCACCTCAGCCTCCCAAGTAACTGGGACAACAGGCTTGAGCTACTGCACCTGGTTACCTTTTTTCTTTCTTTTATAGAGAATAGGGTCTTGCTGTCTTTGTTTTTTGGAACAGATTAAGATTAGAGGGTCTCGCCATTTTCACCCAGGCTGGTCTGAAACTCCTGGCCTCAAGTGATCCTCCAGCCTTGGCATCCCAAAGTGTTGGGATTATAGGCATGAGCCACCACACCCGGCCTTAGTTTAAATTTAAATTGTTGGCCAGGCATGGTGGCTCATGCCTGTGATCCCAGCACTTTGGGAGGCCGAGGCGGGTGGATCACCTGAGGTCAGGAATTCGAGACCAGCCTGGCCAACATGGCGAAGCCCCGTCTCTACTAAAAATACAAAAATTAGCCAGGCGTGGTGGCATGCACCTGTAGTCCCAGCTACTTGGGAGGCTGAGATGGGAGAATTGCTTGAACCCAGGAAGTGGAATTTGCAGTGAGCCGAGATCGTGCCACTGCACTCGAGCCTGGCAACAGAGTGAGACGCTGTCTCGAAAAAAAAAAAAATAAATAAAATAAATAAATAAATAAATTTACATTGTCCTATGTGGCTAGTCACTATTCACTATATGAGACAGGGCAACTCTTTAACAATCCTATAAGGTGAGTATAATTTCTGTTCCCATTTCACAGCAAAGGAAGTTGAGGCACACAGAGGTTAAGTCATGTAGCCAGCAAATGGTGATGTGTGACCTGGGGTTTGGGCCCAGGGCGGCCTCATGCAACCCACCTTGCTGCCCGTGTGTGGGCACTCCACGTTGGCCTCCCAGCATTCCTTCCTTAGCCATCGCCTCCCTTCTCTCCCCAGACGGGCACACTGCGGTTCTGTGGGACCACGGAGTTTGCCAGCGGCCAGTGGGTGGGCGTGGAGCTGGACGAACCTGAGGGCAAGAACGATGGCAGCGTTGGGGGCGTTCGGTACTTCATCTGCCCTCCCAAGCAGGGTTAGTCCGACCTCGGGCCCAAGAGGGGTGTGGCTGGGTGTCCACTCGGCAGTTCTGATGCTGCTGACTGGGAAATAGGGGATGGAGGATGGGGGCCGAGGGCAGAGGCTTGGACAACACCAGGCTCGGATTCTGTACCCCTAGGTCTCTTTGCCTCCGTGTCCAAGATCTCCAAGGCAGTGGACGCACCCCCCTCCTCTGTCACCTCCACACCCCGGACCCCCCGGATGGACTTCTCCCGTGTCACCGGCAAAGGCCGCAGGGAACACAAAGGTCAGAGAGGGGATCCCTGTGGTGGGAAGAGCCAGTTTGGGGATGTTGTGTGGGTAGCTCAGCTTCTGTGACTCAGTTTCTCCTCAGGCCCAAACTCCAGTTTTGGAAGACAAGCTCTGAGTTCCTGACTTCTGTGACTCAGTTTCCCCTTTGGCTCAGTACTGGCACCCCCTAGTTCTTAGAAGGACCTGTGGGTTCCCTGCCCTCTGTGACTTAGTTTCCTCTCAGACCCAAAGGTCTCCCCCAGTTTTAGGGAAGAATCCTTGGAGATCCTGTCTTTTGTCATTTGATCTACTTTTTTTTTTTTTTTTTTTTGAGTCAAGAGTCTCGCCTTGTTGCCCAGGCTGGAGCGTGGTGGCACGATCTTGGCTCACCGCAACCTCCGCCTCCCGGGTTCAAGCAATTCTCGTGCCTCAGCCTCCCGAGTAGCTGGGATTACAGGTGCCCACCACCACATCTGGCTAATGTTTGTATTTTTTTCTGTAGAGACAGGGTTTTGCCATGTTGGCCAGGCTGGTCTCAAACTCCTGACCTCAAGTGATCTGCCCGCCTCGGCCTCTCAAAATGTTGGGATTACAGGCCTGCGCCACTGCACATGGCCTGATTTACTCTCGGACCCAATTTTCCCTTCATTTTAAAAGGACAGTTTCTGGGTTCCTGACTTCTGACTCAGCTTTTCCTTATCCAACATATCCTCAGCTTTGAGAAAGGATTTTGGGGTTCTTCAGGTTCTCTGACTCAGTTTCCCTTCAGGCCTAAAGCCCCTTCCTAATTCTCTGGCATCTGGGATTCAGTTTCACTTCAAACGAAGAACAGGGTTTTCTACCTTGGGGTTTTCCAGGTGGCACGAGGTTCCCAAAGCTGGCCTCAGCCCCACTACCCACCTCCTACACCTTCTACCCTTAGGCAAGAAGAAGACCCCATCATCCCCATCTCTGGGCAGCTTGCAGCAGCGTGACGGGGCCAAGGCTGAGGTTGGAGACCAGGTCCTTGTCGCGGGCCAGAAGCAGGGGATCGTGCGCTTCTACGGGAAGACAGACTTTGCCCCAGGTGAGGATGGGGACTCTGGGCCGGGAGGCAGGCAGGGCCTTGAGAAATCCTGACACCCTCGTGCTGCAGGTTACTGGTATGGCATTGAGCTGGACCAGCCCACAGGCAAGCATGATGGCTCTGTCTTCGGTGTCCGGTACTTCACTTGCCCCCCGAGGCATGGGGTCTTCGCACCAGCATCCCGTATTCAGAGGTGAGCCCAAACTTCCAGCCCAAACCCAGGGCACCACCTGGAGCCCTGATCCCCCCTCAGATGGCCTCCTCCTCCCAGACCAGCAGGACAGTGTGGACACCCCCGAGCCCCCAGCCCTTTCCTCATAGATCCCTGGGGCCCAGCTCTCAGTCAGACCCTGGCCTTTTGTGGCTCTGACTTCTCCCCCTCCCCGTGTCTCCTCAGGATTGGCGGATCCACTGATTCCCCCGGGGACAGCGTTGGAGCCAAAAAAGTGCATCAAGTGACAAGTGAGTTAGGGGATGATATGTTGGGAGGAGTGTACGTTTGGGGATGGGAGGAAGGGTCATGGGTTCTCAGGTATATACTGGTGACAGTCTCTGGTATTTAATTGGGGACACAGGGTCCAGGAAAATGATGAGACAAGGTCCACAAAAAGATAGGTGCTAGAGGATATGAGGAAATTAGCAACAAGGCTCTTCGGGGACATGAGGTTGAGCAGATACTGGGGACAGGGATAGTCACTGGGGGACATGGTGGGAATTATGGACAAGAGGCCCAGATGGGTATTGGGAATGTAGGATCCAGGTGGGGACTGGAGACATGGGGAGGTATTAATGAGAAGGGGTCTGGATGGGTATTGAGGACACAGGTGGTCTGTCATCCCCTCACTTGACATCCTGCCCTCCTCTTCAGTGACGCAGCCCAAACGCACCTTCACCACAGTCCGGACCCCAAAGGACATTGCATCAGAGAACTCCATTTCCAGGTGTGTGGCCAACCCCTGTCCCCTCTCCTATGTGACATTCAGGGAGAGGGATCCATAAGGCAGTTGGACCCAGAGGTCTGGAGCTCTGGTCAGGGCTGGAAAGAGAGGTTAGGAAAACTTGTGACTTGTAAGCATACCCAGAAACAGTCTTTAGGGTGTAGGGCCCCGCACTGAATTCTAGTGAATTCCACTTTCGGGTGGGCCGGTAAAGGAAGCAGAACACCCTTCACTCCATACGAGCCTCAGAACAACAGCTAGAGACCGGGCGGGGTGGCTCATGCCTTTAATCCCAGCACTTTGGGAGGCCAAGGCAGGCGGATCACCTGAGGTCAGGAGTTCAAGACCAGCCTGGCCAACATGGTGAAACCCCGTCTCTACCAAAAACACAAAAGTTAGCCGGACACAATGGCATACACCTGTAGTCCCAGCTACTCGGGAGGCTGAGACAGGAGAATTGCTTGAACCTGGGAGGCAGAGGTTGCAGTGAGCCGAGATCGTGCCATGGCACTCCAGCCTGGGTGACAGAGTGAGACTCCATCTCAGAAAACAAACAAACAAACAAACCACAGCCAGAGAGGTAGAGGCAGAATCCAGAAAGGCCTGATAGCAAACACTGGGGGAAAGGCTGGGGGTGATGGGTGCAGATGTCCCCGCTGCCTGCCTAAGGGCGTGACCCTGTCATCCTCCTTTCCAGGTTGCTGTTCTGCTGCTGGTTCCCCTGGATGCTGAGGGCGGAGATGCAGTCTTAGAGGCCCTGGACACCTGACAAAGAGACAGAGTCCCCACTAGCATCTCCTGACACCCGAGGAGCCCTGAGTCACCCTGAGATAGAGATTCCCAGTAACACATCCAGAGTAGAGACCCCTGTTAGCCAGCCCTCGATCATTGAGGCCCCATTATTAACAGATACTCCCATAATAACCCCCAAATACAGACCCCATGTCACCCAGAAAGAGATTCCCTGAGTAGCACCTTCAGGCTAGTCCCTATCCCCAACCCCTCAGAGCAGATTCCCAGATTAACAGATTTCCATATCACCCCAAATGATGGTGACCCTCTCCACATAATGCATTACAACAGAACATTCTTGAATCACCCAACCCTGGATCAGAAACCTCCCCATTAACAAACACTGCCCCTTAAGTCCTCTTGAAATAAACATAGGTCACACCCCCAAAGCAAAAGAGTAACAGACATTCATGTCATTGTTCCCCATTTAACATCAGTCCTCTCAAGATGTCGTGACCCCATGGTCACCCTGAAGCCCTTAGATTCCAACCCCTCAATCAGAGACTTCCTTCATTAACAAAGACCCTTGTTCTTATCCCTCAAGAAGAAACCCACCATAACCAGCCCACTGTCACCCCTAATTTACAGACACCAAAACAGTCCTGGAAGTGCTAATTACAGGACCCCCCAAGTCTTCCTACCCTCTGCACCCTCAAGAAACCCCCAGTGCCTTGTATGAAGCCCACCCCACATGGCCCACAGCTCCTGTGCTGGCCAGACTCCCAGAAAATTCTCTATTTTTTAAGTAACGACTTCCCCCTTTGGGGGACCCCAAAATTTGGAGGCCCCATTCTAGGACTCTGGGGATCCCAAACCCTAGAGTACACACGTCCCAAACTCCCCTGTGCCCTCAAGTCCTACAGCCCCTAGAAGACCCCAATGCCGTAACTCCTAGGACCCCCAAATCATGGAATCCCAAATCCCCAGGGAATCCCAAATTTGAAAATCCAATCCCAAGTCCCCAGGAAACCCAATCATGAGGTCCTTGTGCCTGGTATGGAGGAGACTGCAGTCAGGATATGCATTCCAGGCTCCCAGACACCTCAAGCCCTATTCACAGGCACCAGGAAACCCCACACAGGAATTCCCATCCCTGGAAACTGGAGAATTTCAATGCCCCGAGTCCATGGGTTTCAAGACACCAAATTCCAAGAGCCCCAGCCCTAAGGGAACCCCAAATCCTAAAGCCTCCATCTCTAATAAATGGAAGGCCCCAAGGCCCTGAGGGGATCTCAAATCCTGGAACCCCGATTTCAATCTACGTTCTAGTCACTGGCCTCAAAGGACCCCACAGCACCTGGGCCAGACCAACAGCTCGAGGGAGAACCTGAAGGCCCAGGGGGTCCAGGGCGGACCTGGGGCCCCGACCACCAAGGACAGCTCACGACTGCCCCTTCACTGCATGTCCCCAAACTCAGCATGACTCCTGTCCTCTTCAATAAAGACGTTTCTATGGCCTCTCTGTGTCGGGTCATTGGGGGTTTCCCTTGCTGGGAGAAGACGGGAAAGGAAGTGCTTCCTTCAGTCTCACCTCCCTGCGGCGTGGGCAGGTGATGGCGCTGGCCGCGGGAAGTCCTTCTAGCAGCCTCTCATGTCTTCCCGCGGCTGTCACGGCTGCCGCCCCCGTCCCACCCATCGGGGTCCACTCCGCCAATGGCCAGGTTCAGTTCCTAAGTTCTGAGTGGCCAGTGCCAGACGACGATGCCCCGCCCACGCCCTCCTGCCAATGGCTCAGAGGCCAGGAGGCGCGGCCTATCCTTAGGCGAGCATGAAGGGGGCGGGCGAATACTGAGTGAGAGCGCCGATTGGGTGGAAGGCGGGCCCTTGAAGCCTCTGGGAGCTCCCATTGGCCTGCGGACTCTGCGTCTGTAATGTGGGGCGGAAATGGCTGGGAGGGGGATGGGGATGTTGAATTTGGAAATTGGAGGGGACGCTGGTGGACGGTCAGTTTTGGGGAGTGCTGGGGGTAGAGATGGATGTCAATAGGGCTGAAAGTGGGGATCCGGGGGAGCCCAGAGTAGGAGTCCGAGGAGGCTCAGAGCTTGGAGTCCTAAAAGGCTCGGAGTCGGGGATCTGAATGGTTCAGGGAGGGAAGAAGATTTGGGAGTCAGCCTCAGAGCTAAAGATCTCAGGGTGCTGGAGTGAAGGGGCGCTCAGGAGGGGAAATCCGAGGGGCGTCCAAATGGGGGGATCCGAGGAGGCTGAGGGTGGACATGTCTGAGGAGGCTCAGATTGGGGTCACAGGAGTGCACAGAATGGGATTCGGTGGGGGGCGGGGGTCGCTGAGTGTTGATAGCCGGGCTCACAGTTGCAGGTCTGAAGCGGGGTCTCAAGGTGTTTAAAGGGGCTCTGGAGTGCAGCCCTGGGGGCTATGTGTAGAGCTTTTGAGAAAGGCTCCCTGTGTGTGGGGCCAGAGAATGTTCTCTGTGGGAGGATTGAGAAGGCATATGTGTAGTTGGATGGGCCCTTAGTGGACAGAGTAATGGGGGATTATTCTTGGGGCTCATTGTGTCCGGGCATGGAACGTAGGGGCTCTCTGTGTGGCTTGTAAGATGCTGAAGACTCAGATTTTAGAGACCAAGTGCGTTTCAGAAGAGGGCTGAGGTGAGGCCTGGCCTGTGATGGGGTGGAATGCTGCATCATGGTGTTAGGGCGGGAGGCCTAGTGACTTCAGTATGTCCTCCCCTCCCTACAGGATTGGGTGCAAGGAGTTGGTGTTGATGGAGGAGCAGGACGCCAGAGTCCCAGCCCTGGAACCGTTCAGAGTGGAGCAGGTTGTCAGAACTCAGGGTGCAGAGGGTGAAGGAGGCAGGCTGATTCCTGAGTTCTTGGGTTGGGACTGCCCCCTTCCACCAAATTCATTCTTACTGTCAGAGTCCATTCTGGAATGGCACTGGTCCCTTGACTTTAGACCCTGACCTGTCTGAGGACATCCTGAGCCTGTCTCCAGGCATAGGGGTTGCTCTGTGATGATATGTCCTCTGTGTGGGTTGAAGGGCCACACCTTCAGGGGGTCTTTCTATCCTAGGCACCACCTGTAATCTACTATGTCCCTGACTTCATCTCCAAAGAAGAGGAGGAGTATTTGCTTCGACAGGTGACCTCAGTGCCCTACTGGTCTGTTTTCCCACTCTTCCCATATTCCTCCCCAATGTCCATCCTCTGTATGAGAGCCCCCAAGGCTGCAGTGAAGACCCCGACAGAAGGAACAAGGAAGTTACAGAGCTCATACTCCCTCTACTGAGATAGCCCAATCCTGCTAGCTTAGAGAATAGGGGGTTATAAACATAGGCTGAGATAGCCCAGTTCAGATCATTGAGACTGGGGAGTAAAGAATTTTGTATTCAGATTTCTGTGCTGAGATAGCCCAGTAAACTCTTTCCTGTGCTAAAATAGCCCAGCATAGACCCAGAGCACAATAAGGTTACCAAATACAGACCATCTACGCTGAGATGGCCCAGTCTGCATTCTGTTCTTAAGGTTTGGGGAAAGAAGAATTTTCAAAGCTCAGAGTTCCTGCCCTTTGCAGCCCCAGTGCCTAAGTTACAGAGCACAGATCTTCCCTGTGTTGGAGTAACCCACTGATCTTGAGTCCAGGAAAAAATTAGCTACAGAACACAGACTTTTTTGCTGAGATAGCCCATTCCAGACCTTTGCGTTCTTGGCATTGAAAAATCTACATATTATAGAATTCCTGGGCTGAAATAGCCCAGTACAGCTCCATAACCATGAAGGGAATGAGTAGATTATCAACTAGAGCTAGACTTGTTGGACTGAGATAGCCCATTCTAGATCATTAGGATCTTGGCAGTGGAAGATTTTCAAAGTACTTTCTTTGCTGTGCTGAGATAGCCCAGCTTTGCATACTCCCTCCCCCAGGCAATAGGAACAAGTCGGTTGCAGAACTCAAACTGTCCTCAGAGAGCCCAGGAATCAGGAATTTTTGTTTGTTTGTTTTTTGAGACAATCTTGCTCTGTCGCCCAGGCTGGACTGCAGTGGCGTGATCTCGGTTCACTGTAGCCTCCGCCTCCTGGGTTCAACTGATTCTTGTGTTTCAGTCTCCTGAGTAGCTTGGATTGCAGGCGTGTGACACCACACCGCCTCCCAGGTTCAAGCGATTCTCCTGTCTCATCCTCCCAAGTAGCTGGGATTACAGGTGCATGCCACCATGCCCAGCTAAGTTTTGTATTTTTAGTAGAGACGGGGTTTCCCCATGTTGGCCAGGCTGGTCTCGAGCTCCTGACCTCAAGTGATCTGCCCGCCTCGGCCTCCCAAAGTGCTGGGATTACAGGCATGAGCAACCAGGTTTGGCACGGAATCAGGAAATTAGAATGCAGACTATTTGCTGGGCTGAAAGAGCCCTGTCCAGCCCCAGAACTCTGAGTAGATTGTGAGACCCACAACTCTCAGACCACGGTTGTGCAGCCCTGATTCCTAAATCCTGGTAGACACAGGTGGGCTTTGGGGCCAAAGGCGTTCCCAGGAAAAAAGGCAAACCACAAAATCCTAGGAACCCACCGCCCCAGGGAATGGTCCCACAGACACAGATGACCCATTTCCATCCCGGAGGTAAAGGCCCCTATGTTGGTCTAGGTGGGAGGATCATAGAGGGGTGATCCTGAGAAAGGAGTGACCCCCTTCCCACCTCTTAGGTTTTTAATGCCCCAAAGCCAAAGTGGACCCAGCTCTCTGGGAGAAAGTTACAGAACTGGGGTAAGTATCCCTGGCTGGGGGCAGGAGTGATTCTGGGATGTAGGCTGGGGCAGGGGACTCAGGTCCAATAGACTTAAGACATCAGAGGGTCCCTGACAGCTCAAGGGGCCCCAAGAGCCAGGAGGATTCTGAAGGGGTCAGTGGAGGTCCTGAGGGATTAGGGATTTCCTGATGAGTTGGGAGTATCTGAAAGGGACCTGTGGTCTGGAGAAGTGAGGAAACCTCTGAAGGACCCAGTGGCTATCTCCAAACGGTCAGGGGTCCCTGAGAGGATCAGGGTGCTTCCAGCCACTGTGGAATCCCTAATGGGGGATCTATTGCTATAGGGGGGCCCTCAGGACCCCATTGCCTTCCCCAGGTGGGCTTCCTCATCCCCGAGGGATGGTTCCTGAGCGGCTGCCCCCATGGCTCCAGCGCTACGTGGACAAAGTGTCAAACCTCAGCCTCTTTGGAGGCCTCCCAGCTAACCATGTCCTCGTGAACCAGTATCTGCCTGGGGAGGGCATCATGGTAACCACACACCCTCGGCCCGTGTCCCCCCACTCAGACTTCTGAGCTGTGCTGGGGCAGGGGACTCTGTACCCACCCTCACTCATTAGGCAGCCACATCTCCCAAACAGGCATTCACCTCCCTGTCCCTGGCTTGGGAAGCCCCCCTTTGACCCAGAGGGTGGGGGTTGTGGACTCCTGCCCTGCCCAGCCCTGGTGCCCACTCCCTAGCCCCACGAGGACGGACCACTGTACTACCCGACTGTCAGCACCATCAGCCTGGGCTCCCACACCGTGCTGGACTTCTACGAGCCGCGGCGGCCAGAGGACGATGACCCTACAGAACAGGTGGGCCCCCAGACACTGCCCCAGCTGCTTGTAGGCACTTCAACCTCGCACATCCTCCAAGATGACCTGGTCCCACATGCCTTCGGGGTACTCCTGGCACTCTCCCAGATACCTTCCCTTGTCCCCTCATGGGGTGTACCCACTTCCTCCCAGACACCCAACCCATCTGCTTACAGGGTGTCTGTCCCACATGCCATGATTTTCACAGGCTCCCCGATGCCCCAACCTGCTGAATGGATACCCCTGACTCCCCAGCAGACACTGATATCCTTAGATACCCCACCGCCATTAACTCGGGGGGCCTCACCTCCTCCCAGATGCTCTATCTGCCCCTGCTCAGGGTGCCCCAGACGTCCTGCTACTCCAGGAATGTGATTTGGGGTGCAGGACACCCCCAGATTCTCCTTGACCCCTTGACACAATTTCTCTGAGTGATGCATTTCTAGCACCCCAGTGTTCACAGAAACGCCCCTGAACACGCCGACCCACTCCTTGAGGCTTGCCCTCGAGCCCTGCATGCTCCTGGATGCTCTGACACTCCCTCAGCTGTGCGGTTGTCCTCTAATGTCCTGATGTCCTTGGGAACCCCCACTGCCTCTAACCTCTGCCTCACTCTCTCCTCACCTGGTCCTGGCTTCAGCCATGCTCTCTCAGCCCAGCTCTGCCTGTATTTCCTGGGGACTGCCTATTCCTGGGTCCCAGCCCCAGCCTCAGCCCCTTTGAGATCCCAGCTGCAGCTCCCACCGGCCGCTGACCCTTTGACGCCCCCATCTGCCACCTAGATCCTGCCCCCTCCCGAGGGACGGCAGAGCCCTCGCCCTCCCTTTCCAGCAGCCCCAGCCCAGGCCCCAGCAATTTTCACTCCTGAACCACCAAAGCCTCCATCATTGTGAGCACACTTGCTCTTCAGCTTTTGCCCCTGGGGACTAGCTGATCCCCGGAGGCTACCGACCTCTCGCCCACCCCCACCCCCCGACTTCTTGAGCCCTGCTGACCCTCAACCCGCCCTGCAGCCTCGGCCTCCGCCCCGGCCCACCACCTCGCTACTGCTGGAACCGCGCAGCCTGCTGGTGCTCCGCGGCCCCGCCTACACGCGTCTTCTCCACGGCATCGCCGCCGCCCGCGTAGACGCGCTGGACGCCGCCTCCTCGCCGCCCAATGCGGCAGCCTGCCCGTCGGCGCGGCCGGGAGCCTGCCTGGTGCGCGGCACCCGGGTCTCGCTGACCATCCGCCGCGTGCCCCGCGTGCTGCGCGCCGGCCTCCTGCTGGGCAAGTGACCGCCAGGGCCGGGACCCCTCGGATTCCCAGGTTCCTGCCCCTTTGGGGCTGCTGTGACTCCGCGACCTAGGAACCGTGGGCAAAGGGGGCTCCCCTGGGTTATTTATTTTCCCAATAATTTTGTGTGAGCTACAGAAGACCCCATACCAAATAAACAAAAAAATCTTTCCTTGGTTTTATATTTTTATTTTTTAGGGGCCAGATGCTTGGTTTCCTGAGGGGAGCGGCATCTAGGGTCTTAAATGAATGGGGTAGGCCCTGGAGGTCCGATTTCTGGGTTCCCAGTGGGGCAGAATCCAGGGCTCTTGAGGAGGTGGCGCAGGGGTTCTATCTGGAACCCTCTTGGATGGCGTGGAGTGATGCTGGGAGATTTAGCTACTGGCCTGCTAGGGAGGAAGGAGTTAAGTGACTCTTCTGTCACCTGAGCTGGGCATCAAATGGCCGGGTCCAGGTTCCTCTTGGAAGGGGCGGAGCCAGACCTGTCCTGGGCCTCTCCTGCAGCCTCAGGCCCGGGTGACTCCAGCGGAGGAGCTCTGGGACACCCTTGTCTAGGGAAGAGGTCTTACTGGCTGCCCTCACCTGACTTTGTGTCCCCAGGCCCCCAGCCATGGCCCTGTCCCTGCCTCTGGGCCCTAGACTTGGCTCAGAGCCCCTCAACCACCCACCGGGAGCACCTAGAGAGGCGGACATTGTTGGATGCACCGTCTGCCCCGCGTCCGGAGAGGAGAGCACGAGGTGGGGGCCGGGGCTTTGGAAGCTTGTTCCCAAAAGGGTAGGCGTGGTGGCAGGGGCCATGTGAGGGTAGGAGGTGCCATGGCTGTGATCGCCTGGGGACATAGGAGAGGCCACCAGGGTTGGGGTGACGGTAGGCTGAAAAGTGAGGTGTCGAGACTCACCCAGTCACCGCCCCCTGCCTCCTAGCCCAGAGCAGGCCCAGACCCTGGGACAGGACTCCTTGGGCCCTCCTGAGCACTTCCAGGGTGGGCCAAGGGGCAATGAGCCTGCCGCTCACCCCCCGAGATGGTCAACACCCTCTTCCTACGAGGACCCAGCTGGGGGCAAACACTGTGAGGTGAGCTGAGGTGACCCAGACCCCTTGTGCCAGCCCCACCTCCTCTCTGTCCCCTGGAGTCTGGCCTCCATACTGAGGACCGGGTGATGATTCTGGAAAGGTGTTGGGTGTCTGTAGGGGGAGGGACCTTCTGGAAAAGTGTTTCAATATCTGACCAACTGGGGAGACGTATTTCTTTCTTTCTTTTTTTTTTTGAGATGGAGTCTCTCTGTCACCTAGGCTGGAATGCAGTGGTGAGATCTCTGCTCACTGCAACCTCCGCCTCCCAGGTCCCAGTGATTCTCCTGCCTCAGCCACCCGAGTAGCTGGGATTACAGGCACATGCCACCATACCTGGCTAATTTTTTGTATTTTTAGTAGAGATGGGTTTTCGACTTGTTGGCCAGGCTAGTCTCGAACTCCCGACCTCAGGTGATCCACCCACCTCAGCCTCCCGAAGTGCTGGGATTACAGGCGTGCGTCACCGTGTCCAGCCATATTTCTTTTTTATTAAAAAAAAAAAAGTAGAGATGATGTCTCACCATGTTGCCCAGGCTGGTCTTGAACTCCTGGGCTCAAGTGATCCTCGGGCCTCGGCCTCCCAAAGTGCTGGGATTACAGATGTGAACCACTGCGCCCGGCTGAGAAGCATTTCATCATTGCTCCTGGTGTAGCCCCATTCTTCTTGGGGGGTACCCAGCCCCGCTCCCTGTCCAGACCCCCCAGGCCTCACACATCCAAGTTTCCAGGAGCTTTGAAAACCTGGAGACCTTGAACTAGATATCTGTCCTCAGGCCTGGCTCCACTGGGAAGGCCCCCCCAGTGGGAGCCATCCTGGTGCAGACAGACCCGGAGATGGACTGTGCCACAGAGAAGTTTCCAGAAGCTTACAGAAGAGGGGTGGGGATGGGAGCAGGGGTGATATCTTGATTGGCCCACTGGCCCTGACCTGGCTCCTGTGTTCCCCAGCACCCCATTTCTGGCCTGGAGGTACTAGAGGCTGAGCAGAACAGCCTGCACCTGTGCCTGCTGGGGCTGGGCCGCCGGCTGCAGGACCTGGAGCAAGGCCTGGGGCACTGGGCATTGGCCCAGAGTGGGATGGTGCAGCTGCAGGTAGGCAGGAGAGGCCAGGATGTGGGGGTGGGCACGGCCCCAGCAGTGGGTGCCAGCTTTCCGGGATGGGAAATGGGTTGAGTGCATGTTCCAGGCCTTTGGATAGGAAATGGGGGAGGGGGGTAACTCCAGGTTTTGGGTCCCTGGTGTGTGCGTGGGGTGATGTCCATATGTCCCCAGGCCCTCCAGGTGGACCTACGAGGGGCAGCTGAGCGTGTGGAGGCGCTGCTAGCGTTTGGTGAGGGGCTGGCACAGCGGAGTGAGCCCAGGGCCTGGGCAGCCCTGGAGCAGATCCTGCGGGCCCTGGGAGCTTACCGAGACTCCATCTTCCGGCGGCTCTGGCAGCTGCAGGCCCAGCTGGTCAGCTACAGCCTGGTAGGGCCCATCTTGATACCCCCCACCCAACCCAGGCCCCAACCTCATAGCCTCCATGACCTCTGTCCTTTGACCCAGGTGTTCGAGGAGGCCAACACGCTGGACCAGGACTTGGAGGTCGAGGGAGACTCGGACTGGCCAGGACCTGGTGGGGTCTGGGGGCCCTGGGCACCCAGTAGCCTCCCCACTTCCACAGAGTTGGAGTGGGATCCGGCGGGGGACATTGGGGGCCTTGGGCCCTTGGGACAAAAGACAGCCCGGACACTAGGAGTGCCCTGTGAGCTGTGTGGCCAGAGGGGGCCCCAGGGCAGGGGACAAGGCCTTGAGGTGAGAGCAGACCCCCTTGAGGGACCTTCTGCCAGGCACCCTGGGGACATCTCTGCGCACCTTCTAGCAAGATCCTGCCCTTCCAAGGAGGTGTCAGTGGCTCTGTCTCCCCCTCTATCTCTGTCTCTCGGTGTCTCCTTCTATCTCACTGTTTCTCTCTCTCGTCTGTCTCTGTCTACATCCTCAAGCCCCATCTCAAATTCACTCCTATCCTGAGGCCCCCAGATGATGCCCCACTCACCTCCTGACTGTCCCAGTCTCTCCTGAAGTGCCACCTCTTCAGGGAGGCCTGTCGTGACCTCCAAACATGAGCACTCCTATCTTCTTACTTTATTTCCTAACAGCACTCACCACAGCTTGACTTTGTACATTTACTTATTTTTAAAAATTTTTATTTATTTTTTGAGATGGAGTCTCACTCTGTCACCCAGGCTGGAGTGTAGTGGTGCAATCCTGGCTCACTGCAAACTCTGCCTCCCAGGTTCAAGAGATTCTCCTACCTCGGCCTCCCGAGTAGCTGGGATTACAGGTGTGCACCACCATTCCTGGCTAATTTTTGTATTTTTAGTAGAGATGGGGTTTCATCATGTTGGCCAGGCTAGTCTCGAACGCCTGACCTCAGGTGATCCGCCTGCCTTGGCCTCCCAAAGTGCTGGGATTACAGGCATAAGCCACTGTACCAGGCCTCATTTACTTATTAATTTATGGTCTCTCTCCTGTCAAATATAAGCTCCACGGAGGCCAGGAATTTGCCTATTTCCATCCCCACTGTGTCCTCAGCTCCTAGAACAGTTCCTGGCTTGTAACAGAAACTCATTACACATTTATTGAATGAATGAATAAATAATTCTCTCCTCTCTTGGTTTCTTTGGCTCTGCCTTTGTCTGTCCTGTGAGATCTCTCTGCTCCCCCAGAATCTCATCTCTATGACATCCCTATCCTGGCCCTCCCCCAACCACGTTTTTCTTTGTTGCTGGTTCTCCAGGAAGCAGACACCTCTCACTCCCGACAGGACATGCTGGAGTCTGGCCTCGGCCACCAGAAACGCTTAGCACGTCACCAAAGACACTCCCTGCTCCGGAAGCCTCAGGTGAGCCAGTTCTCAACCAGGTGTAGCACTCAGGAATCTTGATGGCAAGTGACAGAAACCCAAGAAATCAAAAGGCACAAGAAAGGGAATGCTATTAAAAAAAAAAAAAGTAATGGAAAGGTCCAGGCACTGTTGAATTCAGAGCCTGAAGTAATACCAGGGCCAGGCCAGGCGCAGTGGCTCACGCCTGTAATCCCAGCACTTTGGGAGGCTGAGGTGGGTGGATTACCTGAGGTCAGGAGTACGAGACCAGCCTGGCCAAAATGGTGAAACCCCGTCTCTACTAAAACTACAAAAATTAGCCAGGTGTGGTGGCGCATGCCTGTAATCCCAGCTACTCAGGAGGAGAATCGCTTGAGCCCGGGAGGCGGAGGTTGCGGTGAGCCGAGATCCCACCACTGCACTCCAGTCTGAGCAACATAGTGAGACCCCATCTCAACAAAAAAAAAAAAAAAAAAAAAAAAAAGAAAGAAAGAAATAACATCAGGGCTCAGTCCCTCCCTTTCTTGGGCTCTAAGTCCCCAAGGTGGCTTCCTTCTTAGCAAAATGGGTGCTCCAGTGGCTACACTGCCACTCCCACTGGTTTACCCACCCCAGGGGAAGGAGCATGCCTCCGACCCTACTGACAGCTGCCAAAGTCCCAGGGCTGACTCCCACTTACCGGATGGGGTCATGGGCTGCACCTTGAATAAACCAGAGTGCTCAGATTGGCCAGGTCTGGGTCACACCAATCATGGAAGTTGGGGAGGTGGCTGTCAGCTTCACTTGAACCTGAAGGTCTGGGAGTGGAAGGCATGACAGCCGCCCACCTCCAATTAAGGCACTGTTATCAGAAAAAGGGGGATTGTATTGGATAAAGGACAGACACAACCAGACATCCACTACACTTGGAGATATTCCAAGTCTGTGTGGGGTCCTGGGGATAAGGAGGTGCCAGGAAAGGAGAAGAAATAAGACCAGCTTTGTAGGTCTATCGTAGTAGGGTAAAGGTGACACAAAGTGTCACTTGTGGCTGGGCACCGTGGTTCACGCCTGTGATCCCAACACTTTGGGAGGTCAAGGCAGGAGGATTGCTTAAGGCCAGGAGTTCAAGACCAGCCTGAGCAACATGGTGAGACCTGCCCCCTCCCCCCATCTCTACAAATCATTAAACAAAAGTAAATGGTTGCAGTGGCATGTGCCTGTGGTCCCAGCTATTAGGGAGGCTGAGGTAAGAGGATCACCTGAGCCCAGGAGGTTGGGGCTGCCATGAGTCGTGATTGTGAAACTGCACTCCAGCCTGGGTGACTGAGACCCTGTCTCAAAAAATAATGTGTCGGCCAGGTGTGGTGGCTCATGCCTGTAATCCCAGCAGTTTGGGAGGCTGAGGTGGGCGGATCACTTGAGGTCAGGAGTTTGGGACCAGCCTGGCCAACATGGTGAAACTCCATCTCTACTAAAAATACAAAAATGAGCTGGGCATGGTGGCACCTGTAGTCCCAGCTGCTCGGGAGGCTGAGGCAGGAGAATTGCTTGAACCCGGGAGGCTGAGGTTGCAGTGAGCTGAGATTGAGCCATTGCAGTCCAGCGTGGGTGCCAAGAGTGAGACTCCGTCTCAAAATAAATAAACAAATAAAGCATCATTTCTATCCATTCTGCTGCTGGCTGCTCTCCCTCCTTAGGACAAGAAGAGGCAAGCATCTCCTCATCTCCAGGATGTGAGGCTGGAGGGGAATCCAGGGTGAGGTGCCTGAGAGATGGGACTAGGGTGTGGGGGACAGAGCTCCTAGCAGCAGCCCACCTGTATGTTTAACACTGCATTTCCCTTCACAGGGCCCCCGATCCTGCATCCAGGCAGCCTCTGACCTTCCTCCTTATCCTCTTCCTCCTCTTCCTCCTCCTGGTGGGTGCCATGTTTCTCCTGCCCGCGTCAGGAGGCCCCTGCTGCTCTCATGCCCGAATACCCAGGACACCCTACCTGGTGCTCAGCTATGTCAATGGTCTTCCCCCAGTCTGATGTGTGTAATAAATGGTCACTGTCAAAGGATGTGTGAAGATACTAGGTGCCTTCATACCCGGAATCTAGGATGTGGCCTGGATATGTCTGGATGGACCCTTTTGCCTTGAGAACAGAATACAGAACTGCATCAGCCCATCTTGGGTGGGGCTGCCCCAGACCCTGACACAAAGAGTCAAGCACCAGTTCTTTATTTAGGCGTGGCAGGGGAGCCAGGACGTGAGCTCAGGAAGGGAGAAAGCCAATACTGGGTGAGTTACTGGTTGCTGCACTGGGCACCTGGGGTGTCATCCCATTGCTGGTTGTACCCTAGGGACAAAGAAGTTGTGGCTTTTTTTTTTTTTGAGATAGAGTCTCACTCTTCCCTAGGCTGGAGTGCAATGGCACAATCTCAGCTCACTGCAAACTCTGCCTCCAGGATTCAAGCGATTCTCCTGCCTTACACTCCAGAGTAGCTGGGATTATAGGCGTGTGCCACTATGCCAGGCTAGTTTTTTTTTTTTTTTTGAGACAGGGTCTCGCTGTTGCCCAGGCTTGAGTGCAGTGGCACGATCTCGGCTCACTGCAACCTCTGCCTCCTGGGTTCAATTGATTCTCTGGCCTCAGCCTCCCAAGTAGCTAGTACCACAGGCATGCGCCACCACACCTGGCTAACGTTTGTATTTTTACAAATCTTTTGAACCTGGGAGGTGGAGGGTACAGTGAGCCGAGATCGTGTCACTGCACTCCAGCCTGGGGGAGAGCAAGACTCCGTCTCAAAAAAAAAAAAAAAAAAAAAGCAAAAAAAAAAAGCAAGCAACTTCATTTGGAGAGACAGCAAACCAAGAAGATGGCAGACTAGTGTCCTAAAGAACCATCTCGGCCGGGCGCGGTGACTCACGCCTGTAATCCCAGCACTTTAGGAGGCTGAGGTGGGCGGATCATGCGGTCAGGAGATTGAGACCATCCTGGCTAACACGGTGAAACCTCGTCTCTATGAAAAATACAAAAAATTAGCCGGGCGTGGTGGCGGGCACCTGTAGTCCCAGCTACTTGGGAGGCTGAGGCAGGAGAATGGCGTGAGCCCGGGAGGCGGAGCTTGCAGTGAGCCAAGATTGCGCCACTGCACTCCAGCCTGGGTGACAGAGTGAGACTCTGTCTCAAAAAAAAAAAAAAAGAACCATCTCAACTTAGTATAAATTTTAGGTTTCTTTTTATGCTAAGGGAAGGGGGTTGAGGTTAGGTGACCAATGACTGCAGACATCTGGTCGCCAGCAAGAGTCCAGAAGAAAACTTCTTTGATGATGTAGGTCAGGTCACAATATTCTTGTAAATCTCTAGTATAACATTGTTACTTGTGTGTACAGTTTCCTGATCTCTTGGTGGGGTGGTTAGTTTTGGGAAAGGGACTGCTATTTTTTCTAAAATTGAGCTATAAACTAAATTCCTCCTGTAATTAGCTGATCTACACACAAAACTAAGCAGAAGCTTTTAACCTAAAGGATGTTACTGCAGGGTGTCAGGGGCAAAATGGAGTCAGTCATGCTAAGCCTCCCTCCACTGTGACACACACCCCACCAATTTAGCAGCCAATAGTAGAGTCACTGTTCCTTTGTAGTTCCAACCAAAGTCCCAAGGTTGGCTCCTCTGGCTTCCGTCACATGCTCCACCTTTGCTGGGGGCTGCGGTCAGCCCCACCTAAACCATGTGGACTGAAAATGGCAGAAGCGTGGGTCTCCAAAGAGTATCAAGTTGTTGCTACTAGAAGAGGGGAACAGACACTGATGGGGTGGGGGAAGCTGCAGATTCTGGGAGAGACTCCAGGTTCAGGGAAAAGTCAGGATGCAAACCGGATTTGTCCTGTTTCAAAGGCCAGGCTGAGACTCTGGCATCAACCAAAGAGGCATGGTCCCCCTGAGATCACCAGCAAATAGGGGGTGCAGTCTTGGCAATATTGACCCAACAGGCTCGGTAATGGAGCATATCTGTGTCATTCGTTCATTTAACAAATATTGACTGTCTGCTATGTGTCAGGTCCTGGTCAAGGAGCAGAGACACGACAGTGAACAAGACGATGCCTCTGGAGCTGATATTCTACTTGGGGAAATTGACAATAACTAAAAGAAATAAGTGAAATTGTAGTGGGTCACAGGGTGGTAAGTGCTGAGGAGAAAAAGTGAGCAAGAGGAAGGGGGCACAACTCAAACAATGTGGTTGAAGAAGGCATCAGGGAGTCAGTAGAATGGAGCCACTATGTTAAAATTTTGCCATGAGAGCAGATTGTAGTGAGGAAACAGGCCATGGGAACTCCTAGAATAGTGCTGTCCAGTGGAAATCGAATGTGAGGCTGGGGTGGTGGATCACGCCTGTAATCCCAGCACTTTGGGAGGCCAAGGCAGGCGGATCACTTGAGGACAGGGGTTCAAGACCAGCCTGGTCAACATGATGAAACTCCGTCTCTACTAAAGATACAAAAATTAGCTGGGCATGGTGGCAGGTGCCTGTTAATCTTAGCTACTCGGGAGGCTAAGGCAGGAAGATCACTTCAACCCAGGAGGCAGAGGTTGCAGTGAGCCAAGATCACGCCACTGCACTCCAGCCTGGGTGACAGAATGAGACTGTCTCAAAAAAAGAAAAAAGAAAAAAAAGAATAGAATGTGAGCCACAGATGTAGTTACAAATTTTCTAGCAGTCACATTAAAACAGTAAAAATGGATTAATTTTAATAATTTAACTTATATTCTATTTAACCTGACATGTCTAAAATATTATCACTTCAATATGTAGTCAATATAAAAATAATGAGATCTTTTACAATCTGTTTTTCTTACTAAGTCTTTGAAATCTAGTGTGTATTTCACACTTACAGCACATCTTAATTCAGATGCCAAATTTTTAACAGGTAAAATGCAATACAGTCCTACTAAAACAATGAAGTTGTGTAACAAAAAATATTTTACATTCAAAATACTTTCACATTACATTTACATTTAAAATACTTCAATTTTAAAATTTAGGCCGAGCATGGCAGCTCAAGCCCTGTGTTGCCCAGGCTGGTCTCAAACTCCTGGGCTTAAGTGATCGGCCCACCTCAACCTCCCCAAGTGTTGGGAAACCTTTTAAAACTAGAACAAACTCCCATATGCCCTTACCCAGATTCAAAGTGGTTAACACTTTGCTCCTTGTGATTTACCATCCATACCCTTGCTAATATATTTATATCAGTGCATATGTTTTGGAACCATTTGAGAGTAAGTTGCAGACACGAGGCCTTTTTACTCCTACATTCTTCAGTGTGTATGTCTTAAGAACAAGGCCATTTTCTCACACAATTCTAGTAGTTATCAAAATCAGAAAATTTAACAACCCAGTTCTATTTTTAACTCACTCTGTAGTCTAAATTACTCTAATCCCTGTATGTCTTTTATAGCCATTTTCTTAGATCAGGGGATTTCTTGTTTAACAGATGGGTCAAGGGATTGAGAAACATTGACCCTGTGCCTTAGCAGAGTAAAATACAGAACAGCAGCCCAGGCGCGGTGCTTCACACATATAATCCCAGCACTCTGGGAGGCCGGGGTGGGCAGATCACTTCAAGAGTTTGAGACCAGCCTGGCCAACATGGTGAAACCCCGTGTCTACTAAAAATACAAAACAAAACAAAACAAAATAGCCGGGTATGGTGGCAGGTACCTATAATCCCAGCTACTCGTGGCGAGCGGGGTTGGGGGCGGGGGGCGGCTGAGGCAGGAGGAGTGCTTGAACCTGGGAAGCGGAGGTTGCAGTGAGCCAAGATTGCGCCACTGCACTCCAGCCTGGGCAACAGAGTGAGACTCTGTCTCAAAAACAAACAAAAAACAGAGCAGCAGATGCACACAGAGGATCAGCAGAGAACTGGGCACTGTTCCATGCTTGACACATAAGCATCCTTGGAGCCAAGGACTCGGGTGATGATTTATCTGGGATGTGATCCCAGGAAGCGGGAGTGGGGAAGAGACAGGGCAGGGGAAAAGCCAAAAAAGGTGCTCATGGAGTGGACACCACTGTGGGCAACTGGGGCTCCATTCCATGGGTGCCCCTGAGGAACCCTGCAGAACACATGTTGTCCCACCAGATGAGAGGTGGGCCAGGGCGCTCATCCAGTGACTGCTGCCCCCTACAGGCTGAGGGTTGCCTCTGAGCACATTAACCCACCTTCCAGGACTCCCAGGAAGCCCTCAGGCAGAGCAACAGAGATGCAGGGGCTCAGGGGAGGAGGCTGCAGCCTCCTGAGAACCTGCTTCTACAGTTGCAAGTGAACCCAAGAGGGCAGGAGGGCCATGGGTGGGGGTCAGGCCTCATCATCTGCTGTCACAACAGGGTTTGTTTTTTTTTTTGAGATGGAGTCTCACTCTCGTTGCCCAGACTGGAGTACAATGGCACGATCTTGGCTCACCGCAACCTCTGCCTCCCGGGTTCAAGCAATTCTCCTGCCTCAGCCTCCTGAGTAGCTGGGCTTACAGGCATGTACCACTATGCCTGGCTAATTTTATATTTTTTAGTAGAGACAGGGTTTCTCCATGCTGGTCAGGCTGGTCTTGAACTCCTGACCTCAGGTGATCTGCCCACCTCAGCCTCCCAAAGTGCTGGGATTATAGGCGTGAGCCACTGCGCCTGGCCTCACAACAGGCATTTAATTCACTGTACCATCATAATGGCCACATCAGGGAGGCTCTTATTAAGCCCATTTCACTGATAAGGGCATTCAGGCAAAAAGGTTAAATCAGGCTGGGCATGGTGGCTCATGACTGTGATCTCAGCACTTTGGGAGGCTGAGGTGGGAGGACCGCTTCAGCTCAAGAGTTTGAGACCAGCCTGGGCAACACAGTGAGACCCTGTCTCCGAAAAATAAAGAATAGGCCAGGCACGCTGGCTCACACCTGTAATCCCAGCACTCTGGGAAGCCGAGGTGGACAGATCACCTGAGGTCAGGAGTTCAAGACCAGCCTGGTCAACATGGTGAAACCCCATCTTAACTAAAAATACAAAAATTAGCCAGGCATGGTGGCATATGCCTGTAATCCCAGGTAATCAGGAGGCTGAGGCAGGAGAATGGCTTGAACCTGGGAAGCGGAGGTTGTGGTGAGCTGAGCGCACCATTGCACTCCAGCCTGGGCAACAAGAGCAAAACTCTGTCTCAAAAATAAATAAATAAAATAAAATAAACAATAAAAATATTATCTGGGTGTGGTGGTGCACGCCTGTAGTCCCAGCTACTCAGAAGGCTGAAGTGGAAGGATCACTTGAGCCCGGGAAGTCGAGGCTGCAGTGAGCTGTGCCACTGTACTCCAGCCTGGGTGACAGAGACCCTGTCTCAAAAAAAAAAAAAAAAAGTTAAATCACTCGCCTGTGATCACATAATCAGTAAGTATGGGAGCTGGGATTCAAACCCTGCCTTCCCATTCCCGGGTCCGTGCTCTTAGCCACTATTCATCTGCACAGCTCCTCCCTCAAATCAGGCATTCCTCCATCCTCTCTACCGGGAAAATCTCATTCATCTGTTAACACCCAGGTTAATGTGACTTCTCTCCTGACCCAGGATGCCAGACCCCATTGAAAACTCGATCCCTGCCTGCAGCCCTGCCAGGAGCTCCAATCCTGGGGCTTGTCAGGGCTCAAGATCATGGAGCCAGGAGTGAGGGGGTGGCAGGAGATGCAGCTGAAGATGTAATTGGGGGGCTGGATGAGTAGGACCCCACTGGTCTTTGGCTTTTGAGATGGAGCCAGGAGATGACTAACATGATCACCCTGATGGAAGAAATTGAGGCTGAGAGAGATGAATGAGGTGGCTGAAGTCCCATGGTGAGGACAAACCTGAGACAAAGCAGAAGTAGAAGCCACAATCAAGTAAACCCACAGCCTTGTGCCTGGGGCACTCCGGGCCCCAGCTGAGATCCTGAGACCCTGCATTTCTTCCCTTTGCCCCCTCCAGGCCTTTCCCCACACTGGTCTTTTTTTTTTTTTGAGACGTAGTTTCGCTCTGTCGCCCAGGCTGGAGTGCAGTGGCGTGATCTTGGCTCATTGCAACCTCTGCCTCCAGGGTTCAAGCGATTCTCCTGCCTTAGCCTCCTGAGTAGCTGGGATTACAGGTGCCCACCACCACGCCTGGCTAATTTTTGTATTTTTAGTAGAGACGGGGTTTCACCATATTGGCCAGGCTGGTCTGGAACTCCTGACCTCGTGATCCGCCCATCTTGGCCTCCAAAAGTGCTGGGATTACAGGAGTGAGCCACTGCGCCCAGCCTTGGTCTTCTTGCCTAGAAGCCTATCCCGGCAATTAATTCTTCAAACTGCAATTCCACTTTATAACCATTTGGGAATGTGGCTCCCCCACCGGGATTAGGGCAGTGACTGTTTCTCTTCCGTCCATCCTCCCTTTGGTCTGAGGTCTATGCTCCTTACCTGTGGTCCTCCTACCCACAGCTACATCCACAAGAACTCATTTCCACTTATTTAACTGATATGGGTGCAAATATAGCTCAGCGATGCAAAATGCATCCCTCCACAGAATGTCTAGGGCAGGCCCATATGGGGACACCGGAGGGAGTATATCTGTGATCTATGGGGTTCATCTCCCCTCTCCTGCCCCAGGGCCTTGTCGTTCACTGTAGCTGAGGCTGGACCCTTCAGCCAGGTTTGAGAAATTTCCAGGTCTGAGACCCTCACTACTGCCTCAGGGGCTCCGAGCCAGTTCTCAGCTCCACCATTTCCTCTTCCACACAAAGATGTTAAATCACTTGCCCTCCATTAGGGAGCCAACTGGGGTATCTTTGGGGGTTAAGCCAGGATGAGCCCCCTCCACAGATCTGCCCAGGGGAGAAAACTATGCCGCTTCAATCAATGTGCCAGTCTACAGGGCTCCGGAAGGAGTCAGATCCCCACACCTATCACCTCCCAGATGGTCCCTTCCAGGTGTCTGTGTGCGTGTGTGTGTGGTGGCAGGGGGGCTGGGGGTGTTTCAAAAATCCTGAAATATATAAAAGCTTTAAGACCACCAACAGGGAAGTAGACATATCCCCAATTTTATTCCCTTTGTCCAACATTCCGAGAGGGAAGGGGCAAATGAGTCAATGTTGCCCCTCAAAACCATCAAGTAGGGGCCTTTGGGGGTCTTCAGTTGATCAACCAGGGTGATAGACCCCTACCCCTTCCTCATGGTCCTGGCTTGTCACAATTAATGGGGGAAAGTTTTCCAGAAGGGGATTCCGGGCTTCTCACCGCTCATCAGGGCACCTTCCCAAAACGTTCTCAGCAAAAAGTCTGCACTTCTCAGAGTTAAATACAGGAGAGGGGAGACTCCTTGAGGAGCCAGAAGTGGGTATGTTCTCAGGGGTCAAGAGAAGGGCGTCTCAGGCTCTCCCTGTCCACCGGGGGTCGTCCTGGCTCCCCGTACCTTCGGGCAAGTAGCTCTTGGCTTGACACTGTCCAGCCCGCCAGCGTCCCAGGCCGCCCCAAGCCCTCATGGGGGAGGAGCACCGACCTGTCTCCAAGCATCGGAAAAGGCGGGCCTCCCTTGCCGTCCATCACGGGGCTCTCTAGGCCCCCTGCGTCGCCAAGGAGGAGTCTCTGACATCCCCAATTCGTCAAGCTAGTCTCTTAAGACCTCTCACCTTAGGCGGGTTCCCCAGTCCCCCCATGCAGTCAGGCGAGCCTCCTGGCTCCACCACGCCATCGAGCGAGTTCGGCTCTTCGCCTGTCACCGTCCGTCGGGGCGGGTCTCCGGTGCCCCCGTGCTGTCGTGGGGGTTCCTTGGACTGTCGCCGTCGTCAGGCTGGCAACCCACGCCGCCAGGCTCCCCGGTCGGGGCCCGCGGGCGTACGAAGGCGCCCATGGCGGTGGCGTGGCCCGAGCGTAGCAGCTGCAGCTGGCGCCGCCCGCGGCGGTACAGGTACTCGATGCGCAGCACGTCGGACCGCGGCAGGCCCGCATGCTGCCGGAACTCTGCCCGCACTCGCGCCTCGGCGCCCGGCTTCCCACGCCCGGCGCGCAGCAGATCGCGGTACAGGCTCAGAACCTGCCTCTGCAGCCGGCTGTGCCGGCTCATGACCGCGGCTAAGCAGAGACGCTCAGCGAACGACCTGCGAACCGCGGAGCCGCCACACAGCCAGCAAAGGCCAAAGGGCAAAGCCACAGCCACTTCCGCCCAGCGCTTCCCTTGGCCTCCAACTCCCGCCTCCCGCCATCCGGCGCTGCCGCGTCTGACTGGCTGTCGTTGCAGTTACGTAACAGCCGGCTGGGAGAAGTGGGCGGAGTCGCTGGTCGCGGCCTCCCACGTAGGGGACGTGTGTTCTTGAGGGGACAGCAGTTCTGGGGATCCTGGCACCGCCTGGAGGGCGTTATGTGTTCGGACTCCTAGGTCTTGGGTTGGAGGGAACAGAGGGTCCTCACCTAACTCCTGCATTCTGGGAGAAGAGGAAGCTAGGGGTTTTTTTGTGTGTGACGGGGTCTCGCTGTCGCCCAGGCTGGAGTGCAGTGGCGCGATCTTGGCTCACTGCAGCCTCGAACTCCTGGGCCCAAGCGATCCTCCCACCTCAACTCCCCTAGTAGCTGGAACCACAGACGCGCGCAACCGCGCCCGCTATTTATTTATTTATTTATTTATTTATTTATTTATTTATTATTATTATTATTTGCAGAGATGGGTCTCCCTATGTTGCCCAGAATGGCTCGAACTCCTGGGCTCAAACGATTCTCAGCCTCCCAAAGTGTTGGGATTCCAGGCGTGAGCCACCGCGCCCGGCTACCGGTTCGGACTTTGGGTCCCAAGGGCACGGGGCACTGGGAGAGACGCCGGGCACAAGCGTGCTTTTGCCGTCAGTTACTGATTCAAACCATCTTGGGAAGCTCCGTGCGTTCCCTCGTCCGGGGCAGGTCTGTGTCTGGGGTCCCAGCCCTGGGCACGTGCAGAGGGACGAGACCCCGTAGGGAAATGGCTCTCGGCCGGTTGGACAGGCTTCTCGGGCCAGGGGAAGACAAGCAGAGAGAGTGTGGGCGCCAAGCCCCCAGAGGCAGCGTGTGGCTCTAGGAGCTGGGTTGGTCGCGCCCTCTGCGGGTGGGAGTCGGGGCAGTGGACAGCGGTGTTTGGGTCCTTACCGACTGTTAAAGCCCGGAGTCCGGGACACCCTGAACAGTCGACTAGACTGCAACCCCGTTGTCCTCCCAGGAGCTTTAGGTGGTAGGCCGCAATGCCGTTGTTGTCCCCGCGGGCCGCCTGGAGGTGTCCTCGTAGCGCTAGGGAGGCCCGCAAGGACACAGCATCCTCGGGCCCCACCAGCACCGGAGCTTGGGGGACCCCTCCACCCAGCGCGCAACCGCGGCTCTGCACACTTGGGCCGGCAACCAGCTGGGGGGTCCATTCCCCTTCAGAGAGGAGAAGCTGGTCAGGGGCGGGGATTAGGCTTGGAGTCTTGGAGTCAGGGGAGAATCACAAACCACTGTGAATCCTGCCTGGCAGGTGTATGTATCTATCAAAAATACATGTCCTAGAACGGTGGCTCACACCTGTAATTCCAGCACTTTTGGAGGCCGAGGCGGGCGGACCACCTGAGGTCGGGAGATCGACACCAGCCTGATCCACATGGTGAAACTTCTGCCTCTAGGTTCAAGTGATTCTCCCTACCTCAGCCTCCCCAGTAGCTGGAATTACAGGTATGTGCCAGCACACTGGGCTAATTTTTGTATTTTTAGTAGAGGCGGGGTTTCACCATATTGGTGAAACTACAGCCTTGATCTCCTGGGATCAAGCAATCCTCTCGCCTCAACATGTCCAGTGGTTAGGATTACGTGAACATCCCACCACACCCGGCTAATTCTTCTTTTATTGTTTTTTGTAGAGACAGAGTCTCGCTGTGTTGCCCAGGCTTCACTCTGGAATTTTAAATATTTATTTTTTGTTTTGTTTTTAGAGACAGGGTCTTGCTATGTGGCCCAGATTGGTCTTGAACTCCGGCCTCATCCTCCCAAGTAGCTGGGATAATAGGGATGAGCCACCATGCTGGCTTGTACTCTGGAATTTAAACATCTATCTTTTTCCTGTCAAATGACCCTTAATCTCCAAGACAACTATGTCAATCAGCCTAGGGGGACTTTCTTTACTTTCCAGTGGACTCAAGGAGCTGCAAAACCTCAAAGGGAATACTATTGCCTCCTGCCCAGGGCCTGTCAATGGTTTTCTGGTTACAGTCTCTCAGTTTGTCTTTGGGGAACTGGCCCACTCTTATTCTAGGGGATTTCCTGGGTAATATCCCTGCCCTCTGGCTCTGGCTACAGCTCTGTTACATGCCCAGGCCTGGCTACTTAGAGACAAATCAGAATATCCCATCCCCTGACCCCTGTAATTGTTTAGGGATGGGCAAATGACCTCCACTGGGACAATGAGAATCAGACCCGGGACTTCTGTTGAAACTGTGAAGAAAGAAGTGCTGTCTCCCCACTGGGACTGCTAGACTGTACATCATCAACCTGGAGCAGTGGGAGATCACTTCCCGCAGGCAGAGGGGTAGTTTGAAAATGAGGCTGTGGCAGTCTCAGATACCCATTCTCCATTTCTTTCCTAGAATTAGCATTTTTTTTTTTGATATGGAATCTCGCTCTGTCACCCAGGCTGGAGTGCAGTGGCGTGATCTCCATTCACTGCAACCTCTGCCTCCCGGGTTCAAGCGATTCTCCTGCCTCGGCCTTCTGAGTAGCTGGGACTACAGGGATGCGCCACCACATCCGGCTAATTTTTGTATTTTTAGTAGAGACGAGTTTTCGCCATATTGGCCAGGCTAGTCTAGAACTCCTGACCTCAAGTGATCCGCCTGCTTCGGCCTCCCAAAGTACTGGGATTACAGGTGTGAGCCACCATGCCTGGCCTTTTTTCTTTGTCTTTTCCTTTTTTTTTTTTTTTTTTGAGATAGGGTCTTGCTCTGTTGCCCAGGCTGGAGTGCAGGGGCATGCTTGTGACTCACTGAAGCCTCAAATTCCCAGGATCAAGTGATCTTCCCACCTCAGTGGCCTAGAACTATAGGCGCTCACCACCATGCCTGGCTAATTTTTGTATTTCTTATAAAAACAAGGTTTCACCATGTTGCCCAGGTTGTTCTCAAATTCCTAGGCTCAAGTGATCCTCCCACCTCGGCTTCCCAGAGTGCTGGAATTACAGGCATGAGCCACCGCACTTGGCCAAATTAGAATCTTTAGCTGCACACATGGCCACTTAGCTAAAGATACATCTTCCAGCCCCCTTTGCAGCCAGATGGGGCCCTTCCATAAAGTTTGGCCACTGGGAAGTGAATGGATGTGATGTGTGCAATTTCTGGGTTTTGTCCTTAAAGGGAGGAGGCCTGGCCTCTTTGTGCCCTCTTTTCTCCTTCCAACTTGCAGGAATGTAGCTGCGGTGAGGAAGAGATGAGGGCAATACCACAGGGGAGGCAGAGCCACGTGACAGATGGAGCCTGTGTTGGAGGAAGCAAACTGGTTATACTTGGACTGCCTGTGAGAGATAATTAAGCTTCTATCAAGTTTAAGCCACTGTAGGCTGAGCGTATTGCTCACGCCTGTAATCCTAGCACATTGGGAGGCTGAGGTTGGGAGGATTGCTTGCACCCAGGAGTTCAGGACCAGCCGGGACAACACAACAAGACCTTGTCTCTACAAAAAAAAAAAAAAAAAAAAAAAAAAAAAAAATTGGCCAGGCATGGTGGCACATAACTGTAGTCCTAGCTACTTGGGAGGCTGAGGTGTCGGGATTGCTTGAGTCCAGGAGGTCAAGGCTGTAGTGAGCTATGATCACGCCACTGCATTCCAGCCTGGGTGACAGAGTGAGACCCTCTCTCTAAAAACAAACAAAAAGCTTAAGCCACTGTAATTTTGAGCTTTTGTTCTACCATATGGACCTGGAGCCTAATTACTATAGAAGCTAACGCAGAAAAAGGAAAAGGCGAGGATGAAAGATGGAAAGAAACTAAGTTCTTAGCAACATCATTTGAGTCCTTGAACCAGCCAGACCTGAAGGCCTCATCTTTACAGATAAGTAAAAGCAGACAAATTCTCGTCTGTATTTAAGACAGCTGGCATCATTTTCTGTCATTTACAACTGAAAATGCTGACTGATATACTGGTGATTCAGGGAACATCTTATGATGAGGTTTGGGAGACTTGTCCTCACCTTCCAGGCCTGGAGATCCCTCTCACCAGAAGGTAGCATTCATTGTGGAAGCAGCCACAGTGGTCCTGGGACACACAGTCTGTGCCATCAATGGTGAGGCCACGTTCATAGCTCTCATAGCATCGGGAGGAACAGTGAGCGGGGTTGGCAGGCAGGACACACCCCAAATCATAGGTCTGTGCACAGATGCTGTAATGGCCTTGGGGTGGGCAGGTCTGTGCTGCAGGCAGTTGGCAAAGATAAATGCCTAGGGCTCAAATTTCTTTTCTTCTTCTTCCTTCTTCTTCCTCCTT